>NC_000017.11:51310980-51935980 GCF_000001405.40 Homo sapiens
GTGCAGCAGACCAACATGGCACATGTATACCTATGTAACAAACCTGCATGTTGTGCACATGTACCCTAGAATTTAAAGTATAATAATAAAAAAGCTCTAATTAAGTGGCTTAAAGAAAAATAAAAGCAATTAAATCAAATACTTTGTCAGAAAAAATGGAAAGACTAGTCAAATGCTTTTTCAAGTTTATGTGACTTAAGTAAAATCTTTAATAAATAAGCTGTCTTTAAAATTATTGGTAAAGTAATATTAGAAATGTCTTAAGAATTGCCAGCATGCATTTTTGTTTGTATTTATTGTTCAAGCAATTTCACACTTATCCCTGCCAAATACTATAAGGTGTCAAAATTTTGGTATAGGGGTTACAAAACTATAAATCCAGTCCCAAACAGAATGATCTTTGCTTGTATAATTTTTAATAAAGAAGACATTGACATTGGTCTAATGAAGATAGCTACATCTTGAATTATTTACTAAAATACCGTAACCTCTAATCTTGTGGCTTTAGGCAGTCTAGTGTACAGGCAGGAAGGAGGTCTGTTTTGGGAAAGGACTGTTATTGTCTTTGTTTCAAAGCTGTATTAATCAGGGTTCTTTAGAGGGATAGAACTAATGGAATATATAAATATACATATATTTATATAATATATATATTTATATATATGTAAAGGGGAGTTAATATTAAGTGTTAACTCACACAATCACAGGGTCCCACAATAGGCCATCTGCAGGCTGAGGAAAAAGGAGGGTCAGTTCGACTTCCAAAACTGAAGAACTTGGAGTCCAATTTTCAAGGGTAGGAAGCATCCAGCACGGGAGAAAGAAGTAGGCTGGGAGGCTAAGCCAGTCTCTCTTTTTACATTTTTCTGCCTGCTTCTATTCTAGCCGAGCTGGCAGTTGATTAGATTGTGCCCACCCAGATTAAGGGTGGGTCTGACTTTCCCAGCTCACTGACTTAAATGTTAATCTCCTTTGGCAACACCCTCACAGACACACCGAGGATCAATACTTTGTATCCTTCAATCCAATCAAGTTGACACTTAGTATTAACCATCACAAAAGCTGAAGTATAAACTAAGATCCTCCCAAAGTTAGTTTTGCCTATGCCCAGGAATGAACAAGGACATCTTGGCAGTTAGAAGCAAGATGGATTAAATCATATCTTTTTCACTGTCTCAGTTATAATTTTGCAATGGCGGTTTCATAACTTTAAATGATGACTATTGCAGTTTTCATAAATAATCTAGGTAAACAAAATAAAATAATTAGGTAAATGTAATGGCAGAAATACTTGTAGACAAACTTGTCATAATTTAGAATCTAAACTTATGTTAAATAATAGATATTTCATTATTTGGGTATTTTCCAATAAAAATATATGGTAGGAAAACATTCCTTCTTAAAAAAAGATTTGTTTTGAAAAAGGAGAATAATTTTTGTCTAATTCAATGCTTATTTAAAGGTTATGTATAAGCAAGGTAAAAGGAACCAGGAAATAAGAGAGATGTAAAGAAAGTTATAGAAATAAAGGCCCGGCACGGTTCCTTACGCCTGTAATCCCAGCACTTCGGGAGGCTGACACAGGTGAATCACTTGAGGCCAGGAGTTCGAGACCAGCCTGGGCAATATGGTGTAACCTCATCTTTACTAAAAATACAAAAATTAGCCAGATGTGGTGGTGTGCACCTGTAATCTCAGCTACTCGGGAGGCTGAGGCAGGATAATCGTTTGAATCCCAGTGGCAGAGGTTGTAGTGAGCTGAGATTGTGCCGCTGAATTCCAGCCTTGGTGATAGAGTGAGACCCTGCTCAAAAAACAAACAAAAAGAGAAAGTTATAGAAATAAAGAGGTATTTTTTGGTAGGAAAGCTTAAAGAGAAATGATTTTTTTTTTCTTTTCAGACAGAGTCTCACTCTGTCGCCCAGCTAGAGTGCAGTGACAAAATTTGGCTCACTGCAACCTGTGTCTCCTGGGTTCAAGCAATTCTCCTGCCTCAGCCTCCCAAGTAGCTGGGATTACAGGTACATGCCACCATACCCAGCTAATTTTTGTATTTTTAGTAGAGATGGGGTTTCATCGTGTTGGCCAGGTTCGTCTCAAACTCCCAAGCTCAAATGATCCACCTGCCTCAGCCTCCCAAAGTGCTGGGATTATAGGTGTGAGCCACCATGCCCAGCCAAGAGAAATGATTTCATATGAGAAAGAATCTTGTATGGTAAATTTAGTCCTAGAATAAAATGACTGGTCGTTTAAGAAAGAGAGATGTTCAGGCCGGGCGCAGTGGCTCATGCCTCTAAATGCCAGCACTTCGGGAGGCTGAGGCGGGTGGATCACCTGAGTTCAGGAGTTTGAGACCAGCCTGGCCAACATGGTGAAACCCTGTCTCTACTAAAAATACAAAAAATTAGCTGGGTGTGGTGGCATGCGCCTGTACTCCCAGCTACTTGGGAGGCCGAGGCAGGAGAATTGCTTGAACCTGGGAGGCAGAGATTGCAGTGAGCTGAGATTTTGCCACTGCACTCCAGCCTGGGCAACGAGTGAAATTCCGTCTCCAAAAAAAAAAAAAAAAAAAAAAGAGAGAGATGTTCAGGACAAACCAGAAAGTCCCAGCATGTCATGGATCCTCTATATGAGTATTTTTAAAAAATACCAAAAGCATTTATATGATCAAGTTGTCTATAATTAAAGGGAAAATATAATGGCCTTTCTAGAGATTGGGTTTGATATTAAAAAAAAAACTCTTATACACTAAAAAATTGGTTAGAACAATAAATTTTTTTTTTTTTTTTTTGAGACAGAGTCTCACTCTTTTGCCCAGGCTGGAGTGTAGTGGCACAATCTTGGCTCACTGAAACCTCCGCCTCTTGGGTTCATGTGATTCCCCTGCCTCAGCCTCCTGAGTAGCTGGGATTACAGGCACTTGCCATCACACCCAGCTAATTTTTGCATTTTTAGTAGAGACGGGGTTTCACCACGTTGGCCAGGCTGGTCTTGAACTCCTGACCTCAGATGATCCACCCACCTTGGCCTCCCAAATTGCTGGGATTACAAGCATGAGCCACCGTGTCTGGCCAGAACAATGAAATTTTCTTAAGGGATTGATTTATTCTTAAGAGATTTTAATTTTTTTAACCCAAAGTTCAACTTTTATTGCATCTTGCCATTTTTGGTTTTCTCTCCCCCTTTAAAAGGCATGAAATAATAACACTCTTCTTCAAACCATTTTCAGCTTAAGTTTTTTCCGCCCCCCTCAGGTTCTGTTTGTTGTGGCCTTATGCCAACAATGTTTCCTTAAAGGTCTAAAGCAAATGTTTTCTTCCAACATAATATTCTGTGCAGTGCAGAAGGTCTTTTCTTTTGCCTTTTGGTAACTGGCTTAACAGATTTTATGTGTTATTGAAATAATTCGCATGCCATTATTATTAAGTTTTGGTTTGATTAGAAAAAAACTGAGATTAAAAAAGTTTTTTTTTTTTTTTTTTTGAGACAGAGTCTCACTCTGTTGCCAGGCTGGAGTGCAGTGGTGCGATCTTGGCTCACTGCAACCTCCGACTCCCTGGTTTATTGATTCTTTTGCCTCAGCCTCCCGAGTAGCTGGGATTACAGGCATGGGCCACCACATCCAGCTAATTTTTGTATTTTTAGTAGACATGGGGTTTCCCCATGTTGGCTGGGAGATCTTGATTCCTGACCTCGTGATCTGCCCACCTTGGCCTCCCAAATTGCCGGGATTACAGGCGTGAAAAGTTTTTGTTAAAATTAAGATTATTGGCTGGGTGCAGTGGCTCACGCCTGTAATCCCAGGACTTTGGGAGGCTGAGGTGGGTGGATCATGAGGTCAGGAGTTTGAGACCAGCCTGGCCAATGTGGTGAACCTCTGTCTCTACTAAAAATACAAAAATTAGCCGGGCCTGGTGGTGTGCGCCTGTAATCCCAGCTACTTGGGAGGCTGAGGCAGGAGAATTGCTTGAACCTGGGAGGCAGAGGTTGCAGTGAGCTGAGATCATGCCACTGCACTCCAGCCTGGGCAATAGGGCGAGACTCTGTCTCAAAAAAATTAAATTAAATTAAGATTATTACACCTGTGTATCTTTCTGTATGTGCTTTTAAAGTCCTTGTGACATTGAGTTACAGGGCTTTGACACCTGGGTCTAAAAAGGACACCAGGCCAGGCACAGTGGCTCACACCTGTAATCTCAATATTTTGGGAGGCCTAGACAGGTAGATCACCTGAGGTCA
The DNA here is from genome assembly GCF_000001405.40 of Homo sapiens. Classification (NCBI taxonomy): domain Eukaryota; kingdom Metazoa; phylum Chordata; class Mammalia; order Primates; family Hominidae; genus Homo; species Homo sapiens. The sequence continues at coordinate 51,315,220 of NC_000017.11, forward strand.
AGAGTTTAAGACCAGCCTGCCAACATGGTGAGGCCCCATCTTTACTAAAAATACAAAAATTAGCTGGGTGTGGTGGTGTGCATCTGTAATCCCAGTTATTTGGGAGGCTGAGGCAGGAGAATTGCTTGAACCCAGGAGGCGGAGGTTGTAGCGAGCCAAGATCGCGCCATTGCACTGCAGCCTGGGCAACAAGGGCAAAACCCTGCCTCAAAAGAATAAAATTAAACAAAAAATAAAAAGTACACTATGTCTTTGTAAATCTTAAACACTGGCAATAATTAAGCCCTCGTCTTCTGGCCTGGTAGAAGATGCCAATCAAAATAAACTGTGTTCCTGAGACACAGGGCCAGAAATTAAAGTTATTCAACTCCTCAGGGCCCAGGGGCTATTGTGGAAAAGGTAGGTGCATGAGATTATAAGGGCTGATTTTGAGAGAGAAAATAAGTTCAGTTTCTCTATAAATTAACCATTAATGTGAAAGGTACACTGATGCAAGACCAGCATATGGGCCCCTTTGTCAGATTAACAATATTTTCTTGAAGCATTAACTGACTTCTTAATAAAACTTACAACGATTGTAAAAGGCTTATTCATGTTATATCTTATGGTCAATATTAAAATTCTATAATTTATAACAATTTGAAAAACTAATTGTCTTCATGTTCTTTTTATTAGGGCTTATTGTTTGGAAAATTAAGTTTCTTGAAGACCGAAGGTTTTTGACTTTTTTTGAAATCCTTGAGTTATCAGTTTGGTTAAATGAATGACTTATTTTACAATGACCTGTGATCCTATTTTGTGATATCAAGTGTTTTAAACCTCTGATATCTGACGAACTTTCCAAAATCAAATTATAAATTATGACTTTTTCTGACATAAATATTCCTTTAAGATATTCCTTTCCCTAAAGTCCAAAAATGACATAATTTGGCTTATTTGGCATAAAAATTATACAGGAAGCCTTGTCAAATATGAAATGGTTTTTGGCTTTCTTTGGGCTGTATTTGTATATTATTGGTATGTGTTCCAAAATTATGGGAAACTCCTATAATTCTGATTGACTTAGTGTATGTTATCAGGAATAATTATAATTGTTATGTTAAATTATTATGTGCCACAGAGGTAATTCCTTGTCAATTGTGTCTTTGACTATGGCTGCCTTAAAACTTTTTGCCATCCACAGACAATTGTTGTCTTGTTTTGGTCCTCTTTAGGAAGTGGTTTTATAGCTGATTAGCTATAAAACTCTAACAGGTGCTCTTGAATGCAGGTTTCTGATTACTTTGGAGATTGTGACATCAGAATAGAGGAAAAATGGCAGGACTCATGGAGAGCTGAAATATTTATGAGTATTAAGCAGAACAGGAATTAACTGAGTGGACTGAACTAATAGAAGACTGGAGTAATCTTTTTAGTTTTTGCTTAAAATGTTGCTGATCCTTTGTTTTGTTTTTCAGAGTAAAGGAAACTTCTTTTGGGCTAGTGTTTAACAATTAAGTAAAGTATACTCCTATAAACAAAATTTAGAGCATATTTGCTTCTTGCTACCTGATTTCTCCAGAATTTGGAAACTTTTTGAGAGTATTCCTAACTTATGGCCATATAGTTATTTGCATAAGTGCAATAAGAATCTGTTTTCATTTGTAACAGGACAGAATTGGAGAAACTGGTTGTTTTACCAAAGGCTTGACTGGAATGGCGTGCTTTTCTTTAAGGAATCAAACTTGACTTATAGAGCCAATAAAAACCCCTTAGAAGAAAACTGGCTGCATACCATGCCTACACAGTTCCTGAATAGGGTTCCTGATCTGTGGTAAGTAAAGAATATCACTTTCTGACAGGCCCAGGAGCCCCAAGTTATCTTGGGACCTCAAGAAGAGACGAATTTACTCAACTCATAGGTATTCGATGGTACAAATCCATGACTGGACTTGGCTTTAAAAAGTCTTATCTGAGATTCCTTCTGTGGAACAAAGTTCCATCAAAGCCAATTTTAAAAGCCTATGTGAAAAATAATTATTCTTGCTTCACTTTATAGAAATAGTCTAGCCAAGTATAATAAAGCAAATTGGTCCTATGATTATTTGTCTTTTGTAAAAATTGGTAACAGGAGAGAGAAAAATTATATTTCAAAAACTATAATACATCTGTTGTTAGATTCTAGTCTTGCCTAATATTTTTCAGTTTTTATTATTTTCTACAGTTTGGACTCAATTCTAATTTTTCCTGGCTACAAGTCTCCAAAATAATGTTTTCCATTTTTTTCTTTTTTCTTTTCCTTCCCCCCCCCGCACCATTTTCCTAACGTGAAATAACTGAAAACTAAGCTGTGCTTTCTTAAAACTCTGCAAACTGAAGCTAGACAACTTAAACATCAGAAGAAAATAACAGCAACCATATACATATGTAAGCCACTTTCTTACCTGCTTGTATGGACTTCAGAATAATGTGGCCTATATCAATTTTCCAGGATTGTTCTTTTGTTTTTTGTTGTTTTTCACGATTCCTCCCCCTATTTTCTCTTCCTAGGACATGAGACTTCCCAGCCTGCTAAAGGTGAACTTTCCTGATAACTTGGGACCTACCATCTAGGAATAAACTGTCCTAGCCATGAGAGATCAGATGAAACCTGAGACCAGAGATTCATTTCCTTCTAATATGCTTTCTCCCAAAGCTTTTCAAAAGAAAAGGGGGGAAATGTGAAAGGAAAAAAAATCTTGGGGCCCCCAAATCACTAAGCTAAAGGGAAAAGTCAAACTGGGAACCACTTAGGGCAAACCTGCCTCCCATTCTATTCAAAGTCATCCCTCTGCTCACTGAGATAAATGCACATCTGATTGCCTCCTTTGGAAAGGCTAATCAGAAACTCAAAAGAATGCAACCATTTGTCTCTCACCGACCTGTGACCTGGAAGCCCCCTCCCTGCTTCAAGTTATCCTGCCTTTCTGGACAGAACCAATGTGTACCTCTTACATGTACTGATTGATGTCTCATGTCTCTCTACAATGTGTAAAACCAAGCTATGCCCCAATCAATTAGGGCACATGTCGTCAGGACCTCCTGAGGCTGTGTCATGGGTGTGCATCCTCAACTCTGGCAAAATAAACTTTCTTTTCTTTTTTTTTTTTTTTTTTGAGACAGAGTTTCACTCTTGTTGCCCAGGCTGGAGTGCAATGGCATGATGTCGGCTTACCGCAACCTCCGCCTCCTGGGTTCAAGCAATTCTCCTACCTCAGCCTCCCGAGTAGCTGAGATTACAGACATGCACCACTACGCCTGGCTAATTTTGTATCTTTAGTAGAGACAGGGTTTCTCCATGTTGAGGCTGGTCTCGAACTCCTGACCTCAGGTGATCCGCCCGCCTCAGCCTCCCAAAGTGCTGGGATTACAGGCGTGAGCCACCGCACCTGGCCGGCAGAATAAACTTTCTAAATTAACTGAGACCTGTCTCAGATACAGGCAGACATCAGTGTGTATACATGTAAGGTATACATTGGTTCGGTCTGGAATGCCTGGACAACTTGAAGGGCTGGAGGGTTTCTAGCTTGTAGGTGGATTCAAATATTTTCTAGCTTGGGCGTGGTGGCTTATGCCTGTAATCCCAGCACTTTGGGAGGCTGAAGTGGGAGGATTGCTTGAGCCCAGGAGTTCGAGACCAGCCTAGGCAACATAGTGAGACCTTGTCTCTACAAAAAATTTTAAAAATTAGCCATGTGCAGTGGTGCATGTCTGTAGTCTCAGCTATGTGGGAGGTGGGAGGATAGCTCGATCCCAGGAATTCGAGGCTTCAGTGAGCCACTGCACTCCAGCCTGGGTAACAGAGTGAGCTCTTGTCTTTCCTCCTGCACTGTTAGAAATAAATTTATGGTGCCGCAAAAGAAATAGCACTCGAACATGAATTTTCTCAGCAAGGCAATTTTACTTCTATAGAAGGGTGCGTTTTGCAGATGGAGCAATGGCGAGAGCACAAGGGAGTGGAAGGGGTTCTTATCCCTGACACAGGTAGCCCCTACTGCTGTGTTGTTCCCCTTTGGCTAGGGTTGGATCACACAGTCTAAGCTCATTCCAGTGGGCTATTTTAAAGAGAGCAGGGGTATGAGCTGGAGTGGCAGGGAGAGTAGTTTGGCAGGAAGGACAGTTACAGAACAGGTACAAGATGACTAAGAACAGAGCAGGTGACCAAGGATGACTAAGGTCGGAGCAGGTGACCAAGGGTGACTAAGGTCAGAGCAGGTAATAGAGGCTAGGAGGGGGTTGTTTACTGAAACTAGGGACAAGGAGATGTAAAGAATGAGGAAGTTAAGCTTTAAAATGAGGAACAAAGAACAGGGGAGCTGAACATACTGATACATTGGTTCTTTGGAGAGGATCTCAGAACTCATTGTACTTAACAATTTATAGGCTAACACCTTTGAAGAAGCATTATTATATCCTACATGTACCATCCCCCCTGCAAAAAAAAAAAAAACAAATATTTTCTGATTGGCAATTGGTCGAAAGAGTTAAGTTATTATCTAAAGACCTGGAATCAATAAAAAGGAAGATTTGGGTTAAGATAAGAGGTTGTGGAAACCAAAGTTCTTATTATTGCAGATGAAGCCTCCAGGTAGCTGGCTTCAGAGAGAATAGATGGCAAATGTCTCTTATCAGACCTAAAAAGCTGCCAGACTCTCAATTAACTATCTCCTGGATCAGAAAAGACCAGGAAAGGGAAGGGGATTCTCTACAGAATATGGATTTTTCCTACAAGAGAGAGCTTTGCAGGGCCATTTCAAAATATGTCAAAGAAATATATTTTTGGGTAAAATACTTTGAATTCTTTCAGGGCCTGCTATCTGTCATGTGATGCTATATTAGGGTCAGGTTGGAATTTGGTATCTTACTGCTACAAAGAGTCTGTTTTGTCAGTCTTAATATCTCTGTTTAATGATAATGCTGATCAGTTGTGCCTGAATTCCAAAGGGAGGAGGGTATAATGAGGGATGTTCGACTTCCCTTCCTATCATGGCCTGAACTAGTTTTTCAGGTTTATTTTGGAAATGCCCTTGGCCAAGAGGCAGCAGTCCATTCAGTCAGTTGAGGGGTTTAGAATTTTATGTTTGGTTTACAGAGTAAATATGAGGTGAGGGCTAAAAGCACATTTTCTGAGTCCCAAATCAAGATACATGGGCTAACTAGGGATTTTTGTGCCATTTTCAGATGTGAGACGCTGTCTTGGAGGCATGGTATGAATGTAGACATGATGAAAATTCCGAGGTATTTTGATGGTTTTTGGACAGCAAGTCAGAATATTTGGAATTGGGACTATTTGGGGGTTTAAATTGTAAAGAAGAGCTTGAGAGGGAATGTTGAGGCACAAGGACAGATTAACTATAGGTAGCTGTAGACAAAATTCAAGTCAGTTTTAAAAATGATGAGTTGAAAATAAACCATGAAACTGAATTAGCCAGCAGCCGGCAAATGCATTTTCTCATTGACACCTAAGCAGTGATAAAATTCCCTCATTGTAGATCCTACCTCTTCTTCAGAAAGCATATATAGGCTTGCCTATATGCTTTCTGTAAAATAAAATCAAATTCCCAAAAGTTCCAGTAAGGTTATATGCTGTTATTTTTATATACCTCCTGTTCTCCCCCAAACTCTTGCTTCCTCAAATGCAACATCTTCCTTCTGTTGCCCTCATCTGGATTTTCAGATCATCCATCCACCCACCCATCCCTCCTCCCATCCACCCAATGAGAATCAATGGACTTCCTGTGGATGTTAGGCACTATGTGGTTCACGCTGGATTCCCAGCACTCACAGAGGCAAAGTCATGGATTAGTTAATTACAAGTTGGACAAACATGACCAAAAGAGAAAGGCATAGTGCTTTGGGAGCATAGGGCAAGGAAACAGGACCTGGTCTGAAGGGTCCTGGAAGTCTTCCTGAGGAAGCCATGTTTAAGCTGAGTTCAGAAGAGTGAGTAGAAGTTGGCCAGGAGTATTTCATGCCAGCGCCTTCCCCTCACCCCATTTCTCCCCAAGCCTGCTCTCCCTTGTCCTCTGGAATTCCTTGTCCTACTGTGAAAGCTCCCTGTGCATTTATTGACTGCTTCTCTTTTTCCAGCCCTGGGTTCTTCCTGAAGCTCCTGGGTCTCCAGTGGGTGTCTGCTCTTTGATGGTTCTGCCCACCTCCCCATTTCAGTTTGGCAATAGAATGCTCCTGTGGGCTGGGTGTGGTGGCTCACACCTGTAATCCCAGCAGTTTGGGAGGCCAAGGTGGGCAGATCTCTTGAGCCCAGGAGTTCAAGACCAACCTGGGCAACATGGTGAAACCTGTCTCTCAGAAAATTAGCCAGGTGTGGGTGGCCCACTCCTGTAGTACCAGTTAATCTGGAGGCTGAGCCCAGGAGGTCAAAGATGCAATGAGCCGTGGTCCTGTCACTGCACTTCAGCCTGGGTGACAGAGTGAGACCCTGTTTCAAAAAAAAAAAAGAAAAAAATGCTACTGTGACTCTTCCTTCTTACACAATGCTCTAATATGACTTTTAAAGGACACGGTAATCATTTTGTCTTATTTCCATGGGGTAATCATTTTGTCTTTTAACTTTTCTTATCATAGAATTGCTACATTGATAAGGCGTTTAGCACTGGGTCCCACACAGGGTAAGTTCTTGATATGTATTATTACCCCTACTATGATTTTTAAAAGACTCTGACCGTACATTGTATGTAACAGGCACTTCATAACTGCTTACTCATCTTCCCTTATCCCAGTGCCCATGGGCCAGTTAAGGCAGAGAAGATAGGGTTGTAGGAATCAAATGTTTATTGAGTACCTTAGAAGTCATCCTGACAGTGAGAAGGCTTTGTCCAAGGTTAAACGACTTGTTAATTAATGTTAGAGCTGGACTTTGGATCCAGGTCTTCATACTTGAGCATAGGTGTCCTGATTTGTATTTTAATGCTCTTTCTATGACAGTACCCCATGCTCTTCCAGTCTCTTTGTGGAGTCCCTGTCTTTTATCACTAGAAAGTGACAAAGGCCTTGACTCTGTGCTCAAAAGTCTTTTTTTGTCTCCTCTGCAAAAAGTGGACTCTCTCATGCAATCCTAGAAACTGGAAATTCTCTCTAGAGAGCATGCGTGGCTGTCTCTCAGGGATGGGGTGGGAGTTGGGGGAGGATATAATGCCCCCTCCTGCTACTTAGCAGAGTCTGTCTCGTCTGAGTGAGCATTTGGAGGACTTTTATCATGGAATCACCCTACATTCCTCAATCTTTGCTTACAAGTGCCCTTGAAGCATCCCTCTGCTTCACTTTTGGAGGAATTGAGTTATAGGTGACAGTTCATACCTACTGCCACCTTCTGTTGTAGAGTGTTAAGTACACAAGGTCTTTCTAGAGATGTGCTCTAGGAGGCAGTATGGCATCAGAGTTAAGAACACAGAACCTGGAGTCAGTCTACTTGGGTTTAACGTCAGCCTTAACTTGGGCAAATTATTTAAACTCTCCAAGTCTCAGTTTCTTCACTGAGGGACAACAATCAAAGCTACTTCAGAGGGCTGATGGAGGATTAAAAGGTGCTACGACATATAAAGCACATGGCCCACTGCCTGGCACATAGCAAGCATTCAATAAATGCCAGCTGTTATTATTTTCTCATCTGATACCTACAGCAGCCTTGGGAGATAGGCAGGGCAGGTGTTATTAACCCTTCTATACCCCTGGGAAGGCTGAGTTTCAGAAATGTTAAATGACTTGATCTGAGGTCACAGAGCCAGTGAATGGCAGTCAGGACCCCAGGTGGTCTGACTCTGAGTTCAGTGCTCCTTCTCCCTCTGAGTGGCCTCTGAAATGAATGGTATTTCCCTTGGGGACCTGCCTGACCAACTTTCATGTTTGTGAATTCTCTTTCCTTCCAGCTTCTCCTCCTTTTGTCAGAATTCTGCCTGGTGATAGTTTCCAGAAACCCACCAGTCAAAACGCTACCTGTTTCTGTGAGGCCAGGATGCAGGCCTCTCAGGAGGATTCAGGAGGGCTACTCAGTCTCTGGAAGGCTGGAGGGTTCCTGCTCATGCAGTGAGTACATTGAGCCTTCAGCTGGGAGTTAACTTAGTTGTCTGTTGGGTGGAATTACCTTGAGTCCCTTCAACTTGAAAGAAAACCTAACATATATTTGTGCATTTGAAAATTGCAGAATGATTTAATTTTATATCAAGTATTGTAATATATATGATATTACTGGAAAGATACTAATGAGTTTTTACTTGCATTTTATACAAAGGATAACTTCTTATTCAAGGCCTCTGGGCCTCTTGCTTTTACACATTACCAAGAACATTCCATTTTGTTCAATAAAAGCATTGATTTCATCCGTCTTTGTTGTCCGATAGGTTGGCAGGGTAGGGCTATTGCTTGCTTATTTTCTTACCTCTGGAGTATTCACTTCTGAAATGAAGGGGTGTTTCACTTGTGGACTGGGTGATGCTGGGTAAGTTGCTGAACGTCTCTCTGGGCCTCAGGTGCCACATCTGAAATGATGATTCTTATCTCACAGACCTGTGTAAAGGGTTCAAGCACTGTCCCTGACACTTACTAGGGGCTTGGTCAGCCTGAGTTTATCTTATGTGTTTATCTTTGTCCTTCACATTTATCCATCCACAGTAACATTAATGACTTCATTTGCTCCAAACCCATGAGGCACATGGGACCAGTATGAATTTGAAATAGAAAAGGATATGGCTAAATTGCCTTATAAAAACCTTTATCAGTTTATACTACCATCAACTCTGTGAGTGAAAGTTCCCAATTTACTTAAGAATACTTCAACTTTTTATTGAAAAATAAAACACAGATACAAAAACCCACACCTAACAAATGCACGGCTTAATGAATTATTGTGAATGCCACGTGAGTTAAGAAGTAGAACTTTGCCACCCACCCCAGAACCTGTGCCCCTTTCCCTCATCCCAATTGCCTACCCCTCTCTCTCTATAAGTAGTCACTTTCTTGACCTTTGTAGTAATCATTTACTTTTTAAAGTTTTTTTAAAGATCCAAATGCGCATCTCAAGATACTCTAGTCTTGCTCATTAAAAAAAAGTGATAATTTTTTAAAGCCGCGATTATTCAGTAAATTCTTCCTCCATCCCTCTTTTTTTTCTTTCCAATTTGCCTGTAGAAGAATTCAGGCCTTTTGGCTTGTAGAGTTTCCCATAGTCTGGGTTTTGCTGACTGCATACTCATGGTGCAGTTAAGCATGTTCCTCAGTCCTCTGTGTTTTCTACAAATTGGCAGGTAGTTCAGAGACTGGATTAGAACTCAGGTTCAGTTTCTTTGGCAAGATTGTAGGTGGTGTTAGGCATGATTATAGGAAGTGCATAATATCTAATGGTCTCTTTTTATGTTTGTAACCATTCATACGTACTTTATTGAGGGCTGCAGAATGGTGATATTCTATCATTTCTTTTCCATTTATTAGTTGGGATACTTTTATAAAGGGAAACTTACCCTTGTTTATTATTTGTTTACCCAGTGGTGCAGTTCCTATGGGAAAGGCTGGATTAATGCTGGAGTTTTCCCCCTTTACATACCAGTTTTCAAGACAATGAATTAATTCCCTATCATCCTCTGAGGGTGACCAATCATTTTAAAAAATATCATTATGAATCCATAGGTTTAAATATATTTGATGGTTTTAGTCTATTGCAAGCTTATCCAGCATGTGGCCCACAGTCTGCATGCAGCCCAGATAGCTTTGAATGTGGCCTAACACAAATTTGTAAACTTTCTTAAAACATTATGAGATTATTTTTGCAATTTTTTTTTAAGTTCATCAGTTGTTGTTAGTTTATTTTATGTGTGGCCTAAAACAAGTCTTCTTCCAGTGTGGCCCAGGGAAGCCAAAAGATTGGACACCCCGGTCTATTGCAATTATTATCATCATTGAAGCTCAAGTTGTCCCCCATCTTTGGTCAGTGGAAGCTTCTTCAGGTTTGATTCTAAGTCCTTTTGACATGATCATAGTGTTTTTTTATAGTTTCCTTATTATTTGGCATGAAGAAGTGTTCCAGGCTCATCTCATATATATCCTGCTCCAGACATAAAATGAGCCATTTCTCTGAGAATCACTGGTTTCTTTGGATAAGAAATTTGTGATGGTTAATATTGAGTGTCAACTTGATTGGATTGAAGAATGCAAAGTATTGTTCCTGGGTGTGTCTGTGAGGGTGTTGCCAAAGGAGATTAACACTTGAGCTAGGGGACTGGGAGAGGTGGACCCACCCTCAATCTAGATGGGCACAATCTGAGCTCAATCTAATCAGCTACCAGCGTGGCTAGAATAAAGCAGGCAGAAGATGGAAACAGCAGACTTGCTGAGTCTTCTGGCCTTCGTCTTTCTCCTATGCCAGATGCTTCCTGCCCTCAAACATCGGATCCTGAGTTCTTTAGCTTCTGGACTCTTGGACTTACACGACTGGTTTGCCAGGGCTTTCGGGCCTTTTGCCACAGGCTGAAGATTGCGCTTTTGGCTTCTCTACTTTTTTTTTTTTCTTTTTTTGAGACAGAGTCTTGCTCTGTCAGCCAGGCTGGAGTAGAGTGGCACAATCTCAGCTCACTGCAACCTCCGCCTCCTGGGTTCAAGCAATTCTCCTGCCTCAGCCTCCTGAGTAGCTGGGATTATAGGCTTGTGCCACCACACCTGGCTAATTTTTGTATTTTTAGAAGAGACAAGGTCAGGCTGATCTTGAACTCCTGACCTCAGGTAATCCGCCCGCCTTGGCCTCCCAAAGTGCTGTGATTACAGGCGTGAGCCACCGCGCCTAGCCGGCTTCCCTACTTTTGAGGTTTTGGGGCTCAGCTGGCTTCCTTGCTCCTCAGTTTGCAGGTGGCCTGTTCACACTTCACTTTGTGATTGTGTGAGTCAGTACCCCTTAATAAACTCCCCCTTATATATACATCTATCCCATTAGTTCTGTCCCTCTAGAGAATCCTAATACAAAACTATACATCAAGACCACAATCTGCTAGTGATGATCATTACTACTGAGGTTGGGCCTTATTTCTAGACCTTTTCAATAAACATTTAGAACTGGGGGGACTTGAGGTAAGGGATTTATTGCATGTTGATAACATTTGTCTGTGCCTTTTACAATTGAAGATCAGTTTTACTGGATATAAAATCCTTGGCTCTTTCTTTCCTTGGGCATCTTAAATATGTGAATTCCATTTCCTTTACCATAAAATATTGCTGTTGAAGAGTCTGATAATTAGCTGAATTTCTTTCCCTTCTTAAATCATGTACTTTAATTTTCTTTATAGCTAAAGACGTTATTTAAAGTACAGTAATTTTACTAGAATGTCTTGGTACTGGTTATTCTGGGTAAATATCCTCAGGGATGAGGTCCGCTCTTTTAATATGAAGTCTGGAATCTTTTTTTATTTCAGGAAAGTTTTCTTGAATTATAGTTTTAGTGTCTGTTCTGTTCCCTTCTTGTGGTTTTTTTTAGGAACTTTATTATCTGTATGTATGATCTTCTTTGCCTGCCTTCAATATTTGTCAGTTTCTCTTCAGTTCTTTTTATCTCTTCACTTTTATTTGTTAAGATTTTTTTCCTGTTTTTCACCTGTTTCTCTCTCTCTCTCTCTCTCTCTCTCTCTTTTTCCTGAATAGAGATGGGGTCTCCTTCTGGTTCCCAGGCTGGTCTTGAACTCCTGGGTTCAAGTGATCCTCCCGCATCAGCCTCTTAAAGTGCGGGGGGTTACAGGCATGAACTTCACCTGTTTCTCTTAAGAAACATGTGTTTATTGACCCTGTCTGACATTTCTGAAGAGAGCAGTGGTTCTCCTGGCATGGGGTTTGAGCTCTGAGAATGGACAGACTGCCTCCTCAAGTGGGTCCCTGACTCCCATGTAGCCTAACTAGGAGATATCTCCCAGTAGGGGCTGACTGACACCTCATACAGGCGGGTGCCCCTCTGGGATGAAGCTTCCAGAGGAAGGATCAGGCAGCAATATTTGCTGTTCTGCAGCCTCCACTGGTGATATCCAGGCAAACAGGGTCTGGAGTGGACCTCCAGCAAACTCTAACAGACCTGCAGTTGAGGGACCTGACTCTTAGAAGAAAAACTAACAAACAGGAAGGAATAGCATCAACATCAACAAAAAGGACATCCACACCAAAACCCCATCTGTAGGTCACCAGCATCAACAAAAAGGACATCTACACCCAAACCCCATCTGTAGGTCACCAGCATCAAAGACCAAAGGTAGATAAAACCACAAAGATGGGGAGAAACCAGAGCAGAAAAGCTGAAAATTCTAAAAACTGGAGCGCCTCTTCTCCTCCAAAGGATCGCAGCTCCTCACCAGCAACGGAACAAAGCTGGATGGAGAATGACTTTGACGAGCTGACAGAAGTAGGCTTCAGAAGGTCGGTAATAACAAACTTCTCTGAGCTAAAGGAGGATGTTTGAATCCATCGCAAGGAAGCTAAAAACCTTGAAAAAAGGTTAGACGAATGGCAAACTAGAATAAACAGTGTAGAGAAGACCTTAAATGACCTGATGAAGCTGAAAACCATGGCACAAGAACTATGTGACACATGCACAAGCTTCAATAGCTGATTCAATCAAGTGGAAGAAAGGGTATCAGTGATTGAAGATCAAATTAATGAAATAAAGCAAGAGGAGAAGTTTAGAGAAAAAAAGAATAAAAAGAAACAAAGCCTCCAAGAAATATGGGACTATGTGAAAAGACCAAATCTATGTTGGACTGGTGTACCTGAAAGCGACGGGGAGAATAGAACCAAATTGGAAAACAGTCTTCACAATATTATCCAGGAGAACTTCCCTAAGCTAGCAAGGCAGGCCAACATTCAAATTCAGGAAATACAGAGCATACCACAAAGATACTCCTGGTGAAGAACAACCCCAAGACACATGATTATCAGATTCGCCAAGGGAGAAATGAAGGAAAAAATGTTAAGGGCAGCCAGAGAGAAAGGTTGGGTTACCCACAAAGGGAAGCCCATCAGACTAACAGTGGATCTCTTGGCAGAAAGTCTACAAGCCAGAAGAGAGTGGGGGCCAATATTCAACATTCTTAAAGAAAAGAATTTTCAACCCAGAATTTCATATCCAGCCAAACTAAGCTTCATAAGTGAAAGATAAATAAAATCCTTTACAGAAAAGCAAATGCTGAGAGATTTTGTCACCACCAGGCCTGCCTTACAAGAGCTCCTGAAGGAGGCACTAAACATGGAAAGGAACAACCGGTACCAGCCACCGCAAAAACATGCCAAATTGTAAAAACCACTGATGCTAGGAAGAAACTGCATCAACGAATGGACAAAATAACCAGCTAACATCATAATGACAGGATCAGATTCACACATAACAATATTAACCTTAAATGTAAATGGGCTAAATGCCTCAATTAAAAGACACAGACTAGCAAATTGGATAAAGAGTCAAGACCCATCAGTGTGCTGTATTCAGGAGACCCATCTCACATGCAGAGACACACATAGGCTCAAAATAAAAGGATGGAGGAAGATCTACCAAGCAAATGGAAAGCAAAAAAAGCCAGGGGTTGCAATCCTAGTCTCTGATAAAACAGACTTTAAACCAACAAAGATCAAAAGAGACAAAGAAGGACATTACATAATGGTAAAGGGATCAATTCAACAAGAAGAGCTAACTATCCTAAATATATATGCACCCAATACAGGAGCACCCAGATTCATAAAGCAAGTCCTTAGAGACCTACAAAGAGACTTAAGACTCCCACACAATAGTAATGGGAGAATTTAACACCCCACTCTCAACATTAGACAGACCAATGAGACAGAAGTTTAACAAGGATATTCAGGACTTGAACTCAGCTCTGCACCAAGCAGACCTAATAGACATCTACAGAACTCTCCACCCCAAATCAACAGAATATACATTCTTCTCAGCACCACATCACACTTATTCCAAAACTGACCACACAGTTGTAAGTAAAGCACTCCTCAGCAAATGTAAAAGAACAGAAATCACAACAAAGTGTCTCTCAGACCACAGTGCAATCAAATTAGAATTCAGGATTAAGAAACTCACTCAAAACTGCACAATTACATGGAAACTGAACAACCTGCTCCTGAATGACTATGGGGTAAGTAACGAAATGAAGGCAGAAACAAAGATGTTGTTTGAAACCAATGAGAACAAAGACACAACATACCAGAATCTCTGGGACGCAATTAAAGGAGTATGTAGAGGGAAATTTATAGCACTAAATGCCCACAAGAGAAAGCAGGAAAGACCTAATATCAACACCTTAACATCACAATTAAAAGAACTAGAGAAGCAAGGGCAAACAAATTCAAAAGCTAGCAGAAGGCAAGAAATAACTAAGATCAGAGCAGAACTGAAGGAGATAGAGACACAAAAAACCCTTCAAAAAATCAGTGAATCCAGGAGCTGGTTTTTTGAAAAGATCAACAAAATTGATAGACTGCTAGCAAGACTAATAAAGAAGAAAAGAGAGAAGAATCAAATAGACGCAATAAAAAATGATACAGGGGATATCGCCACCGATCCCACAGAAATACAAACTACCATCAGAGAATACTATAAACACCTCTATGCAAATAAACTGGAAAATCTAGAAGAAATGGATGAATTCCTGGACACATACACCCTCCCAAGACTAAACCAGGAAGAAGTTGAATCTCTGAATAGACCAATAACAGGCTCTGAAATTGAGGCAATAATTAATAGCTTACCAACCAAAAAAAGTCCAGGACCAGATGGATTCACAGCCAAATTCTACCAGAGGTACAAAGAGGAGCTGGTACCATTCCTTCTGAAACTATTCCAATCAATAGAAAAAGAGAGAATCCTACCTAACTCATTTTATGAGGCCAGCATCATCCTGATACCAAATCCTGGCAGAGACAGAACAAAAAAAGAGAATTTTAGACCAATATCCCTGATGAACATCAATGCAAAAATCCTCAGTAAAATACTGGCAAACCGAATCCAGCAGCTCATCAAAAAGCTTATCCACCATGATCAAGTTGGCTTCATCCCTGGGATGCAAGGCTGGTTCAACATATGCAAATCAATAAACGTAATCCATCACATAAACAGAACCAATGACAAACACCACATGATTATCTCAATAGATGCAGAAAAGGCCTTCAACAAAATTCAACAGCCCTTCATGCTAAAAACTCTCAATAAACTAGGTATTGATGGAACGTATCTCAAAATAATGAGAGCTATTTATGGCAAACCCACAGCCAATATCATACTGAATGGGCAAAAACTGGAAGCATTCCCTTTGAAAACTGGCACAAGACAGGGATGCCCTCTCTCACCACTCCTATTCAACATAGTGTTGGAATTTCTGGCCAGGGCAATCAGGCAGGAGAAAGAAATAAAGGGTATTCAATTAGGAAAAGAGGAAGTCAAATTGTCCCTGTTTGCAGATGACATGATTGTATATTTAGAAAACCCCATCGTCTCAGCCCAAAATCTCCTTGAGCTGATAAGCAACTTCAGCCAAGTCTCAGGATACAAAATCAATGTGCAAAAATCACAAGCATTCCTATACATCAATAACAGACAAACAGAGAGCCAAATCATGAGTGAACTCCCATTCACAAAGAGAATAAAATACCTAGGAATCCAACTTACAAGGGATGTGAAGGACCTTTTCAAGGAGAACTACGAACCTTACCCCCAACTCCGTGCTCTCTGAAACATGTGCTGTGTCAACTCAGGGTTAAATGGATTAAGGGTGGTGCAAGATGTGCTTTGTTAAACAGATGCTTCTAGGCAGCATGCTCGTTAAGAGTCATCACCACTGCCTTATCTCAAGTACCCAGGGACACAAACACTGCGGAAGGCCGCAGGGTCCTCTGCCTAGGAAAACCAGAGACCTTTGTTCACATGTTTATCTGCTGACCTTCTCTCCACTATTGTCCTATGACCCTGTCAAACTCCCCTCTCCGAGAAACACCCAAGAATGATCAATAAATACTGAAAAAAAAAAAAAAAAAAAAGAATGTTGAATACTGGCCCCCACTCTCTTCTGGCTTCTAGAGTTTCTGCCAAGAGATCTGCTGTTAGTCTGATGGGCTTCCCTTTGTGGGTTACCCGTCCTTTCTCTCTGGCTGCCCTTAACATTTTTTCCTTCATTTCAACTTTGGTGAATCTGACAATTATGTGTCTTGGAGTTGCTCTTCTTGAGGAGTATCTTTGTGGCATTCTCTGTATTTCCTGAATCTGAATGTTGGCCTGCCTTGCTAGATTGGTGAAGTTCTCCTGGATAATATCCTGCAGAGTGTTTTCCAACTTGGTTCCATTCTCCCCGTCACTTTCAGGTACACCAATCAGACGTAGATTTGGTCTTTTCACATAGTCCCATATTTCTTGGAGGCTTTGTTAGTTTCTTTTTATTCTTTTTTCTCTAAACTTCCCTTCTCGCTTCATTTCATTCATTTCATCTTCCATCGCTGATACCCTTTCTTCCAGTTGATCGCATTGGCTCCTGAGGCTTCTGCATTCTTCATGTAGTTCTCGAGCCTTGGCTTTCAGCTCCATCAGCTCCTTTAAGCACTTCTCTGTATTGGTTATTCTAGTTATACATTTATCTAAATTTTTTCAAAGTTTTTAACTTCTTTGCCTTTGGTTTGAATTTCCTCCTGTAGCTCGTAGTTTGATCGTCTGAAGCCTTCTTCTCTCAACTCATCAAAGTCATTCTCCATCCAGCTTTGTTCCATTGCTGGTGAGGAACTGTGTTCCTTTGGAGGAGGAGAGGTGCTCTGCTTTTTAGAGTTTCCAGTTTTTCTGCTCTGTTTTTTCCCCATCTTTGTGGTTTTATCTACTTTTGGTCTTTGATGATGGTGATGTACAGATGGGTTTTTGGTGTGGATGTCCTTTCTGTTTGTTAGTTTTCCTTCTAACAGACAGGACCCTCAGCTGCAGGTGTGTTGGAGTTTGCTAGAGGTCCACTCCAGACGCTGTTTGCCTGGGTATCAGCAGCGGTGTTTGCAGAACAGTGGTTTTTCATGAACCACAAATGCTGCTGTCTGATCGTTCCTCTGGAAGTTTTGTCTCAGAGGAGTACCCGGCTGTGTGAGGTGTCAGTCTGCCCCTACTGGGGGGTGCCTCCCAGTTAGGCTGCTCAGGGGTCAGGGGTCAGGGACCCACTTGAGGAGGCAGTCTGCCTGTTCTCAGATCTCCAGCTGCGTGCTGGGAGAACCACTGCTCTCTTCAAAGCTGTCAGACAGGGACATCTAAGTCTGCAGAGGTTACTGCTATCTTTTTGTTTGTCTGTGCCCTGCCCCTAGAGGTGGAGCCTACAAAGGCAGGCAGGCCTCCTTGAGCTGTGGTGGGCTCCACCCAGTTCGAGCTTCCCGGCTGCTTTGTTTACCTAAGCAAGCCTGGGCAATGGTGGGCGCCCCTCCCCCAGCCTCACTGCCACCTTGCAGTTTGATCTCAGACTGCTGTGCTAGCAATCAGCGAGACTCCGTGGGCATAGGACCCTCCCAGCCAGGTGCGGGATTTAATCTCCTGGTGTGCCGTTTTTTAAGCCCGTTGGAAAAGCGCAGTATTTGGGTGGGAGTGACCCGATTTTCCAGGTGCCATCTGTCACCCCTTTATTTGACTAGGAAAGGGAACTCCCTGACCCCTTGCACTTCCTGAGTGAGGCAATGCCTCGCCCTGCTTCGGCTCACGCATGGTGCGCTGCACCCACTGACCTGCGCCCACTGTCTGGCACTCCCTAGTGAGATGAACCCAGTACCTCAGATGGAAATGCAGAAATCACCCGTCTTCTGCGTCGCTCACGCTGGGAGCTGTAGACCGGAGCTGTTCCTATTCGGCCATCTTGGCTCCTCCGCCCCTGTATTTTTTTATATATATCTGTTTCTTCCTATAAGAATATCAGTGTCTCAAGGGTAGGGATCTGGTCCTATTCGTTTTTGAAACTCTCTCACCTAGTATTCATTAATAGGACTAAGTGAGAACAGAACATCCAAGACCTTTAACAAGGGACCATCCCTTTTGTGTTTCCTGATGTTTTAAGAGACAAAAGTGCTTTTGCAGCTGTGGCTTCTAAGACTAAGAGAAGAGATTAAACAAAGCCAAATTTACTCAAAGCACAACATATCTGTGCATGTATTCAGGTCTGTCTCTAGCATCCTAGTCAGAAAAGCAGTACCTCCCTCCATAGTCTGATACAGATTTCAGACTTGCATCCCCCTAGGACAATACCACTTGCACCATTGGAAAAATGCATTATTGCTTTCTCTAGCAGCTGATTAAATTCTAGTTCCCCATGATGCATGGAACTTGCTTGAGGACTGGTGGAGTACCTGGACTATAGACTTCATTCTGAAATCCCACCAACTCCCAAAGAACCCATCATACAGCCCATGGTGCATGCACACTCCAGGTACCACTACCATATGACTACAGGCCCAACCACCACCTCTTGAAAGCCAGAGTGGACCTACCTCTCTTGAGGCTGGCCTTGTAGCCAATCTAGTTGGCTTCTGTGTGTTCCATAGCCTTGCCATGTGCCTTGGACCATGCAATATTGATGATGATACAAGTAATCCTTTAGTGAGCACTTATCAGTGTACCGGGTGCTGTGCTAAATGTGCTTCAAACAACATTTCATTGAACTCCCACGACTCAATGAATTCATTTCTATTGCAGATGAAGCCTCTGAGAAGTTAGGTAATTTTTCTCTAGGTTACAGTGCAAGTAAGTACAAGAGCCAGGACTAAAACTCAGGCTTGTTAGAAGTGTCCAAAATCCATGTTCCTAATGACTTGTAGCATGAGGGTTCCCAGAAGCTAGCTCTGAGATGGAGATTTGTATGCAGGAGATTTACGAGGAATGTGCTTCGGATCAACACCTGTGGAAAGAATGAGTTGGAAGCAGGATGGGGCAGATGAAGAAGCTGAGCACTGATGAAGTCCCAGTGAAAGCCTCAGCTAGCCCCCAGGGAACTCTGAAGCTGGGATGGCCCTTTAGAATCATCCTGTTGTGATATAGAAGCTGGAAAGAGGAGAAACCTATAAAATAATTAAGAAACAATTCTATGTCATCACTCCAGGGAAGCTCGTTAATTTATTCACTTACTTGCCCACTCATTCTTTGATTCACTCATTCATTCATTCAGTGTGCCAGATTCGGTGCTGGATTCTGGGGGACAAGGTACAAAGTGAAGTTTACAGTCAACACGGAGATGATGAACACATGAGCTAGCAGAACACAGTCTTACGGGTGCTCAGATAGAGATGTGCACAGGGTTCCATGAGAGAATGGACGTGGGGATGCACTGAAAGCAAGTGGGAGGAGCCAGGATGTTGCTGCCTCCTCAGAGGTGACTGGGCTTTCCTAGGGCAGGGGAAGAAGGGCATTCTGGGCCCAGGGGAAAGACTGAGCTTTTTAGTTTTCTCCAGATGGGTTTTTTTTTTTTTTTTTTTGAGACAGAGTCTTGCTCTGTTGCCCAGGCTGGAGTGCAGTGTCACAATCTTGGCTCACTGTAGCCTCTGCTTCCCAGGTTCAAGCAATTATCCTGACTCAGCCTCCTGAGTAGCTGGGATTACAGGCGTGTACCACCGTGCCTGGCTAATTTTTGTATTTTTAGTAGAGATGGGGTTTCACCATGTTGGCCAGGCTGGTCTCAAACTCCTGACCTTGTAGATCTGCCTTCCTCAGCCTCCCAAAGTGCTGGGATTACAGGCGTGAGCCACTGTGCCCAGTCTCAGATAGGGTTATCTTAGTTAATTTGGGCTCCTGTAACAAAAGTCAAGACAGAGTGGCTTGTAAACAACAGACATTGACTTCTTATAGTTCTGGAGGCTGGAAGTCAGATCAGGGCCACAACAACTTTCTGGTTAGGGCCCTCTTCTGGGTTGCAGACTGCTGACTTCTTATCCTCACATGGCAGAAAGAGCTAGAGAGCTCTCTGGGGTCTCTTTTATGAGGCACTAATCCCATTCATGACAGCTCCACCCTTATGACCTAATTACTCCCAAAGGCCCCACCTCCATTATCCCCTTGGGGGTTAGGATTTCAATATATGAATTTTTGGGAAACACAAACATTTAGCCCATGACAGGGGCCAAGGGAGTGAGGTGGGATCAGAAACCAAGGCCCTCAGATGTGTGTGTGGCAGGGAGGGTGGTGGGTAAGAAACTCATCAGTGCGGTTTCTGCACACGCCCTGTTTATCCAGGCCCTTTGATTCTCCCCAAGAGGGAGGAGACCAGCGAGGAGACCAGCATTGGGCAGAACAGAGAAAAGAGGTGGCAAATTATTACCCATTAAGTTCCAGAGCCACAGAAGCAGTTATAAAGTAGAAAGATTTGGGAAGAAGGTGTGATCAGCAGAAAGCAGATTTTCTTCCTCCCCTTCTGCTGGGACAGATGAAGATGTGGCGGGCACGGGGGATGGATGTAAGAGAAGCTGTGGTAGGGAGGGCTGACTAGGAAAAAATGGATGGTGGGGAAAACATACTAGTTAGCTCTTCAAAATTTATCCCAGTGCAGAGGAGTGCAGGTGAACGGACAGGAGATAAAGAGAGCAGATGAATCTCAGGGGCCAGGGACAAACCAGTAGTCAGGGCAGTGGGAGCCTGACACCAAAGGGGTGTGTCTCTGCCGGGGTCTGTGGACTTCAGGCTGGTGTTGGGTCCAGGAGGGTCTGACCCTGCAGTGGTGGACCAAGGTGGGGCTGAGGGGGTGAAGGGTGAGAGCACAGGCCTTCAAGAAGGTAAAGAGTTTGCCCATGGAGAAGAGGACATAGCGGAATCTACAAGAGGTCCTATCAGCTACCCCATGCTTGCTTCTAGGAACAAGGACACGTGGTCAGAGGCACAAGGGAGTAATTGTCAGGGATCCAAGTCACTTGCAGAGGCCTTTCTGAATGGTGGGTTCTGAGGTGGCTGTATCCAGGTGTGGCGTCTCCACCCTTGGCCTTGCATGGAGAACCCAGGAAGCGAAGCTACAAGGGCAAAGCAGAAGGATGGGGATGTAGGCAGTGACTGTGTCCCCCTAAAATTCATATTGATGTTCTAATCCCTGGTACCTTGGAATGTGAATGTATTTGGAGATAGGGCCACTAAAAATGTCATTAAGATAAAATGAGCTCATGTGGTGGGTCCTAACCAATATGACTGGTGTGTTTACAAGAGATTAGGACACAGAAAACACACAGGCAGAGAGATGATCATGTGGACACACAGCAAGCCAAAGAGAGAGGCCACCAAAGAAACCAACTCTCAGAGTTCTAGCCTCCCAATCTGTGAGAAAATAAATTCTGTTGTTTAAGCCACCCAGCCTGTGGTACTTTGTTATGGCAGACCTGGCCAACTGTGAACAATGGCCATTTGATTTCTTCTCTCAGTAGATTCCAGGCATGCTGTCATTGCTTTGCAGATGCTTACTGAGCACTTGCTGGGTCCTGCACCCAGCTGGCTGCTAGGGATAGTGAGGGGCACGAGGCACTCTCTGCCCTTGCAGAGCTCACTGGAGGAATAAACCTTTGTAGAGGAAGGTTTGATGGGCTTTCCTGGAAGAAGTACTCATAGGAAAACCCAAAAGCTCAACAGATGCTGTCTCCTTGGTTAACATTAGGAGCTATGATCTCCATCTTCCCATGGCATTAGAGGTTTAGATACTGAGGATCAGAGAGGCAAGTTCAGCATCAGAAGGCAGGAAGAGGCAGAAATCTGGACACCGATTCCTAACTCTAAAGCTGCGTCATCTCTAGTGCATCTCATCAGCTCTTCCCAATGGCACCAATCAACTTTAGCATACTGGCCAGCCGGAATAGATGTCCTTGGGCATTCTTAAGATCTGAGACTGTGATGGTTAATTTTAGGGTATCAGCTTGACTGGGTTGAGGAATGCCTCAGTGGCTGGTGGCGTCCATCATTCCTGGGTGTGTCTGTGAGAGTGTTTCCAGAGGAGACTCACATGTGAGCCAGCGGGCTGAGAAGGAGACCCGTTCTCAGTGTGAGTGTGCACTGTCCAATCAGCTCAAGGCCAGGCTGGGGACAAACAGGCAGAAGAAGGAGGATTCTCTCTCCCACCTTTCTGGAGCAGGATGCCTTTTCTCCTTGGACATCAGACTACAGGGTCTTTGGCTTTTGGATTCTAGGACTTGTACCAATGGCCTCCCGGGGCCCTCAGGCCTTCAGCCTCCAACGAAGGTCTGTGCTGTTGGCCTCCCTGATTCTGAGGCTTCTGGACTTGGACTGAGGCATGCTACGGGCTTCTCTGATTCTCCAGCTTGTGGATGGCCTATCATGGGACTTCTCCACCTCTGTAATCACAAGGGCCAATGCCCCCTAATACCTTTCTTTTCATATATCCTACTGGTTCTGTCTGCCTGGGGAACCTTGACTAATACAGATATGGAGCATTTGAAATGAGAGGATTTCTGATCCTGTTCTTCAAGAAGCAGTAGGTCAGAGCATACCTCTTTAAAATAACTTCTGGATAGTTTCACAGTTAGAAAGAATCAGCTTCAGGTGATCTTGAAGATCCCACTTGGATTCCACTCTCCAGCTCTCAGGAAGCTCTGGCTTCCTTACTTCTTCTGGGATTTTCCTTTCATGCTGGGGAGAGATGCTCCCTCACCACTACCCAGCCCATGGGACACACCGAGTCTGGTGGAGGATGCTGTGACCTGTGGTGCTTGTGATTGGTAAGCCTTGGGGCACTTGAGGGAGGGAGAGGAGAAGGTGGCTGCTTGATAAGAAAGATGAGATGCATATAATTGCCACTGATATTTGCAGCCGCTGTAAATCCCCTCAAAGAGACCCTGAATCTCTAATGGGGCACTTTCACAGGGAGATGGGATCCAGCTTGATTAATCAATTGTGGCTTCATTAGTTTCTCCCTGATATTTAATAGTAGTTAAAACCCAGCCCTCCAGGACCGGGCTTAGGCCACCCACACCAAGAGGAAAAGTGTCAGCCTGGGAGGGCTCAAGTCAACAAGGGACGGGGCTGGTTTTCCTCCTGTTAGGAGCAAATCTGTTCTCATGCTTCATTACTTAATCAGTTGCTACAAGGGAAGATTAGATACAAAGATAGAGGATTAAACAAAAAACACTGGTAGTAAGACACTTAGAAAGTAGGGGAGAGAGAGAGCTGGCATTTACAGAACACTCAGATCCCTCCTGAGCTTGAACCTTCTGGATTCTTCCTGAACATCTCTCTGCTATACATATATCACCTCATTTAGTCTTCATCAAGAGCCTCCGATTATTTTATTTATTTATTTATTTATTTGAGACAGGGTCTTGCTGTCACCTAGGCTGGAGTGCAGTGGTGTGATCTTGGCTCACTGCAACCTCTGCCTCTCAGATTCAAGTGATTTTCCTGCCTCAGCCTCCCGAGTAGCTGGGACTACAGGCGTGTGCCACCATGCCAGCTAAAATATATATATATATATATATATATATATATTTTTTTTTTTTAGCAGAGACGGGGTTTCACCATGTTGGCCAAGCTGGTCTTAAACTCCCGACCTCAGGTGATCTGCCCGTCTTGGCCTCCCAAAGTGCTGGGATTACAGGCATGAGCCACTGCATACAGCCCATTTTATTATTTTTCTTTTAATTTTTTTGAGACAGGGTCTGGTTGTGTCATCTAGGCTGGAGTGCAGTGGCACAATCTTGGCTCACTGCAGCCTCTCCCTCCTGGGCTCAGGCGATCCTCCCATCTCAGCCTCCAGAGTAGCTGGGACCATAGGCACATGCCACCACGCTTGGCGAATTTTTTGTATTTTTAGTAGAGATGGGGTTTTGCCATGTTGCCCAGGCTGGTCTCCAACTCCTGAGCTCGAGAGATCCATCTGCCTCAGCTTTCCAAAGTGCTGGGATTATAGGCATGAGCTACCACGTCTGGCCTGATTGTTCATTTTAGAGAGAAGAAATGGAGACCCAGGGAGCTTAAGGATTTTGCTTGGCTGCCCAGGTGTAAGGATTGTGGAAGTCTAAGTTTATGTTCTTCATACTCTTCCAGTGCAGCCCAAACATTCAAAATCAGGGGTCGGCATACTACAGACTGCAGGCTAAATCCACCACACTGCCTGTTTCTGTGTGATCTGTGATCTAGGAATGGTTTTTACATTTTTTTTTCCTCTTTTTGAGACGGTCTTGCTCTGTCACTCAGGCTGGAGTGCAGTGGCACAACCTCTGCTCACTGCAGCCTTCACTTCCTGGACTCAAGTGATCCTCCAACCTCAGGCCCCGAAGTAGCTGGGACTACAAGTACACACCACCATGCTCAGCTACATTTTTTTTTTTTTTGTAGAGACAAGGTTATTTTTAAATTGAATGGCAAACTATCCATTGAGTATAACTTTTTTTTTTTTTTAAATACAGCGTCTTACTGTGTCGCCCAGACTGAAGTGCAGTGGTACAGTCTCAGCTCACTGCAACCTCGGCTTCCCAGGCTCAAGCAATCCTCCTGCCTCAGTATCCCAAGTAGCTGGGAAAACAGGTGAGCACCACCATGCCCAGCTGATTTTTGTATTTTCTGGAGAGACAGGGTTTCACCATGTTGCCCAGGCTGGTCTTGAACTCCTGGGTTCAAGTTATCTGCCTGCCTCAGCCTCCCAAAGTGCTGGGATTACAGGCGTGACCCACCACACCCAGCCTACATTTCTTTATTTTAAATATGTAATTTATTCCACATTCTAGATATTATTTCCTTACTCTGGCTTTTGTTTATAAGCTGAATCCCTGAAACAAATGGAGAAACTATTCCGTGGATAACAGCACTTCTTTAATTTGAAAGATATAATTTTGCCTATATTCTCAATATTATTTCCTTTCTTTGGTATTAAATATAAGTTGAATACTCGGTACGGAGTAAGGGGCCTACCACGTAATAGGTGGTCAATATATGTCTTGAATAAATATTGAATAAATATAAAAGCAACATTTAACCTACTAAATCATAGTTTAGAAATTTCCTTTATTCTGATCTATAACAATCATTCAATGCAGTCCTACTGCATTAAACTTTTTAAAATGTTTACTTCTACAGTTGATATACAGTGTTATAATAAATTCTGACAGCATAAATTAAATCAATAGAAAAACTATTGTCCAGGCTGGTCTTGAACTCCTAGGCTCAAGTGGTCCTCCAGCCTTGGCCTTCTTGGCTGCAGTGAGCCGAGATTGCACCACTGCACTCTAGCCTGGGCAGCAAAGCCAGACCCTCTCTCAAAAAAATAAAAATAAAATAAAATAAAATGAATAATCAGAAGCCCTTGGTGAAGATTAAATGAGGGCACAGGCATGAGCCACCGCACCTGACCTTTTAACATTTTTTAATGGTTAAAAAAATCAAAAGAATAATAATATTTCATGACACATGAAAACTGATATTCAAATTTTGGTGTCCATTAATAAGTTTTATTGGAACACAGATCTGCTCATTTACTTATGGATTACCTCTGGCTGCTTTTGCCCCACCATGACAGAGTTGAATAGTTTTCACAGAGACATTGTGGACAGCAATGCTTAAAAATATGTAGTAACTGGGCTTTTACAGAAAAAGCTCACTAACCCCATTCAAACTGATTCCCAGTCATCCTAAATGACAGGAAAAGATGGATTGAGTTCAGACATGGATGCACACTTTATTGATAACCAACTTTGTTAGACATAATTAAACACTCAAAATTTCAGAAACATCAAACACTGTTCCATTACCAGCCAGGAATGGTCCCATGAGGGTTTTAGGATTTATAAGCATCATTAAATGTTGCAGTAGAGACTTCTCAGCCACTTCAATGATTTGCCTTGAAGGTACTTAATATTTTCAAGTAAATGCCAGGGTTGGAGTTTTGAGTGTAACTGGAAGAGTTTGCTAATTTCTTTGTCCCTGGATTATCATATGCATGTGATTACTGCAAAAAAAAAAAAAAGTTTATACTTTCCCCAAAGTTGCTCAGCTCAGGGTTTGTGGCTGCCTAATTTATGAATGGTGGTGGTATACATCATGTTTGTCCCTTTCAGGTAAAAGGGAAGCAAAGGAAGAAAGAAGAAAAGAAGACAACCCATGTAGGATGTTAACCAGGTCACTGGTTTTATTGTCACATGCTTTTAAAAGAACATGCATGAGTGAGCTGTCTCACTTTCCAATCCAAGAATGTTTGATTCCACTGTGATGAAAAATTCTGTGACCTGGCAGGAAAACACTACAAGAAGGGCAGAAGCGGAAAATTCTTTCTATTTTCCAATATGGCTTTCTTTGATTCAAGAAAGGCCTCCTCTCCTCCACATCTCTGTCCTGCTCATGACCCCAGAAGATCTCAGGTTGACTGCATTTGTTCTATGCCTTCCTCAAGCTTCACCTCTTCTGTGAGCCTCCTGGGTGGGCTCCTTCTGGCTAAATCTTCCTCCTCACTGTTGCCTTTTTATCTTATGCAAGCACCTGCCTTATCTAAAGGTACATACCTTTTCATAGAACACTTGCCTGTTTACCTAGCTATTTCCCCATGACTATGGGCTTTTTGAGAGGTGCTGTGTTATTTATTTATTTATTTATTTATCATTTTGTTTTGAGACGGAATCTTGCTCTTGTTGCTCAGGTTGGAGTGCAATGGCGCGATCTTGGCTCACTGCAACCTCCGCCTCCCGGGTTCAAGCGATTCTCCTGCCTCAGCCTCCTGAGTAGCTGGGATTACAGGCACCCACCACCATGCCCAGCTACTTTTTTTGTATTTTTAGTAGAGAAAGGGTTTCACTATGTTGGCCAGGCTGGTCTCGAACTCCTGACCTCAGGTGATCCACCCACCTTGGCCTCCCAAAGTGTTGGGATCACAGGCGTGAGCCACCTTGCCTGGCCACTGTGTTATTTTTTTTTACTTCTATACCTTCAGCACCCCAAACAGTGCCCAATACAAAGTTCCACACTAAATATTTATTGATGGAATAATGAATAGGGTTGGGGGCACTGGCAGGGAGGGTGCCCACTGGGCTGAAATTCTGGGGCCTGAATGCATCACTCCCTTCGCCTCTGGATGAGAAAAAAGAGGGACAGTACCCATGAGGCCCCTAGGGAAGCCTTCTGCAGACCAAAAGACCTCTTTGAACAGAGGGCAGAGGAAACAGGTCTAGAGAAAGTGAATGTGAAGATTCAGGCTTTAGAATGAGCCTTGCAGACCTGCTGGCAGTGACAAGAATTACCTGTGTACAGCACCTTGTGGTTCCCATGACCCCATTTAGATCTCATCATGACCCTGTTGGGTGGATGTTATTTTCTGCTTTACAGGGGAGAGAGGCCAAACTCGTGATCTGATCTGTCTGATATCACTTACTTAAACAGTTAAGTGGTGACTCAAGCTTGGTCTTTTTTTTACAACCCGGTGAGCTTTCCTTCAGGAGGAAATCTACCTCTCTTTGTGATGGTGACTTCACAGAAAAATTCTAACCCCTTTTATTCCTGCTTTCTGGTAATCTTCAAGCATCTAGGTAATTATCACGTTCTTATGCATTAACTGTTCTCCCTCAAAACGAACGAAAACCCTAAACCGAGGCATTGGTGCCCTCTGTCCTAGGGCTTTTAATTGCTGTCTTCCTAGTGTTTTAGTGCTAAAAGCCTGCCCTTCAGGGTGGTGGAAGGAACCTGATGGGGGACAGGGTTTTGACCTTAGAGCATGCAGGATTTAAAGCAGGAGGGCCAAATTCAGTCATCAGATGCAGGCACCAGGTGCACGACTGAGATGGGGGCTGTGGGAAATGTATGTGAAGCTGCTGAAAATTAGGACAGAATGGACACCAAGAGCCAGGTCACAGCCCAGCCGAAGAGTCTGTGACAATGGCTGCAAGAGGGACTGTGGGTCAGGGTGGACACCTGGGTTTTTGGGAGGGAAGGTTCAAGTTCACTTCTACACCAGTGCAGGAGCCATGCCTGTTTTTTTTTGTTTTTTGTTTTTTGTTTTTTTTGCCACTGAGTTTGGAATGAGGCCTGGCATCTTCTGGGATGGAGAGGATGCGGAATTCACTGTGACCAGGGTTTAAAGCACCACCAGGGGAACTATGACAGCCTTCACGTGGAATCATTTCATGGCTTGGATGGGTTTGTATGAGAGATTATCAAACCCGGGCCTTTGTAAGGCATGGACACAGGGGAAGGGTCCAAGACCAGTGCTCCCTTTGTGTGGCTCATGGCATTGGGCACTGTGCTGGGCACTCCGTGGGTGATAAATTCAATGAATGGCACCCGCAGCCATCCCATTAGGCAGCCTCAAAACCAAGAGTCAATCTTGATGCCTGCCTCCTCCTTTCACCCTCCAGTCACTGAATCTGTCAGTGATACTGCTGTGATAGCTCTGAACTCTGCCCATTATTCTTCAACTTGTAGCTACCACCCTAGTCCAAGCCAGCATCACTTTTCTCCTGGAGTTCTGTAACATTCTCCCATCTGTTCTCCTCACATGCCCTGGAGCCTGCACTGTCTCCACTGCCAACCTGCAGCCAGGGATCTTTTATTATTGATTGATTGATTTTAGATTCAGGGAGGTACCTATGCTTGTTTATTACACGTGCAAATTGCATACTGGTGGGGATTGGGCTTCTAGTGTACCTATTGCCCAAATAGTGAACACTGTACCCTGTAGGAAAATTACCCCCCTGACTCTCCCCACTATAAAAATGCAAATCTGATCATATCTGGAACTCCCCTTCTACCCCATTCCTTTTTTTTTTTTTTGAGATGGGGTCTCACTCTATCTCCCAGGCTGGAGTGAAGTGGTGTGATCATAGCTTACTGCAGCTTTGACCTACTGGGCTCAATCCATCCTTCTGCCTCAGTCTCCCGAGTAGCTGGGATTACAGGCATGCACCACCATGCCTAGCTCTATTGTGCCTCAGGCCACACCTCAAATTTTCTTCTCTTTTCTTTCTTTCTTTTTTTTTTTTTTTTTTTGACAGAGTCTCACTGTGTCACCCAGTCTGGAGTGCAGTGGCGTGATCTTGGCTCACTGCAACATCTGCCTCCGGGGTTCAAGAGATTCTCCTGTTTCAGCCTCCCTAGTAGCTGGGATTACAAGTGCCCACCACCACACCGGCTAATTTTTGTATTTTTAGTAAAGATGGAGGTTTCACCATGTTGGCCAGGCTGGTCTTGAACTCCTGGCCTCAGTTGATCTGCTCACCTTGGCCACTCAAAGTGCTGGGATTACAGGCATGAGCCACTGCACCCTCAACCAGGTCAGGTCTTTCTGTTGTTTGCTCTCAAAGTATCATGTACTGTTCCTTCCAGGCCCTTATCATGTTTTTTAGGGATACTGTTTTTTTTTTTTTTTTTTGCACGTGACATATTAATTCATTTCCCCTCCACTAGACACTAAATTCTATGAGAAGGACAGTGCTTACTTTTGCTCATCCATGACCGTGTTTCCCAAGCAACCGATACTTGGTAGGCGTTGAATGAATAAATAAATAAGTACATTTCAGTGAATGAAGGAAGGAATGCATAAATGGATGCATGATGAGAGTAACGATGCATGGCAGCCTGCTGTGCAGGGATCAGAGGGAACACAGGACGAGACAGGGCACTAGGCTGCGACCTCTTGCTTCCTGGAAGAGCATGGAGACTCATTTTTGAAACATTTCCTTAAAACATGTTTTATTGGCCAGGCACATTGGCTCACACCTGTAATCCCAGTACTTTGGGAGGCCGAGGCGGGTGGATGACTTGAGGTCAGGAGTTCGAGATCAGCATGGCCAACAGGGCGAAACCCCATCTCTACTAAAAATACAAAAATTAGCTGGGTGTGGTGGTGCATGCCTGTAACCCCAGCTACTCGGGAGGTTGAACCCCAGCTACTCGGGAGGTTGAGGCAGGAGAATCGCTTGAACCTGGGAGACGGAGGTTGCAGTAAGCCCAGATCGCGCCACTGCACTCCGGCCTGGGCAACAGGGTGAGACTCTGTCTCAAAACAAACAAACAAACAAACAAGCAAACCCATGTTTTATTATTCTAAGAGGCTTCCCTAAATGGATGTAGCTATAGCAAACTAAAACTGGAATTACATAATGTAATCTGACCCCCTAAAAAGCAAATTTGTTCTTATCTAGGCAAAAATAAACAAACTAGAGGTTATAATGTAACATGAGTGAATCTTTTAGAACGAAGAGGAAGGGAGAGTGGAATAGGAAAGGTGAATACATAGGATGGGCCTGTAGAGTCTCATGTGACTTCTTTTGGCTACTTGGTGCTTGAATGATTTTAGCTCTGGGCCAAAGGCATTTGCCTCAGCGTGCTGCTCTCTCCGGAAACCAACTCTCCTCCACTTGTGCACCTGCAGGGTGAGGTGCGTCAGGACTGTTGGGTTGACCCCACTTTACAGATGGGACCACTGTAATTGCATGAACACAGTAACTGGGCCAGAGGCAACAAATATGCTTTCTCCTTCGCCCAAGCCCCTCCTTCATCCAGTGCACACACACTGCTCCATAAGTGAAAATGATTCCTACTGTCACCAGAATCCACCCTTACTCACCGTAGCAGGCTGAGACAAACACTGATCCCCCAAACCCACTCTATGCTGGTGCCCAAACAGCCAGTCTAGCTCCCAGTCTGTCTCTTTTACCTCCCTGGGTCAGTGCTCCTGAAGTGGGTTGGGGAGGGGTGGGGCAGTGGAGGTGGAGGCCTGGGGAAGAGGGCAGAGTTGTGTCAATGAGTACTGATGGTGTGATGGAAAGCTCCCAGGCTTTGGAGTCAGGTATTTCTAGGTTCAGATCATGGCTGATCTTGTAGCAATTTATTAAATCTTTCTGAGCCTTTGCATTCTCATCTGTGAAATGAGCATGGTAGGATCTACCTTGCAGGATCACTGTAAGGACTGAATGTGGAAGGCAGCCAGCACAGACACTATGCATGCAGTTGGGACCCCTTAGGGTTTGCTCATTTTTCTCTTTATGTCTTTCCCTTTGGAAGTAACATGGTGCAGAAGATGGATGTGCATTTTGCAGCCAGGCTGACCTGGGTGAGATCCTGGCTTGACCATGGACTAGCTGTGTGGTGTTATACAAGTGGCTTAACCTCTCAGAGCCTTTCTTTCTTCATCTATAAACTGGGGATAGCAGATGGGGGAGGGTCTGCCTTGCAAGTTGAGCATTACACAAGAAAATGTGTGCTTAGTGCCTGGTGCAGAGTCTGGGAGTGAATTCATTACATGTAAATTTCCTTTTTGTGTTCTTTTGTGGATCGATGGAGTGATTCATAGTTATTTGCCCATCTAGGGGTGATTGAATCTTACAAAACACACACACAAACACAAACAAACACACACGCGGAAGGAGATGTGAGCCCAGGAGTAGCCCTGCAGAATATTAACCAAGACATCTGCTTTCACAGCCTGTCTACACAAAGGGCTGTTGTGGATCCTGCTCGCGCTGGTATGCCGGTGGTGCACCAGAACCACAGCTTCGTACAAGGCAGAGGCTCTGTCTCTGATGGACTCTGCTCTGTCTGGCCCATGCAGCTTCCAAGACATCCTGGATGATAAAACTCCCCCTCTGTTATTCCGGGAAGTGTAGTTCCTTCCATTTCACTTATAAAAATGGCCATTAAAAGAAAACCAAAACCTCACATCCTAAGCTAACCCCTGAGGCTGTTTTTCTACATTTGTCCACAGATGGGGCAGAAACATTCCTTCTAGAGTTGTTCTTAGCACTAAGGTTTTTTGGAAACCTAGCAAGAGCTGAGTGTTCGTGAAGAAATGGGTGCTTTGCTCTGACATTGCTAGTTCTCTGAAAGCTCCCAATGCATGTATGTTTCATCAGCTTTGTGTGAAATGTGGAGAGTGGGAAAAGGGTTTCTACGAAACTTCTGCCTGCCTCAAACTGTATTTAAATGAATTTTGGGCTTTGGAGTGAGACCCACCTGGGTTTACTTACCATTTACTTACCTTGAGCAGATGCCTTAATCTTTTTGAACCTCGGTTTTCTCACTTATAAAATGGGAGAGGCAGGAGAGTCACCAGTTCAGAAGCTTGTTAGGATTCAATGCTATAGTGTTTGTTCAGCATCTAGCATGGAAAAATATAACTACTTGGCAGTGTTCCTCTCTCCTTCTCATCATTTTTTCAGAGGTCAGTTCAAAGGATGAGCTAATTAGGGGTGATAATGCCAAGCTCCCTCAAACAGGGCATGAGTGTAGGTGTCCACCTGGCCGAAGAGGACAGCAGGCCTCTAGGTTGCTTGTAGGCAGCACTTTCAGGGCCTCGGGACCTGATTGTCCAGGCAAAGCAAGGCATAAAGGAAAGTTGGGGTTGCACATGCTGTAGACACAGGTCCTGGTGGCTCTCTCCCCTGCTTACTGGACTGCACCTTCCCACCTGTCCTTTCTCACCACAGTCATTTTGCAGTTGTGGCCCCAGCAGATGAGTCTTCCTTTCCCAGTGTTCAGGTGATATCACCTGGGCACCGAGGGCTTCCAGGTGTGAGGCTGGTGACTTTTTGATTGGCTGTGGTTTAAGCAGTGGCCGCTGATCAGTCAAATGATGCTTGCTTCAGGCGATTTCTTCTCCACTCCCCAACTCCTCCCCACCCTACTCACGACATCATTTTGTCTCCCCTTCCCTTTTCAGGGTAGATTGGTGGGAGAAGCATGGGTCTTTGAGTCAGACCACAAATTCGGGCTCACCATTGTCATATGTGACGTCTGACATTATTGAACCTCTCCAAGTCTTAGTTTTTTTATCTGTAAAATAAGGAGATTATGCCTGTCTCAACATTTCTAAAATCACTTCTATGGAATTCTGGTTTGGTGGGATGCCACAGGTGTCACATAAACAAAGATATATGTGATTTGAAAAGTATGAGCAATGCTGGGTCAGGTGAAGATAAAGACACTTCTTCACTACAGGACTTCTTGCAATGTGAATCTTCAAGAAGGCCGTATAATATTCAACATTTCCAAACTTATGTTACTACCATTTTTTTTTAAACAAACAGAATATCCCCTTAGACATGAAAGGTGATATAATGTAGTGGTGAAGCACACAGGCTTGGGAGCCAGATGGCTTGAGCACAAGCCCCACCTTTGTTCCTTACTAGTTGTATCAGCTGTTTACTACCGTATGACAATTGACCACAAGCATAGTAGCTGAAAACAATGCACTTTCGTTATATTACAGTTTCCATGGGTCTGGAATCCAGTAGAGCTGAGCTGAGTCATTGCTTCAGTGTCTCTCATGAGGCTTCAGTCAAGGTGCAGGCCAGGATTGGGCTCTCATCTGAAGTCTCTGCTGGGGAAGGATCTGCTTCCAAACCCATGGGACTGTTGGCAGGACTCAGTTCCCTATGGGCTATTGGCTGGAGATGTGGGCCTTTCCAGCATAACATTCTGCTTCATTAAAGCCAGTGAAGAAGAGAGTGTGCTAGCAAGATGGAAGGCACAATCTCCTGTAGTCTAATCATGGAAGTAACAGCCTGTCTCCTTTGCTATATTCTGTTGGTTAGAAGCAGTCACTAGGCCAGCCTACACTCAAGGAGAGAGACTATGTGGTGGTGTGGATACCCGAAGGTGGGGTCTTCAGAGACCATCTGAGAGCCTGCCTGTCCCACTAGTTGTGTGACTTTGGGCAATTACTGAATTCTTCTCATTTGTAACATTGGTATGATAATAATATCTTTATAAAGTTGTTGTGATTAAATGAGCATATATAAAACAGTGTTTGGCAAATAATAGGCCCTATATAAATATTTGCTTTTATAGTTACCTAGACCGGTGTCTGGCACATAGAGAAAGCACAGTAAACATTGGTTGAATCAATGCAATTGTAGTTCCATTGCAGTTACATGGAACATGCTTTGGGAAGGCTGCCCTACTTAAGAATGCTGCAAGGATTAGATGTGATCAGCTATGTGAAGCATCTAGCACAGTCCCAGGCACATGCTAGGTCCCCAGTCAATGTTAGTTTCCCCTCCTACTTCCAGGTTTGGATGTAGAGCTGAGATTCAAAGCTTAAGAGAGGTCAGGTTCCAGCTTCTCCTTCTGTTCACCTCCTCCTTCTTTCCCTCCTTCTCTCTTTCCTTCTCTTCCTCCTTCCCTCCTACACCAATAGTAATTTTCTCGGTACAGTGCCTGGTTGGTGCCATCAGCAGTTAAATGCTTCATAGTGGCTCTGGATGAGGCTGGCAATGACAATTAAGTGTACTTCAGGGGCCTGGGTGGAGATGGAAATGAGGTGAATGGGGGAAAAGAGAATAAACGGCTAAGAAAGTGGAAAAAAAGACACAGAAAGGACCACTTTGAAGAGCAATGTTATTTTTTCTCTATGTACCTAAGAGTTCTGAGATGCTTTAATAATCACTGTTAGAATCTTAAAAACACTTTTCCACGTTTTTCTTCCTTCTTAGCTTCCCTTAATCACTATATTCAAAGCAGATATTTCTTCCCAGTGTTCTCCTCTGCAAATTGTTGCCTCATGTCTACTTTTAAGTGAATCAAAACTGACCCGATGAGTTAATAAAAACAACTGACATCAGCCTGGTGCTCTGCATTTGCAACTCGCTTTCACATACATTGCATTTGAAACTTGCAACAACCCAGGGAGGTGGGTATTGGAATATTGCTGTTTTCTTCATTTTATGGTGGACAGAAAGCTTGGGGATGCTGAAGTGAAGTGATCTTGAACAGATGTCAGCATCAGGACCTGTACCTCAGCATCTAACACCAAGCCAAGGCATTCTTCCCACTCTATCATTCATAGGCAGTTCATATTAATGGCAGCTTATTAATAAATTGTGAGAAACAAACCCAGGCCATTATATAGCAACATTATTTGTTGGCTGTCAGTTGGGGAACAATGAACATCTTTAGTTTTGAGAAACAGTTATCAAACTCTTCCTACTTAGCCTCCCTGAGTCTTACAAGACACTCTCATATTTTAACTTGTCTTCTTTCAACCAGCAAAGGAATGATTGGAAGCAAGGCTAGGTAAGGGGAGTGGCTGCCTAGAATGACTTGGCTTATCAGGAAGGCTCTTTGGTGTCTTTTGGCTCTATCCCTTATGCTGGCTGTCCTCTATGGAGCAGGCTGGGCACTTGGCTGTGATGCCAGTGACTGGGCACTCAGACCCCTCTTGTTCCATCAGTGCCCAGAAAGGGGCCAACAGCAACAACTTCTGGATGCATTCTTCTTTGCTCTCTTGGAGAGGCCAGTCTTGAGCACAGTTTTCTCTTGGCGATGGGCTGGATCCAAAGACTTGGTTGGCTCCTTCTCCCATGTCCATATTGCTTTTGTCCTGTGGTTCCCAATTAGGCATGATTTTGCTCGTACTTCCTACCTCCTGGGGACATTTGGCAATGTCTGGAGACAGTTTGGATGGTCACAACTGGGTGGGGAGGAGGGAGTTATTGGTATTTGGGGTGGAGGCCAGGGCTGCAGCTAAACTTCCCAAAATGCACAGGACTGCCCCCCACAACAAAGAATTACCCAAGCAAAATGTCAGCAGTGCTGAGGTTGAGAAATCCTACTTAGCCCTATTCTTTTAGGAGGTCCAGTAGGTCTGGAGGTTGAGGCAGAAGAAGAAGGAAACTGGGTGTTTGTCTTTTTACATCTCAGAGTACTCTGTAGGGATGGGCTCAGGCTGCTAAGGAGGTACTTGTCTTCAGGGCACCCCATCACTGCCCCCCACAACCCCTACTTATCTAGCCCTCCTTTATCTGTGTTAATTCTGTTTTAAACCAGTACTGTTTGACAGGCAGAAGCATCTTCCCCCGAGTTCCTATGCCCGGCCTGCTTTTGGCCGTGGCCTTGATGGCTCCGGTTGGGAATCCATGTGTTACTGTTTGGAGAGAGTCATATTTTTTACAGCAACATAACCCATTTTACCTTTATGGTAATTGTTTTGGAATAAGAAGTAATCATCCAGGACTGACCAACTTGCTTTTCTAAGTGCTCCTTTCTCACTCCTGGCAAATTGCTTTGAGAATTGAACAAAGCCCGGCTCAATCATGCAGGATATCCATTCCAAAGGATGCCGGTGAAGTAAATCTCTGTTAAGCCAGCTCAAGCCATGCCTCCTCCTCCCTTTTCCCAGAGATCAAATAGTGAGCGTGTGCTTCATTCCACATGCCCCTTGTCTTGGGGATGGGTGCTTTAAGCCTGGGGCTTGACCAGGGCACTTGCGATGCTCACGGGACTGCATAGGAAACTTGGTGCAATAGACTGTGGTATTAAAGAGCTTTTGGTCCTTGGGGCTGAGGTCGGAGTTAGCACTTTCCACGTGGCTGTTGAAGTTAATTTATGGAAGGCTTTCCTTGACGTATATCCTATGGAATGTTAAATAGGTATTGATTGAAGAAGTAGTCAAATGGGTTGGAGAAACTCATGTTCTTTGCTGCAGGACTTCTCAAGGTCTTTAAATGGTTAATGAGCTGTATGACTTGTCAAGAGGAGGATATAGCTATGTGGTTATTTCCCAAATTTATTTGGTCTTAGAACTCTGTTTTTAATGGAGCATCTCCCAAGGTGAGTGATCTGCTGAAAAGGATGTTATCATATTGGAAAGGGGAAGAATTCGATCTCCTCCACTCTCCCCTCCTCCCCTTCCCTGCCCCTTCCTTCCTTTCCCGTGATATGATACAAGATTTTTGTTCTGGGGGATGTCCTCTTTTCATTCATAAAATGAGGTTTTGTGAGGCAGCGTGGTCTGATGGAAAAATCATAAGCGCTCCCACCTCAAGGATGTTGAAAGTGCTCCTCCCTCTCCCTGTAGGAGCTTCCATCTCATCCCCTTCCCCAAGCTAACTCCTGCTTATTCATTTTCCTGGGCTCAGCTTAAACATCACATTCTTGAAAAAGCTTTTCCTTGGCCTTGGCTCAGGGAATATCTGGGACCGCAGCCCAGTTCAGCTGCTTACTAGCTGCCTGAACTCACTGGTTCAGTTGTCAACATAAGATTGCAAGAGAACTCATGCATATATTTTTGTGTATTCCTGGTGCTTGTATTTGAAGTCCAAGAAGAGGATTTTGATTATTTGTTACTTGTGGGATGATGGCAAGGTTAGGAGTGTTGAAAAAACCAGTTTGTAAGAAGAGCTCTTGCCTGGGTGTGGTGGCTCAAGCCTGTAATCCCAGCACTTTGGGAGGCCAAGGTGGGAGTATTGCTTGAGCCCAGGAGTTTGAGACCAGCCTGGGCAACATAGCTAGACCTCATCTCTACTAAAAATAAAAAAATTAGCCAGGCATATTGGTGCACACCTGTAGTCCCAGCTACTTGGGAGGCTGAGGTGGGAGGATTGCTTGAGCCCAGGGATTTGAGGCTACGGTGAGCCAAGATTGCACCACTGCACTCCAGCCTGGGTGATAGAGTGAGATGCTGCCTCAAAAAAAAAAAAAAAAAAAAAAAAAAAGAGTTCTTGGCCTGAGTGTAGATGGGGTCTTCACTGAGTCCGGTGCTGTATGTAGCTCTGCCTGTACGGCAGCCTCTGCTGCGCTCTGTGGTGGAGGAAAGGAGCACCAAAATGCGAGTTGGGAGCCCAGGGTTCCAGGCTAAATTTCGATTCTACTCCCAAGGCCTGAGGTATGCAGTTATACAAGTGATTGTGCTGTAACATGCTGATCTCTAGAAGTAATTTATTTCTATTTGTGTCATCTCCCCACAAATGCTATTGTGAGAACTGCTGCCATCTTGGTTGTTAATATGTGACTGGGAGTCAAAATGAACAGGTACAACACCAGTGACCATCCCTGCAGCACCAGAAGGCTTATGAATCATGTCTCAGAGCAGCTCTGTGGGCTCGTTGTCTCAGGAGATGCCAAACCACAGCCCTTCTATTCATTCTCTCATTAGTTCAACAGACACTGATTGAGCCTGACCCTGAGCCAGCCTCCATCAGTGCAGGGTGTGGGGGATATAGAATGAATAAGACAGTGTCCTTAACTCAAAGGGATCATCCTCAGTTTCTCCAAACCAGAGGTGCCAACCTTCCCACTGCTGTGTCTCTAGTCTGCAGTCAGGTACAATCCAACTTCTTGAATCCATTCACTTTGCATAGTGGCAGCCATTCCTCTCATTCATCAGTGTTGCCTCTTGCTTCAGGGGTCCAGCCTTTTAGTTTACAGGTCAAGAATTTTAGGGGGATCTTTCTCCTCCTCTCTGCCGACCCCCACCTTGGCCCATGGGGGTGAGAACTTCTGCTTTTACATCTCCCCGCTCAGGGAAGGACTGCCGTGTAAGCTCTGTTCCTCTCTCTGCCCTCCTGTTTCTCTTCATTAGAGGACTGGTTGAGTCATGTTTTGCTGCTGGGCAGGGTTTCTGGTGCCTCAGCAGTGGGAAAGAGGCTCCACTTTATCTTTCTGAGCTGTTTGCCCCAGGACTCAAAGACCTTTGTTCTCACTCCAAGCCTGGCCAGGTGGGGCATCCTCATGGTCTGGTGGGTTCCAAGGTCTAGACCTGGGGCAGGAGTCAGAGGCGTCCACTTTGGCCTGAGTCTAATCTGTGTTTGCCATTCCAGCTTTGTCAGAGGGCTCTACTTTGGGTGGTTTGGGGGTATAAAACTGGCCATTAATAAATCTGAAACTCTAATTCCCCTTGTTGTCTTTGTTAGCTGGTCAGCGAGAGGGGAAGAAGGGTTGGTGCCCGCGTTCTGGCTCCAGCCCTATCCCAGACCTCTAAACTTCAAAGCAGAGATGGTGAGGGACATGCTCAAGGTCCTGAGGACTCTTGGAAGATGTGGGACTTGAATTCATGTCTCCTGACTCTTGGCGCAGTGCTCTTCTCCCGTATCTGTCTCTCCTCAAATGGACAGAACTCACCAGTTGGCTCTCTGCTTGTTGAAAAGAGGGTATGGCTGTGTAGATGCCATGATAAAAATATGGAATCTGGACCCAGAGAAAATTGGGTTTCAACATTTTACATTTTCCCCTACATCTTAATTCCCTCATCTGGAAACAGGGTTAATAAGGGTATTTTCCTCAGTGTTATGACAAGCATGAAAGAATCCACATACCATGCACAACACGGTGTCTGAAACCGAGCAATTGCTCCATAAATGTTAACTATTTTCATGTCATATCAAATGAAACTTCCAGCTAGAAAAATTTTTCCCAAGAAGAGGAAAACAGTATCCAGCCAATGTAAAGTAGCAGGGCGTTTTCTTAATGAACAGTGTATCAGCTAAGTTTTTGAGGAGCAGTAATTCCTGTCTGGAATTTACCTGGGTATTGTAACTCTTCCCTACTGGCCATGTAGCCCAGGCTGAATGCTCTCAGTATATACATCTAGAACACCACAGGCGCCAATATCTATAAATAGGGAGGAAGCCATAAATGAGAGCTCATTAAGTTCTTACTGACTGCTGAAAAGTAAATTAGAAAAAATAAACAGAGCTGAACATTTGTGTAAACCTCAATCTTTTTGATGTTTTTCAATTAGCAGAGCCATTTTTCATGTGAAAAATTAATGGCTGTCATGTGCCACCTGGCTTATAGAATCAAGTGACAATTTGTTTTAATGACCATTTTCTACCTCTGGATTCAGGTGGACATGACCAGTTACAGGCCATTGGCGATGGGAGGAGGCAAAGGGGAGTGGGCCTTTAGGGAGCACTGCCCCCATGCCAGGCACAGTGCCAGGCTTGCAATGCACGTCCTTCCCTGAATTTCCTCCATGGCCCAATGAGGCTGTTGTTATCCTCATTTTATACATGTGGTTCTGAGAGGTGAAGAAATTGCCCAAGGTCACACATAGATGTTCAGGGCAGTCTGATTCTATAATTTGTGTCTATTCCACCAAATCACATTCTGCAGAGGGAGAAAGATTTGGCAGGAAGGAGGGAGGTGCCTGCTGATCTCTGGCAGGCAGCCTGCAACAAGGGTGGGACTGAACCAAGTGGTGGGGGTTGACATGGGCAGAGTCCAGCAACAGGGATCCTGGTGTGGGAGATGCTTAGGGTTCTGTCAGCGCAGAGGTCTCTCTTTGAATAGCAAAGCATTTGTCATCAGACTAGGGCTCAGAGTAGAAGTCCAGTCTCTGGGAGGGAGACTGAGAGTAAGGCAGGAGCCAGGCAGGATGTCTGTTTCAGAAGGGACCCGAGTTAGCAGTTGCTCAGTAAGACCACTGCATAGTTGATGAGGCCAAGAAACTAGAGGCAGACACCACGTCAAAGGCCACCTGTAATGCTGGAGCCACCTCATTAGAGTTGGCACAGTAGCAAGGAAGACTGAGGCAGAGCTGACACATTCTGTCTGGAGCTGCCTTTTGGAGGGAAGTGAGGGGAAGAAACTGCATGTGGAGTCAGAAGCCTCAGCTGTGGGCAGGGCTGGAGCAGCGGAGCAGGCCTGAGAGCCAGGCAGGGGCTGATGACCGTGATGACAGCTTTCACGGATTGTGGGATGGGCCCTTTTATGCATAATCTTTAATCCTGAAATAACTTCAGGGGATAGGCACTACTATCTCTTTTTGTATATGGGGAAGTGGAAGTTCAGAGAGACAGAGGGGTGAGGTCCTTTGCTTACAGGCACACAGTGGCCATCTGGCAAAGCAGAAATGAAAACCCAAAGATCTGTGCATGTTCCTCCCGCTCCCATACTGCCTCCCTGCCATCCCTAATTCAAAACAGATGATTACTTTCTCCATCCACTGCTTCTTCCCTGCCCTGCCTGTAACTGACCAGCGCCAGTCTGCAGAAACAGCAGCAGCCTTGGATTTAATTTTCTGGGCATTATAACCGACACTGCGGAGAACATCTCGGCTCTAGGGACAAATCTGTCTGATGACAGTGCACACGTGAGCTCCTTCCTAGACTGAGGGTGGAGCCGCTGGACCTGACAGTTGCAGCTTATTCTCCCTTTTGGTAATAATGCACGACTAGGCAAGAGAGGAAAAAACCTGCCGAGTAATTCTTTAATTTTAAAGAGTATTTCTCCAAGGCGCAGGAATCAATCAGCCCTTGGGATCCGAGCTTCTGTTCCAGGGGAGGGCGACTTAGGAACAGCTCTGCCTCCCTCAGGCAGGGTAGGGACTCAGTGACCTCAGAAAGATTTCTCGCAGCCGCAGGCTCCTCTTAGGAGTTTTGCTGATTGGTTTGGACTTTACTTTGAACGTGGCAGTAGATAGAAGTGTTAAGATTTTTCATAAGTCTGTCTTTCCATTTTCTTTCCTCTTCTAATTCCTGAGGTTCATAATTATTCTGTTCACCCTTTTGTAGTTGGATAACTGATTTTTGTTGTTGCTGTTGTTGTTGTTGCTATTTCTTTGGGCAGTTTGAATATTCTTCAATGTACATTCCTAGAAGCCTTCCAGAAGCCACGTTCTTCTTCTGGGCAATTCTAGGGAGATGGTGTTTGTTCCAGCCCTGGCCTTGCTGATTGACTGTTTAAAATTTACTCTCCCTGTCTCTGTTCCTCTCTCTTTACAGCATTATTTATCTACCAGTTCATCTACCCACCAATAGTCAATTTATCTATGTAACTATCCATTTGTTCCTCCATGCATGTCATGGTCCTGAATTAGCAAAGATTATGATGCTCGGCTAAGGGACAGCCCTTATAGACTACTCACACTTTCCTATAGCCATAGAAAGCAAAGAGAGTTAAATAAAAAATGAAAAATGCAATTAATCTCAAACCTTGTTGGAATTTATCATTTTTCTAAATGCCCTAAAAGGTTCTCTTCTTTTCTGTGTTGCAGACAGAACAGAAAGAAAATCAGACTTATGTCGATGGGGGTTTTAGACCTTATATCCACAGGTCAGATTTGTAAGGTTGAAGAAAGGAGGTGGGCACCCAAGGGTGAGGACAGCTGCTCACTGATCTCTCCTGATTGCCCACAGGGTAGGTCTTGCACTCTAGATCCCAGGTGAGGGTTTGGGAATCATTGCTTGTCCTTGATCACTTTGTTCTACAGCATCACCCCGAGACATCCATTCACAACTCTGAGATAAGTAACCTTGGAATGGGGAAGTTCTGGTACCTCTTCCAGATGCCTATCTGCTTTCCTTTTATTTTTTCAGAATTAATCCACTTTAATTTTTAAACTTTTTTTTTTTTTTTTTTTTAGGTAGAGTCTCACTCTGTCTCCCAGGTTGGAGTGCAGTGGCGTGATCTCGGCTCACTGCAACCTCTGCCTCCCAGGTTCAAGCCATTCTCCTGCCTCAGCCTCCCGAGTAGCTTAGACTACAGGTGCGCACCACCGTGCCCAGCTAATTTTTGTATTTTTAGTAGAGACAGGGTTTCACTATGTTGGCCAGGCTGGTCTTGAACTCCTGACCTTCAGTGATCCTCCCACCTTAGCCTCCCAAAGAGCTGGGATTACAGGCGTGAGCCACCATGCCTGGCTAATTTGTAAACTTTTAATTGATGAATAATAATCATATATATTTATGGGGTACAATGTGATGTTTCCATACATGTAGGCATTGTAGAATTGATCAAATCAGGCTAATGAACATATCCATCACCTCAATACTTATCTTTTTTTTTGTGATGAGGACTTCTAAAATCTACTCTATGAGTTCAGCTTTTGAAGATTCCATACATGACTGGGCGTGGTGGGTCATGCCTGTAATCCCAGCACTTTGGGAGGCCGAGGCGGGTGGATCACTTGAGGTCAGGAGTTCGAGACCAGCCTGACCAATATGGTGAAACCCCATCTCTACTAAAAATACAAAAATTAGCTGGGTGTGGTGGCAGGTGCCTGTAGTCTCAGCTACCTGGGAGGCTGAGACAGAAGAACTGCTTGAACCCGGGAGTTGGAGGTTGCAATGAGCCGAGATCACGCCACTGCACTCCAGCCTGGGTGACAGAGTGAGACTCCATCTCAAAGAAAAAAAAAAAAGATTCCATATATATGTGAGATCATGTGTAGTATTTGTCTTTCTGAGCCTGGCTTATATCACTGAGCATAGTGTCCTCTAGATTCATCCATGTTGTTGCAAGTGACAGAATTTTCTTCTTTTTCAAGGCTGAATATATTCTGTTGTATATATAGACACCACATTTAAAAAATCAATTTATTCATTGACAGGCACTTAGGTTGTTTCCAGATCTTGGCTATTGTGAATGATGTGGCAATGAACATGGGATGCAGACATCTCCTTGACATACTGATCTCAATTCCTTTGAATAGAAACCCGGAAGTGGGATTGGTGGATCATATGGTAGTTCTGTTTTCAATTTTGTGAGGAACTGCCATATTGTTTTCCACAATGGCTGTGCTCATTTCCATTCCCACCAATGATGTATAGGAATTCCCCTCTCTTCAAATCTTTGGCAGCATTTGTTATCTTTTGATAATAGCCATTCTAACTGGGGTGAAGTGATATCTTATTGTGGCCTTGATTTGCATGTCCCTAATGACTGGCGATGTTGGGCATTTTTTCATCTATCTGTTGGCCATTTATACAGCCTCTCAAGAAATGGCTATTCAGGTCTTTTGCCAATTTTAAAATAGAGTGGGCCAGGTGTGGTGGCTCATGCCTGTTATCCCTGCACTTTGGGAGGCCGAGGTGGCTGGATTGCTTGAGCCCAGGAGTTTGAGACCAGCCTGGGCAAACTGATGAAGTCCTATCTTTATCAAAAACAAAAACAAAAAATTAGCTGAGTATGGTGGCATGCACCTGTCCCTGCTTAAGATTAAGTAGTCCCAGCTACTCAGGAGGCTGAGGTGGGAGGATCGCTTGAGCCCGGGAGGTGGATGTTGCAGTGAGCCAAGATCATGCCACTGCACTCCATCCTGGGCAACAGAGTGAGAGCTTGTCTCAAAAATGAAACAAACAAAAAAAGAATTATTCGTTTTCCTGTTACTGAGTAGTTTGAGTTTCTTATGTATTTTGGGTATTAGCGCCTTATCTGATGCATGATTTGCAAATATTTTCTCCCAATCTGTAGGTTGTCTCTTCACCTGTTGTTTCCTTTGCTGTGCAGAAGCGTTTTAGTTTGATGCAATCCCGTTAGTCTATTTTTGCTTTTGTTGCCAGTGTTTGTGAGGTGAATGATATCCACGGAATACTTTCCCAGACCAATGGGGTAGAGCTTTTCCTGTTTTCTTCTAGTAGTTTTACAGTTCCTTATTCACCTTTCTTCACGGCCATTCACAAAAAAGCCAGGACAAGCTGCTGGTGCTCCAAGGCTATAGTTTCTCTGCTTCTCTTTGTTCTCCTAGGATATTCTGAGTTGAATAACATAGTGTTACTTCATCCTTCTATTTCCATCAACATGTGAGACTAGCTTTTATACAATGGCTATTTTAAAAACTTCTTAGATATTTGAACTCTATTTCAAGCAGTTCTGCTGAATTTAGAGTCCCATATTGACAATTTTTTGATAGTATAATATCAAAAAATGAAGCTTTATCTTGCCATTTTCTGCAGCAAAAAGAAAAAGTATATATCTTTTGTAAATATACTGTCTAAAGTTGTAAACTGTCCTTTCTTGAAAGGGATCATTTTAAGAGTGAGGATCCTGACGTCAGATCCCTTGGGTTCAAATCCTGGCTCCACCACTGATTTTCTGTGTTACCTTAGGCAAATTACTGAAC
This sequence comes from Homo sapiens, assembly GCF_000001405.40. Classification (NCBI taxonomy): domain Eukaryota; kingdom Metazoa; phylum Chordata; class Mammalia; order Primates; family Hominidae; genus Homo; species Homo sapiens. The sequence continues at coordinate 51,359,736 of NC_000017.11, forward strand.
CTTTCCATGCCTCATTTTCCTTATCGGTAAGACATAGAAATGACACTAGTAATTACTACAGATTGGCTAGCAATGCTGTGGATTGGCTTGCTCAATCTCCATTCCACTCTCCTTTTAGGCTGCCTTCCTGTACTATGGAGCCTGGAAAGCAACAATCTCCATTTTCCAGATGCTTTGCAGCTAGGGCTTAGAATAGAATGTAGGGTCTAATTGTAATTAGAACACTTGCCCCGTATTTGGAAGGCCAAGTGAGGCCACGCACAGGCCTTCTTCCTAACCCTTCTGCTGGCAAGCAAGGGAGTGAGAGTAAAAGGTTTTATTGCAGTGTTCTAGTAGTGGTTACAGAGACAGTATTTGGGGGCAGAGAATTCCTCATTCTGGTTTCTGACCTCTGGCTCATAGCACTGGGGCCATGTCATGGACATAGTAGTCTAGTGTCAGCCTTAGAGATAGCATCTCCCCAAATTGACCAGTGCTTATTGTTCTGGAAATCAGTCCTGGCACCTAGGCCAGAGCCTACTCCTCCAGCTCTTCCAGTGATTTTGTAGTGCCTAATTTCTTTTATTAAATCTCTTTCGGCTTAAAATACCCAGAGTTGTCCCAGTTTCTTTCTTTCTCTCTCTCTCTCTTTTTTTTTTAGGTGGAGTCTTGCTCTGTCACCCAGGCTGGAGTGAAATAATGCAATCTCAACTCACTGCAACCTCCACCTCCCAGGTTCAAGTGATTCTCCCGCTTCAGCCTCCTCAGTAGCTGGGATTACAGGTGCATGCCACCATGCCTGACTAATTTTTGTAGTTTTAGTAGTGATGGGGTTTCACTATGTTGGCCAGGCTGGTCTCTAACTCCTGACCTTGTGATCCCCCCACCTTGACCTCCCAAAGTGCTGAGATTACAGGCATGAGCCACCGCCCCTTGTTTCTTGTACTAAACCCCAATTGATACAAGTACCTCCCAAGGTTGTCATGAGTATTCAAGGAGGTCATGAAAGTACTATGCAGCAGTACCTGACACATGGCTAGCACGATCACTGTTTAACAAGCATCTGTTTTTGTCACCATCCATTGCTATTCTCATTATTCCATTCCAAATGTGTCCTTCCTTTCTGGGCCTGGCTTTTGGTGTGAAATGAGGTGGTTTGACCAGAATGCTCCTAAGGCCCCCTCTGGCTGAGTGATTCTAGGATTTTAAGGATGTCTTATTCTGTTCAAGCTGCTATAACAAAATACTGTTACCAGTGGAAGCTATCCCAGTTACCGGCAGTGAATCCATACGGGTCTAGAGCAACCTCAATTCTTGCCTCCTCAGAAGAAAGAATTTGACTGAGGGGCATAAGGCAGAAAAAGAGATGGAGGTGAGTTTCAGAGCAGGAGTGGAAGTTTATTTAAATTGGCTTTAGAACAAGAAAGAAAGAAAAGTATGCTTGGAAGAAACCCAAGTGGGCACCTGAAGGTCAAGTGCGGAGTTTAACTGTGATCCTAGGGCTTTATAGGCTGACCCTTTCCCATGATTCTTCCCTTAGGATGGGCTGCCCATGTGTGCAGTGCCCTTCTTATGCCTGGGAAGTGAGAACATGCAGTGTGCTTAGGAAGCTGTATGCATGCCCATCTGAGGCTCTTCTTCCCTTTTCCAGTGGAGTGCCCCCGGAAAGTCATACTCCACCATTTTGTCTCTTAATGCAGATGCCTAGGAAGTGGCTTCTTCCCAGGCATCTGCATTCAATTAACACTTTATTTTTTATTTTTTGAGACGGAGTTTTGCTCTTTTTGCCCAGGCTGGAGTGCAATGACATGATCTTGGCTCACAGCAACCTCCGCCTCCCGGGTTCAAATCATTCTCCTGCCTCAGCCTCCCGAGTAGCTGAGATTACAGGCATGCACCACCATGCCCAGCTAATTTTGTATTTTTAGTAGAGACAGGGTTTCTCCATGTCAGTCAGGCTGGTCTCAAACTCCCGACCTCAGGTGATCCACCCACTTCGGCCTCCTAAAGTACTGGGATTACAGGCGTGAGCCACCTGCCCTGCTGCAATTAACACTTTAGTGCAACAGGTGTGGCCCTTGAGGAAATGGCCTCTCCCTGGCGCCAGCTGCCAATTTATCACTTTTATTTTATTTTATATTTTTTTGAGACAGGGTCTCCCTTTGTCACCCAGGCTGGAGTGCAGTGGTGCGATCTCGGCTCACCGCAACCTCAGCTTCCCAGGTTCAAGGGATTCTCCTGCCTTAGCCTCCTGAGTAGCCATGATTACAGGCATGCGCTACCATAGCCCCAGCTAAATTTTGTATTTTTAGTAGAGATGGAGTTTTACCATTTTGGTCAGGATGGTCTCAAACTCCCTACCTCAGGTGAACCACCTACCTTGGCCTCCCAAAGTGCTGGGATTATAGACGTGAGCCACGGTGCCCAGCCTTAATTTATCACTTTTAGAGAGGCAATGTCATAACTGCCGAACCATCACCCAGCATTCTTAGTGGGTGTCTAAGTACCGCTCATGCCTGTCCAGCTCCCTGTAACATTACCATAGACGGGTGGCTTAAACAGCAGACATTTATTTCTCACCGCTCTGGAGGCTGGAATTCCAAGATCAAGGTGCCAACATGGTTGAGTTCTGGTGAGGACCCTCCTCCTGGCTTTTGGATGGCCTCCATCTCACAGTAGCCTCCTTCTCACTGTATCCTCACGTGGCAGAGAGAGGGCTCTGGTCTCCTCTTGTTAGGACATGAATCCCATCGTAGGGGCTCCACCCGCATGACCTTATCTAAACCTAATTACCTCCCAAAGGCCCCACCTCCTAATACCATCACATTAGGTGTTAGGGATTTAACGTATGAATTTTGGTGGGGACACCAACATTCGGTCCATGACAAAGGGTCAGGATACAATGTAAGGTGAGGGGAGCCCAGCAGGTTCTCTGTCTGTGCAGCAAAGACACCAGGGCAAAGTCTACAAGTGTGTTTAGGGGAGCACTGTCCAGAGTGGCTGCCTGGCAGGGTTTCTGGGTCTGATTTTTTATGACAAAACGAAACTTTTCTCTTTGTATTGACTTCAATGGAAGGATCCCTGCTGCCACACTCTCGGGTTTCTTTCACATGCTCATAGCTCTATGGCTTGAGAGAACCTCTCACAATCAACCAGCTTGGACTCAATAACCCTGTACAGACAAACGAATGAGGCATCCTCCCAGGAATTCTAGAGTTGGAAAGAGCACCAGGCTGGGAGTCAGAAGTCTCAGGTCCTAGCTCTGTTTTACCTGTGTAACCTTGGACAACCCTTCCTGTCTTTGGGCCTCAGTTCCCTATCTGTAAAATGATTCAGGGTGAGCTCATCGCCCTCTCAGCAGGGGGGATGGGAGATGCTTTCTAAGGCCCCTTTTGCAGGAATGTCTTATAATTCTTCATTCATTCTAAGAGCCATTCTTTGCTTTTCATATTCAAATAGGCTTGTCCTTGCATCTCTTTTCTCTTTTACCCCATCCAGTTGGCATCACTCAAAGTTCCTTTTAAGATTTTATGACTTTTCTGAAATAATTTTCCAAGTCTGAGTAGTTATTTGATCCATCCTTTGAATTTTTTCTTTGGGGTGTGGGTAGAGGAAGCAGTGGGTCACTTAGGGAGAAGCCTTCCTTCTGGGCTGCTGACAGCTGCTGGGGCCACGCGGGGGGGTCACTGCTTCTGTGGACTTGGCACAGGCAGAGTTAGGTTTTGATCCCACTGCTCTGCTCTGAGAGCTGCTGTCTGGCTGCTTATGGTGCAAGGACTGAGTATCTTCGTGTGTCACCCTGCAAAGAATTTTCCCTGCCGCTTTACTCTGGACCCAAAGCTCCTTGAAGGAGTGGTCAGCTGTAGTGCTGTCATGTTGAATGCCGACAAAGGACTGGAAAATCAGAAAATGGGGTACAGGAGATGGGAACCATCTTTGTTGATACCTTGTATTTGTAGGATCTCCCAAATATTAACTCCCTAATCCATGACCCTCACTGGTATTTGCTTCCCAGCATTGCCATAGCAAAGCACCACAAACTGGGTGGCTTCAAACAACAGAAACTGACTGTCAGTTCTGGAGGTTAGATGTCTGAAATCAAGGTGTCGGCAGGGTCACACTCCCTCTGAAACCTGGAGCAGGGAGAGTGCTTCCTTGCTTCTTCTTTGCTTCTGGTGGTGGTGGCAATTCTTGGTGTTCCTTGGCTTGCACCTATGGCATTTCAGTCCCTGCCTCTGTTGTCCCAAAACATTCTCCCCTTGTGTATATGTGTGTTTTTTAATGAGACCAGTTATTTTGGATCAAGGGCCCACCCTATTCCAGGATGACCTTATTTTAACTAATTACATCTGCAATGATCTTATTTCCCAATAAGGTAACATTTTCTGGTACTGGGGTTTAGGAGTCTATCATTTCTTTTTGGGGGACACAATACAAGCCATAACATCACTGTAAGTGAGATGTCGTCATCCTGATTTTTGTAGGTGATAAAACAGACTCAGAGATGTTTGTGACTCCTGAATTTCACATAGATAGCAAGTGGCAGAGTCAGAATTTAGGGTGTAATTCACCTGATTCCAATACCTCTGTGCTTTCGCGATAACAGCTTTTCCATTCACAGCTTCTGGAGCACCTGGGGCAGAAGCACCTGGGGTGGGGAGTGTGTGTTAAACACACCTGAGCCTGGGTATCTGTATTTTAAATGAGCTGCCCAGATGCTTCTGAGGCATGCTAAAACTTGGGAACCCTTGCATTACATCTTGATTCCTGTCTCAGGCTAAGGGAGGTGGGGAGTGGAACAGCTGCTGATTGTTCAGATGGAAAGTGGTGGTGGGTGGGTAGTAAGAGTCTAAACTGGCATCTCTCAAACTTTACTGTGCACATGAATCATCTGGGGATCTTGTTAAAATGCAGATTCCGAGTCTAGGGGACTGAGGAGGGAGCTGTGATTCTGCATTTCTAACAAGTTCCCAGGCGATGTTGAGGCGGAGGCTGTGTGGACCACACTTAGAGTGCAGGTGTCCTCGATAGGACATGATGGGTGACAAATCGAGGATGGATCCTCAATTCTACCTGCACATGAAGACCACCTGGTGGCTTTTTGACACTTGAATCTCCAAGTCCCATCCCTAGAGACGATTGGTATTTTTAAAAATCTCCTCGAGTAATTCCACTGTATGGCCAAGATTAGGAACAACTATTTTTAAGCAAGGTGAGGGATGTCGGGATGCATATGCAGACAGGGTGTCAGCTTTTTTGTAGTCCTGCACTTCTTCCTTTGGAAAGTCTCCGTCCTGCCCCACTGACTTGTTGCTGCTTATCTGGAGGCTGAATTCAGAGCCAAAGAATGAGGTCTGGTTCACTTGGCTGGAGGGGATGGGGCAAGGGCTGTTCCTGTGCCCCACTGTCGTTTATGCCAGAGCCCTGAGTGCTGAGTTTTCCCAGGGGCTCTGAAAATCAGAGTGGGTTGTTGTTTTCTAACTGGGGTTCAGGCCTCCAATTTCCTCCTTTAAAGCGCCGCCTGCCTCGCCCAACAACTTCCTGACTCAAGTCTGCCAGCTCACTTCCTCTACTTATCTACTCCAGCCTTGGGATGGCTTCTCTGATGAGTCCTGCCGCACCCATTGTCAAGTTCATGACTACGCCAAAGGTCATGGTGAGGTCCAGAGGGAGCGGGTGGATGAGCAGAAAGAACACTTGGGGGGTCGTAGGCAGGTGAATTATTTTATTCAGCAGCAGCTCTTACCAACAGCTTTCTCACACTGTCCACCCTGTCTCAGCTGCTTGGTCCGGCGGCCCCCGCACACAGCTGCATGGCCTGCTCTCTCTTGCCTTCAGGGTCAGCAAATTAACCCTTTCTCTCTCTGGGCACCAGCATGAGCTGTGCCGCGGCTCCCCTCTGTCCATCTTGCAGATGGACAGCTTTGGCTCTTTCTCTCTTTCTCTGGGTGCCAGTGCACCTGTGCAGTGTCAACAGGGCAATTATACCTTTTATAGACAATAGTGGTGTAGAGCCAAGCGATGGCCTTCCCATCTAGTGATGGCTACATGGCTATGATAACAAGTGGAGTTTTACACCTGTGCTCTGAACTCGCTGAGACACACAGGGATGTAAACATCTTACCTCGGCCTATCCTTGACCAAAGCACAGCCATGTTCCTTACACCCATGCAGTTCCCATTGGGTAGAAACAGCTCCAATGTGCAGTATGTGGACTGTGCTTATTTAACCCTCCTCCCCAACAGCCCCTCTCCCCACCCCCACATGTTTTACTGGATTTGGCCCCAAAGTTTCTGATTTTAACCATCGTACTGATACAGAGGGCTGGGCTCCCAGCTAAACCCCATTCTTAAGCCTGGAACTGCCCCTTAAGTGAAAACAGCTGACCCCATTTTTCCGTCCAACTGTTGCCTTTTTGGCCTGCCTCACCCATATCCTGTGCCCATAAAAACTTTAGCTGGCAGAACAACACAGGCGGCTGAGCATCGAGGATACAAGTGGCTGAGGAGTGAGCAGAGAAGCAACTGAGCATCAGAGACTATGGATAGGTGTGGCTGACTTCAGACAGTGTGGCTTCAGAGAGGGGCCCGGCCGGAGATGGCTGAACTTCAGGGAAAGATCACCTTCCCATCCCCTTTCCAGCCTTCCTTTCCACTGAGAGCCACCCACTACTCAATAAAGTCTTCCGCACTCATCACCTTTCAAACAGTCCATGTGACCTGATTCTTCTTGGACGCTGGACAAGAACCTGGGTGCTGAGAGGGCAGAGGCTGCCACCCTGACCCCTGAGCTGGTTGGCACTTGGCTGATCCTGATGGCAGAGCTGAAAGAGCGCTGGTTGTAACACGCTTGGACGCTGCTGTGGGGCCCACACAGAGCCTGCTCCCACCAGAGAGGAGTGACCAGCCAGTTCCAGTTCCAGTGTTCGTTCGCTCAGGTTCCTGCATTCGCTCACTCACACTCTCCCTCCTGCGAGGAGTGGCCAGTGGTGGGCTGAGTGAAACGAGACACTCCAGTTCCTGCCCGCAAAGGGGGTCAAGTGAACTATCCCCTCTCAGCATTTTACCAAAACTGTTTATGAGACCCTGTGGTGGTAGTAGTTTAGAGCAGCAGTGGTTGTGGGGGACATTTTACACCTGTGTTTTAGTTTTCTTACCTGTAAAATGGAGCTAATGGTAGCATCTGTCTCATAGCACTGTGAGTGTGTGGGATGAATTGAATGGGATGATTTTTGCAAAGCATTTTCGGGCAGTGCCTGCACGTGAAATGTGTCTTCAAGGCACCGGCCAGCCACAACCTGGGTGAGATGGAGCTTCAGGGCCATCTGCTGCCCAGAACTCAGGACACTGCTTTTCTACATCTGTCCCTAGAAAGGGACAAAATAGACAGGTTGGTAAAGGGGCCTTTGGGTCAACTCATTCCTCACCAAGATCTATCTTTTTCTTTCCATTCTTCTTCCTTCTCTGAGTTTAATTTTTTTAAAGCCAAACTTCTGGAGTAAATTAAATTGTTTAATGAGATAATATGATGTAGTGGTTAGAAGCATGGACTCTGGAATCCACTGACTGGCTGTGCCATTTAGAAGGTGTGCCATCTTGGGCAAATACTTAACCTCTCTGTCTCAGCTTCCTTATCTATAAAACAGGGATCACAATAGTACCTGTCTCCTAGTGGTGTTGAGATAGTGCAGATACAGTGCATAGGGCAGAGCCTGGTGCTTAGAAAGCACTCAGTTTCTATCACCTATTACTGACTGCAAGCCTGGCAGCATCCCTATATTATAGGATTTCACATCTCCTTTAATCCCACAACTGGAAGAGGTATCACCTCTGCTTCACAGTTGAGGAAATGGGGGCTCAGAGGCTTGGAAAATGGGTTAAGATTATATAACTAGTAAGTAGTGGAGCTGAGATTTGAACCTTAGAATTTTAACTAAGAAGCCTGAGGTCTTTCTTTCTTTCCTTTTTTTTTTTTTTTTTTTTTCAAATTATACTTTAAATTCTGGGATACATGTGCAGAATGTGCAGGTTTGTTGCATAGGTATACATGTGCCATGGTGTTTTGCTGCACCCATCAACCCGTCATCTACATTAGGTATTTCTCCTAATGCTATCCCTCCCCTCGCCCCCAACCCCCTGACAAGCCCCAGTGTGTGATGTTCCCCTCCCTGTGTCCATGTGTTCTTATTGTTCAACTCCCACTTATGAGTGAGAACATGCAGTGTTTGGTTTTCTGTTCTTGTGTTAGTTTGCTCAGAATGATGGTTTCCAGCTTCATCCATGTCCCTGCAAAGGAAATGAACTCATCCTTTTTTATGGCTGCATAGTATTCCATGGTGTATATGTGCCACATTTTCTTTATCCAGTCTATCATTGATGGACATTTGGGTTGGTTCCAAGTCTTTGCTATTGTGAATAGTGCTGCAATAAACATATGTGTGCATGAGTCTTTAAAGTAGAATGATTTATGATCTTTTGGGTATATACCCAGTAATGGGATTGCTGGGTCAAATGGTATTTCTGGTTCTAGATCCTTGAGGAATTGCCACACTGTCTTCCACAATGGTTGAACTAATTTACACTCCCACCAACAGTGTAAAAGCATTCCTATTACTCTATGTCCTCTCCAGCATCTGTTCTTTACTGACTTTTTAATGATTGCCATTCTAACTGGCGTGAGATAGTATCTTGTTGTGGTTTTGATTTGCATTTCTCTAATGACCAGTGATGATGAGCTTTTTTTCATATGTTTGTTGGCCGCATAAATGTCTTCTTTTGAGAAGTGTCTGTTCATATCCTTCGCCCACTTTTCGACGGGGTTGTTTTTTACTTGTAAATTTGTTTAAGTTCTTTGTAGATTCTGGATATTAGCCCTTTGTCAGATGGATAGATTGCAAAAATTTTCTCCCATTCTGCAGGTTGCCTGTTCACTCTGATGATAGTTTCTTTTGCTGTGCAGAAGCTCTTTAGTTTAATTAGATCTCATGTGTCAATTTTTAAAAGCCTGAGGTCTTTCTTTTCCAGGGACTCTTAATCTGGGGTCCCTTAACACCTAGTAGATTATTTGTGAGTTTCATTGAGTTTGGGAATCCTTTGAAATTGTTTCAAGAACAGGCGTTTATGTTTTTGGGAAGTCAGGGTCAAGATCACAGTCCATTGTTTTCTTTAGATCCACAGAGTAAGCCACTGCATTATTCCAACTTTCTTATAAGATAGAACAATTATTTAATGAACTCCAAATGTATGAAACTTCCATTGTTGAGATTATGTAAATAATTGGGCTGTAATGCAGCTGGATTCCTAGAATTAATAATTTCCATGTTCATACTCTGTGCTTACCACTCTAGTGCCCCTAATGTCATTTCAGCCCCTGTGTTTCTGGGCAGTCTCAATCAGAAGGATAGCATGCTTCAGAAAGCTTGCAATCACTCTGCAGAGGTAGACTCAGAGTCCTGGGTTTCACTGCTAGCAATGCTTCTAACTCTCGGAGCTTTATCTTCTTTGCGTGTAAAATGTGAGGATTGCCCAGCTGCACTCTGAGTCTCTCTGATGTCTTTCTGATGTGAAATCAAGGTGGAGATCAGGAGTTGCCTTCCTTAAACAAGGGCAGGCATGTTTTGGGTAGACAGAAAAGTGGAAACATAACCAGTCAGTCATTCATCTGCTGCATCTGGGGATGGACCTAAGCTGAGCAGGAGCCTCCCCTATCAGTCCTCTTCTCCTTTCTCCATGCTACGGCCACTACTGAGGACTGTAGAGTCAGAGTTGGAGGAGGCCAAGGAGGCATCTCTTAATTTACCCTGTCATGCTACTGAGCAAACCGAGGCCCAGAGATGGGGAATGCCTTACATAAGGTCACATGGCTAGTGCCTGGATTGGGACTTGAGCCCAAGTTTCCAGAATCCAAATCTGATGTCTACTTACAAAGCCAGCTAGTACACGAAGAGATCTAGAGGCCTTCTCAGGACTACTCAAATGTGACAAATATGTGGTCTGGCAGAATCCTGGGACACATTTCTGGGAATGCTGTTCTCTCTTTCCCAGTGCCTCGTCATGGACATGCCTTTCTGTGGGACGTTCTTACCTGTCCAGGCCTCCATTCACTGCAGGAGGGGAGGGGAGGACAAAAGGAGAATAGCAGCCCCAGGGTGTGTGCCTCTGTCCTGGGCAAGAGGGAGTGTCCATGCCCTTGCTACTTGGCATTCTCCCAAAGGCTGGCTGTTTCTGTGAGCACATTCCCAGCCTGCCAGCCTCTTTTTTTCCCTACAGGTGTATGGGATTCCTAAGGGGAATTGGACATAGCCTTTTATGCCCCATTCTTATGTGGCAGGAACTTTCCTTCCGTCCCTGTGACTCTTCTCAGGGCTCCTTTGACTGCTTTGGGAAACTCTGGGTTTACTCTTCAAATCCTGGATGGGGAAGCCAGAGGGCTGGAAAGCAGGCTGGCCCTGGTGATGGCCAGCTCTGCATCACTTGGCCATCTCACCCACAGTTTGGAGTGGAAAGAGGTCCAGTCACCTGACTGTGGGTTCTGGGGAGTCAGAGCCAGGGCAGGTCCGTGTTCTGCTAGGGGCTGGGAGAAGGCCTGCATCATACACAGTTAGTGGGCAGTACATGAAGGCAGTGAGGAGGTGTGGTATGCCCGCTGCCTTTCACAACTGCAGAAATGGTCACTGATTTCTTTCATCCTCCTCAGTGGCCTTGAAGCCCCTGGACAGAGCAATGCATCGGTGCTGGCTCTCAGAGATTTGTGCCAGCAGCAGGATGGGTTTTCTCTCCTGATTCCGTTTCTCCCTGGTTGGTTATTAGCACACCTTTTTCCTCCTGATTGAGAACAGCTCAAGTGGGAACTGCTACAGCTAGGGGCAGCATCTCTGGTGGCATGCTGGTGGCAGGGGGAAACCAGATGGGGAGGAAGAGCCAGTCAGGAGACATGTGGCTAATCACCTGTGGACCCAGGAGGATTCAGCTACTCAGTTCCTAGCCTCTCCAATTATGGATTCCCTATCCTGTTCTTTTCACAGTTCATACTTTTTTCTTTAAAGTAAAAAGTAACATGCATCACCATCTGTGAAAAGAAGGGGAAAAATAAAACTGAAAAAAGAAGGTAACATGCGACATTAAACATCCTTCTCCTAAAAGTATATCTCGCTATCTGCCCGTTCATCCATCCATCATTAACAGTGGCTGACATGTGAATGTTTACCAAGTGCCAGGCACTGTGCTCTGAGGTTTGCAGAGGAAGTCCCTATAGCCATTCTGTAAGAGATGCCACTGTTGTCCCTGTTTTTAAGGTGAGAACATAAGATACATGGAGGTTAAGGAATTTGCCTAAGGTCACAAATTAGGAAGTGGCAAAGCCAACCAGGAACCCCGGCAGCCGGGCACCAGAGCCCAAGCTCTGAACCGCTACTGGGCCATCTGCTTCTCTGCTTGTCAGTGGCATGGAGAGATGGCTGCAGGGACTTGCCCCGTATACTAATGCTGGTAGTTCAGAGTGGCTGCATTTGGGGTGACTTTTGACTTTAGTCTTTAAATTCTTCAGTCATGTTTCAATTTTTTTTTTTTTTTTTTTTGAGACAGAGTCTGGCTCTGTCGCCCAGGCTGGAGTGCAGTGGCTCAATCTCAGCTCACTGCAACCTCCGCCTCCTGGGTTCAAGCGATTCTCCTGCCTCAGCCTCCTGAGTAGCTGGGACTACATGTGCGCGCCACAACGCCTGGCTAATTTTTTGTATTTTAGTAGAGACGGGGTTTCACCATTTTGGCCAGGATGGTCTCGATCTCCTGACCTTGTGATCCGCCCACCTTGGCCTCCCAAAGTGCTGGGATTACAGGCATGAGCCACTGCACCCGGCCTAAATTTGTAAATGATGGGCATGTATCATTTTTATAATAGCTAAATAAAAAAACCAGTTGCAGAGAATCCCCAAAGCATATGATTTGGGGAATGGTAAACAGAGAGCAGGACGCTTTTTTTTTTTGGTGGTGGGTGGTGGGGGCAGACAAAGGAACTCTGATTTTGACCATCATCTCGTGGTGCTCTTGGGAGGCTCATCATTGGTTGGGTCCTCCCCCATTGCCTTGTTGTCTCTCTGCCACAAGATGGCAATCACAGCACAAGGATGGATGGGCTTGCAGCCTCCAGGAAGGAACACTAAGCGTCTGTCTTCCAGCTACAGAGAAGTCTCCCTAATGCATAGTTGGGGGAAGGGGCTTTTAGAGAGGGATTGAAAAGCTGACATCCCCTGCTGACCCAAACTCCAGGCAGTCCGGCAGTCATAGTCAGACGCTTCCATTTGCAGTAACCCATAGCTCTTCCCAGAACAGAGCTACATTGTGCATTTTGCTTTCTGATGAAAGAGACATAGAGACAAAATGACACAGAGGTTTCCGGGCATAGAATGAGGCCAGTGAGCCTGGAGAATGGGTTATTTGTAATCTGTGGGGTTATTTATTCTGTGATGTGTATAGATTCTTTTTGTTCCTTGAGTAGAAATTGGTGCTGGTCTTCTAGATGCAGAGGCTACAAAACAAATCCCAGGGTAGGCAGCCAGTGGCTTTCTCTGGGGTCTTCCCAGGTGGATATCTGGGTAGGGCAGCTTCCACTGAGGCTCAGCTTTTGGGATGATTCCTAGGAGGAAGACTATCAGGAGAAAGACTGGGGGCTTGGTTCCTGTGGATAGGTGCATACACGAATGGAGAGGAAACTTTGAGTGGGGACCATGGCATTTCTACCACCTGAGATGCCCAGCTGGGCATACCTGGATTGGACTCAGGCAGGGGAAGTGAAGGCAGGACTCCTGTATTAGTTAACACTAGTGGCTATAACAGATAAAACTTAAAATCTCAGTGGCTTACCACAATAGAAGTTCATTTCCTGCTTGTGTAATGTTCAAAATGGCTGATCCCTGATCAGCTAGTGGGTAATTCTTCCTCAAATGGTGATAGAAGCACCCAACCTCCTTCCAACTTGGGACTCTTCCATTTTCAACACGTGGCTTCTACAGATTCTTACAAGAAGTAGAAAGAACATGGAGGAGCACACACGGGAGGCATTCCAGCCAGGCCCAGTGGGGATGGAAACATCACTTCCGCCTTCATTCCATTGGCCAGAAATGAGTCATGTGGCCATCCCTAACTACAAAAGAGGCTGGGAAATGTAGTCTAGCCTGTGCCCGGGAGAATGAGGAAGTAGGTTTTGTGTATAACCAGCCAATTTCTGTCCCAGACTCATTCTTTATATGGATGATAGAGTTTATCCCAAATAAATAATCAGGTTTGCACACACAGATATTCATGCACAAAGATGTTCATTGCTCTGTTATTATAAAAGTAAATGTTTAGAATCAATGTAAATGTTTATCTATAACGTGTTAAAGAACTTATAGTCTATTCACACAAAAGTGTCACACAGAAGTGTTGGAGGCAGACCCCAAAATCATGTGGTAGAAGAACATGTTGGCCCTTCAGACATCACAGTGCTTTGTTAAGTAGCAATCCCAGGAAGCCTCGGGGTTCACGTGAGGCACAAATAAATTCAAATAGGCAATACCTATTTTCATTTAAATGTTCTACGACTTAGAGTCATACACAAAATATTTACTTTAAATATAACCCTTTAAAATATTCTCTCTGTATTTCTAAGAACATATTTCCTCGAAAGCAAAATGTACAATTGAATTATATTGCAGACTTTGTAGGAGACTATTTAATTCACTTTTTATCTCCCTGGTTCAGTCTCTGACTCCCACCTTGAACCACAGCATCACAGGGCAGAGACTGTGTCAGGCTTGTTTACTGCTCCGCACACAGTGAGGCGCCTATAGCAGACATTTGGTAAATATTTATTGACTAAAGTTGAGTTGAATGGGATGATGTCAAATGAAAAAACAGCTGGAGTAAAAACAAGGGAAAACCATGAATGTATGGTATGATGCCAGCTATGTAAATAGAAGTTCATATATGCATATGAAAAGACTGCAAGAGAGCATTTCAGCACAATAGGATTGCCTCTTGTTCTCTCTTTCACTTAGGGTTTCCTTTATTTTCCATTTCTTTTACAGTGAACCATTTGCATAATCATTTACAGCTATCATTTACATAGTCAAGATTAAAATTTAAAAATGTTGCTGTAGGGACCACAAATGTACTTCGGGGAAGGTGTCACAGGGTGAGGGATACAATACTTCCTGGAGGTGATGGACAGGTAGGTGTAGGAGCTACTTACATCATGTATGCTTAGACCCTTGGTCTGGGAACTGGGCCAGAGCCCAGGCTGGATGCAGGGAGCTGGGAGCACTTCTTTGTCGCATCTTCATCCTGACCCCCCTTGACTCTCCCTTTCAAATGTGAGCCTGTCCTTCATCTGTGCTGATGGTAGTGTAGGTTTCACCTTGGGGGAGAGGTGTGGGTAGGCTGTCATCACAGCTTGGGTAGGTGGTTTTGTATCCCTTCTGGAAGGCTCCCCACCCTCCTAGGTTTGCCAGTAAAATACAGGACAAAGGTTGAATTTGAATTTCAGATAAACAATGAACAATATTTTAGTATAAATATGTCCTAAATATTGCACTCTTTGTATAACATCACCAAACTAAAGAGCCTTGTTTTGGTGAAATGCCTGCTTTGTAAACAATGGAGAAATTGCACAAGCCTTGTCGGTGGGTACCCGATGCCCAGTAACGTCAGCTTCTTGACTTCCTCTGCACACTTCCCTTCCCTCTTCTCAGTCTCTACCTTCTTCCCACAGGACTGCCAGCAGCAGCATCTGAACCGAAGGCTGCATTGCCTGTCTCAGGGTATGTGACTTTGGGATGTTTTTCCTGGAGAAGCCCACCTGGGGTGAATCAGGCCCTGAAAACTCCTATGGGTAGCTTTTGAGGGTTCATCCCTTCCTGGACAGCTCCTTTTTTCTGGCCAATTGTGCCCCTTATTGGGTTGCCATCTCCTAGGCCTCTCTTTCCCCAGGTCCTCCTCAATAAGGTTGCAAGTTTCCCAGCTTCTCCTGGAGTCTCTTTTCTCTGAAAGCAGCATCCTGCCTTATTGAAGTTTTCTCAAGACAGCCCACATTTTTAGGGGAATAGACCTGGATAAAAATGACAAACATTTCCATTGTAATACATTTCTGAGACATTTAAAAACATTCACGAAAGCCATCCTGTGGTGTGCTGGCATTGAATGGGGAGTAGGGGGGAAAGAGGGTTTGGGAGGGGGTGTACGGTAAGGAAAAGACACCTTGCAGTAGGAGAAGCCAGGAGTGGAATTGCAGGCTGAGCTCGGAGTCCTGGAAGACTTCACGCTTGCTGGGAAGCAGAGGAAGTGCTAGAGTCCACGAAGGGGAAACAGAAGCAGAGAACAAGATCATCTTGCCAGCAAATGAGGCACATAGGGGTTCCGAGCAGAATATGCAGGGTCTGGCTTTGTTTCAGCAGATGAAGCCTTTGATAGGCGGCTGTGATCCCTCCTGCTGGAGCTGCCGGGGACTGGGCATGATTGAGAGCACGGCCCACTCTTCCTCGGGCCCTTACTTCTCATACTCATCAACTGAAAGCCAAATCAGTCCTTTGTGTTGCTTGTTGGTTTTGAAAAGTAAACTTTCGGAGGAGGGTTGTGAATACATCATCCATGAATATGGAATTTTCCATTTTTCAAAACATTAGTTTGAACCAAACAACATTTCCAAGGCCTAGCTGCTTTGGTCTTAGAAAAACAGCAATTTTAGGTCAGGCATGGTGGCTCACACCTGTAATCCCAGCACTTTGGGTGGCCGAGGTGGGAGGATCACTTGAGGTCAGGAGTTCAAGACCAGCCTGGCCAACATGGCGAAACCGCATTTCTACTAAAAATCCAAAAATTAGCCAAGCATGGTTGTGAGTTCCTGTAATCCCAGTTACTCAGGAGGCTGAGGCACGAGAATCACTTGAAGCCTAGGGGACAGAAGTTGCAGTGAGCCTAGACTGTGCCACTGTACTTCAGCCTGGGCGATAGAGTGAGACTCCATCTCAAAAAAAAAAAA
This sequence comes from Homo sapiens, assembly GCF_000001405.40. Taxonomy (NCBI): domain Eukaryota; kingdom Metazoa; phylum Chordata; class Mammalia; order Primates; family Hominidae; genus Homo; species Homo sapiens. The sequence goes on from NC_000017.11 coordinate 51,375,726, forward strand.
AAAACAAAAAACAACCAGAAACAAAGCAAAACAGCAATTTTATATACCACAATCATAAAACTACACACACACACACACACAGACACACACATGCACATAAACACATATCATCGTGTAAGATAAACTCTTGCTGCCAGAGCTTGGTAACCGGGCTCTGAATGGCCAGCCTTGTCACAGACAACTGCTGTGGCTGACATTGTGACACAAGGTCTCCTGGAGTTTTTTCTCATAATTTTAAATGGAATTGAACAGTTTGCACAACCTCCTCTGCTTAATCAGCACCTTCTTCTGGAGACACTGCTTTGCTTCTGGTTTCTCTGGAAGTTCCCCCTGCCTTGGTGAACTGAGCTCGCTGGCCCACCCCAGGGAGCCAGGGCAGAGTCCTGTTAGGGTTAAGTTCTTTTTGCCATAAATGTCAAATTAGTTTTGGAAACATCAGCCATATCCTGAATTACTTTGTGTATCCCTATTGTTTACCTGTGTATTAGCTATAACTGACAGGCACCTAAACCTTCAGGTTGTCAAAAGACCTCCTGGATTTGGTGTTTTCCAACCATTGTCCTATGCCTGTGACCCTGTGACCTCCTGAGATGTCTGTGATGGGTGAAAAGCAAAACACCCAGCTAGTAAGAGACTAGATGTCCCCAGGAATGTGGGCAGGATGTGGAAACTGCATCCTGGAAGGTAAAGCAGGATCAGGTCCCTTGCCAGTTAAGATAGCAAGAGTCACAGAGTTTCAATGAGACTGATGACAGAATCAACTGGCAAAGCCCAGAAACCAGGGTGGGAGAGTGTTCAGTCTATGAGTAATCATGTGGACAGCAGTCTGTTGAGATGGGTGATTTCTTCTTTAATTGTCCCATCCTGGTTCCTTTATTGAGCCTCAGTTTCCTCATCAGTACATTGAAGGGAGTAATTCCTACCTCGTAGGGTGGCGGTGAGTATCTGAGGAAGCAAGGTGAGTGGAAGCATGTTATAAATGGTGAAGCTGTATGTAAATGTCATGTGTGATGAATAGTGAGAACTTCCTTCCTGGGGGGGCAGTTAAGGGAGGAGGGAGGTAGGAGACTTTGAGAATCTGACCATCAGGGAGTAATTCTAGTAACCTAGTGAAGAAGAATGGACTGCAATTCTGGGTGGGTGGACAGGAATGGAGCAGGGTTGCTAGGAAACCAGCCTCAGTCCTGCTGGAATGAAGGATGTAATGAAGGATGCTAAATGTTCATGATCAATTCAGGCTCTTCTGAGCTTCCAGAGACTGAGGGTTACCCCTGCACTGCTACTGCCATTGTGTGGCTTTGGCCAGCTATTTCCTCAGGGATTTGGAAACACAGAGGCCCCAGGAATGGCTCCCTTACCGACTGTTCTCCAAGGGCTCAGAGATGGTATGTTGTGGTGTCATGTTTCCCAAGCAGTAGTGGTCATAAAACATTTAATTAATTAATAATTAATTTTTTGAAATAGGGTCTCGTTCTGTCACCCAGGCTGGAGTGCAGTGGCATGATCATAGCTCACTGCAGATTCAAACTCCTAGGCTCAAGGGATCCTCCCACCTTAGCCTCCTGAGTAGTTAGGACTACAGGCATGCACCACCATGCCTGGCTAATTTTTAAAATTTTTTTTGTAGAGATGGGGTCTCACTATGTTGCCCAGGCTGGTCTTGAACTCCTGACCTCAAGCGATCCCCCTGCCTTAGCCTCCTAAAGTGTTGGGATTACGGGCATCAGCCACTGTGCTTGGTCTCATAAAGCATTTTGGAAATCATAGTGAAGTGATGTATAGCAACAGCAGTTTGAGTATAAATGTTCACTAATCAATCAATGTTGAAATCCTATATATATATGTAAATTATAGGAAAAAGCACTTCATATAACCTGTGCTCTAATAGATGTGCCTGTTGTGAGCTTCCACGATATCAAGTAAGTCCCCTGTCCTCCTTGCAATGAAAAAAAATCTTAAATACAAGTGATTAAACACAACTCAAACTAGCTTAACACAAAAGCAAGATAATTTCTTGGCTTCATCACTGGAAATGTGAAATATCACTGGACAGCTAATTGTAGGGCTCTGGGTCCCTCTCTCTTTCTCTCTACTTCTTGGACCAGTTGTCTCCACATGATGGGCAAGACGGCCCCAGCATCTCATGCTTAGCAACATCAGTGGAAAGAAGAGTCTTTCTGAATACCAATGGTAGAAAAGTTCCAGGGATATTCTCATTGGTTCACCTTTGGTCAAGTGTCCATTTCCAAACCAATCATTGTGGCCAGGAGGATGGGTCCATTTCCGGACCAATCATTGTGGCTGACTGACCTCTTGGAAAGGGTGGGTAGAACCAGCCTCCTTTATGTATCACAGAGAGAGAATACATTATTTGTTGAAAAGGAGAGTTCTGTTGCTGGAAGAAAGGGAAGAATGTGTGCTGGAGGACAAAAACAAGTACTTTAATGTTACAGCTTGCTAATTGTCCACTCTTGCTCTCCAAGGCAAGGATTCATGTCTATCTTGGCCACCACAGTAATCCCAGCACAGTGCTTGGCAAGTGGCCAATACTATGTATCTATGTTCTCATTAATGAATAAATGGACAAATGAATTAGGTACTTCAGCAAGTTAGTTGGCAAAATGTGCATCTTTATTGGGCCTTCCTGATAGTCATAGGTAGAACAAGCTTTTTTTTTTTTTTTAAGGAAAATCGAGGTGAAATTTACCGAATGTAAAAGTAACCATCTAAAAGTATACAACTCAGTGGTGTTCAGTGCATTCACAATTTTGTACAACCAGCAGTTATATCAAGTTCTAAAAAATTTTCATCACCCCGAAAGAAAACCCCATGCCTATTAAACAGTCACGCCCTACTTCCCCCTGGCAACCGACAATCTGTTTCTATCTCTGTGGACTTACCTATTCTGGATATTTTGTATAACATATTGTTCCTTTCTTTGGTTGTTTTTCTTTTTTTTTTTTTTGAGACGGAGTCTCATTCTGTCACCTCTGGGACCACAGGCGCATGCCACCACACCTGGCTAATTTTTTGTATTTTTAGTAAAGACGGGGTTTCACCGTGTTAGCCAGAATGGTCTCGATCTCCTGACCTCATGATTTGCCCACCTAGGACTCCCAAAGTGCTGGGATTACAGGCGTGAGCCACCGCACCTGGCCCTGTTTCTTAATGAAAACAACTGAGGCCGGGCACAGTGGCTCATTCCCGTAATCCCAGCACTTTGGGAAGCTGAGGTGGGTGGATCACCTGAGGTCAGGAGTTCAAGATCAGCCTGGCTAACGTGGTGAAACATCTATATTCCCAGCTACTCAGGAGGCTGAGGCAGGAGAACCACTTGAACCTGGGAGGTGGAGGTTGCAGTGAGCCGAGATGGTGTCATTGCACTCCAGCCTGGGCAACAGAGCGAGACTCCATCTCAAAGAAAGAAAAAAAAGAAAACATCTGAATGCATTTATGGGGTATTATTCTTACATTTACCAAACTGAAGAAAAATAATATTTCTAATATTTGGTTGCAAACAGCACACACCAGCTTGGGCCGGCTTAACTGAGAGAGTTCCTTCTGGAAGCCATGCCTAGTCAGGGGGTCTGGGGCCAGGGTCTGAAGACTTGCCAGAGTCTTGCACTGTCTTTTGTTTCTGTTTCTTTTTATCTATCAGTTTCTTCTTTTTCTGTTCAGACAGGTTTCCCTTGCTTTTTAGAACACATGGTAGAAGATGCCCTTTCCCCAGCTACCATTTTAATGTCCCTTCTGTTCCAGCCACATTCAGAGGCTATCTGGCTCAGGATCCCACTTCTCAATTTCTAGGAGAGGGAATCAATTGGTCCAGTGTGGACCAGTGTCCCCCCTTGTCCCAAACTGTGGGTCTTGGGGCAGGGCTATCCAGTCAGGTGACAAAGGAGCTTTATAGAGAGCAGAGGGTGACATGAGTCCAAGGCAGCAGAGAGAAGACCAGCAGCCACTCAAAGGCTAGGTTTCTCATCTGGAGACCTGCCTCTTGCTCAAAGCCAAAGGGCTGCTCTGGCCTCCCTCAGCATGGTTGTAATTGATTTTGCTTTAGTAGATTCCAGGACCCTTCTTGAGATAATAAAAAGGACTAACATAAAATTCTCCCAAACAAAATCAATTGCTTTCCTTTTTGCACCAGCATACAGAGGCGGTCTGCCATTCCTCTCACTGAGCAGACTCCAGAAGCATGGAGCCCAGGGCCCAGGGGAGGCGGGCTGCCTGGTGTGGAGGGCATTTGTGCCAGTGCGAGGCAGGTTTCAGGTGGCAGTCTGAATCACATGGGTCTGAGTCTCATGTCCGTCTTAGACCTTCGCCCCATTTCTTGGTGCAGGAGCTTTTCTACTCTCCTGACAGAAGTCTTTGCAGTTGACTGGCTTCCCAGTGCCAGAGGAAAGGGGCTAAGTAATGGTGGTGGCAGGTTAGAGGTAGAGATTCCCAGCTACTCTGTTCACAAAAGGCACCTTCTGGGCATTCAGGAGAATGGCTTCCACATCTTCAGGTGGTCTGTAAGCATCTGGCTGCTGCAGGCTCCCCTGACAGCTAAGCAGAAAGGGTTCTTTTCTGGGAGAGCAAGGACCAGGTGCTCAGCAGCATACCTGGAACTGTACTTCCAAATTCCAGGTGAGTGCCCGCCTCCAGAACAACCCAGCTGAGGTCTCTGTATACTCCACAGGTTGAGGAAGGAGAATGAACATATTTGGGAGCTAAGCCAAACTATATTTGGATTCCGGTTCTGTTGCTTCTTTGTTGTGTGGCCTTGGACAACTCCATCTCAGCGTCCTCATCTATAAAATGAGACTAATCATGTGTGTCTTTTGTTCTATTGATGCAAGGATCATATCAGGCCCAGAGCTTAGCTTGGTGGCACAAAAGAGTTATGCTTACCCTAAAGAAAGAAAAGCGATTGAATATATTATTGCATGGGGAATTAGGAGAAACACGTGCTGCTTTGGTTCATTTAGTGTGTCTCTTTAACAACATCTAAGCTCATATCTTAAATTGCTGATTGTCTCTGGGCAAGGGCCTTCAACTCTTTTGGCCTCAGTTTTCTCATCTGTAAAACGAGGCTATAAGATAAAACCATCCCTGAGGTCCCTCCTGGCAGAAAAGATCAGGTACATGGAGTCCTCCAGGACAGGAGCAAGAGCCTCCCAAATCCTAGCCAAGGCTGACCACTTATAAGACTATTAGACACTGAGGGTGCCTGGCTCTGACTCTAGCAGTCTGGAAAGACATAAATAAGCAGGGAGGGAGTGGTCCTGAAGAGCTGTTTTTTCAATGTATGTGAAGAGAAGAGGCTGCCCTGCCATTAGACTTTCCAGATTTTGTGCTTGGCTAATGTAGCTCAATGTTGCCAGTCCAAGACTTGTAAATTACAAAGTTTTTTTCCATACCAAATGCCAGTTGAATATGATATCAAAGGTGACTTGTTCATCTTGGCAACTTACAATGAGCGTAGAGAATTATCATTTCTATAATGACTTTTCCATGCGGTTTCAGAACAGAAAATCCAATATTGTGGAAGATAGTTGACCAGAGGAGCCCAGAGCAGCAGTATCACCATGATATGGCCATTTCTATGGACATCCATGAACTCTCATTTGTAATATTCAAGAAAAGGTTTGAGTGTGATGCAAGAGCCAATTTATTTGCTCCAAGGACAGCCCTGGCTTTATTTTATTATAGACGACATCCTTCATAAAGCCCAGCCCAGGGCAGTCATTTCCCCTGGGACCACAGGCTTCCTACAGGCCTCCTGGAGTAGACTGTGACATGGTTATAAACTCCTGTGTATGCCAGGTGACTGGTGGGCACTGCTAGGTGCTGAGTGAGGAGGTGGCACAGTGTAGAAAGAGAACATTGGAGCTCCCAGTATTAGTCCTGGCACATCTCTTTGCTGTGTGGTTTTGGGTTTCATCTCTCTGAGCTCTTCTTGGCCTATAACATAGGGAAGTAGCCCTGTGCTCCCTCCATCAAGAGACTGTCAGGAGAAAGATGTGAGATAATGTATGCTGAAAATGCTTTGTAGACTGTATATATATGAGTGGTATTCTGCTTATTGCAACCACGGTTGCTAGCTGATTATTATAGTTACTTGACAGTGGGGATACCAGCAGGCTTTGGGACAAAGAAGGGGATTCTGGGAGGAGTTGTGGGGCACTAGGGAAAGGCTGTTTACTTAGCTACACATTTTATCCGTGGTCACCCAGCTAGGAAGTGGTAGGGTCAGGTCTTAACCTTGCCTACACCCATGCAATCTCAAATTCCCTAGTTGTTTTTTAACTCTGTTCTGTGCAACCCTAGATTGTTCATGGGGACTTCAGGGAGATTCTGCAACTATCTGATTATCACTGTTTTAGGTGCTGGGGGACATAGCAGTGGTATTGTTACTTAATGGTCCCATGACAGGTCATGTACTAACAGGTAGAATTGGAACCCACATCCACCTCTGGCCCAGTGATATCCTTGGTTACTTTAGTTATTCCCAAATACGAACATGTAAAAGTGTCCAAAAATCTCATGCTCAGGGAAAGCCTCCAGACATTTCTGATGATGTAAGGTTCTTCTTCCTTCTCCCTTTTCTGGGGTTTGGTGATCTCCTGAAGAGCACATGTTCAAACATACTGGCTATAACTTCCTTTGGCAATGTGGGAGACCGCTGATTGAGAGCAGAATGCTTGTCCTTGCAAAGTTCAGGAGTAATTAACATGGTGAGAAGGGGAGGAGAGCAATTTGGATTTCATTGCTTGGCAGCTTTGCCCCTTGAGAATACTTTGTGGCTGGAGAAATGACCCTTTAGGCTCACTGTAGCATTTTTCTTTGAATAAATGACAAACATCCATCATGTAATACATCCCTTGCAACATTTCAGCCTGTCACTAATGACCTTATTGTAAAGAACATTTGATTTAAGATTTAAACCTTTCACGACACCCTCTCTTAGCTTGAATACATACATTTGAAATAAAATTAATATGGTTTTAGCCTGCGGTCAAGTAGTAAATTCATGACTTTTCTTGGCTTAAGAATCAGCAGTCTCCTCCCTACCTGCTTCTCCAATTCTTTAAAACAAATGTGCTTAAATCAACCCTTGCTGAGTTCTGGAAATATATTTAGATGGCTTCATCCATTTTTGACCAACTGATGGAATATTCTCTGAGGTGTCAAAGGAATTATTATCTTATTTTAGGAGTCAAGTTTGGAGCAGCAAGTGTCTGTTATTCTCTCTGATAGCTGCACATCAGATTCTAAACTGATGGTCCTGTGGCTGAGGAAAAATGATTTAACTCAGGAGAAAAGACAATGAATATTGTCGTGGTATCTGACAGTGTCTGTAAAGCTGAAGAAATGTTGTTGCTTCTATTAGAAACTTTACTTTTTTTTTGAGATGGAGTCTTGCTCTGTCACCCAGGCTGGAGTGCAGTCGCATGATATCGGCTCACTGCAACCTCCACCTCCTGGGTTCAAGCAATTCTCATGCCTCAACCTCCCTAGTAGCTGTGATTACAGGTGCCCACCACCATGCCCAGCTAATTTTTGTATTTTTAGTAAAGACGGGGTTTCGCCATGTTGGTCAGGCTGGTCTCGAACTCCTGACCTCAGGTGATCCACTTGCCTCGGCCTCCCAAAGTGATTGCAGGCATGAGGCACCACGCCGGGCCTAGAAGCTTTACTTTTCTATACATCCATCTGCAACAACTTAGTCCCTGCATTTTTAACCTATGATGGGAGAGATGTGGCTCTGACCTTGGTATCCTTTGCTTAGGATGTTCTAGTGTGTGTTGTAGTTGCTTCCTAACTAGGCCAGTTTCAGGGTTGCAGGCACATGCATGCAGCTTTCCTTTGCTTTTATTCCTGCCTGCAGAACTGTAGTCACTGAAACTTCTCCTGAGTTCCTGCCAGCTCCTTGAGGAGGTCTTCGGCACTGGATGTCAGTGGGTAGTGCAGGTGTCTTCCCTAGGAAGGAACTTTGTTCCTCACTGAAATGGGGAAAGTGTCTACACTTGCATCATGACTTTCCAAGTCCTGTGCCAGGCACTGTTGCAGGTGCTGGGCATACAACAGCAAACAAGACGGATGTGGCCTGTGGGCTCATAATGGTTCCGTCCAGCAGAGAGGTGGGTAAGCCGACAGGCAAGTGCTAGAGAAAGTTGATAAATGCTGAGAGGGAAGCACAGGATCCTGTGGGAACATACGGCAAGGAGAATTTACCTAGTGTGGGTTACTGGGAGGTCCTCTGGAGGAGGTGGCATTTATGCTGTGTGTGTCACACTGGAGCATGGAACATAAGCTGCAAAGCAAGGGTCTGGCTTCTGCTCACACCACCTTGCAGAGATTGTCATGGGGCTCTTATTCCAGCCAACTCCTCTTTCTGGGACTGTGGTCAGAATCACCCTACCTTCACCAACCTTTCCAGAAACATTCTCTTTCCAAAAGTTTATATATCACATTTTCTCTTAAGTTGACATCCCTACATCCCAGGAGGCCCCTGTTTCCTTTTTGCACACAGAACACTGATTCCTTAGATTTCCCAGATATGCCTAAACTGGCATCCTCTTAGTTGAGCCACTCAGATGGGAACCCCCTACCCCAGATGGAGAAAAGGGTACACACCTGGGAGCTCAGACCGGTTCAACGGTCAGGTTATGGGAAGGAGAAAAGACCAACACAAGCTCATCCGGGTCTAGGGAGGCGCCGAGTGAAGCCTCGGGCAGTGTTAGGGGTCATGGCCGTGCCCATGGACTGGCTGGATCTGAGAGACATGGCCATGACCATGCTGCCCCAGAGCACCAGCTCCTTCAGAGTGTGGACGCTGACCACGTGGTCCCAGGTAGGGAGGCTTTTGCGGAGTTTGGGGTGCGGCGCCTTTTCTGTGTAAAGGAAAACAGCCCAGCCTTTTAGAGTTTACATTTCACCAGAGTTAAATGTTTCCCTTGAGGTGGTTTTAGGGGCTCTGTTTCAGCCCAGAGCTCCTTCATAGACAGGCCATAAAAGGCCCCTGCCTGTGTGCCACTGGCCCGGGGAGTCTTCCCGAGGAGCCTCTTGAAGGGGCTCTCTGCCCGTGGCCTCCTCAGCCTTCCATCCTGCCTGGGGTCTGTTCTTGCTCCCCTCCCTCCGTTGCGGACTCTGGGATGTTGTCTCTTCCCTGGACTTCCAGCTACATTTTCATCCTGGAAACGCAGCCCTCGCTCTGAATCCAGCCCACTCCCATGCCCAGCCCCTTAACCCTGAGCCCCCAGCCCTGTCCTAAGCGTGGGGGTCTTTGCTCTGGAAAACACAGGACAGGCTTCTGGGGGGTGGGGTGTCGAGGAGATGGGGCCTGGAGAGACATTCATTGGTGACAAGAACTCCAGGTGAAAGTAAGGACCTGCGGTGAAAACCCAGATTGGAGTGAGATGGGTATGTGGGGTGGGGAAAGGGGGCTGGGCCACCAGAGAGTGCTGCTGCTGCGTAGTAAGCTGGACAGGGGCTCAGGCTCTGGAGCATCCAACGGGAGCTGAAGGGACGACCCCTGCATCCCTCGTGCCTTCCAAGATTGGGTGGAGAACAGATCCCCAGATCCGAGAAGCTGCAGCGCTGACCCAGATCCGAGAAGCTGCAGCGCTGACCCAGATCACTGGCGGGATCCATCCGCCATCCTTCCCCTCACATGGGCTCCTCTAGGCCCGCTCCCGCATCCCTTTCTGTCCCCTCCCACAACCACAGCGACTCTTCCCATAAACAACCGTGACCTGGTCATGCCGCCTCAGCCGCCTCCAGCATGGCCCGAGTCACCGTCACTCGCCCCTAGAGCTGGGGCAGTCCCCTGCAAATCTTCACCCGTTCACTCTGCCTTCTTCACGTCATTCTCCACACAACTGGAGTTTAATTCACGTTTCTTCTTCTTTTTTTTTTTTTTGAGACTGAGTTTCACTCTTGTCGCCCAGGCTGGAGTGCAGTGCTGCGATCTCGGCTTACGACAACCTCCACCTCCCGGGTTCAAGCGATTCTCCTGCCTCAGCCTCCCGAGTAGCTGGGATTACAGGCGCCTGCCACCACGCCTGGCTAATTTTTATATTTTTAGTGGAGACGGCGTTTCCCCATGTTGGTCAGGCTGGTCTTGAACTCCTGACCTCAGGTGATCCGCCCGCCTTGGCCTTCCAAAGTGCTGGGATTACAGGTGTGAGCTCCTGCACCCAGCCTAATTCCCATTTTAAAATGGAAATCTGCTTGTGCCACTGACAGTAGAATATAAACTCCCAGGCTGGCCAAGAGGCCCTGACAATGTGGTTTTGCCCACCTGCGCAGCCTCATCTCCTGGTCCTTGTCTTCCCTCAAGCCTGGGCCTGCAGATACCCTGGCCTCGGGTCCCACCGTTGTTTCCTGGCTTTGTTGCTGCCCCCTTTTCCTGAGAGGACTTCTCCATCTGAATGAGGAGCCACAGTGATGCTCTCCCTTACCAGCCTGTCTGTCCTTCATGGTACCATGCATGGGAACCATGAGTGTCTGTGTCACCCACTTAGCCCCATACTCTGTGAGGAAAGGGACTAGGCATGACTTATTCAATCTCCTTGAACAGGGCCTCACCCCAGTAGGCCCCCACATTTGTTGAACGACAGACTGATGTAATGGGAGACACTCTATTGCGCTGTCCATTATGGCAGCCGCTAGCCTCACGTGGTTATTGACATTTAAATTCACTAAAATTAAGTGAAGTTAAAAATTCAGGACCTCAGTCACACTATCCATATTTTAAGGGCTCAATAGCCACATGTGTCTAGTGGCTACTACACTGGATAGTGCAGAACATTTCCACCATTCCAGAAAGTTCTACCGGGCTGTGTTGCTAACAGGTGCGAATATCAGTCCGTTTACTTTGGTGGTTAAGAACTGTAACTTCAAGTTCTATGACTGAATTTAATATTTATTGCAAGCCCTTATCGGGCTGGGTGAAGGACACTTAATGAATGGTCTTTTTGGGGTCCTTCTCCCATTTCCTGTGGGGGATGGATTCTGGGATCTCACATAATGCCAAGGTCTTGGTGGTGTCTCCGCTGTCGTTCCCAAGGTGTCCTCCCCTCATCCCAGCATCAGTCCATGAAGGACAAATTGTGCTAAAATTCTTTTAATAAAAACGAGAAACCCTGACCTGCCTATCTCCCACTTCCACTCCTTCTCATTCCCCAGAGGCAACCCTTTCCATTTTAAAAAAAATCTATTTCTCCAGCTTTGTAAATAATATGTGTATAGGGCTTTCTCTTCATTTGCCCACTTTAGACATTCTCTACTTAATTCCTATTATGGTAGAAGAGAATATTTTACCTTTGTTCACCCTCTTCAATGCTCTCATCCCTCTAATCTAGTTGTATTGCAGGTTTTTGTGCATACAAAGTGTTTCATTATTATAACTACACTACTGTTTTTCACTATGGAACAGGCTTTGATCCTATGTCCTTTCTTGAACAACTCTTTTAAAACATTAATAATTGTGACATTTTATTTGCTTTCTTGTTTTTTTTTTGCATTTCTGGCTAAGCCTCCTCCCATCTTCCAATAATTCTATGAAGTAGTCTTTGATACAAATGTCCACGTGGTCAAAACTATTCCCCCTACCTTGGAGTCATCTCTCTTGGAGTCCTCTGTCCTGCTGCCCCAGGCTGTCCTGGGTGCCTCAACCTGCTGCGTACACATCACCCTGGGGTGCCCGTTACTTCTCTCCTGTGTTGGACATTCTGCTTCCTCAATCCCATAGCTCTGTTTATTATGATTTAGTCCTTCATGTGGGTGGAGCAGAGCTGCTGGCAGTTTCCTGAGACAAGGGTGCACTGAGGTATTCTTTTTGAGTCCATGAGCATTTGAAAGTATCTTTTCTTGCATCACACTTGACTGATAATTTGGTGAGGGCAAGAATTTTAGGCTGAAAATAATTTTCAGTCAGAATTTTAAGGTGTTGCTTCATTATCTTCTAGCTTTCAGTGTTGCAGTTGAGAAGTCCTGTACTAGTCCATAGAGCTAGTGACGAGATAGGGAGAGACAGGCAGAGAGAGAAAGAGAGAAGGAGTAAGGTGGAGTGGAGTGTATGAGTCAGGGTTCTCTAGAGGGACAGAACTAGTAGGATAAATGTATACATGACAGGGAGTTTATTAAGGAGAATTGACTCACACGATCACAAGGTAAAGTCCCATGATAGACCGTCTGCAAGTTGAGGAGCAAGGAAGCCAGTAGTGGGTCAGTCCAAGTCCCAAAACCTCAAAAGCAGGGAAGCCGACAGTGCAGCCTTCAGTCTGTGGCCAAAGGCCTGATAGCCCCTGGCAAGCCACTGGTCTAAGTTCAGGACTCCAAAGATGAAGAACTTGGAGTCTGCTGTTTGAGGGCAGGAAAAAATGAGCGCAAGAGAAAGATGAAGACTCAGCAAATCTGCTCCTTCCACCTTCTTCTGCCTGCTTTATTCTAGCAGTGCTGGCAGCTGATTTGATTGTGGCCACCCAGATTGAGGGTGGGTCTGCCTCTCCCAGTCCACTGACTCAAATGTTAATCTCCTTTGGCAACACCCTCACAGACACACCCAGGAACCATACTTTACATCCTTCAATCCAATCAAGATGACACTAGTAACCATAAGAGGAGAGAGAGAGAGAAAGAGAGACAGAGAGACCGAGACCCAGGTGGAAACTGCAGTGTCTTTTATAACCTAATCTTGGAAATGACTTACTGTTGTTTCTGCTGTGGTCACACAAACTGACCCTGGTACAATGTGCAGGAAATAATGCAAATGTGTGAATACCAGAAGATGGGGATTGTTGTGGGTCATCCTAAAGACTGGCCATCACAGGATCTATTGTTTCTTTATGGAGACTCTCAAGAAGCCCCCTGTTTTTAGTGCCCCGCCTTTCAAGCTGTCTGTTGCCTCCAGTCTTTCTGCCTCTCTGAGGGTCTGAGGGGTGAACTGGTTTTCTTCTCGCTGATGATCTCTTCCTCTGGATGCTCAGTTTTGACTTTTCTCTGCCATGCCCTTTTCCATTCCTCCATCCTTCTCTATTTCTATATGTCATGGTTTGATTTTACGGATATTTTGTAGCCTCATTAATTTGGATTTCTGGTATCTTTTTCCCCTTGTTATTTTGAGATAATTTTTTAGAAGGAAAGGGGGTGGAAGGAGTTTTATGTTACCATTTTGGAACCAGAAGTCTTTCCAGGAAATCTCCAGCTAGTCCAGCTTTGCTCTTCTTCATGTTTCTTCTATGCCCCAAACCCACTCAGATTTTAAGATTTTCAGTCAAAAAGCCAAGAATGACTCACTTTTTCTCTCTGTATTTTGCTATGTGATTTCTTCCTTGAAATGGTAACTATAGAATGAATGCTCATATTCATGGATAAAGAAGAGCAAAGTATAAAGGAAATGCATGGAGGTGGGAAATCCTGGTAATTTATCAAAATGTTATTTTATGACTACAGTTAAATATTGAAAAAATTAAAGCTGGGTGCCGATTGCTCATGCCTGTAATCCCAGCACTTTGGCAGGCTGAGGCGGTTGGATGACTTGGGCCTGGGAGTTTGAGACCAGCCTGGGCAACACAGGGAGACCCCATCTCTACAAAAAATAAAAAAAATTAGCTGGTCATGATGGTACATGTCTGTAGACCCAGCTACTTGGAGGCGGAGGTAGGAGGATTGTCTGAGCCTGGGAAGTTGAGGCTGTAGTGAGCCGTGATCGCACCACTGCACTCCAGCCTGGGTGACAGAGTGAGAAAAAAAAATTAAAGATCAGGAAAACTGAAAACATCAGAGAGGAGTTGGGAACCAAGTTATGAGGTATGCTTTCAAATTTAAAATAGCAACAATAAGAAACTTCAACCTGAATGTTGAAAACAAGAAAGAGACCGTGGTAGGTTAACTAGGGAATCTCTAAGAAATCTTGGCATTCCAACAAATTTCTGACTCAGGGAAAACCTAGTTAAAGAGATCACCAGGCAGACCACTCACTTTACAAATGGGGAAACTGAGGCCAGAGAGGAGAAGGCCAGAGACCAAAGTCACCCAGCCAGTTAATAGCAGAGATGGAATCTGAACTTTGGTTTTAACTTTGGTGTTTTTATCTTTACACCATGAAGCTGTCTACATTTTTATAACATCCCTCCTTTTTCATAATTTGGTAAATGTTTTGACAATTATTTCTTCATCTCTTTATTTCTGAAGAGCAAGAACATAATTTTTACTGATATCCAGATGGCCTTCTCTCTGCCATCATTCTTGATCATGGCAGCTCTGTGCAGAGAATAGATAAAGAACTTCAGGAAACACAGTTTGAAGGCAAGAAGTGATCTTCACTGCAGGACTTCACAGAGCCTTTACCTGGTTAGTACACACTGTGTCTCTTCATGGAGACGTTATGGTCAGTGTCCTGGTCAGATCAGCTGCATAAGGTGGTACCACACACTGAGTGGCTTGAGAAATGGGAATTTATTTTCTCACAGTTCTGGAGGCTGAAAGTCTGAGATCAAGGTGTTGGCAGGTTTGGTTTCTCCCAAGGTAATTGCTCCTTAGCTTGCAGATGGCCCTCTTCTCGCTGTGTCCTCACATGATCTTTTCTCTGCATGTACACCTCCTGAATCTCCCAGTCAGATCCCTAAAGGGCTCCTTTTAACTTAATCACCTCTTTAAGGCCTTATTTACAAATACAGTCACACTCTGAGATACTGGGAGTTAGGACATCAATGAATGAATTTAGGAGGGGCACAATTGAGCCCATAACGGGGTTTCCCCATCTTAGTGGATGGTGGAATCCTTTGCCGTGTTGAGGAATTTGTATTTTAGGAAACAGTCTTTGTGGAAAGGTGTTCCAGGGAAGCAAAATAAACAGGCCACAGCTGTGAAGGGCCATGGAGCTGCAGTGATGTCCATGGACTGGTATGAGTGATGTCATGACAGAAATCAGGAGCGTGTGATAGAACGGAGTCTCTGTCTGTCAGTTTCTCTCTCACCGCTATTTCTTTCTGCTGGATTTCATTAAGTTTCATTCCCTTTTCCTTCAGGGGAGCGTTCTCCATGACCCCCAAAGCAAGAGAGTATTCCCTGTCAGCTCCAGTGTAAAAAGACTGTAATGGCCTCAGCTTGGGTCACGTTTGTTGAGGGATATTTGGTTCTTTTATTGGCCCCAGGTTGGGTATAATCCAGGAATGGGAATGAAAGGGCATGGGATGAATAAAGATAACATCCACCGCAGAGAAGATAGAAAATGCCTTTTCATTGCAGCGAGACCAAAGGAGGGACACAGCAGTCCAATCCCAGGGGATGCAGAGCAGATGGAGAAGAAAAGGGTCTTCTAGCATTTATGTTGTGTCAGCCAAGATTTGTCCTGTGTTTTTAATGTAATGGTCAGTTAGGTGTGGCCACGAGAGGAGACACAGGAGAGCCTCAGGAAAACAAAGCTGACTGTACTCTCAGGTCCTAGAAAGGGGAGGCACAGCCTATGGGCTAGTTTAAATAATTTTAGTGGACTACAAGCTTAAGGGTGGAGTTGCTAAGAATGAACTTTGTGTGTGTGCACCAATGGCCCTCAGTTGCCTGGTACCAGTTCTGGGATGATGAAGGCAGAGGAATATTGTCTCCTGGGGATCACAAGCCAGATAGAAGAGGTGCGGCTCTATATTGATTGGTTTGCGTATCTAAGGCACATCCTGGCTGATCCCTTTGCTCTCTGTAAGAATTGGCTAGCTCAGGGAGGGGCAGTCTCTTCCCACTTAGAAATGTTATTAAGATATCTAAACATGGCTGGACATGGTGGCTCATGCCTATAATCCCAGCGCTTTGGATGGCCAAGGCAGACAGATCATTTGAAGTCAGGAGTCGAGACCAGTCTGGCCAACATGGTGAAACCCCATCTCTACTAAAAATATAAAAATTAGCTGGTCGTGGTGGCAGGCACCTGTAATCCCAGCTACTTGGAAGGCTGAGGCTAGAGAATCTCTTGAACCCGGGAGGTGGAGGTTGCAGTGAGCTGAGATTGCACCACTGTGCTCCAACCTGGGTGACAGAGCAAGACTCTGACACACACACACACACACACACACCCCAAAACATCATAACATACAGAAAAAAAAAAGACAATACAAGATTCAATCAGAGAAACGGAACCCTGGGAGATATACACATAGTTACGAGTTTACTCTGTTCTCAATTGTGCAAGTTGGTTAAACAGTCTCTATTAGGCTTTTGTCTTATGCTGAAGCTTGAAGTTCTCGGGGCAGGCAGTCAGGAAGGGAGGATGGATTTCAAGTGGGGGAGAGTAAAGACAAGCTGGAACCCATGAGCATGAGTGAGAACCCACGAGGACAGACTAGAACCTGCAGCATTCTCACTGTCTCCAGCCTGGATGATGTGATCATACTGTGGTGGAGGTAGGAGTCCTTCATCACAGAGCTAAATGCACGCCTGGCCCACGAGTCAGAGAGGGCTAAGGAGGCTCCAGGGGAAAGTGGGACAGTTGCAGACCTGACGCTGCCCCCGTGCCAATGAGGTGAGTCATCAGATAAGTGACAACCTGTGAGCTACAAAAACAGCGATGATTCTGCCCCAACCTGTGGTCAAACCTAATGGGAAGCCACGGGGAAGGAAATTTTGGGAAATCATGTTCAGCCTAGATAAACTGACAGATCACAGAGCCACCTCATTTGTTCAGCTGGAGCATTGGATGGTAGGAGGTGCTAAGAATGAACCGTGTGTGTGTGTGTGTGTGTTTGTGTGTGTGTATTGTGAGTGTGTGTATATCTGGAGCAGGGCAGTGGCTGTGGAGAGAATGGGTAGACAGTGCAGGCAGAAGAGCTGGCAACCACCATCACAAGGTGGAGGGAGCTTGTCCTGAGGCTGACCTGTGGGAGACTCTTGTTCCCTCTGTTCACCCTCCCTGCTGGCCACTGTGAGCTGCCCTTGCCATTGGTTCTGTGGAGTGAAGAGACAGTGGAAAGCAGCATTCTTTACTATTTATTTATTTATTTTTTTACTTTAGACGTTCAAATTCTCCCAAGGGGCTGTGGGCTGGAGGTCCAGAACACTGGGCCGAGGCTGGAGACACTCAAAGACGTTGAGGTACACCGTTTGGGGAAAGGAAGATGACACGTGGACACTCACCAGTGTACAGCCATTTTTCAGGGTAAGGCCAGTCAAGAATCAGCATTTTCAAACACATTTTATCAGCAGCAGTGGTTGTTTTGTGGTTGGTGTATTTGGCCGTAGTCAATTTGGGCACACAGTCTTGAGTTTAAGGGTAAGAGCAAGCCAGTAAGAGGGAAAATAAAGAAGACTACAGATTTCTGGGTATCAGGTCAAAAACATTTTAGGTGCCAAAGCGTGGCTCGTGATGGAGTATTTGCGGCTGAGCTGGGGAGCGCAACAGTATTTTCATCTTTAGGAATTCTGAAGGAATTCCTGCCTTAAGAATTTTCCTGGACACTGTTATACTCAATAGTTCCTGATTTAGAGAACATCGATGGCTGTCTTTCTTTGTGTCTGAGAGTAGAGGGCCTCCACCATTCATCATAGCATACAGAAAAAAAAAAAGACAATACTAGGTTCAATCAGAGAAACGGAACCCTGGGAGATATACACACAGTTACAAGTTTACTCTGTTCTCAATTGTGCAAGTTGGTTAAACAGTCTCTATTAGGCTTTTGTCTTATGCTGAAGCTTGATGTTCTCCAGGTAGGCAGTCAGGAAGGGAGGATGGATTTCAAGTGGGGGAGAGTAAAGATAAGCTGGAACTCATGAGCATGAGTGAGAATCCACAAGGACAGACCAGAGAGATGATTTTCTGAGAGATGATTATGTCTCAGGTTCTATTCTGTGTGAGATCCTGGGATATAGTCCTGAACCTTGGGGGGCTCATGGGCACAGGTTTTGAGTGTG
The DNA here is from genome assembly GCF_000001405.40 of Homo sapiens. NCBI lineage: Eukaryota > Metazoa > Chordata > Mammalia > Primates > Hominidae > Homo > Homo sapiens. The sequence goes on from NC_000017.11 coordinate 51,393,615, forward strand.
GGGAGGAGGTAGAATCAGCTGGGAAGACAACATATTAAGTTACAGCATGATAAAAGGTGCATAGGGTCAGGTGTGACAAAGCCTAGTGGTTTTGGTCAATGGGGTGTAGATTATTAGCTTCCCTCCTGCTTCCGTGGTCCTTTTCAGACCATTACTCATCCGTCCTCACAAAAAACCCTTTCTCTTCTGAGGTTATCCTCATTCGGCCAATAAAACCAATAGGCTTTAAAGAGAAGGTGTCAATTTGTCTGAGCTCAAAGGATGGGAAGTTCTTCCAGCTGAAAAAGATGAGGGGAGAGGCTAAAGAAGGGTATTAGAAGCAGAGCAAAGAGTAGATCCAATATATCTTTCTCATTTTTTTTTTTTTTTTGAGATGGAGTCTTGCTTTGTTGCCCAGGCTGGAGTGCAGTGGTGCAGTCTCGGCTCACCACAACCTCCGCCTCCTAGGCTCAAGTAATTATCCTGCCTCAGCCTCCTGAGCAGCTGGGACTAGAGGCATGTGCCACTATGCCTGGCTGATTTTTGTATTTTTAGTAGAGACGGGGTTTCACTATGTTGGCCAGGCTGGTTTCGAACTCCTGAACTTGCGATCCGCCCTCTCATTTTAGGCTTCTGGGCACGGCTTTCAGTCTCCCTCAGTTTCCAGTGAGATTACCCTCCTGGCTCCAGAACAGTGCCTTGTTGCCCATCACGTGGGAGAATCTACTATTCTCAGTGTTTTCAATCTACCTTCTAGAGTTAATTCTCCTAGTAACTCTGTTTCTAGGAAATCTCGTCCTTGAAAGCAACAGAGAAAGAAATCAATGAACTGCAAGGCGCCCATTTAGCATTGAGACTGATTTAAAGTAGGAAAGGTACAAAGATAAATGTCTGTGTGCAAATTGGGGTTCTTTTCTACAATTATGTTTGCATAAGTGGCTCATGGCCAAAGATTTCCCCTCGTAGAAGGTTGAGTTTTTTTTTCTTTACCAAGCCCAGAAGTTTAATTGACATGTAGTTTGTAGGCTCACTAAATAATTCAATCCATTTGCCAAACTAGACCTTAAATTAAAAACAAAACAAAACATGGTTTCATACTTTTCCAGCTTTATGGTTGTTGATCATCCATAATTTCAGAAACACTGATATGGTATGCAAAGGAAGAAGCCTTTGATTAGATTTAAACAGACATCTTGAATAGAGCCTGAAATGGGGAAAGAAAGCTGCACTGCCCTTTGATTCTGCAAAAATAAAACCAATTTGCCTTAAAAAAAACTTGTCTCAATTTTTTTCTTTCTTCATATTTGCAAGTTAAATAGGATTAAATCCCAATCAGCCATTCATTATACACTTGCTAAATATGTAGACTTAGACTTGGTTAAGAGTCCAAGTTGAATGTCAGGTGCTTTGATTTACAGGAAACTTCTGGAGTTGCTTGTGGTATCATCTTTTCCTACTCAAAAAATGTATCTTGTCCAGGCACAGTGGCTCACACCTGTAATCCTAGCACTTTGGGAGGCTGAGGCAGGCGGAATGCTTGAGATCAGGAATTCAAAACCAGCCTGGGCAACATGGTGCACCCTTGTCTCTACAAAAAATACAAAAATTAGCTAAGCATCGTGGTGCACACCTGCAGGGCTGAGGTGGGAGGGTCCCTTGAGCCTGGGAGGTGGAGTTTGCAGTTTGCCGAGATCATGCCACTGCACTCCAGCCTGGGCGACAGAGCCAGACCCTATCTCAAAAAAAAAAAAAAAAGTATCTCTTTGTTTTTTTCATAATTTAGAACTCAACCTTCACATCTATAGACAACATATAACTTTTGAAAATCCTGAGCATGGCCAAAGATATTGGAATGCATAACATTAAGGCTGCGTAAAAGAAATCCATACATTCAAAATATCTAAAAATCAATGGCTACTCATAAAGTTCTAATGTTTTATTTTTTGATATTCATTTTAACTTCGATTTCAATTTTGAGGCCCCATAGAATGAGTATTTGGTTTCTTTTTGCCACCATGGAGAAGATATTTTGAAAATGAAGAATCTGTTTTCGTGGAGGCCAAACATCAGTGATAAACGAAGTTCTTTCCGAACATGGTCACCTGGGGACTGAGATGTCAAACCAGATCACTGTTCAAGAGAGGAAATGAGGTTTCATCAGCTACCTGGCTGCCTCCAGAGCATGGTCAGAAGGTGTTTATTGGATGGAAATAAAAATGCCTCTTTTTTTTTTGGCACAAGAATTTCGGCTAAAATAAGACCAGCAGGACCTCTATGCTGAGGCCTTGGTAAAGGGACACACAGGATAAATATATGTACATAGCTGGCTCACCATGCCGGGAACTCTGTATTCATAACCTGTGACTGTCCTAAAGGGACAGATTAAAATTCAAAGCATGCGGATCCTTGGCTGTTTGATTTCAGACACAAAATTGGAAACGGGCTGATAAACATACACAGCATGAATCTCACTCCCATTCCCTGTGTTCCGTTATGCTGGGCTCGGCAGTGAGGCAGAACCCCGCCAACTCTGGCCTAGAAGGATTCCCGTCTCCCCCCATGGGCAGGAGTACCACCGTTTCAATGAAGAGTCTTCTAAACTACCTCCATTTCTCCAGTGTGTTTGAAACAGACGAGGTCTAAGGGGTCCAGATGGGTGCAAGCTCATGCTGATTTGGCTACGTTTCCGTGGACTAGGGGGATGAGAGGAGGCTCACCTACGCAGGGATGTCCTCACATCCTTTTTGGGAGAACAGCCAATGAGGTCCACAAGATCTTAGTTACAAACGACACCAATGATACTTCCAGGGCATGGTGACTCCATCTCCCATTATTGTTGGGTGTGGGCAAGTTGTGGTCTGATCAATGGATCAGATTCTATCTCTTTCTCTGTCTGCCTTCTAATTCTTGGCTTTTTGGAATCAAGACTCAACTCTGTATTTCCTTAAATGGGCAATTTTTGCATTAATCATTGAAAGCTCAGACAGCAGGGCTGGCTTTTCTTGCTGAACAATTGTCTTAGGTCTAACGATAGAGAAAGACATTTCTAAAGTTCCCAAATTAGGCACTGTCATGTATGTTTTGGGCTTTCTGTAGCCTTGGAGGAAATGGACATCTTTGCTTCTAGGGGCAGAGCAGCTGGCAGCATTAGACCCTGGGCCCATTTGGTGCCTTTTACTACACTAGGCTGCCAGCTTCCAGGGCAAGGAAGTGGGAATTTGTGATTAGATATTCATGGAGTTCTCATTCTTAATCATTAGGCAGTTTGTTATTAATGATTCTTGGGTATTCCAAGCACTAATAAAACTAATGGTTGCTTTTGAATATGAGCAGAGTTCTGGATCCCTTTTAGAGATTGGGTGGTTTGTCGGCCATGCATGGTGTCTCACGCCTATAATCCCAGAACTTTGGGAGGCCAAGTTGGGTGGATCACCTGAGGTCAGCAGTTCAAGACTAGCCTGGCCAACATGGCAAAACCCGTCTCTACTAAAAATACAAAAAAAAAAAAAAAAAAAAAAAACAATTAGCTGGGCATGGTGGTACGCTCCTGTAGTCCCAGCTACTCAGGAGGCTGAGGCAGGAGAATCACTTGAACCCAGGAGGCAGAGGTTGCAGTGAGCTGAGATCATGCCACTGCACTCCAGCCTGGGTGACAGAGTGATACTCTGTCTCAAAAAAAAAAAAAAAAAAAAAAGATGGTTGTCAAATATCTGTGCTTTGGAGTGAGTGTCGGCCCAGATTGCCTTTTTTGGAGATTGCTCTCTCTCTCCCAGGTGTGGAGAGAGATATGAGTCTGGGTCTGTCCTCTGCCATCTCAGCCCCTTAACCATAGAGCTGATTGAGCTGGGGCAGACACCTAAGTCAGGGGTATCACCAATGCATTAAGCCAACCAATCTCTATTGATCAACAGAATGAAAGGGTATAGAGACTGACTGGATGGGATGGTGTTGGGCAAGGGACGTTCATGCAATGTTGGGGCCAGAGTTGGAGCCAGGGCCAGCGAGACCCATTGGCAAACTGAAGGTATTAGGGGAGACTCTAGAGCCTTGCCCCAAAGCTGGTCTTTTGAGAGGATTAAGTGGAGAGAAGCAGAGATGTGCCAAGGTCCAGACGGAGAGTTGCAGGAGTTTCCCAGTCCTTTGCGACCCAGTTTCCTGTCTCTGGATGCTTGATTGCTTATTGTAGCCCTACAATGACTCAATCTAGCCCAAGAGAGTTTCTTTTCCTTGAAAGCAAACAACCCCTGACCAGAAGAATGTCACAGATGACGAGAGGTGCCTCATCACAGAATCAGGAACAGTCAGAATCTCAGTGGGAAGCTATGCAGCTTCCAAGTGCAGCTTGATGAGTCAGCTGTGAAGACAGGGTATGGTAAGTATGGCATGAAAGGCAAGGCGCACCTATGCAATGATCCCTCCAGGCACAAGTGTCCCCTGGGGGTCCAGGGGGAGTAGGAAAGGAGGGAAGGTTACCAACGGCCTGTCGGGTTCCAGGCATAGTGTTAGGTGCTTTACATATCTTGTTTTGTTCTTTGGTAATATTGTTGGGTTGAATAATGACCCCTACAAATATGTCCACATCCTAATCCCAGAATCTGTGAGTGATACCTTACACGGCAAAAGGGACTTTGCAGACAGAAGTTAATGATCTTAAGACTGGGCTTATCCTGGATTATCCACATGAGCCTGGTATAATCACAAGGGCCCTTCCTTGTAAGAAGGAGCCGAAAGGGTCAGAGTCAGAGAAGGCAACGTGATAAAGCAGCAGTTGGAGTGATGTACTTTAAAGACGGAGGAAAGGGCCACGAACCAAGAAGCACAAGTGGCTGTTAGAAGCTGAAAAAGCAGGGAAATGAATTCTCCTCTCAGATGCTCTGGAAGGAACCAGCCCTGCTGATATCTTGACTTTAGCCCAGTGAATCTGAATTCAGACTTATGAGCTCTAGAACTGTAAGAGAATAAATCTGTGTTGTGTTAAGCTACTAAGTTTGCAGTGTTTATTATAGCAGCAATAGGAAACTAATACGGTTGTATTTTTATAATCCTCATTTTTACAAATGAGGAAGCTCAGTCAGGTTGAGGAACTTGCCCAAAGACACACAGCTAGCAAGAGATGGAACAAAGGTTTGGTCCTGAACTAGGCTGTCAGACTCAGAGCCTCTGCTTTTCCCACTATCTGATTTTGCTGCCTGAGCAATCTGCTTTCCTGAGCACGTCTGCACACATCAAAGGCTCTGTCTATGTCTGCTGGATGAGTGCACGGTGTTCTGGAGTCAGAAGGATAGGTGGCATGACCTGTCAATAGTCTTCCTTTCAACAACTGTGCAGAAATGCATGCAACCTTCTATGGCCCCAGCAGCTGGGCCCTCCCAGCTAGATCTGGCATCCGCGTCTCTTAGGTGCCTGCTTCTTTCAGGATACAGGAGTGGGTCTGATTTATTATGGTGCATTCCCCAATTTCATGCCAAATGATTCAATTACAGTCACCCTCAGCACTCAGGAGAGGCTTCCTGCTGGCTCACAAAGATGAGACCAGAGGTGGCCCGGAGCATGTAGAAAAATTTCACCTTATTATTTATTGGAGGGGGAAGTGGCATTTCTCCCACTTTGGAGTAGGTTTGTTAATCACAATGTATGAGAGAAGAGGGAGGAAAAATCTTCTCATTTTCAAAGCGAAGTCAGGTTTTAATGAGGAAATATGGTAATGTTTTTACTTTATTTTCCCTGGCTGCCTGTGTCTGTCAGCTCAGGGTTACTCCTGGTCTGTTGAAAGGAACAACTGTTTATTGACTTCCCACTCTCATGCAAACAATGGCTCCCATTTATTAAGTATGTACTGTGTGCCAGGTACTGTGCTGGGCAATTTACAAGTAATCCTTAAACTGAGCCCGGAAAGTGAATGTTAGTATGCTTATCTTCCAAATCAGGAAACAGAGGCTCACATAAATGAAGGAATTTGCCCAGTAACACCCAACTGGTAAGCTATGATTTACACCTAGGCTTTTCTGAATCAGGAGCTTTTATTCTCTCCAGAAGTGATAGCAGGATTCTTTTTCTTTTTTCTTTTTTTTTTTTTTTGAGATGGAGTCTCGCCTTGCCGTCCAGGCTGGAGTGCAGTGGCATGATCTCGGCTCACTGCAACCTCTGCCTCCCAGTTCAAGTGATTCTTTTGCTTCAGCCTCCCAAGTAGCTGGGAATACAGGCGTATGCCACTACGCCCAGCTAATTTTTGTATTTTTAGTAGAGACGGAGTTTCACCACGTTGGCCAGGCTGGATTTGAACTCCTGACCTCAAGTGATCCGCCTGCCTCGGCCTCCCAAAATGTTGGGATTAAAGGTGTGAGCCACCATGCCCAGCTGATAGCAGGATTCTTATTTGGGTATTTTATTGGCCACTCTATACATCCTGCAGGTCTTAGCTAGGATGTGAATTCCTAGCTTCATGTGGCCTCTTATTCCACAAATCTAGGCCTTCCTTAGTGCTGGGTACTCACCCCACTCAGTGCCTCGTGGCCATATTGTAATTGTCTGCTCTTTCTGTGTGTCCCTGCTATGCCGTAGATCCTTGAAGAAAAAACACAGCATGCTGTGTCCAGCACAGAGCAGGCACTGAATAATCGCTTGTGGAATATATAAAAGAATGAATGGCATCCATATTTACACAAATACTGTCACTGAAAATTATCATGAACTTTAGATACCATTTAGGGAAGACACCATAATTTGCAAAGTGCATTCAAATATCCCTTTTAAAAAATACGGAATTCATGAAGAGTGATCCGAATGACTGATTATTATGAGATTTTTGGAACAATTTATTGGTGTTTAGCTAAACCTTAAAGGACTTATTGTACCACGTGCAAGAGAGTTCCCTAAAGTGATCAAATTGGTTTTCTTAATGCTGACATTCCCTGCAGATTGACACAGAAGGGCTGTGAAAACATTGCTTTGCTTCCAGATTGTATTTGGAATTTTATTTTCAAAGCATCTCTTCGGATGGGTCCATCCTATCTCTCCTTTTCTTGCTCAAAATTTATTCCTCTGGGCCCATTTGAATGCAAGCACGTTAAGGGCAGGACTGTGTCTTGTTCACTCCCCTATGCCCCTGGCACCTAGGACAGTTCCTAGCCCATGGGAGCTTCTCAATTAATATGTGTTGATTCATTAGTGGGCTCTTCCTATTTGATATAGTGAAAGGATCAGAGAGGGCAAAAAGGTCTCATGCAGGAGTAGTCGATGGAGATGCAGAACCTGTCAGTATCTCACTCTCTAATGTGCTGCTTATCTGGTACATCCACCACTCCTGGCCCATCAAGCCGGGTGAGACCATCCACACGCATTGCCCCATACCTCTTTGCACCCCCAAACAAGTCCTGAATGCTAGAGGATGTTCTAGGCACTCATGAGGTCTTCCCTTATGACTCATGTTTGTCCCTGACATCCTCTCCCATTTATCTTGTTTATCTCCTTGTTCCAAACTCCTTGACATGGCCTCAAGCTCTATTCCTCAGCGCTGATCCTGGCCCACGGCCTTTCCTTGAAACCAGACCGCCTGGATTTGAATCCCAGCTTCATCCACTGCCTAGCTGTGTGGCCTTGTGCAATTCCTTAACCTCTCTGCTCCTCAGTTTCCTCGTCTATAAAATGGGGATATGAGCTATGCTTGTAAGAGGGCTGTGGAGAAAACTAGATAAATTAATATGCATACAGTGCTTGGACCAGCACCTGATAGGCAGTAAACTCCAAATCCTTATTTGCTGTTACTCTTATTATGTGGTCCTTCTTGGGCTCTCAGTGTGCCACCAGAAAAAGATAGGCAGAGTCTTGGTGTAGGACAAAGCCCTTGGTAATGTCCATGACATCTGGTGGGGTGTGGTTATGTGGACTATTGCCAGAATGAAAGTCTTACCCTCACTCGACCAAGAAAAACACACAAAGTCCAGAGGGTATAAGCCATTTCCTTCCTGCTTCGTTTGACCAACTTTCTGTCCATATCGAACTCCCATTACTAGATGCCTGGGAGGCTGTTTTCTCTCTGACCCCCTTCCTTCTTGTCCGCTTCCCACCCTGGGATCGTCTTGGTCTTTTCAGGCTCTTGCTTCTCCCCACAGAGTCGCAGCTCCACCTTGAAGGGCTTCCGTAGGCCCAACCCTGGGCACTGCAGGTCTTGCCAAGTCTTCTGAGTGAAACCTCCATATGACCAAAAACCCTTGCTTTGTCATTATCTACAGCCTCTTAAAGGAGAACCTGGGGGTGACATTATCCTAACAAAGTGCCTCTTTTTCAGCCTTACCAAAGACCTTGACTCAGGAAGAAGTGAGTGTGGGAAGAAGAGAATGAGGGAGCAGGGAAGGAACCCCATTCTGTTTCATAGAGCTCAGGAAGATCACCTTCTCCCATGGTGGGTCGGGTGGGGTGGGGTGGGTGGTGGTGATGTTGTCAGCCTAGAAGGAGTGAATTGCTTGGGATCTAGCTGCACACCGGGGTATAATTTCAAACCATGCAGCCGGAGCCTGATTCTGCTACTAAAAACCACCTGCTCTCATCAGCATGCAGACCCTGATGGAAAGAGACACTAATTTACAAGAAGGGTGCCAAGTAGCAGACATGTGTCAATACAGGACTTTCAACTCAGGCGAGGAAATAAATCTCCTTTTGGAATTAATGTCATGATTGACTTCAGAGCATATGAACTTGTTATGCAATTGATCTCTGAGTAAAGTGAGCATATGACCAACAGGTACAGCATGTGTCTCCCTCCTATTTTGTTCACTGCCTCCTCTTCCCCATTTCACCGTCCTCTTCTTCCTCTCTGCTGGGGAAGTCTGGCTGAACCAGGGAGATCCAATCTGTTTTTCTTTTTAATGATACCCTGGAGGAAAGATACGCTAAAACAACTTTGACTTCTCAGCCACTGTTTTAACTGTTGTTGTAGTCATAAGGTTATGTCGTAGGTCTGACTTGCATCCCTCATGCTGTACTCTGGGCCTGTTTCTATTAGCTCAGATCACTGTGGAGAGGAACGGCAACAGGCTCTGAAAAGTAAAGACTGTATGGTCTGTGCATCCTCAGATAGCTCCACTGCCAGTTACATCATCCCCACACGCCTCCTACTTGTGCCTTTCTTTGCTTCCACCACGATACTTTCCACTTCCCTTCTTTTTCTTTTTTTCCCTTTTTTTTTTAAAGAGATGGGGTCTTGCTCTGCTGCCCAGGCTGGAGTACAATGGTGCAATCATAGCTCACAGCAGCCTGGAACTCCTGGGCTCAACTGATCCTCCTGCCTCAGCCTCCTGAGTAGCTAGGGTTAGAAGTGCCTACTCCCACACCCAGCCTCCCTTCCTAATTAGACCTGCAAGTGGTGACAGGTTGTGGAAACCTAGGCCCTGGGACCCTGCTGATGGAAAAAGGGTGGAAGCTGAAATGACAAGCACACTGCTAAGTTTTAGGAGGCTGCATGCTCTGGCTTTGAAGCTTGGTCTGATTTATTTATGGGCCGGCCTCTGTCATCCAGAGTAGAGCATTATATCAGCCAGTGTGCTGAAGGTGCCCCCAGTGGTTTATGGCTGTGATAATGGAGTTGTTATGGGCCTTAGTGAGCTGGAATTTATCAAGGCTCAGGTTCTTCTCTGTGTAGCTGGCTCTGAGATGTCACTTAACCTTTGTTAACAACAGCAGCAATAACAATAATAATAATAATAAAAATAGCTCATGCCTGCTAAGCCTTTACCAGGTGCTGGGCACATATGTTAACACTTAATATATGTTATTTCATGCTTCTCAAATAGTCTTGTAAGGTAGACATTATTTTGTCACCAATCTACAAAGGCACAGTGTACAGCTGTGTTGAAGTTAAGCAGTGTTCCCAAGGCCATGTAGTTGGTAGGATTTGAGCTGGGAATTCAAACCCAGAGAGTCTGAATCCAGAGCTCAGATGCTCATTGCTCTCTCAGCAGCCACAGGAAGAAGGGGACTCTCTCACTCTGACATTGACATTGAGGAGCTTCATATTCTTGGCAGACTCTGACGTGTGTGTGTGTGTGTGTGTGTGTGTGTGTGTGTGTGTGTTTGCATGAGTGATTGTAGTCAGTACAGGAGCACCGTGAGCTGTCCCAGTTGATGGCGCTGGGCACTGATGCACCTTGGCCTTTGCCTGCCCAGTCCCACTCCCTTGTTCTCTAGTGTGCGTTTCTGGAGTTCCTTGGAGGGAGAGGCCAGGGATAGAAAACCCAAGGTAATTCCCCGACCCCACTCCATGGTACCTTCTTCCCTGGTGCTAATCCCATCCTCCTGTCGGTTTCTCATATGCAGGCTCAATCAGCGCTTCCCTGGGGACCATGCTTTACAGCACACAGAGGGCTTTAATGTGCACACCTTATTTAGACCCCAGAGCATGCTGTGAGGAAGAATGGCTCAGATAGGAGAGGCAGAGAGCATGACTAATAAAAATAAGGCAAGGGATTAAGAGACTTGAAGGTTCCCAGGACAAGCTATTGTCAAATTGGTGAATATTAATGCAGCTAAAGGAAGAAGGAGTCCAACAGAAGGGGAACTGGGAAAATGAATTATGGCACATACTTGTAATGGGCTATCATGCAACCATTAAATTAATGATCAAGAAGGCAAGATGGCAGCATTAGAAGTTGTTTACCAGCTGGGTGCGGTGCTTCATGCCTGTAATCCCAGCACTTTGGGAGGCTGAGGTGGGTGGATCACTTGAGGTCAGGAGTTCGAGGCCAGCCCGGCCAACATGGTGAAACCCCATCTTTACTATAAATACAAAAATTAGCTGGGTGTGTTTGTGCAGGTCTATAATCCCAGCTACTCAGGAGGCTGAGGCAGGAGAATTGCTTGAACCTAGAAAGCGGAGGCTGCAGTGAGCCGAGATCGTGCCACTGTAATCCAGCCTGGGCAACAGAGTAAGACTCTGTCTCAAAAAAAAAAAAAAAAAGAAAGAAAGAAATTGTTTGCCACATATTATTTAGTGAAGAAAAAAGTGACCAGGAAGCATATACAACACAGTGCCAGTCTTATGAAAGCATATATGTGTATGTGTGTGTGTGTGTGTGTGTGTGTGTGTATATATATATATATATATGCATATATGTACATACTTATGTGTATATATACTACCATGTATAGAAAAAAGGTTGAATGTCTGTATTCCAAAATATTGACCAAGTCTTCAGTCAATTATGTTGAGGTGGTGGATTATGGCTGATTTATAATAATTTTCTTTAGTGTAGTTTTGAAGTTTCCTAAAATGAACTTGTATTTGGAATAAGATAAACACTTATTAAAGAAAGAAAGAATGAGCCATTAAAAGGGAGGTGTTTAGCCATCAAGTTATGCCCTGGGTCTGACTTGCATCTCTCATGCTGCACTCTGGGCCTGTCTCTATTAGTCCAGATCTCTGTGGAGAGGAACAGCAACAGGTCTGAAAAGAAGAGACTGTATGTCTGTCCATCTTCAGATACCTCCACCACCAATGACCAACTTTCCTTCCTGGGAAAATGGGGAGCCAGAGAGAGAACAGAAAGGTGCAGTAGACAGCAATGTCCTGGTCATTGAGACCTGAATTTGGGGCCATGAGGATTCCAGGCCCTGTTATGTCCAGAGATGGAACATGAGCTGGGCCTCACCTTGGCTTCCCATTTCCCCTGGCTGATTCCACACCCACTGGGATTTTAATTTGACCTTTGTGTGTCCTGATATTGGGAAGGGGTGTGCACTGATTTAGGGACTGGAACATTCTAGTTACAAAAAAAGAAGAATGGGATCCACCATGAGAAACAGACACTTTGGCATTCTGATTTATAAAAAGTCTTTTATGAGCTTGGTTAATGGGAGTTTGTCCAAGAGAGACAGGTCAATTAACTCTTCACCTTGCAAGCTGAGGACCAGACCTGGGGAAGTGATGATGACGTTGATGGCCTCTCTGGCCAGAGCTGGTCAGCTAGCTTTTCCCTGGCAGTAGCTCTCTTTGGGGAACAGTATGATATACTGGAAGGGGGTTGAACTTGGAACTAGGTGGATCCACAGTAAAATCCTAGCTCTATCTTTTATTATTATTATTATTTTATTTATTTTTTTTTAGCAATGTGACATTGATATGGTTTGGCTCTGTGTCCCCACCCAAATCTCACCTTGAATTGTAACAATCCTCATGTATCGTGGGAGGGACGTGGTGGGAGGTAATTGAATCATGGGGGCAGGTTTCTCTCCTGCTGTTCTGGTGATAGTGAATAGGTCTCATGAGGTCTGATGGTTTTATAGAGGGAGGTTCCCCTGGACACGCTCTTGCCTGCAGCCATCTAAGACATGCCTCTGCTCTTCCTTTGTCTTCCGTAGTGATTGTGACACCTCCCCAGCCATGTGGAGGGTTAAACCTCTTTTCTTTATAAATTACCCAGTCTTGGGTATGTCTTTATTAGCAGTGTGAGAACAGACTAATACAGACATTGTTTACTTAACCTCTCTGAAACCTGCCTTTCTCATCTGAAAAGTGGATGTGATAATACATCATGGGGTTCCTCTGGGGATTAGATGAAATATGGAGTAGAAAGTCCCTGGCACATGGTTGGCATGTAACAGTAGTCAGTTTTGTCTGCAATATCAGGGATGGCAGGAATAACTGATAACAATATCCCTATTATCCCTGAACTTGGGTCCAGGGAGATTCTATAGTCTTTGCTCATGGTGACACAGTAAAAGCAGACCAGGGATTGGGTCTTCTCCTTGCTGGCTGTGGTTTCCACTCCAATATGGCTTTGGGTCTGTCTAGGGCAGGGTTGGCCAACTGTGGCCCACAGGCTGAATCTGGCCCACTGCCTGTTTTTGTAAGTAAAGTTTTATTGGGAAACAGCCATGCTCATTCATTTACATGTTATCTATGGCTTAACAACAGAACTGAGGAGTTGTGGCAGTCTGCATGGCCCACAAAGCCTAAAATATCTAATCTCTTGACCTTTACAGAAAAAGTTTATTGATTCCTGACATAGAACATCATTGACTTCTAAGGTGGGAGGAATTTCAAAATGAGGAATCATAGAATCAGAAAAGTGAGGAACCCCCAAAAGATTAAGGCAGAGAATTTGTGAGAAAACACTACTTCCCAGGGAAAGGAGCAAGGGGGAATGAAGGGAGAATATAGACCTTCCACAGACCTGGCAATAGCAGCCAGGACATATTGGGAAATGGATACATCTGCTTCTTTTAATTCCTCTGTCTCTGTGGGGGATGCAAAGCCTTTTGCAGAGATTGTAGGAAAATATGTCTTGAAAGGCAAAAGGCCAGCTCTCGAGATGGTCCTTCTGAAAATCTGGCTCATGACAGGGCTCTCCTCTACTATTTATCTTCCCTGGCTCTAGGCTTGGACTTCAAGACTCAGAACTTGATGTTTCTTGGAAATTCATCATCTCTACAGCCAATGGGTCCCCAAGCCTTGTCTACTCAGACTCCTTAAATACATCTCCAGTCTGTCCCTTATTCTCTATCCCCACCGCCACCATTCTAGTTCATGCCTCATCATCTCTCACTAGGATTTCTGTAATAACATCTGCCCGTCCACCCATCCATCTCCAACCACCCACCTGCACTGAGGACCTGCACTGGGCTAAGTCCTGGGACAATGCTGGGCATGATACACTCTTTGCCTTCAAGGCCTCACTAACTAATGGTCTTTAATAACTGAATTTCCACTTTCAGCCCCACTTCCACCCAGGTTTTCCTTCCTCCCTGTTGCAGGGTGATCTTTCAAAAGCACACCTTTGATTTTGCTATTGCCCTAGTCAAAACCTTTAATAACTTCCCATTGATTGTAGGATAAGGCCCAAAGTCCTTAGTGAGGCATTTATGCTCCTTTGCAAATTGATTCCCAAATACCTTTCCAGCCTTTTCTCATACGAATCTAAATTTTAGTGAGCAACTCCTAGTTATTGTTTAAGCTCAAGATAAGGTTTTATATTGTATTAAGGTAAGTAATGCTAGGCTCTGCTGAGGTAACAGATACACTCTGAAATCTCAGTGCCTTAACACAATAAAACTTTATATACTGCTTTTCCTCAGTCTAATGTGACATTCCCGGTTTGGCAGCTTTCCTGGGCAGCTCTCCTCCAAGCAATAACTCAGGGATCCAGGCTTCTTTCATCTCTACAAGTGATTTTAAGTTCACCCTGGAGCCATCCAGCCAGGAGATGAGAGGATAAAGTGTATGGATGAGGCCAGGCGCAGTGACTCATGCTTGTAATCCCAGCACTTTGGGAGGCTGAGGTACACAGATCATTTGAGGCCAGGAGTTTGAGATTGGCCTGGGCAACATGGCAAAACTCCGTCTTTACTAAAAATATAAGAATTAGCCGGGCATGGCGGCACACACCTGAAATCCCAGGTACTCAGGTGGGTGAAGCACAAGAATCGCTTGAACCTGGGAGGCAGAAGTTGCAGTGAGCTGAGCTTGCACCACTGGACTCCATCCTGGGTGGCCGAGGGAGACTGTCAAAAACAAAACAAAACAAAACAAAACAAAACAAACAAACAAAAAAAACATGTATAGGTGGATTCTTAGGAAGTTTTAGGAGCCAGATCTTATATCACTCTGTTCCAATTTTATTGGCTAGAACTCAATTGTGTGGCCCTGATAACTGCATAGGAGGCTGGGAAATGTAGTTGAGTTGTGTGCCCAGGAGGACAAAGAAATGGGTTTGATGGACAAATAGCATTATTTCTGTAGCTCAAATCTTTTTTTTTTTTTTTTTTTTTTTTTGAGATGGAGTCTCATTCTGTAGCCCAAGCTGAAGTGCAGTGGTGTGATCTCGGTTCACTGCAACCTCCACCTCTGGGGCTCAAGCGATTCTCATGCCTCAGCCTCCTGAGTAGCTGGGACTACAGGCATGTGCCACCACTCCTGGCTAATTTTGTGTTTTTTAGTACAGATGGGGTTTCATCATTTTGGTCAGGCTGGTCTCGAACTCCCGACCTCAGGTGATCCTCCCTCCTCAGCTTCCCAAAGTGCTGGGATTATAGGCGCGAGCCACAGCACCTGGCATAGCTCAAATCTTAATGCGTTTGTCTTTGCTATTTCCTCTAAACTCTTCTTCCCTAAACAAAACTCTGAAAGTTTAAGTCTAAATTCTTCTTATCCTGTTTCTCTGGGTGGGTGAACATTTCCTTATCCTTCCAGGCCCAGGCTAAACATCACCAATCCCAGGAAGCCTTTCCTAGCTCTGCATGAGCACCTGTCCCCATGTTTGCTTCCACAGAACTTTGTGCATTGTCAACAGGAATCAGACTTTTCTAGGTGCCAGACCCTGTTCTGGGCTGTTTATTTTAATTTTTTAAATTGTCCATTTCTTTATTATCCTTCAAAGTCTAAAACTTCCTCAATGATAAAACGAATAGCCACTGATTTCTGCCGCTTCGTTTATTGGAACTTCTAGTCTGATGGCAAACATTTTTTTTACATTTGTTTTATTATTAAAGATTCAGAGTCACAATAAATACAATCAGTAACCTCCTCCATCCCCCAAAGCCCCCACAAATACCCTGCACAAGTGTTAACCATCTATTACACTTTCTTTGTTAAGGATTATGAAATTACTGGCTATAAACAGCTCAGTCCAAGTTCTTCAGGCTAACATCATCTGTGGCATAACTCGGCGTCAAAGAGAAACCCTAGGGCAGAGCAGCAAGGACCATCCTTTCCCTTACAGGCACCCCTGCGATGAGACTATTTCTACAGAAAACTCCCCCTGTGGACCAGGCGCGGTGGCTCACGCCTGTAATCCTAGCACTTTGGGAAGCGAGGCGGGCGGATCACGAGGTCAGGAGATAGAGACCATCCTGGCTAACATGGTGAAACCCCGTCTCTACTAAAAATACAAAAAATTAGCCGGGTGTGGTGGTGGGCGCCTGTAATCCCAGCTACTCGGGAGGCTGAGGCAGGAGAATTGCTTGAATCCAGGAGGCAGAGGTTGCAGTGAGCCGCGATTGCGCCACTGCACTCCAGCCTGGGCAACAGAGCAAGACTCCATCTCAAACAAACAAGCAAACAAAAAAAACAACCAAACCAAACCAAACCAAAACAAAACTCCCCCTGTGTCTTCCTGTCCATCTGAGCTCCCTAAATGCGTAACTCTTATGATCCTCACACAAACCCTATAGAGGTAGATACTATTATTATCCCCAGTGCAAATGTGAGGAACCTGAGGCTTATGCAATAAATAAGCTCAAATCTTTTTTTTTTTGTCCAGGGGTTTTATTATTCCATCACAGTCCAATTGTACAGATTTGTTTTCTGGTCTGTTATTCCTATGGAACTATGACATCCTCACAGGCAGGAGCCTGGTTTTATTCATTGTCTATGCCCCCAATGTGGCATGTCTTCAGGAACTATTATTATATGAAGAAATGTTGCCATTCACTATGCCAATGTGCTTATTAATCAGTGAATTTATTCTATACTAATATGTAACCGGGTACACTCAACAAATATTTATTCCATGGTTGATTTAAGGGCTGAATCATCAGCCAGTGATGGATGGCTGTTTTTTGTTTTTTTTTTTTTTTTTGAGGTAGGTTCTTGCTCTGTTACCCAGGCTGGATTGCAGTGGTGCGATCTCAACTCACTGCAACCTCTGCCTTCTGGGTCCAAGCAGTCCTCCCACCTCAGCCCCCCCAAGTAGCTGGGACCCACAGCCATGCACCATCATGCCTGGCTAATTTTTGTATTTTTTTGTAGAGACGGGTTTTTGTTATGTTGCCCAGGATGGTCTCAAGCTCCTGAGCTCAAGTGATTCACCCGCCTTGACCTCCCAAAGTGCTGGGATTACAGGTGTAAGCCACTGCGCCTGGCCTGGATGGCTCATTCTTTTAGAAGGGGTGCATGACCAACTGGACACCACAGTGGTGTCTGCAGGTGCTACAGCAGAAATCTGCTTTTGATGCAGCACTTGCCTTACGAGCTGTTCTTTCTTGCTCATTGAGGGCTTTGTGTGCTGCTCTTCACACAGCTGGGCTCCATTGTGATCTGTCATGTACCAAGTTCAGACATATTTGCTCCTGATCCCAAGACTCAAGACAGATCAGATGTCATAGGCCTTTAGTGTGACCTACAGGAAAGCTTTCATTCCAGCATTTAGTAGGGTGGCCAATAATACTTTTTTGGCTCAGGGAACTAGCAGTGCAGTTCAACAGATCCAAATGAACTGAGCTTGAGTGAGGTGTTGATGGTGTGGAACAGAAGGAGGCATGGAGGGCTCACGCATTGTAAATGCTCATCATCTAGGGCTGGAGGAGGAGAATGAAGGGTCAATAATGCCTACCTGATAAGGTTGCTGTGAGGAGAAAATGAGATAATGTGGGTGAAGCACATAGCATAGTGATGGGCACATTAGTAAGTGCTCAATTAGTATTAGCTGTTATATTATTATGAATGCAGTACAGTATGATGAGTGTTATCTTGGTGACATGAACAAAATAATATAGGAGCCCAGAGTGTCCCATCGTACTTGGAGGATTCAGGGAGATATTCATAGAGGATGTGAGATTTGAACAAGACTTCAATGGATAAGTAGGAATGCTCTGGATAGGTAAGACAATGGTGAGGCTGGGAATGGGTATTAGAGATAGAGGAAAGTAGAGGTATGAACAATTTTCTCTCTGAGAATAACAGGTGGCTTCGGTGAAAAGTGTATAGGGTATTATGGAAGAAAGGTATGGAAATGTAAAAGGTGGTGTGGTAGGCAGAATATGCTTCCTGCCCTCCAAATGTCCACATCCTAATCCCTGGTACCTGTGAAGATGCTACCTTACACGCGAAGAGGAATTAACTTTGTAGATGGGATTAAGGTTGCCAATAAGGTGATCTTAAAATAGGGAGATTATCCTGGATTATCCAGGGGGCCTCAATGTAGTCACAAATGTCCCTGAAAGTAGAAGGATGCAGAGGAAGGAGTCAGAGTAATGCAAGGTGAGAAAGACGCAACTCACTCTGAACTCAACTGGCTTTGAAGATGGAGAAAGAAGTCATAAGCCAAGAAGAGTGGGTGACCTCCAGAAACACTAGAGGCAAGGCAAGGCAGGGCAAGGGATTCTCCCACAGAGCCTTCAGAAAGGAGCATGATCCTGCTGACATCTTGATTTTAGTTCAGTGAGACTTGTGCTGGACTTCCAACCTCTAGAACTGTAAGAGAATACATTTGTGTTGTTGAAGCCATCAAGGTTGTGGTCATTTGTTGAAGCAGCAATAGAAACCTAATACAGACTGGGGAGAGAGGATGTGGGGAAGGAGTCTGAAAAGTAGGCAGAGCCAGGCTATGAAAAGATTTGTAGGTTACATTCTTTTTTCCTACAGGGCAGAGATTCTAAAAAAGTGTTCTGTCCTTTGATATATTCTGCAGAAATAGGGTTTAAAGATGAAATCACTTTGGGTATCACTGAATACTCTTGCCCCCATTTGAAGATTCATAAGGAACATTAATAATTCAAAAACCCCAAGAAATCATGCAGCAAAGAGACCTGTTTAACTTTGTCTGTCAAGTATTTCCTCAATTTATTTGATTATCAGTTTCCTTTTTGTTTTTCTTCACTCAAGACCGGTTAACATCTCAAAGCACTTTAGAAAATTCTGCTATAGGTGATGGGAATGCATCAGAGTTTTAATTTTAAAAAATAAGTTTATTTTTTCAGTTGAAAAGGTAGTTTAACCTCATTATGAAAAATAGACAAAAGAGAAAAATCCATGGTGAATTTTATCACCTCAATCCAACTACTAGTTGGTGTATTTTTATGTCTATCTTTTACACATATCTATTCTTTTGCATATTTTTAGCGTATCTATATATCTTCTATGCCTTTTACTTTTTATATCATAGAATTTTGGAAACTGTAAGTAGTATTTATAGTCATCATAAATGTAATTCTTTAGTCAAGGAAGGAAGATAATGTGATCAGATTGTGATAATATCACCACGAAGATGGAGTGAGGAGGATGGGGAAGATGAGTTAGGGAGCTGTTGATAGAATCCAGACAAGATAAAAAGAAGATCTGAATCAAGGGAATAGCAGTTGTGATAGATAGGAAGAATTGACAAAGACACCTCATGGGTGGAGGGAATGTCGAAGTCAAGGGTAGTGTGACTTCTAGCTTGAACGACTTTGGTAATTGACATGCTATCACCACAGACAGAGGACAAAGGACAAAGAGCAAGTTTTTAACAACTGTGGGTAGATGGAATAAGTTTCATTTTAGATGTAGTCAGCTTGGGGTGCTAGTGGGACTCAGGCGGGTCTGTGAATGGCATTTGTGTGAGAGCCTGGGCTGCTGATATGGGTTAGGCATCATGAATATTTGGATGGATAAGTTTGAATGGGCATTAATTGATACCAAGAAGTGATTTTGAGAGGCCAGGAAGAGAGCATGACAGAAAGTGAAGAACTGGATCCTGGGGAATGCGTTTATTTAAGGCTTGGATAGAGGAAATGGAGTTAGTGAAAAGATGGAGGAGAAATAACCAGAGAAATAGAATAACCAGAGGTGGAGGAGGTAGAGAGAGCTGTCGCAAAAACCAAGGGAGCACAGAATTTTAACAAGGCATTAGTGGCTAATATTAACAAATGCTACAACGATGTCAATTTGGATGAATGCTGGAATGAGGAAGCCACTAGATATGATATGTGGTTGCCAGTGACTTTTGTGAGAATAGTTATAATGGAGTGAGGAGGTCAGACCCAGGCTACATTGGGCTGAAGCATCAATGGGCTGATGGTACAGCAAACAAAATACTATGAAAGGCCTTCATGCTAAATACAATCAACTATAATTTTTAATAATTTTTTTTGAGATAGGGTCTTACTCTGTCACCCAGGCTGGATGACAGAGTGGCAGGATCACGGCTCATTGCAACCTCAGCTTCCTAGGCTCAAGCAATCCTCCCACCTTAGCTTCCTGAGTAGCCGGGACCACAGATGCATGCCATCATGCCTGGCTAATTTTTTGTGCTTTTGGTAGGGGTTGGGTTTGCCATGTTGCCCAAGCTGGTCTCAAACTCCTGAGCTCAGGTGATCCACCCACCTCAGCCTCCCAAAGTGCTGGGATTACAGAATTGAGCCACCATGCCTAGCCTTAATTTTTAATAATTAATTAACATCTTACTTTTGAAAATAAGAGAAATCACCAAGAGGAAGAACAAAACCAAATAAAAATTGTGCATAAATCAGGGAGTTAAACACAGATCAGGAAGGAGGGAGCTGTGAGCAATAAGCAAACTCAAACAGGTGGACTTCTTGGCAGGCAAATATAATATCAGCTCTGCAAATGAGAGATTAGATCTTGGAACCTTGGCAAACGAGAGGAGGTGAAAGGGTCAAGACCCAGTCAGTAGGGTCCCTTGAATCTGACAGGAGTAAACATGTCCTGCCTAGAGGAAAATATTTCCAGTTTAGGCCCTCAGAATTCCCAAGATTAAGTTCTATAAAATATAAGCCTACAGTAAAAACATTACGAAACATACAAGGAAACAAACCACTATGCATGGGAATTAGTAGAATAGAAACAAGAGATTTAGATCTCCAAGGACTTCAAATATTGTAAATATTGGATATAGAATATAAGGCAACTAAGTGTGAAATGCCTACAGATACGAAAGATGAAATGAACTATGAGCAAGAAATAAGAAGTCATAAAAATGTCAGGCAGACTTTAAAAGGTAGAAAATAGACATTTTAGAAATAAAATATAATAGTTGAAATTAAAACCTCAGTGGATGTGTTAAACAATAGACAAGAGGAAGATGAAGACAGAATTAGTGAACTGGAAGATAGGTCTAAAAAACTATAAAGAATGAAGCCTGAAGAGATAAAGATTGAGAAATAGTAAAGAGAGACAAGAGACATTGAGAATCACATGATAATGTGTGACATATGTCTTATCAGGTTCACAAAAGGAGATAACAAAGAAAATGGGAGAGAGGAAATATTTGAAGAAATAATTTCTGTAATTGATAAAAGTTATTCTTAATCAGGAAGCAAAACAAATCTCATCCAGGATAAATAAAAAGAAATCTATTCCTAGGTATATTATAATGAAATTGCAGAGCCCTCAAATGAAGATAAAATCTTGAAAGCAGCTAGAGAAAAAGGACAGATCATGAACAAAGAAGCAGCTATTAGATTGATGGTGGACTTTCTAACAACAGCAAAAGATAGAAGACAATGGAATAATATCTTCAAAGTGCCAAAGGAAAATTACCACCAATTTAGAATTATCTATACAGTAGTGAGACTACAAAATAAAATTTCAGTTTAACAAAAACCAAGAATTTATCACCAGCAGACTTTCACTAAGGAAGCTTCTAAAGGATTGGACTTCAAAAGGAAAATGATCCAGGAAAAAATATCTGAGATGTAAGAAGGAATGGTGAGTGAATAAATCAGAAAACATGTCGGTAAATGTAAATAAGCATTGTCTGTTTATAATGATGAATGGTGATGAAGTTGATGGTGACAATGTCAAATTCGTGAGATAACAAAAAGGACAGAACTAAAATGCTGGATGATAAGAACACATATATTGAGAGGCAGTGATTGAAAATGAAGTATTCTAAGACCCTTGTCTTATTGAAGGGTGGATAGATTTAAGATACTGAATAATTTAGACTTTGTTATGCTAAGTATTTCTGGTAAAAT
Organism: Homo sapiens; assembly: GCF_000001405.40. Taxonomy (NCBI): domain Eukaryota; kingdom Metazoa; phylum Chordata; class Mammalia; order Primates; family Hominidae; genus Homo; species Homo sapiens. The sequence goes on from NC_000017.11 coordinate 51,415,278, forward strand.
TTTAAGGGTAGCCACTAAAAGAGTAAAAACATATTGTGTGTGTGTATATATATATATATATATATATATATATATATATATATATATATATATAATATATATATATATATATATATATATATATATAATATATATATATATATATTTTTTTTTTTTTTTTGAGATGGAGTCTCCTCTGTCACCCAGGCTGGAGTGCAGTGGTGCGATCTTGGCTCACTGCAACCTCTAACTCTTGGTTCAAGTGATCCTCCCACCTCAGCCTCCCAAGTTGCTTGGATTACAGGTGTGCACCACAATGCCTGGCAAATTTTTTGTATTTTTAGTAGAGACCGAGTTTCACCATTTGGCCATGCTGGTCTTGAACTCTTGACCTCAAGTGATCTGCCTGTCTTGGCCTCCCAAAGTGCTGGGGTTATAGATGTGAACCACTGCACCTGGCCTAAATTTTAAACGAATCGAGGAGAAATGAAACATATTGTGAAATGTTAGAAAATTAGAGGTCTGCCAGCTTTGCTATAATGAATAGAAAAGAAAGATTTGCAATTAACGTAATGTTCGTAATTGGTGCTCCTGAAAAAGTTGGTTTTAAATTATTTGGACAGCATGTGGTAAAATTCTCACTTTTCCTACTCAGTATTCATTCTCTCTTTTTCTAATAACAAAAACACAATCTCCCTCAGTTCCTGACAGTGTAGTGTACAAGAAAAGGAGGAAGCAAAGAAAAAGTAAATTAAAATAAATAGAAAACACAAAGTAAGATGGCAGAAACCCAGTCCACTTATATCAACAACAGTAAATGTGAACGAATTAAACTCACCAGCTATTGATAGTTTGCCAGATTGAATGAAAAAGAGTGAACAGCATGTGAGGAAGTGACAGATAGTAACATCATTTTTTAGGAAATTTGGCTGTGGATGGGACAATCAACACAGAATAGTTCCATGGGTCAGAAACAGCTTTGAGGGAGACATTATTAGAATTAGCAATATTTGAATATCAAGTACTTCCAAAGTCATGTGATGCATAAAGAGTGAGGGGAAGGCTTTATTTGACTGCCCCAAAGGGTGAGAACTGCCTTCCAGAGCTTAGTGTATAATTTCTAGAATTTAAAAATCACTTGATAGTGAGATTGAGATGGAAAAATGGGATGGTTATAAAAGGGTCTTTGCTTTTTTTTTTTTTTTTCTGAGGCAAGAGTCTCACTCTGTCACCCAGGCTGGTGTGCAGTGGCATGATCTCAGCTCACTGCAACCTCTGCCTCCTGGGCTCAAGCGATTCTTGTGCCTCAGCCTCTCGAGTAGCTGGGATTACAGGTGCACATCACCACATTCAGCTAATTTTTGTATTTTTAGTAGAGAGGGGGATTCACCATGTTGGCCAGGCTGGTCTCAAACTTCTAACTTCAAGTGATCCGCCCACCTCAGCCTCCCAAAGTGCTGGGATTACAGGTGTGAGCCACTGTGCCTGGCGGTGAAAGGATCTCTCTGAAACAGAGAGGACAGATCTAGGGAGATTTTGCAGAAGTACATTACCTACTTAGGATGCATTAACCACCCAATGGCATTACTACATATTGTTATTCTGCTGTGGAGGTGAAAGTATTATGTATCTTACAGATATAATAAATGATTTGAAGGCAGCATGGTGTAGTGGAAAAACTTCTGAATTTGTATTAGAACCTCGTTCTGGATCCTAGCTCCATGACTGTGTGGCTGTGAAGTTAGACACTTCTTTTTTTCCAGCTATTTGGCACTTACAATTCTTTGCTGAGAAACAAGAGCATTAGATATAATCTCTACAGTACTTCCTACTTTTCACCTTTTCTGAGAGACTGGGTTCCCTCAGAAGTCTCAGGGAAATGAGGTCATCCTGATTAAATGGGGTCTATTCTTTCCTCTACCCTAACTCCATAGCTTGCCCTGGAAATAGAATGAAGTGTTGGATCCTAAGACAATGTGTTGGAATATCTGGCACATTAGTTGTGCAAATGTCAAGATCGAATAGTTTTTTAAGCAGCATTTACTAAAATATATTTCAGAGGACACTAGTCCTTTGAGACAGTCTGTCAAGTAAGTTTGGGAATGCATTCCCTATTTCCTTTTAGTGATGTCCAGTGTACAGCAGCAAGTCAGAAACTGGTGACCTGGATCAAACAGGGTTATAATTGATTAGCACAAATCCTCAGGAATGAAGTGAACATTCGTGGAGTCACTCATGAGGGACCTCCAAACCCACGTTGTGGGCAAGGGGAGAGGGAAAGTTCATTCTTTACTTTTGCCCCTAAGTGTAGCCATTGCTCTCTAGAGGTAAGGTCCTTGTGAGTATTTTCCAGAAATTAAAAATCATTTGGTAGTGAGGATAGGGTCAGGAGATAGAATGATGGCAAACTGTGAGATGAATAAGAACCTCACCCAGCATAAGACTATCTGGTTTACTAAGGGGGTTGGGCAAAATCCTCTTTCTCAGTTGCAGTGGTTATTGAATTTTTTGGAGCCAAACTTCTGCTAGATGCATTTTGTGTGTGTGTGTGTGTGGCTGGAAAAATACCAAAGTTTAGGTTGAGTAGAAACATTGTCTGATTGAGGAGGGGCTGGGGCAAGTGTATCATCTCTTGGCCAACTTGCTCTTGTGGATTCAAGGAAGTGTTATCTGAAAAGTCTTCCCCTGCTGTGGCCTCATCCAACCATCAGCACACTGCCGACAGTGTACCACTGTAACTGCATGCCCCGATAACTGCTCACATTGTGCCAAGCTCTGTGCTAGCTCTTGTGGAAGTCAAGTGATGAGTAAGACACAGACTTGCTACAAGGACCTCAGAATCCAGGAATTCTAAAAAATCCAGGAAACAGCATAAGAGCTTTGCCTAACATGTACCTTAGCTATTAGAAGGATGAGGTGGGGGCATGTAACATAACCTGGGAGTGTTGCGGAAGGTTTCTTGGGGGAGGTGATGCCTGAGCTGAGTTTTAAAGGTTGTGTAGGCATCAGCCAGATGAAGAGTGTTGGTGGATGAGCAAGGAGAGCCTTATGGGACAGCTGAGGACAACAACATTGGGGGCAAAACAGCAAGTGGGGGACAAGAAGCTGTTCTGTGTTGCTGGAAGGAAATGTGTGAGGTGCGGAGAGGTGCAAGGTAAGCCTGGAGAAGTAAGTAAGCACCAGGTTATAAAGAATCTGATGGCCATGCTAAGGAACTAGGGCTTCTTTAGCCTAAGATTAGTGTTTTGCAAAGTTTGATCCCCATAGTCTTTGCATTAGCACATCCAAAATGCTTGTTAAAAACAAATCAGGGTTTGCACAATCAGAGTCTTTGAAGGAGGGACCCAGAAATCTGCATTTTAAAGAAGCTCCCAGGTGATTCTGGTGTACCCTGAAGTTGAGAACTATTGTGGAAATAGACAAGAGTCATTGAAGAGTTTTAAGTGGTAATGCTGCTGAATCTGTGGTTTAGATAACTCTCTCTGGAGTTAAGTGTAGGGTAGAGCAGAGCAAGGCAGGGAGACCACTTAGGAGTCTCTTGAAATAATCCTGGTGAGAGTTTAGTACGATCTGACCACAGTAGGGGTAGCCAGGATGCAGAGACGCTGATGTGGCCACAGAAGCAAGAGTACCCGAGTAAGCACTGTGATGGCAGTGTCTGAGAATCACTAGCTAGAGGAAGCATGTGCACACGATACCTACTATACGCACAGGTGCACAAAGGGAGCAAAGGCCATTATCTTCAGGTATAAAAGCAAAGATGTTCAATGTTTGTGCAAAAGGCCAGAGACTTCTCTGGGCCTCTGGGTAATTTTTTAAGATCTCAAATTTCCCACGTGCAGAATGGGGGAAAATCAGAATGAACTTAACACAATTGAAAGTGGTGGGATCTGAGTTTTCTTCCCTTGACCCCAAACCCAGTCTTCAGGACTCTGCCATTAATAGTTAGGTGTTTAACATTCCCGATCTTTTTCTACACATGTACACACACACACACACACACACACACACACACACACAAAATATATATATATATATGTAGCAATAGAAATACATAGTTTTATTTTGCATGCTCTTGTGTGTTCTTTTACATGCATGGAATACTGTAGATAAGTTGCAACTGGCTTTTTTTTCTTTTAACAATCTGTTTTGGAGATTCTTCCATGTTAGTTTTTGCAAACTGGAATCATTCTTTCAAGCTACTTTATTGTTTTCCTGGTAGACAGGTGGCACTTTTCTGTTTCACTCTCGAGCTTTCTAAATCCAAATGCAGAACTGCTTCCCTTGCAGCAGGTGTGGACTCTGGGCACCTTTATCCTTCACTCCCCACATCTCTCACTGACGCCAAAGTCAGGGTTTCTCTTCTTGTTCCTCAGCAACTTCATCTCACTGCAGTGAAATCTCTTCCTCTGGCAGCCAGCCAAGCCACATCTTGGAGAGGCTACCTGGCTGTATCTGGTGGGAACAGGAAAGCAGGCTACCTGTGGCCCTGAAGAAAGCCTTCATAGGGAAAGATGTAGGAACCCTACCTGGTACACATTGACTTGTGGAGTGCCCCCCACCAGGCATAGGACTTTCCTTATATAGATTATATTTTGTACATTCTCAACCAAGCTGAGGATTCCTATTTCCATTTATTTATTGTTCACCCCTTTTTATAAGTTCAAGAGTCTGCCAATAGAAGACACTGGAGAAACACTGGAAGAAAAGAAATTACTTGATAAAGAATTTCATGATTCGAAAAACATTTGTAATTTCAACACTTGTAAGAGATGTGAAGGTTATAGCAGATTTGTCCCAACCACATCTCTTCATGCAGACATTGGCACAGGTTACTCATAACAAGGCCAGCCAAGGAGATGTTATTGGCTGAAAATAATTGGATGGTCTAAGTGAACCATGGAGCGAGGGTCGCTGAGACATTGCCGGCTTCTCCACCCACATGCTAATGGAAGAGTTGTGTGGAGTTTATTTAATTGAAGCAGTCAGAGTGAAAACTACTGAAAACCTGCTGCTTCTATTTATTCTCTGGGTTTCTATGGAGAGATGAGTTCCAAGTAATGATACTTTTAAAGAGAAATATATGAGGCAAACAGTGCCCTAGTGGTCAGGGACGGGCATGAGCTTGGTTGAAGTAGGTGACTGTATTGGAGGGGTGATTTGGGGGGTGCTGTATGGTTATTGGAAGGGGAAAAATGGGACTTATGTCCCCTCAAGTTTTATTAATAGTAATTGATATGGTTTGGCTGTGTCCCCACCCAAATCTCATCCTGAATTGTAGCTCCTATAATTCCCATGTGTTGTGGGAGGGGCCCAGTGGGAGGTAATTGAATCATCGGTCTTTCCTGTACTGTTCTCATGATAGTGAATAAGTCTCACGAGATCCAATGATTTTATAAAGAGGAGTTCCCCCGGCCACGCTCTTGCCTGCCGTGATGTAAGATGTGACTTTGCTCCTCATTTGCCTTCCACCATGATTGTGAGGCCTCCCAGCCATGTGGAACTGTGAGTCAATTAAATCTCTTTCCTTTATAAATTACCCAGTCTTAGTATGTCTTTATTAGCAGCGTGAGACCAGACCAATACAGTAATGATAATGGTAAAATAGTAATAGTTCACACACATCTTTTTCGAGCACCTACTGTGTTCTACTCACTGTCTCATTTAATCTGCAGGCATCTATGAGCTGGGTAGAGCAGAATGGTTATCCTTATTTTACCATTGAGGTTCAGAGAGGTTAAATGAATTGCCTGAGGTCACGCAGCTGATAAGGGACAGTGCCTACATTTGAATATAGGTCATGTGATCCTACAATTTTTGCTTTTCACATCTAAATTGTATGGCCACAGATATTGATATCCAAATTGAGGGAGGAGAAAGTGCAGAAGGGCAACAAATTGGCAAGAGAGGAATCAGATTTAATTGATTACAAGATTATCAGCCATTGTTTTAGACTCTAAGACACTGATGGATACGTGTGCCAGAGTCTCACGATCGAAGAGTTCTTTCTAGGGGCTTGCCGTATCACATTCTCTCCCCGCATTTGATATCGTGACCACCCTGGAAGATAATTGATGTGTTGTTCTCAGGGGCCGTGGCTCAGGATTCTTCAGAGTTGTGCACTCTTTCTGAAAGGTCAGGAGGACACCAGAACCAACAGCATCTTGAAAGGGAGTATTTGCCCTTCCTGGATCAGAGGGAGGCCCTCTGTCATGTGGTCTGAGACAGCGCAGCCAGGGCAAGACTTAACTGTGCAGGAGTGGAGACAAGGTCCTACCTGGAAGGCTCAAGTCTGAAGACGGAAGACACCCAGAGTAATGAGGTCACAAGGCTTTGTGATTTGCAGCAGGCTGGGATGTGGGGTAGTGGAACGGGCAGTTTGGAAGTTAGATAGTGGATGTGAAGCATCTGCCTTTGGTAGTACTGGCTGCCGGGCATGGAGGCTGGGATTGCAGTCTTACAGGGCTGAGCAGGTGGGACAGGGCCCAGCACATTCCTTAAACATGGCATTAATTATGGCTGCTATTTGCATGGTGCTTTTCAATTTACAAAATTCTTCCACTTTAGCATGCAATATATTTGCTGCATTAAATGGAATAAAAGGGGATGTCTGTTACAACTTATTTCTTGGAAGTTCACACATATCCATGCATATTATGATAATTTTGAAAGAAGTCACCAAGTCTGATGAGGTTTGGCATATGCCTCAACTTCAGCTTTTGGGTTAGTTTATTACTTTGAAATGAAGTGGCAGCAGGCATATTCCTGTGAGTATTCTGGGAGAAGTCTATGGTCCAGAGAATCATGGAGGAATATACAAAGGTGTCTCACCCTCTTGGTGAGAGATAGTGAGCATGTTAGGCTGAGAATAACCTTTGAAGTAAAAGGGGGCCATGAACGTTCTGGCATAATCAACAGAGGGACAATCTCTGTTACTGGTGGCTCCTCTCATCCCTCTATCTCCACCTGGTTCTTTCTTTTGTGATGCACTGAAGTGAAGTTCCTTGTTTTGGGGCAACCCAGGCCCATTCCTCCTTCTTTTGGTGACAGCACCTAGAATTTCCTTTGGGCTACTCCTTCCTCATGCTTAAGGCCACAGGTGTTAGATCAAGATGGCTCCATTGCTGGCTTTGGGGGTGGATCCTATGGCCACACCTGGCATGTCAGACCACTGAATTTCTCGAGCCACAGTGATTGGTTCAGGGGTGGGCAGGTGACCAGAATTCAGTGGATGCTACAGGAAAGAGAGATAGTCTCTTTCCACTGCCTGGGATCTTGACAGCTCGAGGCTGGGAGGCTCTATTCAGCAGTAGCCACCCTGTTGCCACGAGGGGAGACCTTGCCTGAGCATTGAGCCAATGGGTGTAGCAGAACCTAGAGAAGAAACCAGTTCTTGATGTCATCAGTTGGGGCTCTGCATCAAACTTATGTCAGATTCTCAGCAGGAAACAGATGGAATACTTAAAAGGGCATAACTGAAGAAAGGCTAATGCCAGGGGTATTTGCAGAGGTGTGGAGGAGGATTAGGGGAATGAGAAAGCACAGTGAATCACTCAGGGACTAGCAACAGTGGGAAGCTGTTAGTACCCGTAGTCCTGAAGGCGTGAGGGGAGGGAACAGTGTTACCAGAGCCTGATAGGAGCTGAGCCATGGAAGGGGGGATGGTGGTGGCAGAGGAATGCAGCCATTGGCAGACTGTGATGAGGCAGGGAGGAAGTGGGAATGGGCTGGGGGAGACAAATGCTCTGACGATACCCTCCTGGAGCCTTCTCATCTTCTGCTGGCCCTGCATCGATTGGACACAATCAAAGCCAGAGATTAAGGTCAGCCTTCCAGACACAGAACACAGCAGAGAAGGGCAGAGAATGGATCTGGGTTCGGGGAGGTAAGTGGAAAAAACCAGCACAAAGCTAATGTCTGTTAGATTTGTCAGTTAGGAAAACCAATAATCCTTCTTTTTGCATAAGCCAGTTTTGGGTGCCTGTTCTATCATTTGTACTGTAAGAGTCCTAGGTGATTTATAAACCTTATCAACTAGCTCTTATTGTAGTTATTGGTTATGTCTCATCTTCCCTCCTATATGTGAGCTCTTTGAGGATCAGGACTGACTTTTATGTTTCTGTATTTTCAGTACAGTGTCCAGCGCATAGTAGGTGCTCAATAAATGCTTGCTAAAGTGCATTGAGCTGACTTGGGAATGGCTCACACAAAGACAAAAGGCATGTTCTACCATGGCACTTAGCTGCAAGGTGGGGAGCTGCATATGTACATCCTGAGCTGCTTTGCCACTGCTGTGAAAGCAGAGAAGGGTTGAGTCCCTGGAAAAGGAATTTGGGTAAGTGCATGGGAGGATGGGAGGAAGCAGAGAGATGCCCGTGAGTGTTCCAGGCTGTGGACTTTGATGGGCAGCCAAGATGAGACTTTTCAGGGGCAATGAGACATTTGTTCAGCAAACAAACCTGGGGCAGAACCTCAATGTTAAAAGCTCTGTTAGAAATCATCTGATAGAATTCCCAACATGTGACATCATAGTGTGGGGTTGAGGTGGGAGGGCAGGACGGATGACTGTAAAGCACCAACATAAAGCTGGTGATCCAGTATAACATGCTAATACCTCAGGGGAAAGATAAATTGCAAGACAGGGTGAAAAAATTCAGGGAAGGGCTCTGATTGGCCTGGCTGAGTCCAGTGCCTATCCCTTCTACCAATCACAGGCCAGAGGGTCTCTTGCTTCTTCCTGTACCAGTTACTAGAAGAGGTGGCGGAAAGGTTGCTGGGAAGACAGAAACTATGTGTTTTGATATTTCTAACCATTCCTGTTAGTCTGGAGCCAGTATCTGAATCTTGTTTTTCACAGATGGCATTGCAAAGACAGCATACCTGAGGGATAGTTGAGGGTTCTCAGGGGCCATAAAATGCTACAGGCAAGAAAGATGTGGGCTTTCTTAAACGATTGTCTGAAAAAACAGAGGGAACACAGGGAATGCACAGAATGCATTCTGGGCTTTCTAGCTATTATGCCTTAAGGCAGTGGTTCTCAAAGCATGTTCTGGGGAGCCCTGGGAGATTCTGAGATTTCTTTCAGAGGGTCCTCAAGGTCAAAACTATTTTCATAATAATATTTGCTTATGTTATTTGCTTATGTTACTGTCATTGACTCACCGGTGTACGGTGGAGGAGAATGAAATGTTCCAGGGGATGCCTGGCATGTGACGATGCTACAGATTGAATGCAGAAGCAGGCACGAGAACCCAAGTCTTCTTCGAAGCTAGTCATCAAAGAAGTCTGCAAGAATGGAAAACAGTGCCACTCTTCTCACTATTTTTTTTGGAAAATAGTTATTTTATGTAAAAATAGATATTTATGTTAATATGCAATGAGTTTATTAGTTACTTTAAAGATGAATTAGTGTGTACACTTGTAGAGATTTCTCAATTTTAATTTCTGATATGGCAAGTATTGACAGATGTTACCTACATAAACAAGAGCTCTTTGGGGTCCTCACTCATTTTTAAGACCGTGAAGTCATCCCGGGATTAAACGTTTGAGAATCACTCACTGCCTTAGGGTAATGTTAAGTCCCTGGCAATGAACGGGGGAAGGGAATTTACCTTTTTTCTGCTTGCATCTTCGTTTTAATACTGAAGTTATATTGAATGAATGATAGTACTTCTCATCCTGTGGAGATAGCCCCATGGAGACAGGAGAATGTGCAGCGAATAGTGGAAAGATCATGCATGAAATTTAGTCAGACAGTCCTGTCTTTAACTTAAAGTTCCTCTGGGCAAGTGATTGTGATCAAATTACTTGCTATTTCTGAACTGCAATTTCTCATTGGTAAAATGTAGATGGTAACAGCTACCCAACTCACTGAAATTTTGTGGAGATTAAATGATGTGTTTGCGAAACCATCAAACCTGTTGCCAGGTACGTAACAGGTGCTCCATAAATATTAGCCTCCCTTCCTCCCTCTCAGGGTGCTCCAAGCGCAGTCCTTTTAGAGTCACCAATAGGAATTCTTGTCTGAAGTGGTTCACAAACATAGTTCAACCTGGTCTCTGGCCTATTTATTTATTTATTTATTTATTATTTATTTTGAGATGGAGTCTCTCTCTGTCGCCCAGGCTGGAGTGCAGTGGCTGCGATCTCGGCTCACTGCAGGCTCCGCCTCCCAGGTTCACGCCATTCTCCTGCCTCAGCCTCCTGAGTAGCTGGGACTACAGGCACCTGCCACCACGCCCGGCTAATTTTTGTATTTTTAGTAGAGACAGGATTTCACCGTGTTTGCCAGGATGGTCTCGATCTCCTGACCTCGTGATCTGCCCGCCTCAGCCTCCCAAAGTGCTGGGATTACAGGCGTGAGCCACCATGCCTGGCCCAAGTCTCTGGCCTTTTCTTGTCCCATACGTCTTTTGTTCCTAAAGAATCAGTTCTCTGGCTCATGGATCCCCTTTTTTGCAACATCAGAGCCACTGAATTCCATTTCCTGGGTTTACTTACTCTTGGTGGATATAATGAAAGCACAGGGGAATTTTGTAGATAGATATACCATCAGTGGATTTTTTTTTTTTTTTTTTTTTTTTTACAAACACACTCTTCTTTTCTTTTGGGATCAGAAATGGTTTGAAGGGGAGAGGAAAAGGCCCCAGTCAGAGAGTTACCTAGCAACTGTTGGAACTCAGGTGAAATCTGCTAATTAGATTGATGTGGAGTGTGGTCCGAGAGGAGTTGCCTAGCAACCAGCAGTCTCCTGGACCTCACTGCAGATTTTGGTGGACAGCATCCATACTCCCTTGAGAAGGGCTTCCCCAAAGTTGCTTTCCACATGGAAATTTCCACCCAAATTTATCCAACCTGCTCTTTCTCTCTCTCTTTTTCTCCTCTGCCCCTCTTTGCCCTTTTTCTTTGGATCAATCAATAAACCAGGCAGCTAAAAGAAAGTTGAACTTTTTGGGGACACCACTAGGTCTAGTGGAAAGACCATGAGTTCTGGAGTCAAATAAATCTGGGTTTCAAACCCGTTCTGTCACTTATTGGCTCTATCAGATAAGTTACCTCATCTAAGAGTCAGTTTGTTCATCTATGAAATGGGAGATAATAGAGCCAAGGTCAGAAGGCTATTGTGAGGTTTAAATTAGATAAGACCCAGAGTGCCTGACATATAGCAATACTCATTAAACATTACTTCCTTCTATCCACTCTCTTTGCATATTAGGTATTACAGACTGTAAGGAATCAATCAGAAGGATTAGTATATTAGAAATGGATGCCTAAAACATAAATGTTACAGAGGAATATACTGTAGTTGTTAGTATATAATATCATATTTTATATAAATATATATAAACCACTTTTACTAGTTCTTCAAAACTAGACATTTAGACAATGGAAAAAGAGAATGAAATATGTTTGAATATTGGTGAAGTTTTGTTTTCATCTTGCCCATAGAAGATGCTGTCAGATCGTGAGTGTTTTTACATCAGAAACATAAGGATGCTGTGGTAGACCAAACAGTGGCTCCTCAAAGATGTTCACGTCCCAATTTCCAGAACCTGTGAACATGTTGCTTTACATGGCAGAGGGATTTTGCAGCCTTGATTAAATTAAGGGTCATGAGATGAGATTATTCTGGGTCCTTATTATAGGGTCCTTCTAAGGAAAAAAAGGGGACAGGAGAGGCAGGAGGAGATGTCAGAAGCATGAGATCCAAGAAGAGGGAGATTTGAAGATGTTACACTGTGGGTTCTGAAGAAGAAAGGGGTCACAAGTTAAGGAACACAGGTGGCCTCTGGAAGCTGGGATGGCAAGGGAGCCAATCACTCTTAGAGCCTCCAGAATGAACACAGCCCGGCCAACACCTTGATGTGTTAGCCCAGTGAGATCCATTTTGGACTTCTGATCTCTAGAACTATAAGATAATAAATGCATGTTGTTTTTAAGTTACTAAATTTGTGACAATCCAGGAGTTTGAGACCAGCTTGCCCAACATGGTGAAACCCCATTTCTACTAAAAATACAAAAATCAGCCAGGTGAGGTGGCACGTGCCTGTAATCCCAGCTGCTTGGGAGGCTGAGGCAGGAGAATCACTTGAACCTGGAAGGCAGAGATTGCAGTGAGGTGAGATTGCGTCACTGCACTCCAGCCTGGGCAACGGAGCAAGACTCAAACAAAAACAAAAACAAAACAAAACAAAACAAAAAACCCTCCAAAAATAGTGACAATCTCTCACAGCAGCAACAGGAAACGAATACAGATGACTTTGAGTGTTTTGGTGGGGGCTCAGACGTCTGGAAACTTGACCCCACTGTGCTCCTATTATGCCCTTGACTAGTTGAGGCAATGTTTTTCCACCTGTTCACTGAAGGGATTGGATTAAACTGGCATCTCTGTTGGGCCCCTTCCAGTATAGCCCTCGTATGTTCTATGCTCCAGGACCGCCCAGTGGAGACAGTTGGAGTGAGTAATGAAACAGTGTTGCTAGGTTCTTTGGAGGGCTTGTGTTCATTCAACAAACTGGTACTTAATAGGAACCAGGTGCTGTGCTAATCGCTGGGAATATAAAGACAAATAAGCTGCTTTTGCCCTTGCAGAAATCAGAGTCCAGTGGGAGAGGGAGTGAGAGGGGGTAACGCACTAGTGCCAGGCCAGGGTTTCCAGGGTGGTGGGGGCAGGACTAAGGCTCCTGACTGGTGTGAAGGTGAAACTCCCCAGAAGTAAAGAATAGACAATGTTTAGCAGGAAGGGAGATGAGTGAAGGTGATTTCCCAGGCAGAGCCCGCGCAAAGGCAGGGAGGCACAGGATGTGGGGTGTCTGGGTTACAGCAAAGAGGAAATCAGGCTGATTGAGTGGGGGCGGGAGTAGTGAGTGCAGGCTGGGAGCCAGAACCTGGGGGGGCCTTATCAGCCACTCTGAGGGCAGTGGGGAGCCCCTGAAAGGTTCTCCTTGGGGCATGGCAAGATGCCTTCATGTGCTGTGATTATTTTTCACTTTGATATTTAAAAGCTAGAGAGGCTTTGGGATATAGAGCCTTGCCAGCAAATTACTTACTATTATACTGGCGATATTAAATAATGCAAAGACCTAGAGAAAAATTTGTCAGAGTATTAACTCTGGAGTTAAACTACCTGGCCTTAAATCTTGGTTCTATCACTGGCTAGCTGTACGACCTTGGGCAAACTGCTCAGCCCCTTTAGGTGCCTCAGTTTCCTCATCTATAAAATGAGGATGATTGTAGAATTACCTCAGAGAATTAAATGAATATAATAAAGTGCTTAGAGCACTGCCTAGAACACAGTAAATGTTCTGTAAGTCTTTGCTGTTATAATTTCTGATAAGACCACAAACATTAGGATTTTTTTCTGACATGAGCCTCAGTAGCACACTGTTTGGTGTGACGGAGGTGGTTCTCTTAGACTATGTCCAAGGGGGCTTGTTACTGCATGTGGCCAGGTCACCAAGGTGAACCTTGTTAAAACTCCAATTCTCGTTCAACTCTGGCAGCAAAGACTCCAAGGAGACCATTAAGGTGACACTCTGGGGTATTTCAGGAATGTTCTCTGTATCTTGATGTCCCAGCTGAATAGGCCTGGCAGGTTGCCCATAGCAAAACTTGCACGGAGGCCGAACTTCATCTTTGATTTCCTCTGCTCTCCCTTGACAGGTTCTGCCAGGCTGTTTGACCTTAGGCAAGTCACTCTGCCTTTTGGAGGCTTAGCTTTCTTGCCCATGAACAGGGGCCAATGATAATACCAGTCTTTATCTAACTCAAGGAAGTGTTCACTCACTATATTAGTGGCCTATGGTTGCGTTATTACACCAAAATGTAGTGGCTTAAAACAACAAACATTTTATTATCTCTCAGTTCTGTTGGTCAGGAATCTGGGCACAGCTTAGCTGGGTACTTCTGGCTTTGGGTCTCTCATGAGATTGTAATCAAGCCGTGGGCCAAGACTGCAGTCATCTTAAGGCTCAACTTCAAGTTCACTCGCATACCCTTGGTTCCTGTCTGCTGGGGCTGTAACAAAATACCACAGACTGGGTGGCTTACACCACAGGAATTGATTTTCTCACAGTTCTGGAGCCTGGAAGTCCAAGATTAAGGGGCTGGCTGGGTTGGTCTCTCCTGAGGCCTCTATCCTTGGCTTGCAGATGGCCGCCTTCTTGCTGTGTCCTCACGTGGCCTTTTCTCTGTGCCTGTGCATCCCTGGGATCTCTTCCCATTCTTATAAGGACACCAGTTCTACTGGATTAGACCCCACCCTCATGTTCTCAGTTAACCTTAATTACCTCTTTGAAGGCCCTATCTCCAAATGTAGTCACACTGGGGCCTAGGGCTTCAATGTATGAATTTTGGGGGAACACAACTCGGGCCATAGTAGTTTTTCACCACACAGGCCTCTCTATGAACTGCCTGAGTGTTCTCATGACAGAGGAGCTGGTGATCCATGGGAGAATCTGAAAGCACTCCCAAAAGTCCTTGTATAACCGAATCTTGGAAATGACCTTTATCACGTTGGCTTCCATCACTTCTGCTGTATTCTATTTGTAAGAACAGAGTCACTCAGTTCAGCTTGTACTCAAGGAGGGGAAATACCATAAGGGGATGGGTTCCATAAGGAGAGATCATTGGGGGCCATCCTAGAGGTTGCCTATCACAGCCATTCATTCACACAATGCAAATTTACTGAGTGCCTACTATGTACCCCTGGTGATACAACAGCAAGTAAGGCAGACACAATTCTGTATCTCCCAGAGCTTGCATTCTGGTAGGGGAGATAGGCTACATACATACTGACAGAGCAGGAGCACCGTCATCTCAGATAAACACTGCCACTTTAAGTTCCAGCTCCCTTTCTAGCCTCATGCATTTCAAGGAAATCACTTCTCTTCTAACAACAAGCAACCAGAAAGAGCAGACAGTAAAACACAGATAAGACAGCTCGGGCACAGAGGGAGGTGGGGAGAAAGTCTCTTGGGTAACTGCCAAACTTCACCCTCATACAATGGACCCGAGTAAAACAGTGGGCCTTAATAAGCACATTCCTTTCCCTTCAGGATGCCCTAAGATAGAGAAGCTAAAAGCAGACTCAGGGGTATGCTGCAGCTGCAGAAAGATGTATGAGAACAGACACAACTCTCCTTCCCAGAGAAGCACAACAAAGAGACACAGAAGCAGTCCAAGCCTCTGACAAACTCTCCCACCCTGAATCCTTAGAATCTCTTAGTCTGTAAGAGAGTGTGCTCTGACCTAACTCGGCCAGAAGCCACTCTCAGGTTTGCTTTCTCTAAAATATACCTCTCCTTGACTGTTGAGCCACCTTTCATGTTTCTTTCCTTTTTATTTAATTCTTAACACGTACTGGGTGCTAGATTTATCTAGATAAATAAAAAAAGATATAAATATAGATCTGTGTGTATTTAGGTTCAGGTAGTGATCAGTGCTCTGGACGGATACAGAGCAGGATGGAGGATGGCGTAATGGAGAGAAAGTTGTGTCTATTCAAACAGCCACTGACAGCTTCTCTGATGGGGCCACAGAACCCTGCAGTAAGGGAGGGGAGGGCAGATACCTGGAGGGAAGAAGAGCTTGTGCTGCTTTGTTGTTAGAACAAATCAAAATCACATGCTTGAAAATGCCTTGTATATGGACAAGTGTTATGCAACTGTAAGGTGGTGTTGTTATTGTTGACAGTTTTCGTTGCCCGCCCATCCCATACACCCTTATCCAGCCTGCCTCATCAAGGGATTAGCTGATCAATGCTTAGAAGGTTATTTGTCCAGAGTAATTGTGTTTTTTTCCCCCAAGTAGAGGGAATATCTTTGTTGATTCTTCTGATTATATAGTGATACATGCTCATTGTAAGCAAAATTCAAACAATACAGGCAATTAAAATTTCAAAGGAGATGCTTGCAACTGAGAAAGATCTGACTAAACAAGAGAATTAAAATGTATCACAAGCCATGTCCTGGGGGCTGCTTTGGGTGAAATATCTCAGGTGCCTGTCATCCTCTTGGTTATCCCAGTGGGGGAGGTGGTGCAGGGACTGGCCCAGGCCACAGTGCTGGAATTCAGACCCGGTGGACTCCACCCAAGTACCTGCTGCTTTCTCTACATCGTGCTGCCCTCCATGGATGGATATTCACAGATAAGGGCATGGGCGAAATGTTTTCAGCTTGCAGATAAGCAAGGGACTTGTCAGTGCCCCTCAGCATTGATCTTCTGCCTTCAGCTGGTCCCTGCATTTTGGGAAAGGAGATTGGAGGAAATGGCAATAGGACATTTAGGTTTTACACCTGTTTTCTGGCTCAGATGGCCTAGTGGGTATCATCCCTGTTAAGATGTTTTCTGTTACTGTTCATAGAAAAAGACAGAAGTAAAGTCTCCTAGTGAGGTTGGGGTGCTCACACTACTTGATAAGTGATCTCATCATTAAAGTACAAGACCTTCTAATAGGGAACGAGAGCTTAACTTTACCAAATCACCTGGAGTATAAGCCACAGACTCCTTTCTTTTGAAATAATAATGACTATTAGTTATTGACCCTATACTGTGTACCAGGCCCCATTCTAAACACTTTAAAATAATTAATTAAATCACAAAAACTTAGAAGTAAAATTTCAACCTTATAGGGTAGATGTACATTTAACTTATTAAGAAACTGCCAAACAGTTCTCCAAAGTTGGTTACAACCATTTTACATTCTTACCAATAAGTACGAGAGTTCTGGTTACTCAACATCCTCTTCAATGGTGTCTATCTTTTCCATTACATGATGTCTTTTTCATTTTATCAATTTAAGCAGGTATGTAGTGGTATTTTATCATGGTTTAAATTTCTCTGAAGATTAATGATGTTGAATATTTTCTCATGTGCTCATTATTTACGTAATTTGTTTTAAAATCTTTCTGATAGTTATTAATAAATAATTTAAGACTGAATTTTCCTCTAAGTATGGGTTTAGCCATATCCCAAAGAGTTTGAAAAGAAGTGATCTAATTTTTTTTAGCCCTAAATAATTTTATCTTTCTTGTTTTTTTTCTTTTTAGAGACCAAGGTCTTGCTCTTTTACTTAGGCTGGAGTGCAGTAGTGTGATTATAGCTCACTGCAGCCTTGAACTTCTAGGCTTAAGCTATCCTTACACCTCAATCTACCGAGCACTTGGGACTACAGGCATGCACCACTACATCTGGCTAATTTTTTAATTTTTATTTTTTTAGAGATGGGATCTTACTTTGTTGCCCAGGCTGATCTAAAACTCCTGAGCCCAAGTGATCCTCCTACCTTATCCTCCCAAGTAGCTGGGATTACAGGCTTGAGCCACTGTACCCGGCAATTTTGTCATTTTATTTCTAATAATTAAAAAAATTCCCGAGTTATTTAAAGGATAATTTTCAGGTTTCCCCAATGATTAAAATTTTTTGTTTGCTTATCTGTTAATTATTAGCTTCTGAATTTGCATAATTATAGTCAATTAGCATGACCTGTAAAATACTAACTTTTTAGAAAATAACATATGTGGTTAAGTACATGGTCCCTATTTTTAAGTCTTCTATGGGAATAAAGAATATATTTTATGGGACCTGGCATGGTGGCTCATGCCTGTAATCCCAGCACTTTGGGAGGCCGAGGCAGGGGATAACAAGGTCAGGAGATCGAGACCATCCTGGCTAACATGGTGAAACCCCGTCTCTACTAAAAATACAAAAAAATTAGCTGGGCGTGGTGTGGTGGCAGGCGCCTGTAGTCCCAGTTACTCTGGAGGCTGAGGCAGAAGAATGGCATGAACCTGGGAGGCAGAGCTTGCAGTGAGCCAAGATCGTGCCACTGCACTCCAGCCTGGGCAACAGAGCAAGACTATCTCAAAAAAAAGAAAAAAAAGAATATATTTTCCTTTTTAGTGTACATGGTTCTCTTTCTACATATCTATTAAATCAGGATTGATAATTATGTTGCCAAAATGATGTCTATACTTCTTTTGTCTGTTTAATCTACAAAATTTGAAGAGTGATGTTTTGGATTCTCACTGTGCTTTTTTTTTTTTTTTTTTAAATTGAATTTGCCTTGCATTTCTAAGAGCCTTTGCCTTGTAGATTGTTCACTGCATACATTTCATGACTATAGCTACTTCTTCATGGAGTGCCCTTTTATCATTAAGAATATCCTTTCTTTAAACTGTTTAAATTTTTGGCCTAACATTCTATTCTTAGCCCTTAATATCTCTATCCATGTTTCTTTTTGTTTGCTTTTGTCTGATACATGTTTGCTTATCCAATTGTTTTCACCTTCCCTGTATCATTTTGTTTTAGGTCCATCTCTTATAAATTGCATATAATTGGATTTTTGTTTTTCCAACCCATCCCCAAGGACCTTTATCATTTCACAGTGGAATTTAACCCTCTCACATGAATTTGGCATCCAGGAGGTTTGGTCTCACTCCTGCCATTTAATTTTATGCTTTCTGTTTATTACACTTTCTATTGGTTCCCTCATTTCTGCTTTACTTATTTTTGTTAGGTTGATAAAGTTTATTCCTTTTTCTTCCTCTCCAGTGAATTAGAAGTTCTAATATGAATTCATATTCTACTGTGTTTACATTTAATATACATAGTTAAATATATCTCTCCAACAATTACACAAGTGAAATAGTGATCTTGTCCCTCCAGTTTTGCCAGAATAATTTGGAATTTTAATTGCATGTTAACTTTTTTCTTAGAGCATGCCTCTTATAGTTTAAGAATCCATTTAAACTTCCATTGCAATTTCATGTCCCACTTCTATCATTTAGATTTAATTATTAATAAATGTTTATTCGATTGAATTATATGTGGGCATTTTTGGTCTCTTTGTTTATCTGTTTGAGGACAGGGACCATTAAAAAAAAGTTGTCTATATTCTCCCATAGCCTTACACATGGTAAGCAATTCACTACTATGATGTTGAGGACACAATTTTGACCCTCAAGTTTGACCTATTTTTGCCCCAACTTTGCCCCTTGTTAGTCACCTGAGCTTAACTAACATTACTGACCATCGGCTTCCTTAACTCTGAGATGGGTATTATAACGTTTTGGTGCCACAAAAGAAATAGCACTTGAATGTAAAATTTTCTTTTTAATTCTCAGCAAGGCAACGTATTTCTATAGAAAGGTGAGTCCTTACAGATGGAGCAACGGTGAGCACACACCTGGACAAGGGAGGGAAAGGGCTGTGGCCACTGCTGCTGTGTTGTTCCCCTATTGGCTAGGATTAGACTGCACAGGCTAAATTAATTCTGATTGGCTAATTTAAAGAGCGTGACAGGGCGAGTGGTTTGGTGGGAAAACGTGGTTATGCAGTGAGGAGGATGAGTCAGGGCAGAACAGGTGGCAGATAATTGGAATGTCAGGGTGGAGCAGTAATCGGAATGAGTCAGGGTGGAGCAGGTGATTGAAATGAGGGTGGAGCAGGTAATACAAAAAGGTTGCTTTATGATGAAGTTTAAAAGTAGAAGGCAAAGAATTGAATATACTGACATATTGATTCTTTGAAAAGAAATTTAGAACTCATATCTAATGGCATAACTTGGCAGGCTAGTTAATGAAGTTAAGATCAAATCTGCAAGAATTCTGAGAATCAGCTTGTGCAGCTGAAACTGCTGTTGCAAAATAATGACTGAGACAGTGAAAGAGATCTAACTTAACTGACTCCATCTTGCGTCTAACCTTTAAGCTGCGGTGTTCCTTCTTGGGTGTAGGCTGAACTAACTTAGGGAGGAACTTAGTTTCTAGTTTAAAACAAAGACGATGGCAGCCCTTTCCCAAAACAAACCTCCTTCTTGCCTGGGCACCAGACTGCCTTTGTAAGACTAATAAATTACATAAGATTATAAATTATGGTTTAGGAATCATGTGGCTGGAGGCTACAAGATTCTGAGCCTCCCTAAACTGTTACTAAGATCACTGCTTGAGATATTTTGCAGACCCTGCACTTGATGGATCAGCTGACACCACCCAGATTGATAAACTGGTTCATCTGATCTTGTGGCCGCCACCCAGGAACTGACTCAGCACAAGAGGACAGCTTCAGCTTCCTAAAATTTCATCTCCAACCTAACCAATCAGCACTCCTGGCTCACTGGCTTACCCCCACCCACCAAGTTGTCCTTAAAAACTCTGATCCTTTGAGTAATAATAAAACTCCGGTCTCCCACACAGCAGGCTCTGCAGTGAATTACTCTTTCTCTATTGTAATTCCCCTGTCTTGATATATCAGCTGTGTCTAGGCAGCGGGCAAGGTGAACCCATTGGGCAGTTACGCAGCTGCTGGATGAACAAATAAATGTGTGGAAAATGAAGAAAAACCGAGAGTCAAAGCTTACAGACTCTGCGATGTGTCCTGGATGCAAAGGCCACCTCCTGGAGTTTTTGCTACCTTTGCTTTTCAGCTGAAAGTATTTTGGGTGAGCTCAGCCAAGAGGTGGCTGCAGATTGTAGGTGGAGATGCTGGGGAGTGTGTGGGGTTTTGCGATTTTCCAAGCTCTAGATGTACAGCCAGGGGAGCCCCTATGCAAGACTCAGCCTACTCACCACGTGGGGCGCTGTGCAGTCATGATATTTACCAGCAGTCAATCCGGTAGGGAGCCTCAGAATGGTGAGTTGGACTTGGCAAGGGCATGCTTGGCTTTCAGGGAGTTTGTTTGCACAGTCAGATTGATTTCTGCTCTCCTGTGACCAGAGGACACCGGTGCTTATCTTGGTCCCCTCTCCACCCTTTGTTTGCCTGACCCCTTGGCTCCCTTTTTAATACTTTAAAATTTTAAGGTTTTCCTTTACTAAATATCACAGAATTTTTTTTATTTTTTCTTCTTTTTTTAAATCTGGGAGCTTACCACCCAAGCTGGCCCAGCCTGATGTTTTTTTTTGCTTTGTATTTTCACAAGGATGAGATAAGTCCCCATGATCTCTCCTGGGTTTTTTGCTGGTGCTGCTTGTTAACTCGAGTAACTCTCGGCATTTTCTTTGCTTCCTTTCTCTGGCATTTCTGCCAAAGTGTTTCTGAACGTTCAAGGCCTGAGTGAGGTTGAGCTAGATTGTCTCTTAGATGTGCCTCATCCAAGGCTTCCCTTCACACCCATGCTGGGCTTAGTACCAAGGGGTGGTCCATCCTTTGCCCTATCTGAGATCTCTTCCCCACTTTAATTAACTTTTTAGTTTGAATTTTCAGGAAAGTTGTAAAGATAGTGCAGAATTCCCAAATGTCCTTCATCCAGCTTGCTTTGCTGTTCACCTTTTTTGGTACAATACTATTAATTACAGACTTCAGAATTCACCAGCTTTTCCACGAATGTCTTTTTTTCTGTTCCAGGAACCAATCTGGGATCCCATGTTGTGTGTAGTTGTCAGAGGTCCTTAGCTTCCTCCCATCTGTGACAGTGTCTCAGTGTTTTATTGCTTGTGATGATCTTGAAAATTTTGAAGAGTGCCCCATTTTAATATATGGGAACACAAGCTTTACTGCATTTGGAAAGGAGGAAGAGCAATGTATTAATTCCTTTCTGCCTTCTCAGAGAAAGTCTGCTCTTGTCTAAGCCATTGTTCTGGTAGCAGCATCAACACTCTCAGAAGCGTTTTTGTTTTTCTTTTTTTTTTTTGAGACAGTCTCGCTCTGTTGCCCAGGCTGGAGTGCAGTGGCACGATCTTAGCTCACTGCAAGCTCCGCCTCCTGGGTTCACACCATTCTCCTGCCTCAGCCTCCCGAGTAGCTGGGACTACAGGCGTGCACCACCACTCCTGGCTAATTTTTTTCTTTTTTTTTTTGTATTTTTAGCAGAGTTGGGGTTTTGCCATGTTGGCCTGGCTGGTCTTGAACTCCTGACCTCAGTTGATCCACCTGCCTTGGCCTCCCACAGTACTGGGATTACAGGTATGAGCCACCGTGCCTGGCCTCAGAAGCTTTTTATAAAGCGTTTGGAGCAATGAATTTTCTTCCCCATCCAGAAGTTTGACTAGGTGATATGTAATTTTTTTTTAAATGTTTTATTTCCATAGGTTATTGGGGGAACGGGTGGTGTTTGGTTACATGAGTAAGTTCTTTAGGGGTGATTCGTGAGATTTTGATGCACCCATCACCTGGGCAGTATACACTGCACCCTATTTTGTAGACTTTTATCTGCGTGACCCTGACTTAGTATATAAACAAGGAATGCATGGAGTCGACAGGTTAATGATGCCCCTGGGTAATGTCATATATGGTTGTGCCCACATTCCTTATAGGTACATAGCTGAGCTAGAATTTGCAAAAACTAGCATTTATTAATTTTTTTGGCAGGGGCCACCCCTTTAGCACCTGGGAGCACATATTCCGCCCCACCCGCCACTCCCCTGCTCGCCTCTGTGGGGATGCAAATTCTAAATTAGAGCACTAGCAATGGCAGTCCAGATGTCACAACTCAAAACACCAAGAACAGACAGAGCCATCTTTATCTAAGTGTGACACCTGGATGTGTCTCAGCCGAAAGAACCCCCAGACTCCCCCACATCAGAATACTGGGAAGTCTGGTTACAGTGAATGATGAGGACCCCTTCAGGGATGGGAGGATACAGCAAAGGATCACAGGAGCCTGGGAGGGAGATGGAGAAGGGGAAAGGCACGAGCAACAACTCTTCTCCCTATTCAGAGCCAATGTGTGTGGACAGGTGTCTCGAGGTTGGCTGAACTACCCCTTTCTCTGGTTCTCTGCTTCCCCTAAAGGCATCTCTGGCTGGCTGCTCAGGAAAGGGAGGCTCTAGAGTAGATGACTGACCTGATTTTCCAGACCCCAGAAAGATCTCTGGGACTGCACGGTGGCCTGACTTGGTGTTTGGAATGGGTGGCAACGCTTCTGGATAGGGGGAGATCATTAGTATTTTAGTGGAAGAGGTGCTGATGGGCTGCAGAATCCTTTGTTTGTCCTGGCTCTACCACCAACATGTGGTGCGGCTCTGGTAACCCACCATTTTTAATTTCCTTGTCTGTAAAAAAAAGGGAAGGGGGGAGGCTAGATGAGATAATTCCAAGATTCCTTCAAACTCTAGCACATTAGGATTCTTGTTTAGCTCTGTCACACCCAAGGTAACTTGACTCACCCCCTATTAGAGGACTCACTCTTTTCCTCGTGTGCCGTGATGTGAAAACTCTTGGAAGCCTCGTGGTGCCGGCAAGCATGCCTTGGGGCCCTCTGGCATCCATGTCTCATTCCTAACAGCGCCTTGGTATCCTTTGGGATAATTACCTTTTGTCCAGTGTCTTTAGTCTGGAAGATCTCTGACTTCCAATAAACATGAAGGGGACATGTGACCCAAACCCTGCCAAAGAGATGCTTTTTTCCCTAGAATTTGAACCTTGAGCAAATGCGAGAAGGTTGCAAACGTCATCCATTGGTGATGCCTGGACCTGCCACTCCTGCGGTAGGACCATTTCTGTTCTTCCTGTCTCCAGGAACTGTCTGTGCCCCCTAGCAGCATCCAGGCCTGGGTCCCAGCCTTCCAGTGGATTCCCAGAGCCTCTCCTTCCCTGGTATCCCTTTTTGCTTAAGTTAGGCAAAATCACTTTCTGTTGTTTGCAACCCCATTGTGGCAAGAAATGTGCTCTGTGTTTCAGAAATTTCTGGAAGTGCTGGGAAATGCAGGCCATGCCACCCAGTGACATTCAGGCTCTGGAGTGAAGAGACCTAAGCCAAATTGGATGTGACATCTAGTGGCTCCTTTGCTTATTGGTGTCCTTGGATAGGTCTCCCAAACTCCCTAAGCCTGTTTTCTTTTCTATAAAATGGAGATAATATTGAGCCACACAGAATGGCCATAGAGAATGAAGAAACATACACACAGTCAGTTCTCAATCATCATTGGCTTTGATTGTGATTACAATAATGAAAGCTTGGATAATAGTGCTGTGTTGGATCTCATCTGTCTCTGGGGTCCCCAAATAAGGAGCAGAGACTGAGGATAATAATAATGATGATGACAACAAAAACATGGCACTCTTGTATAGTAGTAAGTATATCCCGGGTACTGTCCTAAGTGCTTTATGTATTAACTCACTCAATCCTCACAACCTCCTTATGTGGTAATGTACTCTTACTACCTCTGCTTAACAAATAGGGCATTGAGGCATAGAGTAGCTAACTTGTTCAAGGCCTCCAGAAGTTATTGGTCTGCTCTGATGTTTTCTATCTGACAGAGAGAAGGCTGAGCAGACAGGCCAACATCACACACACACTGCAGAATTCATGTGCTTATGTGCTTTCTCTGCATGCCTTTCCTGGTCTTGGGGAGGGCCTCATTGCTGCAGTGGGGAAGGGAGATGCTTCATCAGTAGGCATGACTCATAGCCGAGCCTGTGCTCCTGGATTTGTTCTGAAGTGAGATTCTATTGTGTTTATTGCAAACAGACAGGCAGCTCCGTTTCCTGTTGGTTCTGTTTCCTTCCTATTAAATTACTGAACTGTGAGGACTGGGGAGGGCGGGTAGGAAGGGAGATGAAGCAGGGTTAAGAGGATTCTGTTTTCAGCAAGTAGTGAATTCCCCAGAAGCTTTTCCCACTTAGTCCGGATGCATCCATACGATGTGAAGTTGGGCTTAATTGCTTCGTGTTGGTGGCAGAGCTCTGAAGATGAGGACTGGCTTTCCTACTGGAGAGCTGGCCCGTGGACCAGGCATCTATTGCTGAGGCCAGATGAAAATGGGCCAGGGCCTCTGGCCACACGCTGCCACAGCCAAGAGAGATGGAGCAAAGCCATGCAGTGTCAACTTAGGTTTGAGAAAGGGGTCAGGTCAAAGTGCTGGAAGGACTCCCCATCACTGAGTTCCTTGCCATCAACACAACTGCAGAGCAGAGCAGAAGTGACCACACATCCAGAGGCCACTGTGGAGGAAACACAGCATCAGGCCCTTTCAACACTTAGTTAATCCTCATGTTGGCCCCATGGAATTATTTTATTTTCCTACTTTATACACAGGAAGTCGAAGCTTGGAGAGATTCTGTGAATTGGTGAAGGACACAGAGCAAAGCCAGGATTCAGATTCAGACCTGCTTGACTCCAAGATCATTCCAGAAATCTCCCTTTTCCTTTGGACCCTGTGACGTGACAGCTGGGTTCTTTCTGCTCTGATTTCCATGCCTGACAACCATTTAAATGGAATACAAGAATGCAGGTAACTGAAGAAACCCATGGAGAGAGGTGAATGCCTTTGTTTTGGGTGTGGTTGTTAAAGAGGAGGTGGTGGTTGATATGAGGGGGCATTTGTCTCAAGCAAAGGAAGCCTGTACTGAAGGCAGAGTGCCTGGGCTGGAGAAGTCCAAGCAGGTTGGAAGCCCTAAAGAATCAGCTAGGTTAGTTGTTCTCAACTGCGGGGGATTTGGTAATGTCTGGAAATATTTTTGGTTGTCATGGTGGGCGTGGGTGTGTGCTACTAGCCTCTGGTGGGTCGAGGCCAGACTCTAAATATGCATAGAATAGCTTCCTACAATATGGAATCATCTAACCTGAAAGTCAATGGTGCTGAGATTGAGAACGTCTGATCTTGGAAATCCCTTATTTGCAGATATGGAAACAGGGTTCCTAAGAGTTGGATGCCCACCCCTAAGTCACACAGCTCAAGTGAGGCAGAGATGACACCAGAGTGGAGGTTTGCAGCACCCCAGGTGTCTTAGTCTGTTTTCTGTTGCTTACAACAGAATACCTGAAGCTGAGTAACTTGTAAAGAAAAGGAATTTATTTATTACAGTTATGGAGGCTGATAAGTGTAAGGTCAAGGGCTACATCTGGTGAGGGCCTTCTTGCTGGTGGTGACTTTCTGTGGAGTCCTGAGGTAACACAAGGCATTATATGGTGAGGGGGATGAGCGTGCTAACTCAGCTCTCTCTTCCTCTTCTTATAAAGCCACCAGTCCCACTCCCATGTTAACTATGACTCCAGGAATTCACTCATCCATTCATGAGAGCAGAGCCCTCAGGACCCAAGCACCTCTTAAAAGCCCCATCTCTCAATACTGCCACCCTGGGGATTAAGTTTCAACTTATGTTTTAGAGGGGACAAAGATTCAAACCATCGCACCAGCTGAGTGATATTTACCCCATGCAGAGTGGCCTCAGTCAAGTAATGCAGGAATGGGTTTTCTGATAGACGGGCGTTGGTCCAGGGCAGCTCAGCTCAAGTTGCCCAGGCTGGGAAAGGGCCAGACCTCTCTCCTTGATGAAGAGGTGGTTCTGGTCTGCTGATGTGTGCATGGGGCCCAGGGCCCAGAGGAGGAAGGGGCACTGTGGGGACTCCTTGGAGCCAGCATGAGCTGTGAGCTGAGAGACACAGGCAGGAGGTCTCGGCCACTCTTCTCTCCTAACCCTGAGCTTCTACTTCTGCTGCTGGGCCTGCCATGGCCTTCCTGCCCATCCAGTGGGAAGCATAGGAACAATAGCTCCTGACTCCTGAATAACACTTGATAGCACTGTTTTATAGTCTGTCTCTTCATTGACTGTGTGAGCTTCTCTACAACTTGATGAGGTTAGTTAGGTGGGCAGTGGGGATGTGGCTATTCCCATTTTAAAGACCATGGAATGAGGCTGAGGAGGTTAACCACCTGACCACACGTTGCACCAGAGGCCCAGGTGAACCAGCAGCCCTGCCCTCTGATCCACGTCTGGCATTCTTTCATCTACTCTTCCAAATGAGAGTGAGAGCTCTTTTGGTTTGAGTACTGTGCTAGGTGTTGCCTCTTTTGAATCACTTCTCTGTATTCCTGCCATGTGCCATGTTTCTTAAGGGTGTGAATATCTCAGTTTTTACTTTCCAACTAACATATGTGTTCTGTGTTTAATTTTCGCTTAGATAACTGAACCTGCCACTGTGAGGCATGATGCCATAGCAGGGATATGGTGTGGACTGGGGCATAGTACTTCGTCTCTCCATGCTCAGTATAGTAGGAATGGGAGATAGAAAAGACAATGATTGAAGAGTAAACATAGGGTGCCATTGACATACCCCATTCAGGTCTCAGAGAGCTTCTGAACCTGTGTAAACCACTGACCTCACTTTACTGCTTTATAATTTGCATTGTGTAACTCTGTCTCCAGGAGACCTCAGGCTTCTTTAGAGCAGAGGGCATTTCTTTTCGCTTTTGTCTCTCCCGCCCTTAGAAGGTGCTTGGCACATTCTTGGCTCTTTCCTGGATCTGTCACATTCTCTTTGCTAAGCACCAAGAGGCAATTTGTGCTGATAGAGGCAATCTCTATCAGTAGGATAGCTGACCCCATCTTCATCAGTAGGATAGCTGCCTCCAAGTAGGTCTCTACTGGAAACTCTCTGACAGAGGTGGGGGCTGTCCCACTCCCCAGAACCTTGAGTGTCAGAGGCAGAATCCCAAAGGCCTGGTCATGCCACCTTGGGACAGTCTGGGGTGGGCCTCTCTCTGGGAGCCAGCTCACAGTTCCCATGCTGTCTCCAGCAACTGTTCTTTGACACACATATGAGGACAACATTTCTCCTATCTGTTGGAACACAGTCAACATTTAGTGTCTGAGTCCCCGTTTCCCTCTGCATTTCTAGCTACCTGTTTGAATGTTGTTAGGTAGGCAGCCAGCCACAGGGACCGAGGCATTTGAAGCTCCAAGGCAGTTGCTGACTTCTGAAGCAGGGAGTGGGAGACTGACTATCAGTTCCCGCTCCTCTGCTTCAGGGCCCTGCCAGTATTGTAATAACATCTCCAGAACATGTCTAACTACACGTTACAATTATCCTCTCCAGGTCCTGCATTGCATTTCCTTAGAATCTCCCCCGAGCCTGATAGCATGCAGCTTCTACCAGGGAGTCCATTGTACCCCTAATTTCTTTCTTTGCTGCGTCAGCCAGTCTCCTTGGGCTTCTGCCTCAGCAGGTGGGCTGGGTGAGGATTTTCCATCAGTCCAAGCATATCTTTCAACAAAGACTTCAACTTTAAAGAAATCCTGTGTCTCTAGGTGCTGATTCTTCTGAGCAATTTTCAGAGGCCTCCTTTGCCTGCTTTCACCCAAGGGAAATTTCTGGCCCTCAGACCACGCGTACTTGGCTCTCTGACAGTGTACCTGCACCCACCACCCTCATGGTGAGGTTCATCTCAAATGAGTTTTAGAACTTCCTTCTGACTCTTGGGAGATCTTCCTAAGGGGATTTTCCAAACTGTAAGGAGAAAAGGGAGGTGGGTAAACAGTGAGTCTGAGCATGGGAGAGGGATGCATGATACCGTTGAAGATAGGGACATGCCATAGGGACATCCCTCCCAATCCCCCCACGATATAAGCTAACTATGGGGCTCCTGGAATTGGTTGACTAAGCTGAGGCTTCTGGGCACTGAAATAACATTATTTAATGACAGTGTTAGGAAGAAGCTCTTCTGAAGGCAGTGAAACAGGATGGATGTCTCGACAGGAAGAGTTAGAAATTCACCCTTTATTTATTATTTTCTTCCTTTTATTTTTTAAAAATCAGTTTTCTTAGGTTGAAAGAAATTCACCCTTTATCAAGAATTATTTATAGTTCCTCTGGAGTGAGAGAGGAAGACATTACCCACGCAGTGCTCTGTGGAATCATCTGAGCCACCACTTCTGCCTTGGGGACATCATCTGGGGAAGTATCTAGATCCTTTGGCTGAACAACGTGTTTTGAGGTCTTTAATATGTCACCTTAAGGATGAGGCCTAGAGAACATGGCCTTTTGTTGAACAGTTTGTAAGCTCTCAAATGTGAGTAAATGTGAGGAGGGTCTTGAGAGATATAGGAAGCTCAAGAAACCTAGCTAGAGTCTCTAGACTGTTGAGAAAAGTGGTGAGAAGAAATTCCCATTGTGGGGGATGGGAGTGGTGGTTCAGGAGGATTTTTGAGAATGGGGATAGAGAGCCTAGAAATAAGGCCACACACCCATGGCCATCTGATCTTCGACAAAGCAAGCAATGAGTAATGGACTCCTTGTTCAATAAATGGTGCCGGGTTGACTGATTAGCCATATGCAGAAGATTGAAACTGGACTCCTTCCTCACACCATATACAGAAATCAACTCAAGATGGATTAAAGACTTAAATGTAAAACCCAGAACTATAAAAACTCTGGAAGACAACCTAGGCAATACCACCCTGGATATAGGAACGGGCAAAGATTTCATGATGAAGACACTAAAAGCAATTGCAGCAAAAGCAAAAATTGACAAATGTGATCTGATTAAACCTAAGAGCTTCTGCACAGCAAAAGAAATTATCAACAGAGTAAACAGAGTAAACAACCTATAGAATAGGAGAAAATATTTGCAGACTAAGTATCCAACAAAGGTCTCATATCCAGCATCTATAAGGAACTTAAACAAATTTATAAGAAATAACTAACAATTCCAACAAAAAGTGGGCAAAGTATATGAACAGACACTTTGCTAAAGTAGACATATATGTGGCCAACAAGCAAATGAAAAAAAGCTCAATATCATGATCATTAGAGAAATGCAAATCAAAGCCACAATAAGATATATCATCTCACACCAGTCAGAATGGCTATTATTAAAAAGTCAAAAAATAACCGATGGCTGGTAAAGTTGCAGAGAAAAGGAAATACTTATACACTGTTAGTTGGAGTTTAAATTAGTTCAACCATTATGGAAAGCAGTGTGGTGATTCCTCAAAGAGCTAAAAACAGGACTACCATTTGACCCAGCAAACCTATTACTGGGTATATGCCCAGAGGAATAGAAATCATTCTACCATAAAAACATGTGCAACAAATGTTCATTGTAGCACTATCCAAAATAGCAAAGACATGGAATCAACCTAAATGTCCATCAATGACAGATTGGATAAAAAATGTAGTACATAGGTCCCATGGAATACTATGCAACCATAAGAAAGAACAAGATCATGTCTTTTGCAGGAACATGATGGAGCTGGAGGCCATTATCCTTAGCAAACTAATGCAGAAACAGAAAACTAAATAGTGCATGCTCTTACTCATAAGAGGGAGCTAAATGAGGAGACATCATGAATACAAAGAGGGGAACAACAGACACTGGGACCTCTTTGAGGGTGGAGGGTAGGAGGAGGGAGAGGAGCAGAAAAACATTAATCTTGTTGTACAGATTATTTTGTCACCCAGGTACTAAATGTGGTACTATTGGGTACCCTACCACTGTTTTATCAAACAAGTTTCTGTAATAGTATAAATCCTTTGTTGTCATTACAACAATGTTCATGGCATCTTCACCAGGAGTAAATCTCATCTCAAGAAACCACTTTTTTTGCTTATCCATAAGAAGCAACTCCTCATCTATTCAAATTTGATCATGAGATTGCAGCAATCTGGTCACATCTTCAGGTTCACTCTAATTCAAGTTCTCTTGCTGTTTCTACCACATCCACAGTTACTTCCTTCACTGAAATTTTGAACCTGTCAAAATTTGGTACCTTACTGTTGTGTACCAGGTTTAGTACCTGGGTGACAAAATAATCTGTACAACAGACCCCCCGTGATACCAGTTAACCTAGGTAACAAACCTGCACATGTACTCCTGAACCTGAAATAAAAAAAAAAAAAATGGGAATTTTTAGGTTACAAGTTCTTTTTCTGTGAAATAAGTCCCCAGCCATTGCATCAAATACTCAGTAAATCCTTCTAGCAATATGGGAGTGATTTGGGCAAAATCAGAAGAAACCCACAAAAACTCTGTTGCACATCATTGTGCTGAACCTCTATTAATCTCAGTAGGGAAGACACCAGGCTCAAGAGGCCAAAGAAGACACTCAGAGCCAGTAAATGAGACATGGGGTCTTATTAGGGGCTTCCACACAAGGGAGACAGTGCAGCGACAGCGGGCTGGACAAGATAACCACAGGGCCCAGTAGCTGCGGGCTGGAGAGGAAAACCACAACTGCCTGCAAATGTCATGCAGTTTATGTAGCATTTCCACTTACTCCCCTCCCTCCAACAACCTTCACCTGGCAACCTTCATTTAACCCAAAACTCAGGGCCTCAATCCCCTGTACAGCCTGTGTTTCACCAGATGGGCCAGGGACTCAGATGTTTATTGTAGATAAGGAATGAATCTCCAGGTTGGCCACTCCCGGATTCTCTAGCTCAGAACACACATTCAGGTGCATCTGCCATACAGGGTTGTTCTAAGGGTGTGCTTCAATGATGCTATCAGGTGTGTTTACTGTACACACATTAGGATCAGTGAATGCAGAGGAAAGAAGAGGTGGGGAAGGGAATTCAGAAACAAGACCGAATTTGGTAAGACTAGGGATTCAAAGCCCGTGGAGGTCACAAAAATGTATGTCTTTGGGGATTCATAGAAATCTTAGGAAGAGCCTTTGTCTTCTAGGAGGTTGTGGAAGCAATGTTGCCAATTTTATTTGAATCGGAAAGCTTATAAAAACCTTATACAGGGGGATTCCCAGGCCAGATGGCCGAATAGGAACAGCTTCAGTCTGCAGCTCCCAGTGAGACCAACGCAGAAGGTGGGTGATTTCTGCATTTCCAACTGAGGTACCCAGTTCATCTCACTGGGACTGATTAGACAGTGGGTGCAGCCCATGGAGGGTGAGCCAAAGCAGGGTGGAGTGTTGCCTCACCTGGGAAGTGCAAGGGGTCGGGGAACTCCCTCTCCTAGCCAAGGGAAGCCATGAGGGATTGTGCCATGAGGGTTGGTGCATTCTAGCACAAACACTATGCTTTTCCCATGGTCTTCCCAACCTGCAGACCAGGAGATTACCTCCGGTGCCTATGCCACCAGGGCCCTGGGTTTCAAGCACAAAGCTGGGCGGCTGGTTGGGCAGACACCAAGCTAGCCACAGGAGTTTTTTTTAGTACCCCAGTGGCGCCTGGAATGCCAGCGAGACAGAACCATTCACTCCCCTGGAAAGGGGGCTGAAGCCAGGAAGCCAAGTGCTCATGCTCAGCGGATCCCACCCCGATGGAGCCCAACAAGCTAAGATCCACTGGCTTGAAACTCTCACTGCCAGCACAGCAGTCTGGAGTTGACCTGGGATGCTCAAGCTTGGTGGGGGGAGGGGTGTCCACCATTTCTGAGGCTTGAGTAGGCAGTTTTCCCCTCACAGTGTAAACAAAGCCGCTAGAAAGTTTGAACTGGGTGGAACCCACCACAGCACCGCAAAGCCACCATAGCCAGACTGCCTTTCTAGATGCCTACTCTCTGGATGCCTCCTCTCTGGGCAGGGTATCTCTGAAAGAAATGCAGCAGCCCCAGTCAGGGGCTTATAGATAAAACTCCCATCTCCCTGGGGCAGAGCACCTGGGGGAAGGGGTGGCTGTGGGCACAGCTTCAGCAGACTTAAATGTTCCTGCCTGCCAGCTCTGAAGAGAGCAGTGGACCTCCCAGCACAGCACTCAAGCTCTGCTAAGGGACAGACTGCCTCCTCAAGTAGGTCCCTGACCCCCGTGTCTCCTGATGGGGAGACACCTCCCAGCAGGGGTTGACAGACACCTCATAGAGGAGAGCTCCAGCTGGCATCTGGCAGTTGCCCCTTTGGGATGAAGCTTCCAGAGGAAGAAGCAGGCAACAATCTTTGCTGTTCTGCAGCCTCCGCTGGTGATAGGCAAACAGGGTCTGGAGTGGAACTCCAGCAAATGCCAGCAGACCTGCAGCAGGGGAACCTGACAGTTAGAAGGAAAACTAACAAACAGGAAGCAGTAGCATCAACATCAACAAAAAGGATGACCACTCAAAAACCCCATCCAAAAGTCACCAACATCAAAGACCAAAGGTAGACAAATCCATGAAGATGAGGAAAAACCAGTGCAAAAATGCTGAGACTTCCAAAAACCAGAAAGCCTCTTCTCCTCCATAGGATCACAACTCCTCGCCAGCAAGGGAACAAAACTGGATGGAGAATGAGTTTGATGAATTGACAGAAGTAGGCTTCAGAAGGTGGGTAATAACAAACTCCTCCAAGCTAAAGAAGCATGTTGTAACCCAATGCAAGGAAGCTAAGAACTTTGATAAAAGGTTACAGGAACTGCTAACTAGAATAACTAGTTTAGAGAAGAACATAAATGACCTGATGGAGCTGAAAAACACAGCATGAGAACTTTGTGAAGCATAGACAAATATCAATAGCTGAATTGATCAAGCGGAGGAAAGGATAGCAAAGACTGAAGATCAACTTAATGAAATAAAGTGTGAAGACAAGATAAGAGAAAAAAGAATGAAAAGGAACAAACAAAGCCTCCAAGAAATATGGGACTATGTGAAGAGACCAAACCAACATTTGATTGGTGTACCTGAAAGTGATGGGGAGAATGGAAACAAACTGGAAAACACACTTCAGGATATTATCCAGGATCACTTCCCCAACCTAGCAAGACAGGCCAACATTCAAATTCAGGAAATACAGAGAATACTGCAAAGATACTCCTTGAGAAGAGCAACCTCAAGACACATAATCATCAAATTCACCAAGGTAGAAATGAAAGAAAAAATGTTAAGGACAGCCAGCCAGAGAGAAAGGTCGGGTTACCCACATAGGGAAGCCCATCAGACTAACAGCATATCTCTCTGCAGAAACCCCACAAGCCAGAAGAGAGTGGGGGCCAATATTTAACATTCTTAAAGAAAAGAATTTTCAACCCACAGTTTCACATCCAGCCAAACTAAGCTTCATAAGTGAAGGAGAAATAAAACCCTTTGCAGACGAGCAAATGCTAAGGGAATTTGTCACCACCAGGCCTGCCTTACAAGAGCTCCTGAAGGAAGCACTAAATATGGAAAGGTAAAACCAGTACCAGCCACTGCAAAAACATACCAAAATGTAAAGACCATCAACACTATGAAGAAACTGCATCAACGAATGGGCAAAATAACCAGCTAGCATCATAATGACAGGATCAAATTCAAACATAACAATATTAACCTTAAATATAAATAGGCAAACATGCCCCAATTAAAAGATATGGACTGGCAAATTGGATAAAGAGTCAAGATCCATTGGTGTGCTGTATTCAGGAGACCTATCTCGTGGAAAGACACACATAAGCTCAAAATAAAGGGATGGAGGAATATTTACCAAGCAAGTGGAAAGCAAAAACAACAACAACAACAACAACAACAACAACAAAACAAAAACCAGGGGTTGCAAACTTAGTCTCTGATAAAACAGACTTTAAACCAAAAAAGATAAAAAATACAAAGAAGGGCATTACATAATGATAAAGGGATCAATGCAACAAGAAGAGCTAACTACCCTAAATATATATGCACCCAATACAGGAGCACCCAGATTCGTAAAGCAAGTTCTTACAGAACTACAAAGTGACAGACTCCCACACAATAATAGTGGGAGACTTTAACATTCCACTGTCAATATTAGATCAACGAGACAGAAAATTAACAAGGATATTCAGGACTTGAACTCACTAATAGACATCTACAGAACTCTCCATCCCAAATCAACAGAATATACATTCTTCTCTGCACCACATAGCACTTATTCTAAAATTGACCACATAATTGGAAGTAAAACACTCCTCAGCAAATGCAAAAGAACGGAAATCATAACAGTCTCTCAGACCACAGTGCAATCAAATTAGAACTCAGGATTAAGAAACTCACTCAAGACTGCACAATTACATGGAAACTGAACAACCTGCTACTGAATGACTGCTGGGTGAATAATGAAGGCAGAAATAAATAAGTTCTTTGAAACCAGTGAGAACAAAGACACAATGTACCAGAATCTCTGGGATACAGCTAAAGCAGTGTTTAGAGGGAAATTTACAGCACTTAATGCCCACAGGAGAAAGTGGGAAAGATCTAAAATCAACACCCTAACATCACAATTAAAAGAACCAGAGAAGCAAGAGCAAACAAATTCAAATGCTAGCAGAAGACAAGAAGTAACTAAGATTAAAGCAGAACTGAAGGAGATAGAGACATGAAATCCTTTCCAAAAATCAATGAATCCACGTTCTGGTTTTTGAAAGTTTAACAAAATAGACCACTAGCCAGACTAATAAAGAAGAAAAGAGAAGAATCAAATAGACACAATAAAAGATGATAAAGGGGATATCACCACTGATCCCACAGAAATACAAACTAACATCAGAGAATACTATAAACACCTCTATGCAAATAAACTAGAAAACCTAGAAGAAATGGATAAATTCCTGGACACATACACCCTCCCAAGACTAAACCAGGAAGAAGTTGTATCCCTTAATAGACCAATAACAAATTCTGAAATTGAGGCAGTAATTAATAGCCTATCAACCAAGAAAAGCCCAGGAACAGAAGGATTCACAGACGAATTCTACCAGAGGTACAAAGAGAAGGTGGTACCATTCCTTCTGAAACTATTCCAATCAATAGAAAAAAGGTACTTCTCCCTAACTAATTTTATGAGGCCAGCATCATCCTGATACCAAAATCTGGCAGAAACACAAAAACAACAACAACAACAACAAAAAAGAAAATTTCAGGCCAATATCCCTGATGAATACCGATGCAAAAATCCTCAATAAAATACTGGCAAACTGAATCCAGCAGCACATCAAAAAGCTTATGCACTATGATCAAGTTGGCTTCATCTCTGAGATGCAAGGCTGGTTCAACACATGCAAATCAATAAACGTAATCCATTACATAAACAGAACTAATGACAAAAACCACATGATTATCTCAACAGATGCAGAAAAGGCCTTTGACAAAATTCAACACTGCTTCATGCTAAAAACTCTCAATAAACTAGGTATTGATGGAATGTTTCTTAAAATAATAAGAGCTATTTATTGACAAACCCACAGCCAATATCATACTGAATGGGCAAAAGCTGGAAGCATTCCCTTTGAAAACTGGCACAAGACAGGGATGCCTTCTCTTACCACTCCTATTCAACATAGTTATTGGAAGTTCTGGCCAGGGCAATCAGGCAAGAGAAAGAAATAAAGAGTATTCAAATAGGAAGAGAGGAAGTCAAATCATCTCTGTTTGCAGATGACATGATTGTATATTTAGAAAACCCCATTGTCTCAGCCCAAAATCTCCTTAAGCTGATCAGCAACTTCAGCAAAGTCTCAGGAAACAAAATCAATGTGCAAAATCACAAGCATCCTATAAACCAAGAACAGACAGAGTCAAATCATGAGTGAACTCCCATTCACAATTGCTACAAAGAGAATAAAATACCTAGGAATACAACTTACAAAGGATGTGAATGACCTCTTCAATGAGAACTACAAACCACTGCTCAAGGAAATAAGAGCAGGCACAAACACACTGAAAAACATTCCATGCTCATGGATAGGAAGAATCAATATTGTGAAAATGGCCATACTGCCCAAAGTAATTTATAGATTCAATGCTATTCCCATCAAGCTACCATTGACTTTCTTCACAGAATTAGAAAAAACTACTTTAAATTTCATATGGAACCAAAAAAGAGCCTGTATAGCCAAGACAATCCTAAACAAAAAGAATAAAGCTAGAGGCATCAAGCTACCTGACTTCAAACTATACTACAAGGCTACAGTAACCAAAACAGCCTGGTACTGGTACCAAAACAGATATAGACTAATGGAACAGAACAGAGGCCTCAAAAATAACACCACACATCTACACCCATCTGATCTTTGACAAACCTGACAAAAACAAGCAATGAGGAAAGGAGTCCCTATCTAATAAATGGTGTTGGGAAAACTGGCTAGCCATATGCAGAAAACTGAAACTGTACCCCCTTCCTTATATCTTATACAAAAATTAAGATGGATTAAAGATTTAAAGATAAGACTTAAAACTATAAAAACCCTAGAAGAAAACCTAGGCAGTACCATTCAGGACATAGGCATGGGCAAAGACTTCATGACTAAAACACCAAAAGCAATTGCAACAAATGCCAAAATTGACAAACGGGATCTAATTAAACGAAAGAGCTTCTGCACCGCAAAAGAAACTATCATCAGAGTGAACAGGCAACCTACAGAATTGGAGAAAATGTTTGGAATCTACCCATCTAACAAAGGGCTAATATTCAGAATCTACAAGGAAGTTTAACAAATTTACAAGAAAAGACAACCCCATCAAAAAGTGGGTGAAGGATATGAACAGACACTTTTCAAAAGAAGACATTTATGTGACCAAAAAAAATATGAAGAAAAGCTCATCATCACTGGTCATTAGAGAAATGCATATCAAAACCACAATGAGATATCATCTCACACCAGTTAGAATGGCAATCATTCAAAAGTCAGGAAACAACAGATACGGGAGAGGATGTGGAGAAACAGCAATGCTTTTACACTGTTGGTGGGAGTGTCAATTAGTTCAACCATTGTGGAAGGCAGTGTGGCAATTCCTCAAGGATCTAGAACCAGAAATACCATTTGACCCAGTGATCCCATTACTAGGTATATAACCAAAAGATTATAAATCATTCTACTATAAAGATACATGCACACTTATGTTTATTGCAGCACTATTCACAACAGCCAAGACTTGGAACCAACCCAAATGCCCATCAATAATAGACTGGATAAAGAAAATGTGGCACATATACACCATGGAATACTATGCAGCCGTAAAAAAGAATGAGTTCATGTCCTTTGCAGGGATATAGATGAAGCTGGAAACCATCATTCTCAGCAAACTAACACAACAACTATCCCAGATACAGAAAACCAAACACTGCATGTTCTCTCTCATAAGTGGGAGTTGAACAATGAGAACATATGGACACAGGGAGGGGAACATCACACACTGGAGCCTGTCAGGGGGTGTGGGTGAAGGGGAGGGATAGCATTAGGAGAAATACCTAATGTAGATGACGGGTAGATGAGTGCAGCAAACCACCATGGCACATGTATACCTATGCAACAAATCTGCACATTCTGCACATGTATCCCAGAACTTAAGTATAATTAAAAAAAAAAAAAAAAACCACAAGCTGCAGGGCACCAGTTCCCCAAGACCAAAGAAAACCTCAAAAGTTGTATTAGCAATTACCAACAAATATGTATTGATCACCTACTGCATCTGCATACCAGACCAGACACTGCCAACTCTCAGGGCCTGGCATACAGTAGGAGTTCAACCTCTGCAAAGCTAGACTCATGAAGAGGGCAAACCTAAAGTGTAAATTTTCACTGAAATTACCATAAGCAGCAAATGGCCAGGCAGAGTCTATACCTTTGAGGCCTTTTTTTTTTTTTTTTAAGTCAGTCTCTCTTTCTCCTCTCTATCTTTCTTGTACTTGCTTTTGGGCATTTCAAAAAAAAAAAAAAAAACAAACCTTATACAACATTCAAGTATGTTTGAATGCACACAGACACAAAAAAAGGAAAAAAAAGAAAAGTTTAGGAAGTTCACACCTCAAACTGTTTAGCTGCATGTGGGGAATACTACTTGGTGTGAGTTATCAGGAGGTTGAGGGGACTGTTTCCTTTTTTCAGTACATATACTTCAGTATTATTTCAATCAAAAGCACATTAATAAATATATCATTTTATAATTTAAAGACAAAAAGAGATGCAAATGCCCATAATCTCACTGCCCAGATGTAATAACTTTTAACATTTAATATGCATTCTTTCTGATTTTTTCTCTAATTTTAAATTTATTTTTAAATTAACATCTTTCTGACGTTTTTATCCATATGTAAATACATATACATGTATGTGCAAAAAATATCAAAGTATACTGTGGTGTAGCCTGCTTTTAAAGCTTAATGATATATCTTAGACGTCTTTTCATTTTCTCAAAATACGGATATGTAGCATTTTTTTTGAGACAAGTCTTGCTCTGTCACCCAGGCTGGAGGGTGACTGCAAGCCTTGAACTCTTGGACTCAAACGATCCTCCCACCTCAGCCTCCCGAGTAACTGTGACTACAGGTGCATGCCACCGTGCCTGGCTAATTTTTAAAACTTTTTTTTTTAGAGATGGTGGGGGGATCTCACTATATTGCCCAGGCTGGTTTTGAACTCCTGGCCTCAAGCAATCCTCCCACCTTGGCCTCCCAAAGTGCTGGGATTACAGATGTGAGCCACCATACCTGGCCCTATCATCTTTTAATAGCTGCATGATATTCCATTGTATATGTGTCTCATGGTTTATGTAACCGATTCTCTATTAACGGACATTAAGGCTGTTTCTATTTTCTTTGCTACTATAAGCAGCATTGCAATTAGTATCCTTATAGATGCATCTTTTCGCATTTTTTACTTACGTCCATAGAAAACATTCTAAGAGTTGGAATTACTGGATCAAAGGAGAGTTGTGTTAAAAATTTTGATACATAATGTCCTCCAGAAACAACCAATTTCCCCTTCTACCACCAGCTATCAGCGCTCACATATTTTTTGAATGCCTACTGTGTTCTAGACAAATAAGACATTATTTTTGCCCTGAGGGGGTTTACATGCTTGTTAGTTGGTTTGTTAACACATACTCAGACTCCCTATTTATTTAACAAGCTCTTACACAATGCTTAGTACCATGTGCCAGATACTATTCTAAGGAGCTTAAAATATTAAGTCATTTAATCCTCATGACAATCTTATAAGATGGTACTATTATTATTTCCACTTTACAAATGGAGGAGCTAAGCAAAGGAGTTAAGCAACTTGCTCAGGTTCACACAGGTGACAAGTGGTAGAGCTAGTAGTAAAATCTAAGAAATATCCTGGCTCCAGAATTTGTTCTTAATCCTGTGCTGTGGCTCCTCTTGGCACAACAGGTAATGACACTCTCAGCACTGAGATAATAGATTCAGTGACTTGGAAAACCTCCTTTCTATGATGAAAGTGAATAGGGAGATGGGCTTTCAATTGGCCAAGCCCATCCTTTCAGGGCTAGGAGGGAAAGACATGATTTTGTGATTTTCAGCTTGAGCACTTAGGAATCTGCCCTTTCCCTTAACTGAAATGGGTAACCCACAAGGGAGATAGGTTGAGGGTGGGGATGAAAGACAGAGACTTCTGTTTTGGATTTGTTGATTCAAAATGTTGTGAGCTATCCAGATGAAAGGGCCAGACAGCAGAGGGAAATCCATATTTGGTGCTTGGGAGAGGAGACAGGTCCAGAGGAGAGTCCTGAGAGTCACCAGCCTAGGGGAAGACAGTGAGGCCCTGAGAGGGATGTGATCCCACAGGGAGGCCACACAGATGAGGAAGAGCAGAGGTCCAAAGGCTGGGCCTTGAGAAATGCCTCCATTTAAGGGAATGGTGCTCAACCTTGGCTGCATGTTGGGGTCACTTAGAGGTTATAAAAGCTCCTGATGCCTGGGTCTCACCTCCAGATATTCTGATTTCATTGGCCTGAAAGGCAATCTGGCTATCAGAATGGGGTGTGTGTGTGTGTGTGTGTGTGTGTGTGTGTGTATGCTTTAAAAATTATTATTTATTTTTGGTATCTGACTTTTTAAGGCTTCCCAGGTAATAATACTGTGTAGCTGAAGTGAACAGCAATCAGTTAAAGGGGATGACAGAAGAGAAATTCAAGAAGCCATCTCACAGGGCCAGAGAGAGGGTAGAAGTGTTTTCATTTGTTCCATAACATGCATTGAGTACCTAATAATAATAGCTACCACCTAGTGAAGGCTGTGGCCAGGCCCTGTGCTGAGTCATTTGCACACATTATCTCATCTAATGCTCACACCACACAACATTATGAGATATTCTTACCCCCTTTTGCAGATGGAGAAACTAAGAATCAGAGAAGTCAAATAACTTGGCTAAAGTCATACTTCTAAAACTTAGTGGGAGAGTCAGGATTCCAATGTGGTGTAGGATATCTTCCAAACCCTTGGAGTTAATCACTGTGCTATGCTGCCCATCACCTGCCAGATTTTCTGCTTGGAACTGTCAAGGGGCTTGCGGTCTTGTGGGTATAGAAGAGTTACACATAATGAGGTAAGTGCTGCGGTGGAGGAAGGTAAAATATCCCGGTGGAGAAAGCTCATAATAGCCTGGAGGACTCAAGAAAAGCTTTGCCTATGAGCTAATGCCTCGGGAAATATTTTCTATTTATTCCTGCACCCAGAAACAGGCTCCACCTCTTGATAGGAGGGGAACACATGTCTGTAGGGAGAAAAGAGTTGATGGTGGCCATCTTGAAGGTAAACGACTACAGTCTTGATCCTGGGCACTTCTGAGAGAGGCCTGGTAGCTGTTAACTTTCCTTTCAGACCCTTTGGGTTTATGAAGATGACAAAATCTCTCAAGCGAATGGCAGCCAGATTGGTTTCTATCTACTTTCATTTATTTATTTACCTTTATTTTAATTTGAGAGACAGGGTCTTGGTCTGTTGCCCAGGCTGGAGTGCAGTGGCACAATCATAGCTCACTGCTGCCTGAACCTCCTGGGCTCGGGTGATCCTCCACTTCAGCCTCCCAAGCAGCTGGGACTACAGTGCACACCACCACACCTGGCTAAGTTTTAAAATTTTTTGTAGAGACAGGGTTTTGCCATGTTGCCCAGGCCATTCTTCAACTCCTGGCCTCCAGTGATTCTTTCAGCCTCCTAAAGTGCTGGGATTACAGGTGTCAGCCACTGTGCCCGGCCATCTGTCTAGTTTTAAACTACCCTATAGTAAGATCCACAACTACTGGGAAGGGGCTCCTAGCCTTAGTCACACTCTGAAGAATTCTTCAGGAGCGGAGCAGCCAACTGGGCCAGTGATAGTACCCACTGCCTTCAAGAGAAATGCCCTTACATAAAGTTTGATATCTTATTTGGAAAGGTGTCTTCTAAGTCAATGTGAATTTACTGCATTTGGAGGGAGAAAGGGCACATTTCAACTTTCAGAAATGGGAAGCTAAAAGTGGGCATCAGTCAGGGTTGTCATCACCTTATATATCATAACTGAATTTGTGCTGATGTCATCCTTGACTACATGAGTCAGAACATAATAAACTTTAAAATTGCCAGAAGAAAGGCTGCTGCTCATGCTTGTGATTTATGACACAAATCCAAAGCTGCTACATTTTCTGCACTTACCATTTATATTTGCATGAAGTTCAAAGGGGGAACAAGAAGCTTAACTCTTTCTCTGACGTGGTCAACAAGACTGTAGTCTCAGAAGGAACCAGATTTGCTTTGTGCATTTTAACATAGGGTTCTTAGTGTCTGTTTTTGATTGAGAGAGACACCTTTGCATTAACCACACAACTTCACTCTCTGTTCCATCCCTGAGGCTGCTCAAGGGAACCAGCTTATTATAAACAGGTTTAATTGAGGTTCCTTAAAAGTCAGGGAGTTGAGAACTCTTTTATTTGAATGCAATAGCTGTATCAATTTGAGATGCAATTAGTGGCCAAATATATAATTTTATACAAGTGGTCCTCACCAATTTGCAGACTTTTAAAAATTAAATTTACTATTAATGAAATTATTCAGGGGTAAGACATTCAACATTAGGATGGTTAAAAATGGCAAGGAATGTTTATATTGCTTCAGGCTGCTTTAACAAAATACTTTAGACTTTTGGTGGTTTATAAACAACACTTATTTCTCACAGTTCTGGAGGCTAGGAACTCCAAGATCAAGTTGCCAGCAGATTTGGTGTCTGGTGAGGGCCCATTCCTTATAGACAGTGCCTTCTTGAGGTGTCCTCACAGGATGGAAGGTGCCAAAGAGTTCCCTTATAAAAAGACATGAAGGTCGGGTACAGTGGCTCATGCCTGTAGTCCCAGCACTTTGGGAGGCTGAGGCGGGCAGATCACCTGAGGTCAGAAGTTCAAGACCAGCCTGGCCGACACGGTGAAATCTTGTCTCTATAAAAATGCACAAATTAGCCAGGCATGGTGGCAGGCACCTGTAATCCCAGTTTCTCTGGAGGCTGAGGCAGGAGTATCACTTGAACCCGGGAGGCGGAGGTTGCAGTGAGCCAAGATCATGCCACTGCCACTGCACTCCAGCCTGGGCAACAGAGTGAGGCTCAGTCTCAAAACAAAACAAAACAAAACAAAACAAAACAACAACGACAACAAAAACAGACATGTGAGGGCATGCTTTCTTTCCCCCTCTGCTCTTTGCCATGTAAGAGTACAATGAGAAGATGGCCATCTGCAAACCAGGCATCAGCCATCAACCAGACACTGGATCTACTAGCACCTTGATCTTGGACTTCTCAGCTTCCAAAACTGCGAAATAAATTTCTGTTGTTTACACCACCCAGTCTATGGTATTTTGTTACAGCAGCTCAAACTGACTAAGACAGAGGGAAGGATGAAAGAGA
Source organism: Homo sapiens (assembly GCF_000001405.40). Classification (NCBI taxonomy): domain Eukaryota; kingdom Metazoa; phylum Chordata; class Mammalia; order Primates; family Hominidae; genus Homo; species Homo sapiens. Next base: position 51,458,466 of record NC_000017.11, read on the forward strand.
CTTGAAGACTTGAATGTATTTAAATGTGTAGACGTGAAGGAGGCAAGGTGGGGGTGGGGGGCAGGAGAGAGAGAGAGAGAGAATGAGAATGAAAGAAAGATATTGATTGATTGATTTTAGGTCCAGAGGAGGATGAGAATCATCAACAGGTGGAAGGGACAGCATCCAGTTGATAGGTGAAGAGGTTTGTTAGCAGGATGTTGTTGGTTGCAACCCACCCAGTTGCTTCAAGTAATGGAGTTTATTGACAGTTTGCTGTATGCATGGAAACCCAGGAAAAGTTGAATGGCCAGACTTAGGAAGAGCATGGCCCTAGCAGTGCTGGGTTGCAGATTTTCACCCCAGAGCACCCATTTACAAGATTCAGTAACTCTTGGCTGGGCGTGGTGGCTCATGCCTGTAATCCCAGCACTTTGGGAGGCCGAGGCGGGTGGATCACAAGGTCAGGAGTTCAAGACCAGCCTGGCCAAGATGATGAAACCCCGTCTCTACTAAAAAAATACAAAAATATAAAAATTAGCTGGGCATGGTGGCGGGCACCTGTAATCCCAGCTACACGGGAGGCTGAGGCAGAGAATTGCTTGAACCCAGGAGATGGAGGTTGCAGTGAGCTGAGATCACACCACTGCACTCCAGCTTGGGTGACAGAGGGAGACTCCATCTCAAAAAAAAAAAAAAGAAAAAAAAAAGATTGAGTAACTCCTTTGCCAGCTCTGAGCATAGCAGCTGGTATCTTTTTTTCAGTGCCTCCAGTTCATGTCTTGGGGAAAAATATCTGATTGGCCTAGCCCATTGTTTTCTTTCAGGCCACATCATAGACTACTGGCCAGTCCATGAACTGGTTGTGCTTAAGTCAAGAGGTTCACTTTTGATCCAACCAGTGGCTACCTTTCCTTTTCCTTCCAAAGAACAGATAGATGATTGCTTCCATGGAGAGGAGAAGGCTATATGGGTCAGGGAGGCTTAGTAGAAAGGGGAGTTAGGTCCAGCAAATCTTCCTCTCCCATTTTTCCTTCATTTTAAAAACTATAAAGTAAATAGACACTTACAGATAAACTTGAGTCACCTTTGTTCCTAAACTCACTTTTATTTCCTTTTCTCTCTCTGTCCTTTCCATTCTTTTTCAGAGAGGCAGTCACTGTCATAAACTTACGGATTGCTTTGGAAAAAACAATCTATGTGGAATTGAGTCTTCCTATTTATGAACATGGCATATCTCTGTCTTTAGGTGTTCTTTAGAATTTCCAATAATGTTCTGTAATTTCATTATAAAGTTCTTACACATCTTATTTATTCAGAGGTATATAGAATGCTGCAACAAGGGGTACTTTTTTCCTATTATAATTTCTTACTAATTATTATTGGTATAAAGGAACTCCACTGATTTTAAAATTTTGTTTTTGCAATTGGCAATCCTGATGAATTCTCTTATTCTTATAATTTTTAGATATCTTGAATTTTCTATGTCAGCAATCTGCAAGTCTTTATTTCGAATTCTTATGCATTTTATTTATTTTTATTATGTAAATTCATTGATTAGGGCCTGCTTTACAATGTTGAATAAAAAAGGTGACAGTGAGCAACTAATTCTTGACTTCAATATGCGTACTTCTAAAGTTTTGGTAGCAGCTATAATGTTTGTTGCAGGTTTTTGGTTAAAAAAATCCTTTATCAGGTTAAGAAAGTTTTCTTCTGTTCCTAGATTGTAAAAAAGTTGTAATTTTGAATGTAATGAATTCCATGAGGACATGGGTTTTTATCTCTTTTGTCCCCAGTGGCTAGATTAGTGCCTGTAGGCCATGAGTAAATTATTTATTGAAAGAGCAAATGAATTGATTAATTGGAGCTTATAAAATATTTTACTTTTGACATGCCTATTGATATAATTATATACTTTTCCTTTTTTAAATCATTAATGTGTCTTTTTGCTCATTGACCAATTGCAGCTCATCACATACACATGGGACTCACAACTGGATTTCTCCTTCCCTTGTAGATGTTAAAAAAACTACAAAATTACGGCCATGATTCTTTCATTCATTTATTCATTTGATGCATGTTTATTGAGCATCTACTATGGATCAAGTATTGTGGTAGCTGTTAGAAAGCCAAAGCTAAAGAAGAACCAATCAATTTCATAATTCAGTAATGAATTCATGACATCATATTGTTGGAAGAGATCTTGGATTAGATCTGATCCAACCTTCTTATTTTGCTGAGGAGGAAATGGAAGCTCCACAGGCAGATATGATTAGCTTATGATCTGTCCAATCTGTTTAATTCAGAGGATTCAAGTGACTCTGAGACACGATATGTCAGGAGGGTCTACTCCAGGACAACTATTGAGAAGAAAGAAAGAAGAATCATAAAAATATTAACATCAGTTGTTCATGTATTTTAGGGGAGTAGTATAATTTTCCTTAAGGGAAAAATATTGTTTTATTTAAGAAAGCCTGATAATGGATGTTTGCTTATGAAAAGAGAGACTCAAGGCTAATTCTGGATTTGAGAAGTTGAGACAATGGACTTGAATTTGCTGTAGATAACAAATCAGCAGGACTTTTCAGCTAGCCCTTGTGGATTTGGGGCCTGGAACTCAAAGAAGTGAGAGAATAGGAAAACAGAGCATACGAATATGATGGCAGATCAAGCCTTAAGGACAGAGTCCATAAAGACAGACTATCTGATAAACTTTATCAACACTAATATCTAATATTCAGTTTTGAGCTGTATACCGTTCTGCATGATAATTTTCCTTGGTAATGCCTAAACCTTCCATAAAGTTGTACTGGTGGTGCCATAAAGAATTGACATGAAGGTGTGGACAGACTTAAAGTGACATTAGGTCTTGCTTACACCACGCTCTTCTTGAGGTCAGTCTTGTAGTAGGGCAGCAGCATTGCACCTAAGGAGTTCCAGAGTTCTAGATGGTGACCAATAGCAAAGTAAGTTGGGGAACCCTTGGATCTCATGGTTCAAAACCATGTTATGAGGGAGGGACAGGGCACAGAAAGAAGAGAATCCCCTTTAATCCTAAAATACTAGAGGAAGATTGGTGGTTGTTCACTGTTGTTTGCATATACAGTCTGGTCCCTCATAGGGACTGACCATTTGTGCCAGGTATTGCTACTGCCAAGCTATTGTTTCTTGGATCTAAACCCCCACATCCATACTGTATACTTGGGATCTTGGGGCTGGGACTGTGAACAGTTTTCTTGTTTGCCGGCTGGCCCTGTTAGGCTCTGCCAGTAGGTGGTGCTAGAGAGAGAGAGAGAGACTGCCAGGCTGGAGCTGGGAGAAGGGATGGCTGCCTTCCCGCGGGCTTCCGGTCTGTCTCTGAGCATCACTATAGCGATTCACCCTGGCGGCAGCAGTGCCTCTCTGTAGCAGCCGCTGAATCTACTGTGCAGTTTTTCCAGCACCACAGAACCAGCTGTCTCCTGTATCCCTAGAGACACCGGCACCAACTGGCTGGCATCCCGCCCTCACGGATCTGAGTTTCACCTCCATGGAACACCTCCTGATTCGAGCTTCAACTGTTAATAATTACAATCTCTCTCCTTTATTCCCCCAGCCTTAAGGGATTAGGGGCTCTTCCCTCAGTCGCTACTTCCATGATACCCTAGAATTCTCTTTTGGCATTTCCAGTTACCTAGTGAGCAGTTCTTTACATTCTTTCTTGTTCAAATAACTGGCGTGGTTTCTGTCTCCTGACTGGACCGCACCGGATACACTAGCAATCTCTTTAGGGGAACTTCGGGCTTGATTCTGGCTGTAGCTGGGATCCTCTTGGGCTAGGGCAGGCTGGCCTTCAAGTCTTCCACTCCAGGGTCACTTTGCTGCTTGCCATAGAAATGCCTGGTCAAGCATGCCCACCAAGACTGTCGCCTTCCGTGTATCTCCCTCTCCACTGAGCACGGATACCTTCTGGGTCTTCTCTGTGTCAGGTGCAAGCTGCTAGGGGGGCTTCTGCCCTCTCTTGTCTGGAAATGCTTGCTGCCATCTCTTTATTGTCCTGCCCATGTCTTGTACTATGCATGGCATTGGTAGGACTCTCAATTTCTAATGTTAATCAAGAAAGAGCACAGTAGGGAGCTTGGTGCAGTGGCTCATGCATGTAGTCCCGGTTACTTGGGAAGCTGAGTGGGGAGGATTGCTTGAGTCCAGGAGTTCAAGGCTGCAGTGAGGTATCATCGCACCACTGCGTTCCAACCTGGGCTGGCCTGACTCTTAAGAAAAAGAAATAGCATGTTAGTCCACACATTTACAGATACACCTAAATTTCCAGAGGATTCTCTCATATTTTTCTTTCACTTTCCCTGTTTTTTCCTTGTTACTTGGAGGACCTTGAGCTACTATGCCCTCCCTACATTGCTTTACCTTCCACCATCTCATCTCCTATTTCCAGGCCTTTTTATCTTGCCTTAGGGCAGAGGGAAGAAAAATAAGTTCTCCCAATTCACACATGCCCTCCAGGGATTTTTCTCTCCTGGCCTGTTGTCCACTGTACCTGGCAGTTTGGAACTCACCTTCTTCCACGCCCTCCCCTCCCCGCCTCGCTTTTAAAAGCTTCATTGTAGGAATTTTTCAGAAACATGTAATTTGAGGTCTCATATTGCCGTCTGGCTAAAAGTGAACATGCCATTGATCAATCTGCTTTTATTATATTATGTTCCTAATGGTGGCAAGCAAGACAAGAAGTAGAAAGAAAGATGGTGTAAGCTCAAGAACCCACTAAATCTATCCTATGGCCTGGGTTCACCCAGCCTGCTTTGTGGATTTTGTCTCACTATAACAGAGCTCCCAAGGAGACTGCAGAGTCAGCTCCCTTAAGCACTGTAACTAAAGCCTAACTCTTCCGTTCCACCCAACAATGTCCCCAGCTCATCCTCTTTCCCGAAGTCCCCTTTCTGCCCCAGATGCGAATTGCATTTAACTAATCCTCAAGTGAAATGTCCACACAGAATTCCATTTTAATTAGCATACCATAGTTTTTGTGCAAATTTGCTTTCAGAGGACTCCCATTGCAGCTGCTCAGAGACGCTAATGGCAGGGCCTCTTGATGCTTTCCCGATAGCTTTCAGCTGCAATAGCTCTTAGGCAGAATGCCATGAGCGTCCTGCCCAACTGTATTACTGGGGAACACCTGATTGGCTAGAAGTTGATCCTCCTGTAACTTTTCTGAGTTCTTTACATTTACTCGTGAAACCCAAATATGCCACTTCTTATCAGGATGCCATGAAACGTAAGTGTCTAGGATGAAAAGAAGAATTAGGCTCGAGACTATTTTCTTCCTTCTGTACCATGAAATTTAACTACTAAGATGGATTTTAAAATTGTTTTGTCCAGCTGGCTCATTTTATAACTGGGAAAAGTATGTTTCCCCCCTACTTTTTTTTCTTTTGGCTTGAATTGGTGCTAGAATCTCCAGCTAGTAGTTCTTAATGCTGGATGCACATTAGAATCACTTGGGAACTTAAAAAAAAATACCAATGCCAGGCCCCAACAAGACCAATTCTGGGACTTCAGAATTGCTATTTTTTCAAAGCTGTGTATGGGCTGTATTGTGTCCCCCTCATCTATACGTTGAAGTTAGAATCCCCAGTACTTTAGAATGTGACCGTTTTTGGAGATAGCCCTTTTAAAGATGTAACTGGTCGGGCATGGTGGCTCATGCCTGTAATCCCAGCACTTTGGGAGGCCGAGGCGGGCGGATCACAAGGTCAGGAGATTGAGACCATCCTGGCTAACACGGTGAAACCCCGTCTCTATTAAAAATACAAAAAATTAGCCGGGCATGGTGCTGGGCGCCTGTAGTCCCAGCTACTTGGGAGGCTGAGGCAGGACAATGGTGTGAACCCAGGAGGCGGAGCTTGCAGTGAGCTGAGATTGCGCCACTGCACTCCAGCCTGGGAGACAGAGCAAGACTCTGTCTCAAAAAAAAAAAAAAAAAAAAAAAAGATGTAACTAAGGTAAACTGAGGTTATTTGGGTGGTCCGTAATCCAAAATAACTGATGTCCTTATAAGAAGAGGTGATGGTGGCTGGGCGTGGTGGCTCGTGCCTGTAATCCCAGCACTTTGGGAGGCTGAGGGGGGTGGATCACTTGAGGCCAGGAGTTTGAGACCAGACTGGCCAACATGGCAAAACCCCTACTCTACTAAAAATACAAAAATTAGCCAGGTGTGGTGGCACGTGACTGTAATCCTAGCTACTCAGGAGGCTGAGGCATGAGAATCGCTTGAACCTAGGAGGTGGAGGCTGCAGTGAGCTGAGATCACACCACTGCACTCCCTTCTGGACAACAGAGTGAGACCCTATCTCAAAAAAAAAAAAAAGGTGACAAGGACACGGATGTATACGGGGGAAGACCATGTGAGCACACTGGAAGAATATGGCCATCTACATGTCAAGGAGAACGGCCTCAGAAGACACTAACCCTGTCAACACCTTGATTTCAGACTTTTAGTCTCCAGAACTGTGAGAAAACACATTTCTGTTGTTTAAGCCACCTAGTTTGTGGTACTTTGCTATGTACCTGAGCTGAGCAATACACTGTCATGCCAGACTCCTATTAACTTCAACAGGGATGGCACCATGTTCAAGAGGCTGATGAAGAGACCCAGAGCCAGTGAATGAGACATAGGGTTTATGGAGGAGACTTACATACAGTGTGGTCCAGCAGTGGTGGGCTGGACAGGAGAACCACAACTGCTTACAAAAGCATGCAGTTTATATAGCATTTTCACTTAGCGCCCTCCCCTTAACAACCTCCACCTGGCAAGCTTCATTTAAACCCAAATAAAGGGCCTCAATCCCCCGTATGACCTGTGTTCCATGGGCTGGGTCAGGGCTTCAGATGTTCCTCACAGATAAGGAATGAATCTCTAGGTTGACCACTGCTGGATGCCTTGCCGCGGAACTCTGAGCACACGTTCTTCTTCTGAAGTTTAGCTATTGCTATCACATGTGTCTGACATATATATACTTCCCATGTAATTCTAATGTGTAGCCAAGACTGATTGCCAGTGGGCTAGAACGGAGGCTGGAACTTAGCAGGAGCTGCAGAATCAGATTTTTTGAATAAAGGACTGAGTTTTCTAATTCTTTCTAGTGTTCATGCCACAATACCAAGTCCACAAATATCCAAATCTACTGGAAGAATCTACAAATAGTAATAATTTCCTAGTATGATACCTACTCTCTTCCTGAATTCTCTGCTGAAGCCAAACTGGTTTTCTCACCGTTCCTGAACACTGACCAAGTTTTCGTGCCTCTGGGCATCTTCTCTTTTTCTGATTGGTATGTTCTCTTGGTTTCTCACCTGCTTCTAATGCTAGCCATCCTTCAAGCTTCTCCTATGACCCTAGTCAGAAGCTATGCTTTTCCTCTTCTGGGCTCCTGTAGCCATCCTTGATTGTGAGAGCAACTTGGCATTTATATATGCACACTCCTGATATTTACTCTATTGTCCTCTAGGAAGACCACCAGCTTCCATGACATCTGGAGGCAGGTAGACCAAGCTTTTGCCTTGGCTTTGCCCCTAGCCAGGTAGCTAATTTTGGGTCAGTCACATTCTCTGTCGGGATCTCTTTTCCCTCGCCTGTTACAAAGCTGGGCTGGATGAGTTCCTGTCTAGTTCAAACATCCCCTGGCCTGTGGGTCAATAGTATCCACAGCTCCTCTCTCAGCTTTGTTGGCCACTGCCTGCCACAGAGCTTGGCATTCAGGGGATGCTTAATAAATATGTAATGAATAAATGATTGAATGAATTTGTACGTGTGTCAGATCTGAAAGAGACATAGCATCAGGGCTTGGCAAATAGTGAAAGCTAAAAAAAATCTGAGCAGCTGAATGAGTGAATGAATGAAGGAGGGGAAGTTACAGATCAGTTGGTCCAATCAATTCATTTTATAGATGAGAAAACTAAGATATAAAACATTCTCAGAGGGGAGTTTATGGCTCATCTTTTCATCTGAGTGAATAAACAGAGCCCATTAACACCCCAAACTGAATATGAAGTGCAAACGCTATAAGGCAAAACATCAATTAGCACACATGTTGTCCTTTCATTGAAAAGCTTCTTGAATGCACACATTTGAGGAAGAACTCCCTTAATAGCCCTCTTTGGAGAGTGGAAAGATTGCTGGACCCTGTGAAAGAAGATGTGGCCTCTGCTTATGGCTCTTGAGCCTTCTCTCACATTGATTTATCTTCCTTCTTAAAAACAAAAACAAAACCTGGAAAGTACAGTGGATGATTTAACAAACACTCATAATCTAACAGTCCAGAATTAAAAATGGTTTTGTCCTATTTGCTTTTCATAGGAGATAGAAACTCTTATAAGTAAAGATAAGCCTCATTTTCAGCCCCGTGCACTGACCCAGTCCTTCTCTCCCTACAGGCAGTTACTACCCTCAATTTTATATCCTTCTGCTCCTTTTTTCCTCCTCTTGTTTTTGAATACAGCTTTGTATTTTGTCTCTTTGAATTTTCATATTAATAATGTTTTATTAAGGTACAATTTATATACAGTAAAAGATAAAATCTTAAGTGTACTTAACATACATTTGACATCAAGACAGAACCTATTTCAGCTGGGTGTGGTGGCTCATGTCTGTAATCCCAGTACTTTGGGAGGCTGAGGTAGGCAAATCGTTGAGCTCAGGAGTTCGAGACCAGCCTGGGCAACATGAAGAAACCCTGTCTCTACAAAAAATTACAAAAATTAGTCTGGTGTAGTGGTGTGCACCTGTAGTCCCAGCTACTTGGGAGACTGAGGTGAGAGGATCGCTTGAACCTGGGAAGTCAAGGCTGCAGCGAGCTGTGATTGCTCCACTGTATTCCATCCTGGGCAACAGAGTGAGACCCTGTCTCAAAAAAATAAAAAAATGAAAACTATTTCTCTCACTCCAGAATTTTTCCTTGGGTCCCTTTATTGATAGTATGATCTCCCCTAAGAGTTAGCCTAATTTTTATTACAATAGATAGTTTTGCCTGTTCTTGAACATGGTGTAAATGCAGTCCCATAATATACACTCTTTTGTGTGGCTTCTTTTGTTCAACATCATGATTTTGCAAGTCATCCATATTGATACTTGTCTCAGTAATTTATACCCTTTTATTGATGGATACTATTTCATTGTATGAATATAGGACAATTTGTTTATCCCATAACTATGTATTTTTATATATTTAAAAATATCATTGTAGGACTGTTTTCTGGGCAGTCTAGGACCAACCGAGTTTCCAACCTCATTTCAGTCTTTTGCTTGTAGTTCTCAAGAATAACTGCAGAAGGTGCTGGGAATTCAACATCCTGAGATAAGGAGAAACTGGCCAGAAGAGCCTGGGCTCCTCCAGTCCCTGCTAGAAACAGGATGTCCTTTAGCACTTCAGCGCAATGATCCTGTGACTTCTGGGGTATAGAACCCAGGGTGGGCTGCTTTCTAGGGTGCCCAGCTGTGGTGTAAGCGGGGCATGAGAAGATGAGATGAGACTCCATCTGCATGAGCAGCTTTCCTGAGCCTCGGGGGAACCAGCTTGTCATGAATCCTAGTCTTCTGTTGTCGCTTGCTGTCTGTCTGTAAATAATAAGCCTGCTTCATGTCAGTTGCATGTGTGAGTGTTCCGTCTTCTCACTGAACTCACACAAGTAGCAAAAGTGCAGCCCCAGATGCAGGGGGTTGAACCTGCCTCCTAAGCATGTCCAGCATGTCTGCTTTTATAGTGGAAGTGGGGATTATGTATGTGAACTTTCCTGATTTTCTTTTTCCTTTTCTTTTTTTCTTTTTGAGATGGAGTCTCACTCTCTCCCCAGGATGGGGTGCAGTGGCACGATCTCGGCTCACTGCAACCTCCACTTCCTGAGTTCAAGTGATTCTCCTGCCTCAGCCTCTGGAGTAGCTGGGACTACAGGCACGTGCCACCAAGCCCAGCTAATTTTTGTATATTTAGTAGAGACGGGGTTTCACCATGTTGGCCAGGATGGTCTCGATTTCCTGATCTCGTGATCCACCCGCCTTGGCCTTCCAAAGTGCTGGGATTACAAGCGTGAGCCCGGCCCTTCCTGACGTTCTTAACTCTTAGAAGCATTTGTTTCTTTCTCTGTGAAATGATTTTGCTGAATAAATGTGCCCTGTGAGACATTTCTCGAAAGAAAACATACCAGCAGCCAACACACTTATGGAAACATGCTCAACATCACTAATCATTGGAGAGATGAAAATCAAGGGCCTGGCGCAGTGGCTCACGCCTGTAATCCCAGCACTTTGGGAGGCCAAGGCGGGCGGATCATGAGGTCAGGAGATCGAGACCATGCTGGCTAACACGGTGAAACCCCGTCTCTACTAAAAAAATAGAAAAATTAGCCAGGCATGGTGGCGGGCGCCTGTAGTCCCAGCTACTAGGGAGGCTGAGGTGGGAGAATGGCGTGAACCCGGGAGGCGGAGCTTGCAGTGAGCCGAGATGGCGCCACTGCACTCCAGCCTGGGCGACAGAATGAGACTCCTTCTCAAAAACAAAAGACAAGAAAAGAAAAAACCACAATGAGATACCATCTCACACCAGTCGTAATGGCTACTATTAAAAAGTCAAAAGACAGTGGATGCTGGTGGGAATGTAAATTTGTTCTGCCACTGTGGAAAGCAGTTTGGAGATTTCTCAACAACTTAGAACAGAACTACCATCTGACTCAGCAATCCCATTACCAGTTATATACCCAAAATAAAATAAATTGTTCTACCAAAAACACATATGCGCTTATATGTTCATTGTAGCACTGTTCACAATAGTAAAGACATGGAATCAACCTAGGTGCCCATCAGTGGAGGACTGGATAAAGAAAATATGGTAAATATACACTATGGAATACTATGAAGCCATAAAAAAGAACAGAATAATGTCCTATGCAGCAACATGGATTCAGCTGGAACCTGTTATCCTAAGCAAATTAATGCAGGAAGAGAAAACCAAATACCCCATATTCTCACTAATAAATGGAAGCTAAACATTGGGTACATATGGACATAAAGTTGGGAACAATAAACACTGAGGACAGCTAAAGAGGGAGGGGGGTCAAGGGCTGAAAGACACCTATTGTGTGCCATGTGCACTATCTGGTTGATGGGACCAGTCATACCCAAACTTCAGCATCCTGCAATATGCCCCTTTAACAAACCTGCACATGTACCCCCGAATCTAAAATAAGAGTTGAAATTATGTATTAAAAAATTAAAGTTAGGCCTGTTCCTGTCCCCACTAAATAGATATTAAATAAATATTTAAAGAATATCTACTTGAGGTCAGGTGTGGTGGCTCATGCCTATCATTCTGGCACTTTGGGAGGCCAAGGTGGGTGCATCGCCTGAGTCCAGGAGTTCGAGACCAGCCTGGGCAACATGGTGAAATTCTCTACAAAAAATGAATGAAATTAGCCTGGTATGGTGGCACATACCTACTACTCGAGAGGCTGAGGTGGGAGAATCACCTGAGCCTGGGAAGTCGAGGCTGCAGTGAGCTGTGATCATGCCATTGTACTCCAGCCTGGATGTCGAAGTAAGACCTTGTCTCAAAAAACAAAACAAAACAAAACAACAACCACCTTCCTCCCCCCACCCCCCAAAAAACTACTTGAAATGGCAATAAACTATTAGTCTGTGCAATGTAGTCTCACGTTCCAGGCAGATTCTGTGTAATCCTTGACTAAGCATGTCCAAGCCTCTGAACTAGCATAGCAGCTATAGTTGGAAATGATATAGACATTTAAAATCAATAAAATACTAAGACCCTGAAAAAAATTATGCCCTGTGAAGGGACCATTCCCAGACTGATTCTGGAATAACCTGGAGCCATGTTTTCTGGCCTTCAGAAACGCCCGGGGGGGCTTAAAAGTCATCCTTAAGATTCAGAGTCAGCGGGTTTGGGATGGAGTTCAGGCGTTTTTTTTTTTCAAGTTACACGTGGTTAAAAATTACTGTCTGAAAGTCTCCAATAATTTTAATAGCTCTTGTGAAATTTCAAAAGAAGTACTCAAAGAATTTCCTCTACTGGGGAGGGTGAGGTAGGAGGAGCTCTTGAGCCCAGGAGTTTGAGGGGGCAGTGAGCTATGATCGCCACTGCACTCCAGCTTGGGTGACAGAGTGAGACCCTGTCTCTTAAGAAAAAAAAGCCCCAACAATGCAAGACCTATGGCAAGCAAATAGGTAATAAAGTGGCAGGTATTACCAATCACTAGGAGGAGGAGGGGATGTTTTAAAATCAAACCAAGCTCTTTAGGATGTGTTGGAAAAGTCCCTGGCCTGGCTCTGGGAGATCTGGGTTCTGGCTCCAGCTGTGTGACTTTGGGCAAGTTGCTTACTATCTCTGGGCCTCAGATTCTCCCATTAGAATAAGAAGAGCTGGGGCTAGAAAGTTCCTGAGATTCTCTCCAGCCCCTTTTCTCAGTGCTTCTCAGATACAAGAGGAGGCCTGCATGAAGGAATTTGGCCCAGCACTCATCCTTATTGTGGATAATACCCATGGGAGGGGTGCCTCCTTCCTGCTAGATTAATTTTATTTGTGACAGGCCTATGAAGCAAGGTAAATCCTTTGATTCACATGGATCCTTTGCAAGAAAAAACATGTAGTTTGGAGCAGTGAGAAATATAAAAACACTGCTAAGTCTGTGAGAGGGATTTGCACGCTACTGCAACATTGGTTCATGCCTCTGTACGTGCAAGGGAACAGCTTATGATTTGCCTGCAGGAATCAGAATTGCCCATCCACAGCATGTAACTGCACCGACATGTGTGCCTCATCTAGAATTATAGTCTGCAGAAACTAGCATGGTGTCAGGCACATAGCTGGTGCTCAATAAATACCTGATAACTAAACAATCTATTTGGAGGTACTTTGAGGACTCTCCTTCTTCAGTCTGGGGAGAGACAGTCGTTGATCCCCCTGCTGTCACCACACAATTTATATTTGAGTAATGGACTTCACTGCTTGCTGCTGCTTTACACCCACAGAGGGAGGGTTTGAGGAAATAGGTATGTTTGGGGTGGGTGTAGAGAGTCGGGGGCAGAATTCATACACAAGTTTTCTTGGATCCAAATTACCCTCAATCTGAGAAAGGGGGTGGACATTATGAGAATCCTTTTTGAAAAGCAGCCTCTTCCCCAAAGATATCTAGAGCAAGCAGTTTCATTTAAAAAGGCTTTCTTGATTTTTCTGGTCCTCCCCCGCCTTTGCTTTTGTAGTTAACATTTACATACTAATAAAGTGTGAATATATTGGTACAACAAACACTTGGCATTTGAGAAAACAAAGGTCAGCAGATATTAATCTAAAACAAATACTAGCTAATGGTTTTTTAAACCATTTTTTAAACAGATAAGGAAATTTGGGCAAAAGAGAAAAGAAGTGTCTTCTCATCTAACTACCTGCCAATTGTATGGAGAAAAACCTCAGTCTCCTATAGGAAAAAAAATCGTCTGAATCAATAATGACTGAGGAATAACCATAACTGATTAGAAAGCTTGTGGGTCTCCTTTCATCTTTAAAAAAATTGTGGTAAAAAATCATGTAACATAGGTAGGGTATGGTGGCTCATGCCTGTAATCCCAGTACTTTGTGGCTAAGAGGGGAGGATTGCTTGAGCCTAGGAGTTCGAGATCAGCCTGGGCAACATAGGGGGACCCCATCTCTACAAAAAAATAAAAAAATTAGACTGCCATGGTGGCACCTGCCTGTAGTCCCAGCTACTCGGGAAGCTGAGGTGGGAGGATTGCTTGAGCCCCGGAGGTCAAAGCTGCAGTGAGCCATCATGGTGCCACTGCACTCCAGCCTGGGCGACAGAGTGAGACCCCATCTCTTAAAAAAAAATGGAACAAAAAGTTCTCCATTCCAACCACGATTAAGTGCACAGTTCAGTAGCATTCTGTATTCATGTTGTCATGCAATAGATCTCCAGAACTTTTTCATCTTGTAAAGCAAACTCTGTACTTCTCTTTAACTTTTGAATGCTGGAAAAAAGCAAGATAAACATGTTCTGAAAGGGATGAGTTATGTCTGCATGTTGTGAGAATCTGGCTTTACTCAAGGGATGGAAAGGAGAAAATTAACTAAATTAATATTTATTGAACACTTGCTAGCTAGGTGCCAGTCCCTGTCAGATAACATACTCTGCTCCTCTGCAGTTCTGAGATCCCACATGTCTTGTTTTTGTTGATCTTGTTCACATGAAGATGTTACAGGAGGGTGTAATTCTCCCAAATTTTTTTTTTTTTTTGCTAAACCCTGACTATGCATATGATACATAGAATCTGGAGCACTTGACAGGTTTTTCCAGGACTCTGAGCATCAGTTTTGCTCACCAGTCCTGCTCACCAGACCCACAGAGGAGCCTGGGGCTGGTGGAGGTGGGGCAGGACTCATTGCCTAGTAGCTGTGCTGACATAGGCAGAAGAATTGCTACCGTACTCAGGTCCTGGTTGTGTGGCTTTTCAACTTCTTTATTCCTTGCTCTATTTCAACCAAGCTTGTGGTTGTGGGTTGAGAAACAAATACTACTCAACCATTTAAAGAACTGATAAGGACATTTGAGCGAAGGGGAAGAGAAGGTAGAACATTAGAGTGAAGCTGTGTTTGCCACACAGTCTCTACCCAGCTTTCTGATTCTGGAGATCTAAGTCTAGTTTCTTCTTAAGAGGAGCACCTACTATGTGAGATTTAAATACTCTGAGCTTCAGTTCTCCATTTATAACATGAGAGCTGTTAATTTTTATTTTATTTCTTTTTAGACACAGGGTCTTGCTCTGTCGCCCAGGCCAGAGTGCAGTGGTGTGATCAAGGCTTGCTGCATCCTCAACCTCCTGGGCTCAAGTAATTCTCCTGCCTCAGCCTCCCAAGTAGCTGGGACTACAGGCATGAGCCATCATTTTGGGCTAGAAGGGGACTGTTAAAAGATAAACTTTTACATTCCAATTTTTCTGTATGTAAAAAAATGATGATAAACTTTGGCACATGGAAATTTTAAACAGTTTTTTTAAGCAGACAGTGATTCATGAAACAGGCAAACTAGAAGTGGGTAAGGGCTCTCCCTAAGAGGCATGAGGAGAAGGCTTTTGTAGGGTAACTGCAGAAACACAGCGAAGAAATTATTTGCTTGGTTAAAGTTTGAGCAGTTTCTCTATTTGGACTATCCTGGTGGGAAGTTCAAGACAATATAACTAATCCCAGTTGGCTGTTTGTAAGTTTGCTAGCCTGTTTTGCTTTCTTTTAAATTCTGAGTTTGGTTTTGGTTTGCTTATGTAGGAAGACAGGGTGTCAGAGTACGCAGTCCAGTGGTTTCCCATTTAATTATTTTTAATAGAACCAAACTCTTTACCTCCAAGGGTCATGAGAATTACATTAGAAAGCACTATATAAATAAATTATTGTTATCATAACAGAGATTCCTTTTTTCAACCCAGCTCAGTCAGCATCTGCTAAAAATGAATTATATAGACGAAATTTTTAAGCAAGTGGGCACATTTGCAGCAGTAGGCAATTTCCTTAGCCTTTTTGAATTGTGGATGTTTTTTTCCATCAAGTCATTACAGAATGATCTGCAGAACAGAATTTACAATGTTTTGACAAACTACACACACACAAAAAAACCCCTGAGAGTTAGTTCTAAATATCCAGGTCTCCAGGTATCACTCTTTCAATATTTCCTGAAATTTTTAATGGAAGTTCTCTACATGGTTAGGTAGGGAAGTTTGTGCTTCAGTGGAAATTTATGCATTGTTTAGAGCATACTCTTTCAGGTTATTTTATTCTGATTATATGGGAGCTTTGCACCTGTTATAAATGGAATTCTGTCCCCCCGGAAGTAATATGTTGAAGTCTTAACTCCCAGTATCTCAGAGTATGACCTTGTTTGGAATTAGGGTCTTTGCAGATATAAGATGAGGTTATACTGGAATAGGGTGTTCCCCTAATTCAATATGACTGGTGTTGCTATAAAAAGGGGAATTTGGATGTGAACACACACAAGGAGAATGCTGTCATGTGAAGATGAAGGCACAGATCTGGGTGATGCCTCTATAGCCCAAGGAATATAGCAGATTGCCTGCAAACCAACAGAACTTAGATGGGAGGTATGGAATGGATTCTTTCTCACAGACCTATTGACACCTTGATAGTGGACGCTCAACCTTTAGAACTGTGAGGCAATACATTTCTGCTTTTCAAGCTTCCCCATTTGTGGTACTTTGTTAAGGCAGCCCTAGTAAAGGAATACATTGCCTTTGAGTTATTTTAACCTCAAAATTGTAGGTAACTATTAGCAATGCAAAATAATTATTGTCTATAGACATGCAAATTTTGTCCTCTCCACGTAGAGACTTAACTGGCTTCTTTCCCCTACTGTGAAAGAAGACAGTTTTGCTTTCATTTGCATGTTCATTTCGATATTCTTCATCTATAAACGTGTCTGCTCTTTGGTTTGTCCTTTGAGTTGGTTGTTAACATCTTAGTTGTTCCCTCATTTGGTCATGAATCAAATAAAATCTTGAACACAAGTTTAGTTTATATCTATATGAGTCTCATGATTTTACATTTTTTTGGGGGAAAATTATCTTTTAACAGTTCCTTATTATCGCAGAGTTCTTCCATGTGTTTATTTTATATACTTATTTATTAAAAAAATTTTTCTTTTTCTGTTTTTGATAATAGTGTTCCAATGAGTCAGAGACAGATGCATCTATGCTATATTGATGAAGGGTCATCTGTGGGACACAATAGCTCTCATTATACTTGAAGCTGCTATTATCACTTGAAGGAGGAAGCAGTCATTCCACGTTTCTTCTAGCAGCTGTCAGTTACAGAGAGACAGAATTTGGTTCAACAAGAAGATAAACTTGCTGATCGTCAGAGCTAAGACAAAATTAACTGTCTTGGAAGTGAAAAGTTTTTGTGATTGGGTGGTGCAGGGGGGTTGTCTGCCCTTTTGGTGGGCTGTCGTATCAACGTTTAAAGATCAAAGTGTCGGCTGGAAGTTTTAGGTCCCTCCTGGGCATGAGAATCAATAATCTGAAGATATAAAGACAGACGTTAACATCCTCTCCTCTGCCTCTTCTCTTACTTCCATATCTAGCACTCTCTTGCCTTTGCTAAACAATTCCAAGTCCTTTCTCCCCGATTCTGTAGTCCTGTAACCTCTCAGCCAATCTCTCATTTTCTCTTCAATCTTGAGACATCTTTGGTTTTTTTTTTGGAGGAGGGTACTGCTTTCTCATCATTAGCTTGAGTTCACCAGACTGCCTTCCAGACTGAGTCAGGATGGAACATTTGGAGCCTGTCCTCTGAGCCTGGGCCTGGGGGCTTCTAGTGCAGCAGGTTGTCCGTGACAAAGATGTCACTGATAAGTGGCTAAGAGACACGGTGAATGGGGTGTTACTGCCTGACACACTGTCTGGGGCTGCGATCTAGCAAAAACTTGGAAGGTATAATTAATGCCATACGTGTGTTGTGTAATGCCATAATAAATCTGCCTGTGATGGCTTCTCATGGGCGTTTTCTAACTCTTGGTGTTAAGCTTCATGAGTTCCCATCACTGCTTTCCAGGCATGTCATCATTTCCAGCTTATAATTTGCAAAATGAGAGAGACACCTATTAGCAGGGAGCCAGTTAAGGTTACATCAGTGACTTCATTATACACCACACCTCTTGCAGGTTTATAATTATGCAGTTAAAAAATGAAAAAAAATTGCCAAAGGCAGTTGCTTGACATAAATATATAGATCCAGTCCACAAGAATTATTGATATAATTTTGTTTTGCCTTCTTTTATTAAAAAAAGTAGATTAAAAAAAGCAGTGAGCATCTTTATCTGTGTGCACGGAAATTCCAACGTAGTTTCAATGCATGAAGTTTATGGGTGTAACACGGGTTTTATCTTGGATCTTTTAAAAAACTTAATTTGGGGACGGGTGCAGTGGCTCACGCCTGTAATCCCAGCACTTTGGGAGGCCGAGGCAGGCGGATCACCTGAGGTCAGGAGTTCGACACCAGCCTGGCCAACAAGTGAAACCCCTTATCTACTGAAAATACAAAAATTAGCCGGGTGTGGTGACACGCACTTGTAATCCCAGCTACCCTGGAGGCTGCGGCAGAATTGCTTGAACCCAAGAGGTGGAGGTTGCAGTGAACCGAGATTGTGCCACTGCACTCCAGCCTGGGCAACAGAGCGAGACTCGGTCTCTTAAAAACAAAAAACAAGAAACAAAAACAAAAAACTTAATTTAGCTTTGGCAGGCAGCAAGTCACTCTTGCTGTAATGGAAGGTGAACCCTCTGTCCATTTATTGTTGAGGATCATTATTCTTCCAGGATGCTGCTATTAAAGATTGCGTTGCAGATTCAAAGGGTGATGGTGAGACACAGATTTGACCAAGGGCAGGCAGCTGGTTCTGAGTCCTTACTAGGGGCAAGTATAGGGGCCCTGTTACCTAAACAATGATCTGTAAGCTTGAGTCAAGTAG
Source organism: Homo sapiens (assembly GCF_000001405.40). NCBI lineage: Eukaryota > Metazoa > Chordata > Mammalia > Primates > Hominidae > Homo > Homo sapiens. The sequence continues at coordinate 51,476,970 of NC_000017.11, forward strand.
CATAATGCTGTGATATGCTAGCATGACATCAAATCAACCAGAAAGACAGTAATTCAGCAAGTCCACAGGCAGCTGGCCATCTTTCTTCATCCACGGAGAAGCTCCTTTCCCTTTATTCCCATCTAATGTGAACCCTCACCTCATTAGCCAGAGGTCCACAGTCAGTGCTAGCCATGCAGAGCTCAGTGACCACTGGGGAGTCTGCAGTATTGAGCTCTCAGAGCCAGAGTTCCCTCCTTCCCTCTTTCTGCTGACTCTTTACTGGGAAACTCATGTCTATCAGGTCCAAGTCCTTGGATATCCTCCCTCAATTTACTGGTTATTCCATCATGTCTCATTACACCTCCATTACAATGAGAAGAGTTGCTTAGGGGTTTCTTCTCCTAGGAGAAACGTATTACATCTCTTCATGGGATTTCTGGCTAATCCATTAACTCAAGAAAATTGCTGGCTCCAAGGGTATTCACACTGTAAAACATCTCTTTTTCTTTTCAAATAAGTGTTTAACTTCATAAATCATGTATCCCAAAGAGAATCATTTTCACACCTTATGAAGATCACCAAAGAGAAAATATTATGTCTCCTTTTATTTTTCTTTGCAATTTGAGAATGTATTTATCTCTTTAGGAGTCATGATTATGAAAAACTCAAGGTAAATGGAGTTCTTATAACCTATGTCTTATTTCACCACTAGTTTACATGATCATCTCTGAGCTTAATTTCAGGTTAATTTCTCTCTGATGGTCATTTAGTGAGAGCTCCCAGTGATCTGCTTCCAGGTTTTACAGTCAAGTTGTTAATGATCCATAAACCAGCCCTTTAATTTACTGAAGACTTGGTATTTTTCATGTAAAGACATTTCAAGGCAAAAAGAGTTCTGGAATGCAACGGATCATACCTAGTTTCTATTTTATAAAATCAGATGCATGTCTATTAGTTGTTGTGTAATGGCATGTGGGAAAAACTGGGCGTCAGGAAACCTGGGTTTTAGACCTGACTTTGCTGCTAATATGGAATAGAATCAGTGTCTGACGATATTTGACATAATCCTGATACTCCCATCTTTGTCTATGGCAGACATTGCTAATCAATCAAGATAAGATTTCAAGTGGAGCCCAGAGACAGCCTCAGAATTCTTCTCAAAGTGGCTCTCTAGGCTGCTCCTGCTGATTGATTAGGATTACTAGAGATGAAAACTACTTGCCACTTTAGGGCAAAGCAATTCTCTTTTGTCCAAAATTCTATTGTTGTGTATACATATAATCAATGTTCTTTCTGGGGGAAAAAGATAAATTAATAGAAGAATACTTATTTTTTTTCTACCCGAAGAACTTTGGATTTTCAAAGGTCAGAACTTTGATGGGGTCTTCATGAGATGTGCTGGAAGCTCAGGAACTTGGCTCCTTGGGAGGTGCAGGAGGTCAGGGCTCAGACAGAGGCTGAGGACACTCACCCAGCTGCACTGAATAGATTTGATAAGAGTGGCTTGGAGATACAATAGCCAATGTGGAAATCAAATAGATTTGATAAGAATGGCTTAGAGATCCAATAGCCAATGTTGAAATCAAACAGAGTTGATAAGGGTGTCTTAGAGATCCAATATTCAATGTTGAAATCCCTATTTAAGCTTGTGTTAGCAGGTGTTGGAATTCAGGGAGCCCAGTTTTGGGCAGGAAAGTGGGCATGTAAGCAGAAGATGATAGAGCTTCAAGAGGGTGAGGTGTCCATTTTCACATCTACACATAGCAAGTTCATAACTTGTTTACAGGGGTACAAACAGCAGTGTTCAGCTTCCAGAGAGAGATGGGGGCTGGCAGATCCAAGGCAGGTGTCCAAGTCCTAGCCAAGAGGGTATGCTTGAGTGAGGGCTAGAGTTGAGATGGGGAGCTTGCAAGGAAAAGCTGCTTTATTCAGGGTTTACCCCCAGCACACTCAATACCAGTTTCAGGGCAGAGATGTTATTTACACCTGCCATTAGACCTCAAAGGGAGAGTCTGAGGAAAGCTGGGGTCATTACCGATATTGGCAAGTGTTTAGATTTCACAGCACTCACGTGCTGGGACTTTGTGCACAAATAACCAAGGATCTGTCTGACTTGCAAACAGGTCCTACACTGATGCCAACTCTCTCAGAGTCAGACTTAATAAAAAAGTGTCTGGAGTTCAGGGCGCGGGTGTCTTCCATAGGCTATTTCAGAGCTGCTGGAGGCTGAGGACACATAACTCTTATAAAGCTTATGGGAAAATTTTTTGATTGAATTGGATCTGGAGACTGAGTCCAGTGAGAAGTTTTGATGGCGGGTTTCTTTTCCCAGTTGTCTCTTGATGTGCTGTGGGAACTGAGCTTAATTAAAGACCTCATGCTGGAGATGGAGCTGTCCAGGAAACCTAAGTAGCCTCACATGCTCTTTCATAGTCATTGCCACTTAACACAGAGGAAAATCTGCCCCCACCCCCCACCCCCACCCCTTGGCCTGGATTGGGAATAGGACTCTTTTTCCTTTTTTTTTGCACCCAATTATGTGCTGCCTGCTTTGGGTCTGTTTGTAGTAAGATCTGGATCAGATCAGGTTGCGGCTCCGCTGTGCTCATTTGCTTAGTGCAGGGAATCTCAGTCCTGGCTGCATGTTAGAATCACCAGAGGAGCTTCAGACGGCAATCCTACGCCTGGACCCACCACAAAGATTTTGATTTAATTGGTCTGTGGGCCTGGGTGTTTTTTGTTTGTTTGTTTGTTTGTTTGTTTTTTTAAGTGTCCCAGATTAGTGTAATTCGTATGAGGGTTGAGAGCCTTAGTGAGAATCTCTGGGATAGTAACTAGGCTCTGAAAACAGTGGCTAGTTCAGAAAATGGCTGGAGTTAATTAAACGAGAAAAAGAAGGTTTTAAAAGGGGACATTTAAAAGGGGACAATGCCAGACACAGTGGCTGACACCTGTAATCCTAACACTTTGGGAGGCAGAGCAGGAGGATCGCTTGAGGCCAGGAGTACAAGACCAGCCTGGGCACTATAGCAAGACCCTGACTCTATCAAAAAAAATTTATAAAAAATAAATTAAATACATTATAAAAAGGGGGGCCTACAGTCTGACCATCCTACAGTCTGACCTTACAGTCTGACCACCCTAATGTGCTAAGGGAGTCATTTGAAACAGCCAAACTCATTAGAAAATACAGTTTTATTTGTTCTCCCACCAGTAGGCTGAGTGGTGGGAGAAGAGTTTATGTGTGGCAAAGCCATCTTAGGCCACTCTATAGAGGAGTCCACTTTGATATAGCTAATTTATTCCCAGGTCTCTCTTTCCTGTTCCAAACCAACATTTAATGCTGGTACTGTATTTTTACAGTACTTTATTGAGGAAAAATTTACATACCAAAATGCATACATCTTGAGTGTACAGCTAGGATGAATTTTTATCATGCGGCCACCACCCATATGAAGATTTAGTTATAGAAATAGTTGCCTTGTGCCCCTTTCTAGTTGATAACCTGGCCAGCGTTAACCTCTCCTCTGATAAGAAATTCACTGTCATTTGTCTTGGCTTTCATAGACAAGGTATTGTTTTCTCTGGTTGTTTCAAGGTTTTTTCGTTCTCTTTAGTTTTCACAAGTTTAATTATGATGCATCTTGGAGCAGATTTCTTTGGGTTTATCCTGTTTGAGATATGCTAAGGTTTCTGAATCTGTAGTTTATGTTTCTTGCAAAATCTGGGAAGTTTTCAGCCATTACATTTTCGAGTGCTTTTCCAGCCCCGCCTTCTTTTTCTACTCTTTTCAGGACTCCCATGACATGCAAGTGGGGTCTTTTGTTACAGTCCGATGTCCCCGAGTTTCTGTTCATTTCTTTTTTCAGCCTAGTTTTTCTTTGTTGAGGTTATGTAATTTCTACCTTCTTGTTCACCGATTCTTTTCTCTGTTCTCTCCATTCTGCCATTGAGGCCATCGACTGAGCTTTTTATTTCCGTTATTGTATTCTTCAGTTTTAAAATGTCCCTTTGGGTCTTTTTTATATCTTCTATTTTTTTGCTGAGACTTTCTATTTCTCTGTTAAGACTTTCAACTTTTTTCATTTGTTTCAAGAGTGGATGTAAATGCTTCACTGAAGCACTTTTAAAACCATTTTTATTAAAACAATAAAAAACAAAAGAGATGAAGTCTTGCTATGTTGCCCAGGCTGGTCTCAAACTCCTCCCACCTCCCAAATGTTGGGATTACAGTTATGAGCCATCATATCTGGCTTGTTGAAGTACTTTTTAAAAAATCACGGTTGCATTAAGATCTTTGTTAGATTATTTTAACATCTCTGTTATTTTGGCATTGGAATCTATTGTCTTTTTTTCACATTCAGTTTGAGATGTTCTTGATTCTTAGCATGGAGAGTGATTTTCTATTGAGACCTGATTTTCATATTATATCTTAAAACTCTAGATCCTTTTTAAAACTTCTGTTTTAGTTGGCTTTCTCTGACATTGCTCTGGCTGGGGAAAGGGAAACACCAGCTCATCCTGACAGCTGAAGTTATAATTCTAGTTTCCCTGCTTAACCTCTGTGGACTGCCAGGGTGTGTGGGTGGTTTCTTGTTACCTCTGAGTAGGAGTGCAAGTGTAGGCTCCCTGTGTGGTCTACACTGATCCTGTGGTCAGAGGAGGCTCATTGCGAGTTGTCAGGGATGAAAGTCGTGGTTTCTTGCTTGTCCTTCTCTGACCCTAACCTACCCTGGCAGGGGCATTGGAGTGTTTTGTTGTAGTAAGAGTGGAAGCCCAGACTTTTCATTTGGACTTTACTGATGTGGGTGGAGTATGCTCACAGGTTTTTTTTTTATGGTGTTTGATCGAAGCAAAGTCATTTTTGTCTTTAAGTTTTCTGTCTGCTAGGATGCCCCTTTTCTGCTTTTTTGGCTGCAGCGGTCAGGCTCTTGCCAAGGCTTTTGTTTTTTGTGCCTGTTGGCATTTCTGGATTGCTAGCTTTTTTTGGCTCCAAGTCAGATATAGGAGGCAAAAAGAAAAGCCACAGAACTCACCACTAACTCACTCCTTGGATCCTGGGGTCCTTAGCCAGTCTGCCTTTTATTCATCTTTCTGAATCTTTTTATATTTTACTTATATATAATGTTCAGTGTTTTTAGTTGTACTTAGCAGAAAAAATAGAAAAATGCTGGAGGTGGGAGTTTTATTTTTCCTTTATTTTTGAAGCATACTTTTGCTGGGTATAGAATTTAATGTTGACAGTTTTTTTCCTTTCAAGCATTTAAAATATATAATTCTATTGTTCTCTGGCTTCCACTGTTTCTAAACAGAAGTCACTCATTGTTCTTATTATTCCCCTGAATGCAATATGTGTTTTTTTCTTCTGGCTGCTTTTAAGATTTTCTCTTTATCTTTGCTTTTCAACATTTGGCTGTGATATACTAGGTTTCTTTTTTTTTTTTTTTTTTTTTTTTGCAGTTTTATTTTATTTAATTTATTTATTTTATTTTTTATTTTATTTTTTATTTTTTTTAAGTTTTATTATTATTATTATTTTTTACATTTATTATTATTATTATTATTTTTATTATACTTTAAGTTTTAGGGTACATGTGCACATTGTGCAGGTTAGTTACATATGTATACATGTGCCATGCTGGTGCGCTGCACCCACTAACTCATCATCTAGCATTAGGTATATCTCCCAATGCTATCCCTCCCCACTCCCCCCACCCCACCACAGTCCCCAGAGTGTGATATTCTCCTTCCTGTGTCCTTGTGATCTCATTGTTCAATTCCCACCTATGAGTGAGAATATGCAATGTTTGGTTTTTTGTTCTTGCGATAGTTTACTGAGAATGATGATTTCCAATTTCATCCATGTCCCTACAAAGGACATGAACTCATCATTTTTTATGGCTGCATAGTATTCCATGGTGTATATGTGCCACATTTTCTTAATCCAGTCTATCATTGTTGGACATTTGGGTTGGTTCCAAGTCTTTGCTATTGTGAATAATGCCGCAATAAACATACGTGTGCATGTGTCTTTATAGCAGCATGATTTATAGTCATTCGGGTATATACCCAGTAATGGGATGGCTGGGTCAAATGGTATTTCTAGTTCTAGATCCCTGAGGAATCGCCACACTGACTTCCACAATGGTTGAACTAGTTTACAGTCCCACCAACAGTGTAAAAGTGTTCCTATTTCTCCACATCCTCTCCAGCACCTGTTGTTTCCTGTCTTTTTAATGATTGCCATTCTAACTGGTGTGAGATGGTATCTCATTGTGGTTTTGATTTGCATTTCTCTGATGGCCAGTGATGATGAGCATTTTTTCATGTGTTTTTTGGCTGCATAAATGTCTTCTTTTGAGAAGTGTCTGTTCATGTCCTTCGCCCACTTTTTGATGGGGTTGTTTGTTTTTTTCTTGTAAATTTGTTTGAGTTCATTGTAGATTCTGGATATTAGCCCTTTGTCAGATGAGTAGGTTGCGAAAATTTTCTCCCATTTTGTAGGTTGCCTGTTCACTCTGATGGTAGTTTCTTTTGCTGTGCAGAAGCTCTTTAGTTTAATTAGATCCCATTTGTCAATTTTGTCTTTTGTTGCCATTGCTTTTGGTGTTTTGGACATGAAGTCCTTGCCCATGCCTATGTCCTGAATGGTATTGCCTAGGTTTTCTTCTAGGGTTTTTATGGTTTTAGGTCTAACATTTAAATCTTTAATCCATCTTGAATTGATTTTTGCATAAGGTGTAAGGAAGGGATCCAGTTTCAGCTTTCTCCATATGGCTAGCCAGTTTTCCCAGCACCATTTATTAAATAGGGAATCCTTTCCCCATTGCTTGTTTTTCTCAGGTTTGTCAAAGATCAGATAGTTGTAGATATGCGGTGTTATTTCTGAGGGCTCTGTTCTGTTCCATTGATCTATATCTCTGTTTTGGTACCAGTACCATGCTGTTTTGGTTACTGTAGCCTTGTAGTATAGTTTGAAGTCAGGTAGTGTGATGCCTCCAGCTTTGTTCTTTTGGCTTAGGATTGACTTGGTGATGCGGGCTCTTTTTTGGTTCCATATGAACTTTAAAGTAGTTTTTTCCAATTCTGTGAAGAAAGTCATTGGTAGCTTTATGGGGATGGCATTGAATCTGTAAATTACCTTGGGCATTATGGCCATTTTCATGATATTGATTCTTCCTACCCATGAGCATGGAATGTTTTTCCATTTGTTTGTATCCTCTTTTATTTCCTTGAGCAGTGGTTTGTAGTTCTCCTTGAAGAGGTCGTTCACATCCCTTGTAAGTTGGATTCCTAGGTATTTTATTCTCTTTGAAGCAATTGTGAATGGGAGTTCACTCATGATTTGGCTCTCTGTTTGTCTGTTGTTGGTGTATAAGAATGCTTGTGATTTTTGTACATTGATTTTGTATCCTGAGACTTTGCTGAAGTTGCTTATCAGCTTAAGGAGATTTTGGGCTGAGACAATGGGGTTTTCTAGACATACAATCATGTCGTCTGCAAACAGGGACAATTTGACTTCCTCTTTTCCTAATTGAATACCCTTTATTTCCTTCTCCTGCCTAATTGCCCTGGCCAGAACTTCCAACACTATGTTGAATAGGAGTGGTGAGAGAGGGCATCCCTGTCTTGTGCCAGTTTTCAAAGGGAATGCTTCCAGTTTTTGCCCATTCAGTATGATATTGGCTGTGGGTTTGTCATAGACAGCTCTTATTATTTTGAAATACATCCCATCAATACCTAATTTATTGAGAGTTTTTAGCATGAAGGGTTGTTGAATTTTGTCAAAGGCTTTTTCTGCATCTGTTGAGATAATCATGTGGTTTTTGTCTTTGGCTCTGTTTATATGCTGGATTACATTTATTGATTTGCGTATATTGAACCAGCCTTGCATCCCAGGGATGAAGCCCACTTGATCATGGTGCATAAGCTTTTTGATGTGCTGCTGGATTTGTTTTGCCAGTATTTTATTGAGGATTTTTGCATCAATTCCCTTGTTCTGCATAGAGTTTGTAGAGCCTCCTGAATCTGGAGGTTGATAATTTTAATCACTTTTGGAAAATTCTTGGCTATCATTCAAACATTTCAAACATGAATTGGGACTCCAACTATACATTGGATATTGTCCCAGAGGTCTCTGATGCTTTTTTCTTTGCTTCCCCTATATTACTTTTTTCTCTCTATGCTTCAGTTTGGATAACTTCTACTAACCTGTCTTCAAGTTTATTAATCATTTCTTCTTTTTCTTTTTCTTTTCTCTTTTTTGAGACAGAGTCTTGCTCTGTTGTCCAGGCTGGAGTGCAGTGGTGCAATCTTGGCTCACTGCAACCTCCACCTCCCAGGTTCAAGCGATTCTCATGCCTCAGGCTTCTGAGTGGAGTAGCTAGGATTAGAGGCATGTGCCACCATGCCCAACTAATTTTTGTAATTTTAGTAGAGACAGGTTTCACCATGTTGGCCAGGCTGGTTTTGAACTCCTGACCTCAAGTGATCCTCCCACCTCGGCCTCCCAAAGTGCTGGCATTATACATGTGAGCCACCACACCTGGACAATCATTTCTTCTGATATGTCCAGTCTGTTGTTAAGGCTATCCAGTGATTTCTTCAATTCAGATATTTTATTTTTCAGTTGGTTTTTTCTTGGTTTCCGTTTATCTGTGGAAATTCTCCATCTTTTCACCCAATTTATTGATAGTGTCCTCTAGTTTATTTATCATATGAATAATAATTACTTTAAATATATTTTCTGTGTATTCTAACATCTTGATCATCTGTGAGACTACTTACTTGTGTTAACTACTTTTTCTTCTGGTTACGAGTCACATTATACGTAATAGAATAATAGAGTCTGAAGTAGATACTATTTTCCCCTAAAAGAGATTGTTCTTTCCACCATCAGGTAGCTAGGGCAAGGATTGGTTTCCTTTATCTACTTAGAAGTTGAGCTGGTTTGGGGCTTATTTGTTGCTTAATTTGCTAAAGCACCCCTAGTTTTAAACATCTTGATAGTAATCAAGTCCCTCCCTGTGGCAGAGCTTTGGAATATAAATACTGACATACCTCATAGATATTGCAAGTTTGGTTCCAGACTACTGCAATAAAGTGAATATCACGGAACTGTAATAAGTAGATATTCATCATAAGTGGTTTGAAACACTTTCTTCATTTTCTATTTACGGTAACATTAAGAATCGGAATTTAACAGCAGTGCCTTCTCAACACTCTATGGGTGAGATCTCTCTCCTTGAACTGTTTCCAAGACCCACACAGACCTGGAGAGCAGCCTAGTTCCAGTTCCTTTTATGAGGTGCACACAGAAGAGGGCGAGTCCACCATCAGGCTCTGCCATTGCTGCTGCTTCTTCATGTAACCTGCCTGTTTTATATCTGGTTGGTTGGCAATGATGTCATCCAATTACAGCCTTTCTGTTCTCCTTTTGGGTACCGAGAGTTGGTATGTCTAGATTCTCTAACAGAGACTTTACAAATAAACAAGTTCACAATAGAAAGATTATAGAACTCACAGGCATCCATTGACTTCCCTTTTGTAATTGGTGTGAATTAACAGGTTTTTTGGTCTTCTAGAGAATCTTTACCAAGTCCACAAAGGGTAGAAGTATTGTCATATGGCAGAGAGCCAAGGCTTCATCAAAAGCTCCTGTATTGTGATTAACTAAGTGTTGTCTCGATTCTAACTAGACTTAAATTCCTTGAAGGCAGGGACTGTGTTTAGTTCCCTCTTATATTCCCTGTGCTTGGCCCAGAACAGGGACTCAGTAAATATTTATTAAGTGAATTGGGAAGAGGCTAATTTTACTTTCTAGGAATAGCAATGCATATGAAATACAGGTACCAACAGTTTTGTAAAACACATAAAGTGAAAGGCCCAGACTGAGAGAGCAGCTAAAGGAATGGACCAAGAGGCTTATGCATCCCGCAAGAATTATTGTGCATGGAGATTATTGTGCATGGATTTTCTGACTTGAGGAACTAATTCTATGCACAGACATATTTCAAAAAAGATAAAACTGCCAAGATAATGACTGGTACATTATGGAGACATTTTCTAAGCCATTATATGTTTCTAGGAAATTATCTATAGTAACTAGAGAACCAGACATGAATCTGCACTAATTTGGCCAAAAAGCAGGAAATATCGAGGACACCGTGTTATCCTGGGAGAAATCTTGAGTGTCTGTTTACTAAAATAGTTTTGAATGTATTAGATGCTCTGGATGAAACCAAAAGGCTAAGTGGGATAAATATGTGAAGGCCTAAATTCCTCCTTAAAATGGAATCAAGAATGATACAGCCAGAGAGAGTGTGTTATGGTCTTAACAAGGCAGCTGCTGACTTCATTGCCCCTTTGCAGATGTTGTCAGCCCTGGGTGCACGCCGACTGGGGAGGGGAGTATAGGTGATTACAAAGCTTTAAGCTATTCATTTTTTTCCTGTTTTGTGCTGTAATATTTATTTTATTCATTATTATTTTATTTTATTTTAGATTCAAGGGGTACATGGGCATGTTTGTTACATGGGTATATTGCATAATGTTGGGGATTGGTCATCTAAGTTACCCATATTATTTTTACTTTACTGACATTATTTTATACATAAAAGATTCAATAGAAGAAACTTATTGCTCTCTGAATTTCCCAAGAAATTATTATTTATTTTATTTTATGATTATTACCAAAATAATTCTGTTATAGAGGAGGGGGGTATTATAAAATAATTTGTCCCAGGTGTCAAATATGCTAAGCACGCCCCCTATCAGAGGCCATGGAATTTCTGCCCAAGTTGTGAGAAAATGGTGAAAAGGAGGGCTATTTCTCCGAAGAGAGATGAGAACTTTTGCAGTTCGGTGCGTCTCTGGTAGTTAAGGTTAAGTCCATCACGTTAGAAGATTTTATCTTCCCCAGGTAATAATGTGTGTGTGTGTGTGTACTCAGATGGTTGATGGCCAATATCACAAAAAGGTGTGGTCTTCAAGATGATGAAGAGTTGTGCTGTTTATTTTTTAAGGGTATAACACAAAAAGGAAAAATGAGTAAGTGAATAAATAAAATGACTGAACAGTCACTGTGAATTCTGGGAGCTCTTCAGCGTTGTAAGCCGGGTTGTGTCACCATATGACTCTCTCTGCCTCAAGAGGGAGCTATTTTCAGAGTTCAGTCCAGGCAGGAAGCGAGTCCACCCACGAAGGCACCACCCTGTCACCTGAGTACGTGGAAGGCAATCACGGGCAAGAGTCATTGTCAGCACTGAGTCCTCATGTTAGAGAGACGGAGGGCGGCAACATCACAGACACGGCCGCCGTGTAGCACAGGGGGCTGCGGAAAGCAAAACCTTTTGCAACTGCCGGTGAATAAAAACCTAATACAAGTGATGGTCGAGATGTGTCTTTGCTAGTTAACGTATGTCTCAAGAGCAACAGGAATCCCCACCATTCTAGCAATTACTTTTCCTTGTGAGTATAACTGAAAAATTTAAGTGACTCTTACAAAAATGACTTACTGCTCACCCAATGAGCAATTTTTATTTTACACTGGCTATAAAATGTCCTGAAGCCATTTTACAAATTGCCTTTATTGTTATTATATAGAATGCATAGTGGAGTCTATTAGATTATAGATGCCAAATGTGACATTCCACCCTGAAATGTTTAATTCTCTGATAAGAACCATTACTTTCTGAGACATCTTCACTTTTTCTTCATTTTTATCATCAGCACCAGCAGCTGATTTTCTTTTTGGGAGCCACTTTGCACACAGAAACGAAATTTCAGTTACTTCATAAAACTTATGGTGTACATGGCAACAAGGAGAGAATGACCGATTCATGTCGAAATGCAGATTTGGGAATCCAAGCAGGTTTACTCACTAGTTAAGTTGATAACTTGGCTCAGACCACTGATCTTGTAGAATATAGGATTGAAATTTGTGCCTCAAAAAACAAAACAAAACAAACTGCAAAATAGTAGATGCCCTAGGCCTTCAGTGCCATTCAAGCGTGGTCAAAACTATAAGTGTTAAACCCAAAAGGGCTTGCAGTTTGACAAGTCTTCTGGAACTTAAAAATTGTATGTTGAATGGCTGCAAAGGCAGAGGATAAGTCAAAAGTAGCATTTGCTAAGAGCAACCTAACTATAAACAAAAGGATTTAGGACAGATAAGAACACTTGTGAGTGTGCTGGTGGGGAGTCACCAGGTTTGTACGGTGTGGGAAATGGGTGACTCAGGACGAGAATCCCCCACACATTCTCTGTTGTTTGTTGTGTATTGACAAGCAGAGTAATCCAGATGGTGTCCTTACCATGGAGAAGGAAGGTTGTTGACATTCTTAAGGAATTATTTTGTTGCCTTCATAAAGTTTCAAGGTTACAGAATGTTGGTCAAAAGTACAAAGTTTCGGTTAGGAGGAATAAGTTCTATTGCATGGCATGGGAACTATAGTTAGCAATAATGTATTCTCAGAACGTAAAGTAAAATTTAAAAAAAATATATTTTAAAATTGCTTAAAAAGTAGATTTTAAATGTTTGCGCCAGACCAAAAAAATGTGAAGTGGTAGATATGTTAATTAGCTTGATTTAATCTTTCCACAATGTATATATATATATATATCAAAACATTGCATTGTTCCCCATAGATATATACAATTATTATTTGTCAGTTAAAAATAACATTTAAAAAAGAATGTCTTTAGGTATTCTATGCGGATAGCCAAACTGGATGAATCTGAAATAATTGTTATGGCCAATATTCTGATCCATATCAGGAGCAAGTAAGAGGGTCCTCCTCTTTTTGCAGAATTTGGCTTCAGGGAGGTTTTGTTTTTCCTTTCCTCTCTGGGAGGCCTACCTATTACATACACCCTCCCAGCGGCATGTAGGGTGGAAACACTGAGAATAAGTTCTATTTGCGTACTTGTTTGACTTGCTTCAAGAAATTAAAATATCTGGGGATCTAAAGTTACACTGCAGCTCAGAGATTATTTATATAACAACAGGTTCCTTTAAAAATCATCACTCAGTGTACTTAAATAAGTTTGGGGCCAGGTGCGGTGGCTCACGCCTGTATCCCCAGCGCTTTGGGAGGCAAAAATAGGAGGATTGCTTGAGCCAAGGAGTTTGAGACCAGCCTGGGAAACATGGTGAGACCTCTGTCTCTACAAAAATTAAAAAAAAAAAAATTAGCTGGGCATGGTGGCACATGCCTGCAGTCCCAGCTACTCGGGAGGTTGAGGTCAGAGGATCGCTTGAGCCCAGGAGGCTGAGGTTAGAGTGAGCTATGATGGCGTCACTGCACTTCAGCCTGGTTGAGAGAGTGAGACTCTGTCTCTAAAAAAAAAGTTTTGGCTTATGAAAAATCAATTTTTGAACATCTTTGCAGTGGCCAACGTTGCTTGTAGGGTCTAGCACATGTTTACTCAATGCCTTTCTCTTGCCTGGAATCCTAGGCTGCTGCTCTCTGTCCTCGTTGTGTTCCACATGGGATTAGGCCCTCCATCAACCCTGATGACAGTGATGCCAGCTGCCTCCTCAGTGACTCTTTCCCCCACAGTCTGGTATGGCTCAGGATCCTCAATTTCCCCCTCGCTCTTCAAGAATGAAACCTCATGTGCTCTGTGAACATTTTCCTCCTCCGTGCCCTGGTACCCAGGGAACCACTCTGGGCACTGCTTTCTGCACCTATCTGCTGCATCTGTCCTGCATTTGGGTAGAACCTCTAGACTCGATTTTGTTCTGTCTTCTCTGCCTGCTTTCTTAGACCTGATGATTCAGAAGGTTCCTTGCTTCTGAATGCTCTTTGTCTTTGCACATGCTAGGCTCTGAATGTTTGTGTCTCCCACCAAATTCATACGTTATTAGCCCCCAGTGTGATGGAATTAGGAGGTGAATTAGGACATGAGGATGGAATTAGGTCATGAGGGTGGAGTCCTCATGAATGGGGTTAGTGCCCTTATAAAAGAGGGCCCAGATGGCTGGGCGTGGTGGCTCACGCCTGTAATCCCAGGACTTTGGGAGACCGAGGTGGGGTGTATCACCTGAAGTCAGGAGTTTGAGACCAGCCTGGCCAACAAGTGAAACTCCATCTCTACTAAAAATACAAAAAGTAGCCAGACGTGGAGGCACACACCTGTAATCCGAGCTACTTGGGAAGCTGAGGCGGGAGAATCGCTTGAATCAAGAGGAAGAGGTAGATGTTGCAGTAAGCCGAGATTGAACCATTGCACTCCAGCCTGGGCAACAGAGTGAGACTCTGTCTCAAAAAAAAAAAAAAAAAAAGTGCCCAAAGAAGTCCCTTGCCCCTTCTTCCATGTGAGGACACAGCAGGAAAACAGCTGTCCATGAACTAGTAAGCAGGCCCTCACCAGACACTGAATTTGCTTGCCCTTGGACCTCTCAGCCTCCAGAACTGTGAGGAATACATTTCTGTGGTTTATAAGCCACCCGGTCCGTGGCGTTTTGTTATAGCAGCCCGAATGGACTAAGATGGTACAGTTTTCCATTTCCTTGTGCTATCCATTTCACCATGTGGATCTGCCTTACCGTCACACCCACTTGGCATGCTCCTGAAATCCAGCCTGGGTGGAGCCCCCACTCATCTGGGAGGGAGCTTAGAGACCCTAAGTGGCCCTCCAGATATTTGTGGTTTCCAGTTACATTGACACTCCCCTGGGGTGGGGCCAGGACCATGCAAGAGCACACGGTTGAGGGAAGCAATGCAGCGGCTGCTCGCCTGAATTCTCAGGAGCACTGGCCAGACCCCCGGCAGCACACACCTCACTCTCATTTCCAAATGTGGACACTGCTGGAAACATTAGCATGAGTGGAATTCTGCACCAGGGAGGGACATCCATTCTCATTTCATTCACATACTTAGATATTAGTTGTAAGTAAGTCTTGGTACAATGTCAGCTTCTCAAATTGGGAGTAAGAGAATCTACTACCTATTGTATAGAGTGTGTGTTTGCTTGTGTGTGTATGTGTGTGTGTGCACGTGTATATGTATTCTGGAGTTTTCCTTTTCACATCAGCGATTTCAGATTTGAAGACCATAATGGAATCTGATCTTCTTGGCTGTTAGGGGGCTTTGGAAGGCTCCTGAGAGCAGAGATTGGTGTTTTCTGAGTTGATGGCTAACAGGCTGTGGAAGATCGTCAATTAGAGACTGAGTTGGCCTGCCACGCTGATTACCCTTTAGACTTCATTTCAGGTGAGGTGAAAGGCAAGCCATGCTGTCCTCAGGCCAGTAGAATTCGACCGCTTTTAATTCAGCTATGTTTTGGAACAGGGAGCTGCTAAAAAGACTTTGCTTCCTTTGAATATCAGTTGATACAGAAACTAAAAAGGAAAAAATAGCTTCACTTGAGATCCAACACCCTCAATCTAGTCAAGGGAAACAGTTAATAACTGAATAAATTAGTAAATTGTATAGTGAGCTAGATGGCACTGAGTGTTATGACAGAAAAATAAGCAGAGGTTTGGGGAGTGCTTGGGAAGGGTGAGATATAAAATAGGGTGGTCAGAGCAAGCCACATTTAAGTCTTTGGAAAAAGAGAATGGTGAGCCATGTGGCTATCTGGGGAAAGGTGTTCTGGAGAGAGGGCCCTGCCAGTGCAAAGGCCCTTAGGTGGGAGCATGTCTGGATTTGGGGAACAGCAAAAACAGTGGCTGGGGCATAAGGAGTGAAGGGGGTAGGACATAAGGTCAGAAACTTAATGTTGGGGAGGGACTCATTGAATAAGATGGGCAATCCATTGGAGGGTTTGAGCAGAGGAGTGCAACACCCAGGAGAAGCTGAATGTGACACATGGATTTCCGTTCAGGCCTTTGACTACTCTGGACTTTGCCTCCTAGACACATCAGTTTGGGGGATAGAACTAAGATCATCATTTAGCAATAATGAAACTATATTTCTCTGGTTCTGTCCTGATGTGCTTTGTCAGAATTCCAGCCCATCCTAAAAGGTATTGCAACGAGTTCAGGAAGACTACGGCATCTTCAAGTGTTCACTTACCCAGCCCTCTGAGCTATCATGTTCTGCTGTTTTCCTTTCTGCCTGCTCTGGTTGCTACAAGGGAGTTTCCTCTGGATCTTGACATTTCAATGTTCTCTTGTCCTCTCATAAATCTCCATTCCAGGTTATGCTGGTCTGGCTCACTGTATCAGTCATGGTTCATAGTTGAAAGTAATGAAACCTACCCTAGTTAATTTAAGCAGAAAAGGAATTTGTTAAAGGATACCAGGTTGTTTAAAGAATCATAGAAGAGATCAGAGAATCAGGCTTTGAGCAACACAGCTAGAAACAAAACCCAACTACATGGGCTGACTGCTCACTTCTCCTGCTGTGTAGGGGCAGTGTGGCTCATGATGCCAATGCTGGGCCTGGCACGCTGACTGCTAAGACCTTTGCCATTGCTGCCTTTGAGGGCCAGCTGTAGCCCTGCCATGCTTTCCCATTCTGCCAGAAGGGCTCCCATATGGTGCCTCCTTCTTCACGTCACTTCTCTTCATACTGAAGCCTGTGCTCCATGCCCTGGCTGCAAAGAAGACTGGGGAAGCAAGAATCTGACTTGAGGAGAAAGTAGTACTCTAGTGGAAACTTTCCTAAACTCAGGAAGGCTATTCACACAGTTCTGGATACCAGAAATTATGAAAAACCTCCTTGGTACTCACTGTTCAGGCTGTTGGGCCTGTTCTGTGCTTCAACAATGGCTTTGAAATGGAGATGATGCCTTTCACCCCTCATTAACGTGTTAGGCTCCCATCTTCTTACATAGATTTATTATTGTAATTTTAAAAATTACTAGATGGAGGAAAAAGAGCCTACAAAGAAGTCCTACTCTTTAGAAGAGTATTTTTATTTTTGTTGAAGAAGTACATGCCCGTAATTTAAAAAAGTCAAGTAGTGCTAAAATACTTATTTAAAAAATACCCAGCTTTCCCCCGCTTAACAGCCTTCCTCCATCTTTCCAGAAGTAGTCACTTTTAGCTTTTAATCTTTTTTCTTGTGATATTTACCCTGATATTTCTAACTAATACAGACATGCTGCTCTCTCTTCATTAATCACTTCTAGACAGTGTTTATTATGGGGAGATGAGACTTTCAAATCTCTATTACCACTTGATATCTCCCACCCTCCCAATATAATTAGAAGACTACATAACCATAGTAAAGTCCATATTTACTGTTCTTAGCATATTGTTTGATCTTACTTATTCTGGCTAAGAGTATATTATTTTACTTCCTTCTTGAACAACTTATTTTTCCAAAAATTGATAAGTATCTCATTTATTTTTACTTTTATTTTCTGGAATCTTGGGCTAAATCTTTCCATATCTTGCCACAGTTCTATAAAATTCCACTCAATTCAATTTTCTACATGTGTTACAGGACCAACACCTTTATATGCGTGCTATACAGTAACAGACCAATACGCTGAGACAGCAGGGTTTGAAGCAGAGAGTTTAGTGATTTCAGGGTGTCAAGTGAGGAGATGGTAGGAGACCCTCAAATCCATTTGTCCAAGGAATTCTGGGCTGGGGCTTTTAAGGGGATTATGGAAGGTGAGGGGTTGGAAAATCAGTGTCATTGATTTGTTGGGGTAAAGGGAATGAAATCATCAGGATGTGGAAACTACACTCTTTTGGGTGAGTCAGCTTCTCATGGGGTCCTTCAGACCAGCTGATGTCAGTAATTTCACTGATACACAGGACATGAAAGAATATCTCAAGTGGAAAAATTATCATTTTATAATGTTTAAGTTGTTATCTATAGAGTAGTTCATGGGTACTATAATCTTTTTTTAAATTATTATACTTTAAGTTCTGAGATACAAGTGCAGAACATGCAGGTTTGTTACATAGGTATACACGTGCCATGGTGGTTTGCTGCACCCATCAACCCGTCATCTACGTTAGGTATTTCTCCTAATGGTATCCCTCCCCTAACCCCCCACTCCCTGACAGGCCCCGGTGTGTGATGTTCCGCTTCCTGAGTCCATGTGTTCTCATTGTTCAACTCCCACTTATGAGTGAGAACATGTGGTGTTTGGTTTTCTGTCATTGGAACTATAATCTTGCAACAGGTTCTGAAGCTATAGCAGTGATTCTGAAGCAACAGGCACCAAAAAGACTATGAGAAAGCAGATCAAAGAGCAAGCTGACCTAATGATTAATGCTGAATGTGCTGCAAGCCTGGTTTATTTTAGTGTCTCTTCCTATCCTTCCCTGATGAATTTTATAAAGTTTATAGGGGTAATTTCTTATGTACCTGCCAGACAATGTTAAAATCATTTAACATTTTAACCTTTCTTAGAGGCTAACTTCTCCTAGAGCCTTTCTTCCCTTGCTTCAGTCACAAAGAGTTGTTCCCTGAATGGCTTCCCTGATGTCATCCTGGGTATTCCTTCTGCCTTTCTCCTATCTTGAATCTCCTATTTCCTGGATGCAATGTACTCTTTTTTTTTTTTTCTTGTTTAACTCCATCATTTTAGTGGAGCCCATTTCCTGTAGTTTTCTGAGAAATGGAAGTATGACAGATATATTTTATATTTTATAAGATTCTATCCTTTTTGTTCTACTTTAAAAATTGATTGATTGTTTAAATGGGTATAGAATTTTATGTTGGAAACTATTTTTCTCAGAGTGTGTAAGGTGTTACTCTACCTTCTTCTAGCTTCCGATATTGCTTTTTAAAAATCTGATGCTATTCTCATTCTTCATTTTTTTTGTGACTTGTTTTTTTTCTGGAAACTTTTAAGATCTTTTGAAATCTTTTTATCCATAATGTTCTGAAATTTCACAAATGATGTGCTTTTATTCATTCAGTATGTTACATACTTGGTGTGCTCTTTCAATGTGAATAGTTGTTCAAATGGAAAATTTTCTTTATGGTATTTCTTTGATAACTTTCTTTTCTTTTCTTCTTTTAAGAGACAGGATCTCACTCTGTTGCCCAGGCTGGAGTGGGGTGGTGCAATTATAGCTCATGTAACCTTGCATTCTTGGGCTCAAACAAGCCTCCTGCCTCAGCTTCCTGAATAGCTAGGACTACAGGCATGTGCCACCACACCCAGCTAATTTAATTTTTTTTTGGTAGAATGAGATCTTACTATGTTGCCCAAGCTGGTCTCAAACTTTTCTACTCAAGTTATCCTCCCACATGACCCTCCTAAAGTGCTGGGATTGCAGCCATGTGCCACCCACTCTGCTGAGCCCCATGTTTTTTCTGTTTTTGGAATTCCTATGAGGCAGATATTGTCCACTTGGATTGATTCTCCGTTTCCCTCAGTTTTCCTCTCCTAATGTCCACCTGTATCTTTTTGTTCAATAATTTAAAAAATGTGGATATAATATGTAAATTTCTAAGAGCTTATTCATATTCTCTGACTGTTTTCTTTAGGAAGATAGTAGCCTATCTTTCTTCATCCTCTAAAGTCGTTGGTTATCATTAATTATAATTTTCTTAACATTTTCTCTTGCTTCTTATCTTGTCTCTGTTCTCCCCCCTGTTCTTTTTATCCTGTTTGTTTTAGCCTCTGTCTTTCAAGTTGACAGCTGCCCCCAAAGCCTGGTGCCTATTCATATCTAAGAATGAGGCACTAAAAAACTGATTAGACTTGAGCTGGTCTTGTTTACTTACAGAGTTTCAAGTAGGAAAATTTGTTGGCTAGCCAGATTGCCTCAAATGTCATTATTTATAGGTTTTCCTTTCAATCCTCCACCCTCAGGGTGTTTTATTTTTTAAAATCTTCTTGGAGAATGGAAGGCTAAATGATAATGTTCTGAAGCTGGAACTGTGAAAATAATTGGAGTCTCACATTTCAGGATACAGTATTCAGTTAATTCTCTCTGGTTTGAGTGTGATTCACACGCCCTCCTCTGGGCCTGGTGTCCCTGAGGTGAGGCAAATCTGGTTCAACTCATGTAGAGAATCTGTATCACATCTCCTGATGGGATGTTGAGGGGATAATTTCTTTATAGCATACAGTGATGGTTCTACTCTTGCCTCCTAGGTACCTGGTGACTCCAGTTCCTTAGTTTTTCTTGGATTCTTTAGGGTACGTTAGCCCTCTTCTCTCTGTTAAGGCCCTCTAAAGACACTTCAGTGTTAGTTCAGTCTGCCCTGCTGAGCCATTTACTATTCTTCTATTTGCTTTCTGGATTCATCTCATGTGCTTCTGGGTTACAGATGTCACCTAGTCTTATATGAAAATGGAATTTGTGTTCCTTTTTCTTGTTCTCTTTGTTTTGTAGTAGGAGGCTCCTTTTATGAACACAAGGACATTATATGTTAGAAAAAGAGCGTGTGACTTACCTAGATTTATCCCCAAAATGCCCCTCAGAACCAAGGTGACCATACAACTTCTAGAACACTTCAGAAATAAGCTGGAAGAGGGAACAGGGTTACCTGCTGAGACAACAGGTACAAACTGGGAGTGTCCTGGGAGAACTGGGATATATGATCACTCTGCATAGATCTCAAACTTTCTTTCAATTTATATAGTACCAACTGAATAATATATAATTTTTTTCAAAAAAATAAAGCTCTGTCTTTTAAAAATTATTTTTAATGCAGTGTCCTTTATCTTGGATTCTGGCACACATCCACAGGGACTAGACTAGACAATGAACTGAAAGATGGACATTATGCTATACTCAAAGTTGCCCCTCCCTTCCTGGCCCTCTATTCTGTTTGGTTCAAACTTTCCCCTTCAACTCTTTTTTCCCCTGGGATGGATTATTTCCTAGGGGTCTCCTTAGTGCCTCATGCAAACTGATCCTTGGAAGGCCTGCACCACCAGCCTTCCACTCATGCCCAGATGTGTTTGAATTATAATGAATACAGCTTAGGCTTTAAGTCTGGACCTCTGTGAGTGAATGTGGTCATGCCTGTACTCCTTCCTTGGGGTTTGCAGGAAAACAGGGATTGCAACAAGTTGAATTCAGAAGTCCTCTTGGGAAGTTTATACCAGGCAAGAGACACAAGCTGCAACTCCACCACCATTCCTGCTGCTCCCTGCTCCCTGCTTCCCCAGGTCTTTATCTTGAGACCTTGGAGCTTCTCTTCCACTTTTTGCTTGCAAGCCCTTTTCTCTGTCCCTTAATTTACTACAGTTCAATTTATTTCACCAAAAATACATTGGTGCCTACTGCATGTCAGACACTGGATGAGTCCTGAAGGCAAGGCATCCTTGCTATTAAGGATCTTATAGCCTAGGTGTGCCTAGGCATAAGAGGGTCAATATTTTTGAAAGGTCTTCCTTAGAGGTGATTTTCTTTCATATAGGAATAGGAGGAAGGAATCCCTTCTGGTATGGGGAGAAAGAACTGGGAGTAGAGAGGAGAATCAAAGGGTGGTGGAAGCATCTGGGGAGGTTGGTAGGGGAAAACCCAGTGGCAGGGAACTTCATATTTCTTAAGCCGTAGACTAAGAAAATTTCAAGGCCTTGGGAGATGCTCCAGTTTCACGATGGTGTCTGATATTACAGTGGTTGAGGCCGGATGTAGATTAGACATGGCTGAGGGAAGTTTCCATGAAGCTGGGCCTGAGAGAGTTCTCCAGTGCCTCAGGGTCCATGAACAATGTCCAGGGAGTGAGAGGCTCCCTAGAGCCTCAGTGAGGGCTGTGCACGTGCTAGAGAGGCAAGGAGCTGAGGAGGCCTCATGTTGGAACAGAAAGGCCATAGAGGGTAGGGAATCATAATGAGAGGCCTTGGCTGGGAATACACTCTTATCTGGGAGTCCTTTTTCTTTAATGCTTCCTTCAGTCTAATCTATTACTGTTTGCAGCCTTAAAATAGTAGGATTTTACAATCCTTAGAGGCCCCCGACTCAATCTCTGTTTCTCTCTCTTCCTCCCTCTTCCTTCTTATTAAGAGGAGAAAAAAAATTTGAGCTTTTCTTCAACTTCTTTTCTAGAGCTACAGCCTCAATTGGCACATGCTGTGGCTTCCAAGTTATGCCAGGTGACAAGTGTAATGTTTTGCCATGAAATATCGTAGGTCTCCATCTTTCCACTCTGAGAACAGTTTCCTCTCTGCCTGCCACCTGAGTGCTAAGCCAATGCTGTGTTTAGTTTTTATTATGTCAGTATTCCTCTTCAAGTTACCAACTTCTGTATTAAATAGAATGTCAGCTGTTATAACAATAATCCCCCAAGTCGTAGTGGCTTCTCACAGTAGGAATTGTTTCCCCATGTGAAGTGCAAATGTGTTTTCCTGATCATCAGGCAGTTGTCCCACAGGCAAAGATTCAGGGACCCAGAGAGTCATTCCACTCAGATCCTCCTGCATTTAGCCAGAAAATGAAGAAAGACTATGGGTGGTCATGCCTAGGAGGTGTCTATGGACCAGCCCTGAAAGTGGCACTAATATTTCTGTTCATATGTTATTGGCTGGAAGAGAAAATGGGTTTGGTGAAGAGTGAGCCAGTCTTTGCCAAGCATCTTTATTTAACTGCCATGTGCATATGCTTTAATAGTGTGACATACCCTAGATCCTTTTGGAAACAGGCATGTAAAAAATTAATTTTAAAAGACACATAATTTGCCTCTCTTCTTCCAGAATTTTTCTTCTATAAAATGTAAGGCAGGGAATGATTATTTAATGGTCTGCTCTCAGTTTGAGAAGCCCAGGAATATGGAAGGACACTTGTGGTCCTTTCCTGCCTGTGAGTTGGGTCCCTGCCATTGGTAATGGTCAGACCACAAGAGCCTCCTGAGTACCTAATTCCAGTTTAGAGATTTTCTCCAGCATAAACTTTCTTCTTCGTTTTTAAATGGCCTCATTCTTCTGAGTTTCCCTCATCACTGACCAACCTTTCATCTAGCTTGGTTTGGACTCACGGGTGAGGCTTTGGTTTGTATACTTTTATGATTCAGCACTGGTTTTAAATCTTGTGTTTTTTTTTTTTTTTGTAATTGTAATTTCTTTTTCGACTCACAAGTCACACCTGGTTAGCACTGTTCCTCTGCCCCAACTGGTCCAGGGTAGGAGATTTTAAAGGCCCTGGAGCTCCAAGATGACCTCTCTGGGGCATTGCCCTTGGCAGGTTGAGGACTCTGGGAGGATTGTGGACAGTGAGATCTTTGTTCTTGGCTTGTGTTCTCATTCCACCCCACACCCTGGGCCCCTCCTGGCCTGTCCTCTCCCTTGGCCTGGCTGCCCTTGCAGCAAGCAGGGAGTACCCAACTGCCTCCTGATGGGCCATCTGTAGGCACATTTGCTTTCTGGCAAATTTCTTTGCATAAGCAGCTTTTAAGTGTGATTTGTGTGACCCGTCCAGGTTTCTGATTTTCAAATCACATCCTGAATATTTACTGTACCTCTTTGGCTCACTATTTTCTGCAAAATTGGAACCCTTTCCCTCTCTGCCAATATACTCTTTTGAGCCTTTTACATAATAAAAGGCTTGAGTTTCAGCATTAATCATTGTGATTAATGTGATTCCACTAATAACCTTTTTCTACTTGGGAAGGCTCCAATTATGGCTATATTTTGTGTCTGGCCTTGGGCCAGCTTCTAACCCAATGATCCAGGTTTTTATCAGCTTCATGATTCCTCAGCATGGACATTAACCTCTCCTGTATCCACTTTCTCCTACAGATTTCAGGCAGAGCTAATCCTCCAAACCTTCTGCTGACCCACCCTTGAATAAAATAAGGCTGGCTTCCTGGGGAGGGAAGGTCTGCCTCTCTCTCTCTGTATGCTTGGGCACAAGCCTATTCAGGGATTCTTGATGGTTTCCCCAAAGGTGATGTCAAACCACATCCAGGCTTCATAATTCTTTGGCTTACCACTCACCCTTATAATTAATAATGGAAACTTGCCAGGAACTTTTTTTCTTAAGACCGTTTTTCAAGGAGAACATTCAAAGGACTCTTTGGCTTAAACTGTTCACAAGCTCTGGACTCCCTTCTTTCAGACACAGTAGAGGAAATAGGCTGGCTCTCCAAAGAGGTAATATGAGATAAGGAGAATTACGTGGTCTTTGAGATCAGACAGCATTAGTTGTGTGACCTTGATAAAATTATGTAACTTCTATGAGTCTCCATTTCCTCATTTGTGAAATGGGAGTATGATTATCTATCTTGCATGGTTGGGATGAGGATTAAATGGAGTGGTGCATCTAATGTAACTGCTGGTTCCATTTCCACTAAGATAGGAGTCTAAGTAGTCTGAAAACCTTCCTACTAGAAAATACCTAGAAATGTTCAATAGAATGTAATGAACTTCCTTTTATTTTTTCACCAATAGATTTTATTCTTGCTTTTTACATCTATTCTCATTCATACTGATATGGAAAAAAGACTGTTCAATAGTCACACATTATAGGTAAATTCAAATGTACATTATAACACACTGAGCAACTATGACATAAGATGTTTAGTTGTTTTATACCAACAGAGGCTCACTAGTAGTTTTCAGAAAGGATTAGTTTCCCAATGTTTATTCATAAACATTAGAAATTGTCATAAGTGATAACAAAATTTAACCTGAACAAACATCTTTTCAACTGCCTAGAACCAGAGGGAGCTGAAGACTAGGGCTGATAGTCATGCAGTCTCAGAGGGGCCAGAGTTTATTGTTGCTGGTAAATAATGGACTTGGATTTTTTTTTTTGGCTGAGTATCGTTTTATTTTATTTTAAAAATAGTTTTAGATTCAAGGGATATGTGTGCAGGTTTGTTACATGGATATTTTGCGTAATAGTGAAGTTTGGGCTCTAGTGTACCCATTACCCAAATAGTGAACATTGTACCCAATAGGCCATTTTAAAATATTTTTCTGTATTTTTTTGAGACAGGGTCTCACTCTGTTGCCCAGGCTGGAGTACAATGGTGTGATCATGGCTGACTGCAGCCTCGACCTCCTGTGCTCAAGTGATCCTCCTACCTCAGCCTCCTGTGTAGCTGGTACTACAGGCATGCACCACCAAGCCCAGCTAATTTTTGTATTTTTTGTAGAGATGTGGTTTCACCATGTTTCCCAGGATGGTCTCAAACTCTTGGGCTAAAGTGGGAGTTGAGCTCAAGAAGGCTCAATCTTCCTGCCTTGGCCTCCCAAAATGCTAGGATTACAGATGTGAGCCTCTGTGCCCAGCCCAATAGGTAATTTTTAAAACCCTTACCCTCCTCCCATCCCTCCCCGTTTTGGAGTCCTCAGTGTCTATTATTTCCATCTTTATGTCTGTGAGTTTAGCTCTTACTTATAAGTCAAAACATGCAGTATTTGATTTTCTGTTTCTGAGTTATTTCATTTAGGATAATGGCCTCCAACTCTATCTATGATGCTGAAAAGAACATTATTTCATTCTTTTTTGTGGCTGCATATATTCCATGGTGTGTATATCCCATATTTTCTTTATCTGATCATCTGCTGATGGACACTTAGGTTGATTCCATGACGTAGCTATTGTGAATAGTGCTGTGATAAACATGAGTGCAGGCATCTTTTTTTTTTTTTCCATTTGAGAGCAGGTACTGTTTGTTAACCAACCAGCTTAGAAAAATAATCATGGTAGACACCTTAGTTCAGTCTTCTAGTAAGCCTGTTGATCTGGTCCTCCCTGTTGCCAGCATCTCCACTTCTACAAAATGGGTGGTTTTTTTCTTCATTCTGCCTTGTGGAGAAGATAATTTGAAGGGCCACAGGAAGTTATTTGCTTCTTTGAAGCATTTTCCAACAGTATAGATCTCATGAATAAGATCCTCCATGCAGTTGATGCTATATTTACCAAGAGATCGAGCAATCAAAGTGTTATCTGTCGAAGCAACTCCCTTCTTATTGATTTTGCCATAACCACGCTTGTAAATTAGTTCATTTACTGACTTCAGATTTGGGCACCCCCATGCAATGTATGGCTCTACAATCCTCAGCATGTTAATTGAAGCCTTGTTGAGCTTCACAAAGGTTTCATTGAAGATTTGACAAAGGCGAAGAAGCTGCAACACCTTTCGGATCTTTGGGCTTACACCATTGACACCTCTGATCCTGATGACAAACGCCAATTTGGGTTTTGCAGGTACATAGAAGTTGCCAGCTTTTCTTGCTATCCTTGGCATTTGAATTTCAGTTCTGTACAACTGCCTATATTCCTTGTGATAGTGCTTTGCTTTTTCATAGATAAGCTTCCTCCTTGCCTTTTGAAGCATCTTTTGGGCAAACTTCTTTCTCAGGTGCTTGATCTTCGGCTCTGCGAAATTCCTTCTCTTTTTCTTAAGGGTTTCTGGCACAGCAGGAACCTTCTTCTTCTTCTCTTCTACACCCTCCATGGTTCTAGCCTGAAAAAGAGTGGTATCTTTTTAATATAATAATTTCTTTTCCTTTGGGTAGATGCTCAGTATTGAGATTGCTGGGTCAAATGGTAATTCTATTTTTAGTTCTTCAAGAAATCTCCATACAGTTTTTCATAGAGGTTGTACTAATTTACTTTCCCACCAACAATGTATAAGGCTTCTGGATTTTAAAGCTCAAATGGATATGGGAGATGAGGTCTTGAGCCCTTGAGTGGCAGGAAATTGGAATGGAGATCACTGAAAAAATCTGGGGCGTTGAAAATCTACACCTTTGGAGAAATGGTTAGATAGAAAAAAGCCCACTCACTGGCAGATATACTATAGTGAGATTTATCTGTCTTCTCTTGAGTTCCGAGTGGGGAATAAATTTCCCCTTGAGAATGCATAACAATATTCATTCACAACATACTTTTTTGCACAAGTTTGAGATTCTAATTTATTCTACTTGCAAGATCTTGGGAGCCATTAAGCTGAAAAATGAATATGGCACTGGTTCTAGGCAAGTGATATCCTTGGAATGGCCACAGAAGCAAATACAAAACTACCCTGGAGAGCTGGATAGACCCTTAACTCAGGCTGCTTGGTATTTGCACAGATAGACCTCTACTAGAATTGAACTCAAAAACCAAAATTACAAAACGCACAAGGAAACCAGCTGCCATATCTAAGTGCCACTAGACAAAAGAGACAGCAGGATTGGAGCCCCAAGAGCTTCCAGTAACAGAGCTATTAGTGGAGACCATGAAATGAGTATACTAAGAAAATCATCAAGGTTGTAATAGAAGAAAGTGATAATATTGGGAAAAAATGAAGCAGGAGAGCCAAAGGGACCTTGAAATGAAAAATGCTGTCGTTGAAATTAAAGCTCAGTGGGCAGAGTAAAGAGTGAATTGGCCACAGTGGTGAGAACAGGACTGAACAGAAATGCTTGCAATCAGTAGATGCTCCCAAATTTCTAGCAATCTCTCTTTGGGAAACATTGAGGTGTTAGTTTCTTGGGAGGTGAAGAGGGTTTAGAAGCATCTATGTTCATTTTTAGGTCAGCAAATACATTTTTAAAAAATAATTGACTTTATTTTTTAGAGCAGTTTTGAGTTCACAGGAAAATTGAGGGAAATATACAGAGGGTTTCCATATCCCTCTATCCCTACACATGCACAACCTCTCGCACTATGGACTTGTGGCACCAGAGTGGTACATTTGTTACAATTGATGAACCTACATGGACACATCATTATCACTTAAAATCTACAGTTTACATTAGGATTCACTTTTGATGTTGTACATTATGTGGGTTTTGACAAATACATAATGACGTGTATCCATTAGGGTATCCTACAGATTAGTCTTATTGCCCTAAAAATCCTCTGTGTTCTGTTTATTCATCCTTCTCCTCCCTTAACTCCTGGCAACCATTGATCTTTTTACTGTCTTCATAGTTTTGCCATTTTCAAATGTCATATTTTTGGAATCAAAAATTTTCTGATCGGCTTCTTTCACTTAGAAATATTTAAGCTTCCTCCATGTCTGCCATAGCTTGATAGCTCATTTCTTTCTTTTTTTAAATTTTACTTTAAGTTCCAGGATACATGTGCAGAACTTGCAGGTTTGTTACATAAGTGTATGTGTGCCATGGTGGTTTACTGCACCTGTCTACCCGTCGAAGGTCCCTCAGACTCTTTGGTAATCTTGTTCTAGACTGTGCAATTTACATGGGAAAAGGGCACTTTCTATTCTTCTATTTGCTGTACTCCTTTGTGGATTATTTCCAACAGAGGTCAGGGTTTTCTATTATTAAATATCTAAAGAGCTTAATGGGTGATATAAAGTCATAGAAGCATTCCAAAGCCCAATTTATCAGCTAACCAGAGGCAGCTAATGGAAATCTCCATCCACCAGTAAATTTGATGCAGTGAGAAGGTGGTAGGTGGAGCTGAAAGAGAGAGGAAGAGGGTAAAATTTATTTGGCTTGAACAGGGCTCACCTACAACGGTGTAACTAGTAAGACAGGTTCCCCGATGCAAAGCATAATTGGTCCCTCTTTCATGTAACCAATAGAGCAACCCTCCTTTTCTAGCTGGGACAGTGGGTTTAGCTAAGAAAGGATGAAGTTTCTGGATGGAGGGAGTGGGAAGAAAGTGAATTTTTATTTTTTGGTGGTGTAAATTTGCCAAAGAAAACACTATAGACCTCACAGTGTTATAGATCTGAGCAAGGTTACCTGTATTACCCTAAGATTTTCTTACCTCCCTCTCCTCCCTACTTCCTCCCCTTTTCCCATCCCACTTCCAGCTGTTTTCCTGGCAGTCTGTGTGCAGTGGTGGTGGCAAGTGTTGCTACTGTCTGGAGACATCTGCTGAATGTCTCACCTTTGATGGATCTTCTTATCTTTGACTTCCACAGATGACCTCTTGCCTTGGACACAGGTGTGCTGGTCACACACAGCCCAGGAACCTTGCCGAAGTGGATCATGTACATTATCTTAGAACCACCATTGCCCTTCAACATTCTCTTTATAGGGGATAGAAGAAACTGTTTTTATTTCTTCAAGGCAACATGGTTCCTGAAGCAATACTGCTCTTAGGTTCTGGATAGACTGCTATAGCAGTGTTTCCTTGTCTACCAGGAAAAAAGGGTGGGGCACAGGGTCCAGGAGAGGAGCATAAGAAAACTTTGATATCTACCAGGTAAGGCTCTACAATCAAAGCATAGGGTTTCAGGATTTTTACAATGGCTGCTTTAAGTTCTCTCATTTTACAGATTAGAAATGAAAGTAAATGACTTAGTTGTTCAAGGTCACGGAGCTACTGGCAGAGCCAGAACCCGATCACAGGTCTTTTGATGGGAACTCCTTTGTTTTAATGATAGAGCATGTATGACTTGCCTCTTGAAACCCTAGATTCAATGCTGCATGATGGCTGCCAGAAAAATGCCAGTCCTTCTGGGTGAGTTGAATAGAGAGGGGAGATGGTAACCACTCACCCAATATCTATTTTCTCTTCTTTATTATTAACAAAACTCCAGCTAAAAGATGATGATGCATCCACTAAGAAACTACATTTACCAGTTTTTTGTTTTGTTTTGTTTTGTTTTTTTCAGATGGGATGACCATGTGACACAGTTCTGGGTAATGAGATGTAGGTGACGTTACTGGGTGGAATTGATGAGAAGGTTCCCTTACAGCAGGGAAGAACCAGCTAATATGCTATTTCTCTTTAACCCTCTTCTTTTTGCCTAGAATTTGGATGACATATTAGAGGTAGAATAATCTTCCAGTCACCATTAGGTTAAGAGAATTGCAAGGGTTTGGCTTGAGCTTGAGCCAAAGCTCACACAATTCTCTTAGTCTAATGGTGACTGGAAGACAAAATTGTACTCAGAGCTGCTGAACTAATATCAGCAACTGCCTACTTTCTGAGTTGATTAAGCTACTATAAATTGAGCTCCCTATTGTTTGTCAAACATATTCCTCTCATAGAGCAAAAAAAGTGTGTACATATACTTTGTTCCCCCCATAGCCTTTTACATTATTAAGTAATATTATTTGTGTTAGTAAACTGATTATTAGAGAGTGAGCTTGTTTACATTACCAGAGGATTTTTCCTATTACCAAAAGATTACAGGGATCGCACAAAAGATCTTTCAGTTGCATCTTTTTAAGTGTTTGTTTATTGATCATTTCATATTAACAGAGAAAAAACTAAAAGCGGAGTTGTTTCATGCTATTGCTCATTAAGAATCAATCAGAAACAACAATAAAACAAATCTGAAAGTATAAAGATCAAAAGAAGACATTCATGTTACTAGTTAATTTTTTTTTAAAAACCAGGCAGAAAACTCAAATGTTATGTGCCCTGGTTCAATGCCAGACACCGGACTACCCTAGTACAGTAGACTTGAATACATTTATTTCTCAACATACGTCATTCTTTCTATGAAACCTACTCCAAGAATTTTCTCCCCATTTCTATTAAAAGCTCCTTTATCCTCCTGGACATCCAACTTGAAATTGTCATTGTCCTTTCTCCCCCCTTGGCAATATTCAATCAGTTTCCAAATCTTGGGTGGGTTGGGAACATGGAGAAAAGGATCCAAAAATGGATTTATCCAGTTATTCTCTGTAACCTCAATTTCATATGCTCTTTGGTGTTACCACTCATTAGCTGCTTGCATGGGAAATATAAATTTGTATGATGGTGACATTTGAGGCTTATGTGATTGCTTTGATCTATTAGTTTTGGAGACCAAACACCCCAATTACAGCCAACAGAACACTTTTAATTGGGACACAGAGGTAAAAGGACTTTCTGTTGCCATAGTTTCAGAGGCACATATGTGGTCAGCTGCCTAATGCTGGATTTATTTTCAGACATAAGACATGATTGACGGTGAGCTCTGGTGACTCAGGGACATCTGCTGTTCTGATAGGAGTAGAGTGTGGCCCTGAAGCTCAGCTAAAACCAATCTTAGGCAGAGCACATTCTGTAATGGTGCTGTTTTCAATGCATTTAGTTTTCTATCCTTAGGTTCACTTCTGAAGAGGAAATATTAACCTACCCACTAATGAGGACTTTGCCAATAGACCGTTGTTCTGAGTGGCAGGGAAAAAAAGAAAAGAAAAAAGGCCAGTGGGAATTTCTAAGGAAGTTAGTGACTTCAGCACTGGGATCTAGTTCCTATCATTGCAGAATCTCATGGAAATGGCCAAGGGTATAAAGGAAGGAGAAATCTGCATAGGACGTGAGAGAAGTTTACAGACACATATGCCAGAAACCATAGCCTTTCTGCTAAATATGGATCTAAAGAAGGACTGATTGGATTCATGACTTCTTTTACACTTAAAACCAGTGTGTCTGGGAGGTGAGCAGGAGATATTTTGCCAGAATTCAGACATCTTTCCATTCTGAGGGATGCCAGCTGGAGGCAAGAGTGGGCAGCAGCCAGTCAGAGAGAATTGTCTGGATCTTGCAAGAAGCCCGTTAAGTGTTCTATGCCTGTGTGGTACCTACTTAGACTGTACTTGGCACTGATGTTTCTGCCAGGCGACACATGGGGGCACTCCCCGGCTGACTCTTGACTGCCACTCTAGCATGGCAAATAAATTTGTAAACACAGAGATTAAACCTCTGCAGTAGTGTCATATAGCTTCAGCTTCCTCCCTCGGGCTGCTGGATCTCTGCAATTCTGCAGTTAATTTAAACTGTTCTCTTTCCCCTTCATCAAAATTACACAGGTCACATTCTTTAACTATAATGCTATTAATAAATAAAAGTAGAAATAAAACTGCTACCACTTGAAAATGAAAAACAAAACAAATGCAGAACATTCACCTAAACAATTCTTAGGTCAAGGAGTAATTAAGAAGTACGCTTGGACTTTGGGAGGCCGAGGCAGGGGGATTGCTCAAGGCCAGGAGTTCGAGACCAGCCTGGCCAACATGGTGAAACCCTGTCTCTACTAAAAATACAAAAATTAGTGGGGTGTGGTGGTGCACACCTGTAATCCCAGCTACTTGGAAGGCTGAGGCATGAGAATTGCTTGAACCCGGGAGGTGGAGGTTGTAGTGAGCCGAGATCATGCCACTGCACTTCAGCCTGGATGACAGAGCAAGACTCTGTCTTAGAAAAAAAAAGGTACACTTGGAGTCTAGTTAGACAATAATGGCACTGAGGATGCTAGATATCCAGCGTTATAGGATATGACCAAAATTGGACTCAGGGAAAATGCATGACCTTAAATACCTTTATTTTTAAACAAGGCATAAACTGCATACAAAAATTTAATTCAGTAATTAGAAAAACAAATATGCTTAATGTAAAGCAAATAAAGATTATACAACAGCTTAAAAAATAAAAGAAAGTAATATAATAGACCAGGTGCTAGCAATTCAAATCAAGCAATTCAAATCAAATCAATTGAGAGAAAACATAAGCACACAACATGAGGAATTAGAAAGAGGATATAACAATAGATATTTAAGGGAAGGATAAAATTCTACTACATGATAACAAATTTGAAAATATCAAAGGAATGGATGATTTTCTGAGAGAATATAAATGATCATAATTGATTCAAGAAGTGGAAAGT
Organism: Homo sapiens; assembly: GCF_000001405.40. Lineage (NCBI taxonomy): Eukaryota > Metazoa > Chordata > Mammalia > Primates > Hominidae > Homo > Homo sapiens. The sequence goes on from NC_000017.11 coordinate 51,509,345, forward strand.
ATGAATAGCCCAGTAACTGGGGAAGGAAATTTAAAAGTCTGTGGTATAGATACAAGGCTTCAGCTCAGCTATTTCAGAGATATCTGGGTTTCAAAGAAGCCTTTTAAAATGTTGTGTTACTAGAAATTCATGGGTAATCTATTGTATGCTTTCATTTGCTGGACATGTGCAGCCAAATGGAACAGTGTTTTCCTTTGTGTCAACTGTTCACTTATTCCCCTGTTTTCCATTTATTCCAAATTGCCGGTGGTGTGCTGGTTGCAAGATACCCCAAACACTCCAGAGATAGAATTGTGGAGTAGGATCTCATGAGTAAGAGAAAATGATGCCACTCTGAAAAGCTGAGTTCTTTTGATTGGCAAAAGATCAACTCATCAAGCCCCCTGCCTCTGCACAAAGACTGTGAATAATCAGATCTCAGTTCTTTAGGATTTTCAGTCATGCTAATTGGAAGAGGGTACAATGGGGGGCCAGGTCAGCATCTCATACCTGTAACCCCAGCACTTTGGGAGGCTGAGGCAGGAGGATCACCTGAGCCCAGGAGTTTGAGACCAGGGCATCACAATGAAATCCTGTCTCTACAAAAATAAAAATAATTAGTTGGGCATGATGGACCCAGCTACTTGGGAAGCTGAGGTGGGAGGATTGGATGAACCCAGGAGTTTGAGGTTACAAGAAGTTATGATTGTGCCATTGCACTCCAGCCTGGGCAACATAGCAAGATCCTGTCTCAAGAAAGAAAGAAAGAAAGAAAGAAAGAAAGAAAGAAAGAAAGAAAGAAAGAAAAGAAAGAAAGAAAGAAAGAAAGAAAGAAAGAAAGAAAGAAAGAAAGAAAGAGAAAAGAAAGAAAGAAAAATGGGAGCAGTGGAGAGGGTGACTCAGGGTATGATGTGAAAGCTCTGATTGGACCTGGGCCCAACTTCTTGGTCCTATAGGGGAGGGTCCCTTAACACCTTGTCCTGCCTCCATCCCCTGCTGTGCACCATGAGTCCAGGTTTGCCTGTCAGGCATTGCCAATGAAAGTCTCTGAGTCCTGTGATGTTTATACACCAACCCACGTACCCCACCTCACAGTGGAAGTGAAACTGGATAAACTCTTAGGTGCTTGGGTCCTGGGAGACTTAAAGTTGAAAGTAGAGTCCTCTAGATAACTAAAAAAGGAGGAAAGAGGGAAACTTACAAGTAGTGAGATTCTTCATCGTGAGAAGGAATAGGCCTGTGTGTAATAATTCTGAATGACAGGGGCTACATTTTAGCCCTTTCCTCACCTGTTTCTTCAAGATCTTGAGCAAGTTGTTGGGCCTGTCTAAGCCTTAGTTTTATTTGCAAAACAAGAATCTCCTGTACCCTGTGACATTTTCTGATTTTTCTGCAAGTTCTGAAGACAAGGACCCTTGCCTACTGTTGACAGGCGAGAGTTGGTGCTCTGTTGTTACATAAAGGCATCTATTTTCCTCTCTGGTTGGTTCTTAGTTCTGGTCTCCTTTCCCTGCTGATGGATTTCTTGTCTCTCTGCTGGAATCCCCTCCTATTAAGTTCCAAACGTACTTTCCTGAAATTTCTACTCTGTCAATACTACCTAGTTTCAATGAAAAGAGAAAGGTTACAAATTTTATATATAAAAGTGGGTATTGAAAAATTCCTCTGGTCAACTCCAGGTCAGCATCCAATTCACAGCACTTTATGAGAGTGATTCTTTCAGAGAGAGACTTTTTTTTTTCAGCCCATGAAGTGACTTTCACGAGCTATGGGGCCAGCTGGGATGACAGCATGAAAACTCTTCTTTGTATAAAAAGCTGATGGGGGTGAGAAGAGGCAGCCAGGTCTGCCTGCGTCTGGCTGGGTTTGGAGGGAGGAAGAGGCTGGTAGTGCTGTGGTCCTATGGACACTCAGGTAGGGACTGCCAGATGCCTGGAGGGAATCCACTTGCTATTCCCTCCTGCGTTCTCTTTAAATGCCAGAAGACAACAAGCCTTCATGAAATCCCTCCTAGCTAATGGTCATACAAACTTCATTTCATTTCATTCATCCAATAACTGTTGAGTATATACTACAAGCCAGGTGAAGGGCACACAGTGGGGATTCGTCTGTGTCGGGAAGCTTAATTTTTTTTTTAATTTTATTTTTCCATAAGTTATTGGGGTACAGGTGGTATTTGGTTATATGAGTAAGTTCTTTAGTGGAGATTTGTGAGAACCGGGTACACCCGTCACCTGAGCAGTATAAACTGCACCATATTTGTTGTCTTTTATCCCTCACCCCCTCCCACTCTTCCCCGCAAGTCTCCAAAGTCCATTGTATCATTCTTACGCCTTTAGGAAGCTTAATTTTTACAACAACCGTATGTTAAATATTATTATCTCTAAGACTTGGATTGTTTCCTTGTTGCAAAGCTTATGAGAACTTGACTTCTGGAGTAAGATGTGCTAGTCTGGGTCCTTCGAGAAGCAAACACCAAGATGAATTAGGCATGCAAGAATTCATCGGGAAAGATGAATTTCCTGATGAGGGAAAATGGGAAGGGAGACAGAGAAGGCTGGGAGAGGCATCAGACTATGCTGCAGGTTTGGCCCCTGAGAGAGAGAGAGATGGAAGGAGGCCATGTAGACAGGAAAGCAGGCAGGAAGGAAAGAAAGAAGAAATGAATGAGGGAAGAACTGCAGAATAGCTTTAAGGAGCCACGCTGTTGGAGAATCTAGAGCCAAATTCATCCGTGAGAAGAGTCTCACATCTCCCCAGAACAGCACCCCTGCTGTGCTCTGTCATTGGCCCAGGGCAGCCCCTGGGACATGTGGCTTTATGTGAGAGCAGCAGTGGATTTCAGAGTGCATCAGGGCTGTGGGCCTGTTATCCTCCCAGCATGGAGGACCTGAGAGGCACTGCCACAGTGCCAATCTCTGTTTCACTGAGGCAGGAGAATAGGGTTTGGAGGCAGAAACATAAGACCGATTCATGCTGATTTCCTAGAACTAAACTGAAAGGAAAACCCCAACTTTCCACACTTCAGTAACAAAAGGATGAGGCTACTCCCTTTGCAAACCACCCCCTTTTCTGTGCGGCAGATGGAAAATTGAAAGTACCTCTGACTGGTTGCTTTCCACAGCCAGACTGGTTGGAGGCCAAGTCTTCCTTTGCATAGGAGTGCAACTTTGTAACTTCACTTTAGCCTCTAATTGTTTGCTTTCCATAACCAATTAGACATTTGCATAGGAGTGTAACCTTTGTAGCTTCACTTCAGCCTCTGATTGCAGGCCACCACTTCATTTGCATGGGGTGTATACCAAGTTGCCAGTGGGAAACCTCTAGTGGGTATTTGGACCCCAGAAGATTCTTTAACTGGAGCCCTTGAGCTGCCACTCGGCCCGCTTCCACCCTGTGGAATGCACTTTCATTTTCAATAAATCTCTGCTTTCTTTGTTTCAGTCTTTCCTTGCACTGTGGTCTGTTTTGTCCAATTCTTTGTTCAAAATGCCAGGAACCCGGACAACTTGCAGTCAAGACCCTCTACAGTAACATTGACATTCACTATCCAGGTGATTGTGGCAAGTTAAGTAATTTCTCTTAGTCTCATTTCCCTCATCTTTAAGATAATTCATCTCTTAATCATGAAATTCAATGAAGGAATGAATGAGATAATGCATCTGAGAAAGATTTGTCCAGTGCTTGGCAATAGTAAGCTCTTGATATATGCTAATTATTACTAGGTTTTGTTATATTGATGGTTCAAGCTTTAATTTGTTCAAATGAAATGTTTCTTAGATCTAAATATAGAAAACAGGTTAGAGTGGAGCTTTCTAGTTGAATGGCAGTGGAAAGCCCTGTCCACTGGGCCTCTCCTGCGCTGCTACCCTAGCCCTTGGGGCATCTCTGAGGAAACCTGGGAATTGGAGAAACATAAGGAGGAATCACATCATACACACATTTAGTGTAGGTGTATTTTTGAATTTTTAGGTTGATGGATTATTTAAAATGAATAGTTTTATTTTATAATAATGCTTTTTTAAAATTATACCTTAAGTTCTGGGATACATGTATAGAACGTGCAGGTTTGTTACATAGGTATACACGTGCCATGGTGGTTTGCTGCACCCATCAACCCATCATCTACATTAGGTATTTCTCCTAATGCTATCCCTCCCCAAGCCCCCCACCCCCTGACAGGCCCTGGTGTGTGATGTTCCCCTTCCTGTGTCCATGTGTTCTCATTGTTCAACTCCCACTTGTGAGTGAGAACATGTGGTGGTTGGTTTTCTGTTGCTGTGTTAGTTTGCTGAGAATGATGGTTTCCAGCTTCATCCATGTCCCTGCAAAGGACATGAACTCATCCTTTTTTATGACTGCATAGTATTCCATGGTGTAAATGTGCCACATTTTCTTTATCCATTCTATCATTGATGGGCATTTGGGTTGGTTCCAAGTCTTTGCTATTGTGAATAGTGCTGCAATAAATAAACATCTGCATGTGTTTTTATAGTAGAATGATTTATAATCATTTGGGTATATACCCAACAATGGGATTGCGGGGTCAAATGGGTATCTCTGGTTCTAGATCCTTGAGGAGTCACCACACTGTCTTCCACAATGGTTGAACTCATTTACACTCTCATCAACGGTGTAAAAGTGTTCATATTTCTCCACCTTCTCTCCATTTTTGCTTTTTAACTTTTATTAAAATTATTAAAAAACAATATAGACTAAAATTGGCTTTTTGAGAGTGCACAGTTCTATGAGTTTTGACATATGCATAGATTTGTTTAACCACCACAACCATGGAAATACAAAAGAGATTCCTCCGTTACCCCTTTTTCATTACACCCTCCCCAACTCTTAACCTCTGGTAAGTACTTCTCTTTTCTCCATCACTATAATTTGTCTTTCTGAGAATGTCCACGAGAAGGAATCATTCAGCCTTTTGGGACTGGCCTCTTTCATTCAGCACAATGCCTTTGAGATCCATCTAAGTTGTGTGTATCAATAGTTGGTTCCCTTTATCCCTGAGTAATATTCCAATGTACGGGTGTACCACAGTGTGCTTATCCATTTTCCTGCTAAATAAACTTTGGGTTGTTTCCAGTTTAAACAATACCTGGCACATAGTTGGGGGCGATCAATAAATGGGAGCTGGTATTATGGAGGCTAAGAATGAAAGCCCACATTTCAGCACCCTCTATGGGGTTCTTCTATGTCTTCTTTCTTTTTAAACCCCACGGTTTGGTTTTCTACTGCAATTATTTTCCTGCTTATAAGTCACTGAATGGAATGAGTCAAAATTCATTTCCTTTGGGCATCAGTGGCTAAGGCAGGGAGGCAGCTACCAGTTAATGTCTTTTCTTTGTCGGTTTCTCGCTCTCTGTCTCTCCCCAAGGTCAGATTCCACCCCTGCCCCACCCACCCCAGGTGATAAGCAATGGCTTCAGGACTAAAGTGTATCATTGATTGTGACTAAATGCACACTTAGCACTGTAGCTTGATTCACTTAACTTTCTCTTCCAGGCTCTTCTACTTTATATTCTTAAGCCACTCATGGACAGCATGCCCTTTTATCCATCCCAGCTGATATTTTTCAAGCATTTTAGCAACTCTGACCTCATTCTTTATTTAGCAACTTCATTATTTCAGTCCCAAGCTGTTAAACATTCATCTTCACTAATATCAACATTATTAGGATTTGTTTGAGTAACGAAGACACAATGCTATTTAAATTGCAACTGGAGTCTGAGGAAAGTAGAGCTGGTTAAATTGAAGACCTTCCATTCTGTCGAGCCTTCCAGGGGTTTGGTCTGGCTATTCAAAGGCAGTCTGGAGCTGGAGAGAGCAGAAAGACTTTGCCTAACTGAGGGAGATGAATTTAGAATTTCCAGGGAGCAATTCAAGAGGGCAAGAGTCAGGAGGAATAAAGGAAGGCAAAGCATGAAAGAAGAGCCTACAGGATGGCACTAGGCTTGGAACCGCATGACTAGGTAGCCAGTGAAACATCCCCATAGGTGGATTTTCTCTACTTTCCTGTGATACAGTATTCACACATTATTATGAGGTTAATGATGTGAACTATCAATTAACCACCTTTCCTTCCCTTGGGCTCTAACTGGTTGAGACTAGATACTTGGATTCAAATGTGATAAGGTCGTTCTCCTAAGAACAAGGCTGTCTGATGTTCAATTTGAAACTGTCCATAGAGTCCTTTTCTATCCCTTCCATCCCTGGACTTCTTAATAATATCAAATACACACCCAAATGGCACCTGAGAATGATTTCATCCTGGAAAACACAAGATCTCTTTCTCATTTCTATGTCTACAGGAAGTGGGGGAGAGAGAGAATCTATGTTGGATGGAGGGAAGATGAATACAATGACTTAATTTTACGAAAGCTGGAGTTTGGAGCCAGAGAGGGGCACTTCTCTACTTGCTCCCACCATTTCTCCACCAAGAACCCACCTCAAGTTGGGAAAGCTTTATGCTCTGTGGGAGATGGGATAAAGGGTGTTATGGGATGAATTCTGTCCTTTCAAAATTTATATGTTGAAGTTCTAACTCCCACTACCTTAGACAAAGCCATTAGAGAGGTATTTAAGGTTAAACAGGGTCATAGTGGTGGGGCTATACTCCAGTAACCCTGGTGTCCTTATAAGAAGAAAAAGAGATGCCTGGATGCACGTACACAGAGAAAAGTCCACGTGAGGACACAGCGAGAAGACAGATGTCTGCAAGTCTAGGGGAGAGGCCTCAGGAGAAACCAACCCTGCTGGCACCTTGGTCTTGGACTTCCAGTCTCCAGAACTGTGAGAAATAAATTTCTGTTGGTTAAGCCAACAAGTCTGTGGTATTTTGTTTTGTTTCTAGGCAGCCCTAGAAAATTAGTACCAGGGATTAGGTGATCTAATCTACATCTCGAGAGGCAGGGAGATCTCAGCTGATGTGTGGGATATCTTTGGTAAGAAATGATGTCTGTGGAAGCAACCTAAATGCCTATCACTGATAGACTGGATAAAGAAAATGTGGTACATATACACCATGGAATACTATGCAGGCATAAAAAGAATGAGATCATGTCCTTTGGAGGGACATGGATGGAGCTGGAAGCTGTTATCCTCAGCAAACTAACACAGGAACAGATAACTGAACACCGCATGTTCTCACTTATAAGTGGGAACTGAATGATGAGAACACATGGACGCATGGGAGGGAACAACACACACTGGGGCCTGTTGGGGTTGGCAAGGGTGGAGGGAGGGAGAGCATCAGGAGGAATAGCTAATGAATGCTGGGCTTAGTACCTAGGCGATGGGATGATCTGTGCAATAAATTACCATGGCACACATTTACTGATGTAACAAACGTGCACATCCTGCACATGTATCCCTGAACTTAAAATAAAAGTTGAAAGAAAAAAAACCACAAAAGCCCCCAAAACAACACACTACCATCTAAATAAAAAAAATGATGTCTGCATCCCATCTTATACAGAGCATGACACAGAGGCAGCTGAAGTATAGGGGCAAAGCATCGAGATATAGAGACAGAAGACCTGGCTACTTCTGGGACAGATAGGTGACAGCAAAAACAAACAAACAAGACAACAAATAATAACAAACCAACCAAAAACAACAAAAAACCCACAAAACCCAAAAAAACCCCAAGACCAAAAACCAACCAACCAAACAAAAAAATGCTGTGTTTGGATTCTCGCCAGCCTGTGACCTTGGACAATGATCTCTGTGAGCCCCACTTTCTTCCAGCAGCAATAGGATACTTGTGAAAATTGTCACAACTGCTTTACTGGCTTTGTAGACACAAAGAGAGTACACAAAAGGTCTTTATTACTTGGAAAGCATGACTGGCTTTTCTTGCCTCATTTGTCTTTTACCCAGGATCTAGTGGAACCATTTGGTTGTTGAACCAGGAATAGTGAAAAGCAAATGACGATTGTTATAAAGATGACGAACTTTAGAAGTACCTCTGTCATCTCTTACAGAAGAAAAAAAAAAGACATCTCCTGAGTGAAGAATGAAAAGCAGAAATCCCTTTTACTTCTAAAATGTGTCAGAAGATACACTGCGTTGTCACTAATAGAGAAAATTCAGTGTTTTTTCTGCTTTCATAAATAACTATGGCTTCTATTGGCAAAAGCTTTTGCAAAAAGAAATTTGGAAAAATGTATCAAGATTCTTAAAAATATATTCATAATCTTTGACACAGTAGCTCCATTGATAATAATTTATCTTAAGGAAATAATTTAAAATGTAGAAAGCCATATGGTTAAGAGATTTCCTATAACTTTATTTACTATGATATAAATTTGGAAATATCCTAAATATTTAAAGTTAGGAGAATAGCTAAATAAGTCATACATCCACACAATGGAAGATAATGTAATCATTAAAAAATACATAAATGTGTATATTTTTAAATGAGAAAGGAAGAAGACAAAATTGGAAGGAAATACAACAAAATGATAGCTGTGTGGTTGGTAGTAGAATTATTTATTTTTATTTAATGCTTTATACTTCTGTTGATACACTTCCATAGTGAAACTGCATTAGTTTTATAATCAGAAAAAAATAAAATATGAAGTGAAGTTCAAATAGAAAGATAAGAGCCAGGCATGGTGGCTCATGCCTGTAATCCCAGCACTTTGGGAGGCCGAGGCGGGTGGATCACTTGAGGTCAGGAGTTGAAGACCAGCCTGGTCAACACAATGAAACCCCGTCTCTACTAAAAATACAAAAATTAGCTAGGTATGGTTGTGTGCACCTGTAGTCCCGGCTAATTGGGAGGCTGAAGCAGGAGAATTGCTTGAATCTGGAAGCAGAGGTTACAGTGAGCTGAGATGGCACCACTGCTCTCCAGCCTGGGTGACAGAGCGAGACTCTGTCTCAAAAAAAGAAAAAAAAAAAAGAAAGAAAAGGGTGACAGTGTATAAATACTCTCCTCCCCTGTGACATAGAGATAATTCTGCCTACCCGAATATCACACATGAAGTGTGAAGTTCAAGTGAAGTATTATATGGAAACATTTGTTCTCATATTCCTCCTTAGCCCGTAAGAGAACAAATGATGCTTTTGCCCAGCCAGCAGGGAAGAAGTGAAAAGAGACCCTCTAGTTCTCCTTCCACCCATTCATTCTTCACCTCTTTCTAATGGAGGGGCAGCGCTAGCCTGACTGGTGAAGCAGGGAAGCTATTGACATCATTAGCCTAGTTTATCTATTGGTGGGTTCGTGTTTCCTTCTGGCCGCTTAGACTCAATTGGAGATTCCTAGCCCTGGCTTCACATTAGAATCAGCTGGAGAACTTTAAAAAAAATTGATGCCTAGGCCCTACCTCCAGATTTCATTGGTCTCAGGTAAGCCCTGGGCAGCAGTGTTTTTTAAAGCTCCCAGGTGATTTTAGTGTGTAGTCATGGCTGAGAATTCTTCCTGGATTGATGGAAGCAGACACTTTGCATGGCTGGTCTTCAGAGAGTACACATACCAGGTAGGACCTGCCTCCTGCTTAACCAGCCGGGTCTTGGCTTTTTCTATTTATTTATTTATTTGTATTTTTATTTTTTTGAGATGGAATTTCACTTTTGTTGCCCAGGCTGGAGTGCAATGGCACAATCTCGGCTCACTGCAACCTCTGCCTCCTGGGTTCAAGCGATTTTCCTGCCTCAGCCTCCCGAGTAGCTGGGATTGCAGGCATGTGCCATCACGCCTGGCTACTTTTGTATTTTTAGTAGAGATGGGGGTTTTTCCATGTTGGTCAGGCTGGTCTCGAACTCCTGACCTCAGGTGATCTGCCCACCTTGGCCTCCCAAAGTGCTGGGATTGCAGGCGTGAGCCACCGCGCCCGACACAGGTCTTGGCTCTTTCTGTTCCAGCTTCTTAGCCTGTGAATGCAGGAGGGGGAGCAGGCCAGCTCTTTCTTAGGGGCTAATTCTCTGCAGCTTGTAAGGCAGAGAGCAGAAAGCACATTTAGGACTTCATTCAAACCGTGTTCTCCAATCTAGTTTTATCATTAATGAGGCTGATTTTATTCTGAGCCTCATTTGATTCCATTCTCTACCAGTTAGAGCCCAGAGGACAGAAGCGGGAGTTAATTGACAGTTTCTATCTCCAACACCATAATAAAGTGTGACTACTGTATCACTGAGAAAATAGAAAAAGTAGTACAAAGCTCTGCATGGGGAAGCAAGTGAAGGATTAGCAAGCTTGGCTGCGGATGGAGCATATAAGTCTACTAGGTCCAGAAGGTAAAGGAGGGAGGATATTTCAGATAGAGATTAATAGACATAAGAAAAACCGAAGACCAAAGTGTTTATTTTTCTATTCCCTCTCACATACTACTCAACACAACATTTCTGACACCAGATTCATGGGGGAGGTTTCCTCACACACCAAGCAAGCAATTTTTCAGTGGACACCAGCTGGGTATCCTCTATTTCAATTCAATTCTGACACTACCTGGAGAGAGTGTCAGATCCCACAGGTTGAGGGCTCAGTCCTGCAAGACTCCTGCCTCCCACCCCAACGTCAGATGCTAATTGCAAACTCAGGGTGTGACCTGTGCTTCTGACCCACGTGCTATAAATTGTGGTTTCTATGACCCCCCTCCTTAGGCTTGATTAAGTTGCCAGGGCAGCTCACAGAACTCAGGGAATGCTTTACTTATACTAAGTCATTTTTTATAAGGGATATGACAAAGATTACAGATGAGTAGCCATATGGGGCAAGTCATGTGGGAAGGGCTGAGGAACTTCCACAGCCTCTCCACCCTCTTAGAACCTCAATATGTTCAGCCATCCAGAAGCTTCCTTAACCTAGTCCGTTTACTTTTTTTTTTTTTTTTTTTTTTAGTACTTTAAGTTCTAGGTTATATGTGCACAACGTACAGGTTTGTTACACAGGTATACATGTGCCACGTTGGTTTGCTGCACCCATCAACTAGACATTTACATTAGGAATTTCTCCTAATGTTATCCCTCCCCCAGCACCCCACCCCCTGACAGGCCTCGGTGTGTAATGTTCCCTGCCCTGTGTCCATGTGTTCTCATTGTTCAACCCTTTTACGTTTTAATGGAGGATTCATTACATAGGCAAAACTGATCAGATCATTGGCCACTGGTGATCAACTCAACCTTCAACCCCTCTTTCCTCCTTGGAGGCTGGGTGTTGGCTGAACGTTACAAACCTCTAATCACATGGTTGGTTCCCAGCTCCCATCTTGGGCTACCCAGGAGCCCCCCAAGAGTCACCTCATTAGAACAAAAGAGGCTCCTATCACCTAGGAAAACCCAAGGGATTTAGGAGCTCTGTGTCATACACTCCTATCACTCAAGCTATTACAAGGGTTTTAGGAGCTCTGTGCCAAGAAGCAGGGATGAAGACCAAATATATAGCTCTGATTTTAAGTTATAATGTCACAGAGAGAAAGTGTGGAGATATAAAAATCCTTAGTGTCCTGAGTTCAGCAGTAAGTCTTGTGATTGAAAGACACAGAGAACGTTTGGGGAATGTCACATGAGACTAGAAATGTATATTGGGGTCTGGAGTGCCATGCTAATGAGTCTGAATTCTGTCCTGAAGAAACTTTATAGCCATGAGAAAAAACCTATGCATAGTCATATCTATAGTTCAGTGGCCAATGTTCGATGTGGGTTTTAAACCTGTTTGCTGTGTGAACCCCAGGTGGGACTGGAACTAGTGTTTTTCATGCGGGATGTCTACTTGAAAATTCTCTTTCATCTCTTAGCCTCTTTCTTCCCTATGTTTTTTTCTGCAGCAATTTGAGAAGTAAATGAGCCATCACAAGCAGAGTTTCTTGCAAGGCTGGCTCCAGGCAAACCTGTTAAGTGGACGTTTCTGGTGGCACCTTCAGTTTTCTCCAGCCTCGTCACACCTGGTGGGCTCCTTCCACTCCTTCATGCAGACACTGCTGTCCCCCTCCATCAACACCTTCCTTCAGGGAAGGAGCTGGATCTCATCTTCACTGGGACAATGGCTGGGTAACAGCTGATAGCCTTGCTGCTTTCTGCTGAATATGTTTTTTTTTTCAAAAGACCAAAAAGAAAAAAAAAAAAGGACTAAACCCCTTAAGGTGGGTAAGTGAAGGCCAGGCATTAGTCATTAGCCAGTAGTAAAGGAAGTGTTATTCAGGCAGGAAGACACTACCACTGTCCCTGAGGCTGCTGTCTATACTGCTGATGGTTGCGTAGTCCCCTCTTAAGGACGTGGGGAGGCAGGTGTATATGTACCTGTAAGTGCACACCTGTCCATCAGCACTGCTTCGAGTCAGAGAACTCTTGTTGAATACAAGGTTTATCTGCCCACAGTGGGCTCGTGAGTTTGTGGTGGTGTTTCAGAACTGCTGAAGAATCATGAGTGAGGAGTCCAAGGGAATTCACTTCCTCCCCTTTTTTTTCTTGACTGGGCAAAGTTTCTTTAAACTGTCACATATGAAGCAAGCACTCTGTAGAAGAGAAGCTTCAACACAAAGTGCCTTTTGCAGTCTTGTTTTAGAAACACATTCTTATAGCTGCTCCTCATGCATAATTCCATTTTGCTGTCAACCCTTACGACTTCAACAAAAACTAGGATGTGTGGAGCACCTACTAAGTTCTGAGAAATGTGCCACGTGCTGAGGATACAAAGGTGAATAATCTTTACACAATTCCTGTCCTCAAGGTGATCTCAGTGTAGTGGAAGAGATAGACACATTAAAGGTTAAATGCATTACTGAGAGATCTAGCACAGGCCCAGGAACATAGAGAAAGGGCATCTTTCAAAAGTCCACGCTTTTGGCAGTCTGGAGGTCATTGGTGACCCAGGAGGAGCAAATTCAATAGGGTGGTTGCAGGAGGCAAAAGCCAGATGTTAGTGGGTTGAAAAAAAAATGGAAAGAGAAAAAGTGTGGAAAGCAACTATAAATTACTATTTTGGGAAATTCGGATGAGCAAGTGAGGAGAAACTGGATATCAGCCGGAGGGTCACATGATAAATGAAGGATTTTTAGGGTTCATTTTTATTCATTAAAAATTTATTGACTCCCTGCTATGTCCCAGACATCCTTGTGCTAAGTACTGATGCAATAATGAACATGGCAGACACCGTTCTTGCTTCCAGGGAACTTATAATCTAATGAGTGACAAAAACAAGTAATGGTCAGGGAAGGAGAGCAGGGAAATGAGGAGACAACTTCAAGGCAAAGAGGGCGATGGGAGAAAAGTGTGTAGAGAAAAAAGCATATAGCAGATGTGCACTTTTATAATTAACTAAAGTCCATACTTGATTCAGATTTTCTTAGTTTTTAATCAGTTCCCTTTTTCTCTTCCAGGTTCCCATCCAGGATCCCACACTACATTTAACTGTCACACCTCCTTAGGCTCCTCTTGGCTGTGACAGTTTCTCAGGCTTTCCTAAGTTTGGATGACCTTAACAGTTTTGAGGAGTCCTGGTCATGCATTTTGTAGAATGTCCCTCTTGGGATTTGTCTGACATTTTTCGCTTATTAAACTGGGGTTATGAGATGTTGAAAGGAAGCCCCAAAGGTCAAGTGCCATTCTCATCACATCATGTCAAGGGGACCTGCTGTCAACATGCCTTATTACTGTTGATGTTGACCTTGATCAACTGGCTTGAAGTAGTGTGTATCAGGTTTCCCTGCTGCAAAGTTATTCCCTTCCCCTCCCCATTTCCATGTTGTATTTTTTGGAAGGAAGTCCACTCTGTTCTACCCACACTCAAGGAGTGGAGAGTTATGCTTTATTTACTTTAAGGTGGGGTGTTTGGTACATAAGTTATTTGGAATTCTTCTATGTAGGAGATTTGCCTATTCTCCCTAATTAATTCATTTGTTCAATGTTTTATTTATATCCATTTGGACTCATAGATAATTATTTTGTACTTTGGGTTATAATCCAATACTACTTTATTTTGTTGTTCAAATTATTCCAGTTTTGGCCATCGGGAGCTCTTTCAGCTGGCTCCTGTGTCCCTTTGACATATCCTTATCATTGTGGTTTTTTAAAAAAAATATTGTTTTCAAAACTTCTTTGCTTTCTTGTACCATAAGCTGTTTCAGGCTCATCTCATTTATTCTCTGCTCCATTCCTAGATGCATCCATTTCTCTAAGGAGCCCTGGTTTATTTTATTATAGAATGGTATTGGAAGCCAAGATATGGGTGCTAGGTATGATCATTGATAATGGAAGGCTGTTGCTTGTAGACCCTTTTAGCCATCAGAGTAAGGAAATACATGTGTGTATACTAACCTGTGTATACATACATGTCTATATTATTGTATGTATTCATCTGTGTGTATATTTAACCAAATATGAGCTTATGCTGATTTCTCTCACATTCATGTAGTATCACATGGATCATTCTAGCTTCCTTTCCTATCTGTAACTTACTGCTAAATAGTGAGAACCTAGCTTCCATCATCTTCCATGTGTTCTATTAATGGTTCAATTCTGTTGTTCATGCATAGTGGTTTCTTTGCCTCTGTGGTACATGACTTTCATCAGAGTACAATGCTTATATGCAATTATTTTGCCTTTAGTCTTACAGATAACACTGATTTCTAAATGTCTTAGTCTGTTTTCTGCTGCATCACAGAATACCACAGATTGAGTAATTTATAAAGGCAAGAAGTTTATTGGCTTATGATTCTGGAGGCTGGGAAGTCTAAGATCAAGGGGCTGCCTCTTGTGAGGGCCTTCTTGCTGTGTCATAACATAGTGGAAGGCAAGGAGGGCAAAAGAGGGTGAGAGCATAGAGCATATGAGACACAGAGAGAATAACGGAGCTGAACTCCCATAACTAACCCATTCCCATGATAACAGCATTAATCCACTCATGAGACAAGCCCTCATGACCTAATCAGTTATTAAAGTTTCTATCTCTTAATATCATCAAAATGGTAATTAAATTTCAACATGAGTTGTGGACAGGATGTCCAAACCATAGCAACAAAGTAATATAGGTCAGCATAGTTCTCTGCACCTCCTTCAGAAAGGTTATTTTATACATTTATAATATAGTCAGATTATTTTGTCACAGTCTGCATTCCACTGTGAAATCTCCTGACCACCCAAATGAATTTTTAAAATGTGCAGATATTAAGGTTTACTTTGTGTTGTAAGGCTCTATAGATTTTGACAAATGCAAAATGCTGTGTATCCACCATTATATTATCATATAGAATAGTTTTACCACCCTAAAAAAACCCTCCTCTCTTCCAACCCCCGATCTGTTTACTGACTTTCTAGTTCTGCTTTTTCCAGAATGTCATATGAGTGAAATTTTTTCAGACTGGCTTCTTTCACTAAGCAATATTCATGAAAGATTCATTCATGACTTTGAGTGGCTTGATAGGTCATTCCTTTTTATGACTGAATAGTATTCCACTGGATGGATATACCACAGTTTATTTACTTATTACCTGTTGCAGGACAACAATCTTGGTTGCTTCTAGTTATTGATGATTATAAACAAAGCTGCTATAAACATTCATGAATAAGTTTTGTCAAAGGAAATTGCACTGGGCAAGTTAAATAGGCAAGGGGGACCTTATTCCAGACTATTAAAGCAGGAGAGAGAGATTGAAATTAACTCCACTGAAAAAAAAAAGAGCTTTTAAGTGTTGGGGTGAGCTAGTGAAAAAGTACTGGAGGATATTAAGGTGAAGCTTGGCTAATGTGATCAGGGCATTTTTGATTACTATTAGCACTTTTGAAGTTAGACTCCTTCCACAGAGTCTGGGAGATAGGGGCACTATATTTATTGATGTTTACATTTCAAAGGGACAGCTCCCAGGTGCTTGAGACATCCCTGGGTGGCAAAACTGGCAAGGGGCTGGAAGAAGATTTCCATCATAAAGGGGCAGAGAAATAATTCACAATTGCAATTTTTCTAAAGTAAATGATCTAAGAAAAGGGAGGTTTAGGGACCTATGGTCAGGGAGAAACCTGTCTAAAGTGTAGACAAGGTGAGGAGAATGTTAGGGCCATTCTTGGTCCATTTTTGTATGGACTTAAGTTTTCAAATCATTTGAGCAAATACCAAAGAGCATGATGGCTGGATTGTATGGCGAGACTATGTTGAACTTCATAAGAAACTGCCAAACTATCTTCCAAAGTGATGCACTATTTTTCCTTCCCACCAGCAATGATGAGAGCTCCTCTTCCTCCACATTCAGCAACTGGCATCATCTATTTTTTAGGTTTTGGCTATTTAAATAGGTGTGCAGTAGGTATTCTTTTAAACAGACACACTCCCTCAGGTCACCAGCTTACCAAGACTTGTGGACATCCCTCTGTCAGCCTTCCTTCTCCACATATGCTACTTTCTTCCAGTTGTCTGGTCTTCCCAGGCTCCACTTCATGGATTCTTTCTCCAACACTCTGCTGTTCTTGAGTCTTGTAACCCACTCCTTCTCTAAGCCCAAGCCCAAGACTAGGTTATTGAATACGTCATTTATATGGAGACTGAAATCTCCTGCTGGGGTAAAGCAGAAAACCGTGAGTAGGTTTCAACATCTTCAGGGAATGAGAGGAAGTTCTAAGAGGTTGCTGGATGGTCAGATGCATAGAGGTTAAGGGCGGATAGAGCCCAGTGGTGTGAGCCCCAGCAGAAGATGAAAAAGATAAGGTCTAGAAAGTGGCAATGGGGATCCAGTTAAGGTCCAACTCAAATTTGGTATAAAGTGGGGTAAAAGTTATCCTCACGTGAGGATCAGATTCCCATTAAGCCTGGGAGTGAGAAAAAGTTCGACAAAGAGGCCAAAGATACAGAATTTTTAACATTAACAATGGAATGAGTTTTTCAGTGGACAGAGCTACAAGATTTTTTTTTTTTTTTTTGCTTCTTTGATTTTTTTTTTGTTTGTTTTAGTAGGCAGGCTC
Organism: Homo sapiens; assembly: GCF_000001405.40. Lineage (NCBI taxonomy): Eukaryota > Metazoa > Chordata > Mammalia > Primates > Hominidae > Homo > Homo sapiens. The sequence continues at coordinate 51,526,226 of NC_000017.11, forward strand.
TATTCTGGACTCAAGACTGAAGAAGTGCAAAGCAGCAGTCAGCTAGAATACAAGAGTGATGAGATGGGGAAAAGTCCTTGCCTTTCATTGGGTGACTGAGGATGAGAACTCTGGTAGCAAATGACTTGCCTCAAAGTACTTAATTTTGGCCAAAAGTAGCAGGATATTTGATCCCAGAAATGGCTGAGGGTTCACAAAATATATATTGCTTGGTCTTGAAAAAGTGGTGAGAGCTGCTATGTGGCTTATAGGCAGAGATGGAAAGAATCCAGTTCTGGGTGGACATCATCTCATGGTTTGAGGTGTGTTGGCAAATGCCCAGTTTGGGAAAAGGCTCCCATAAAGATAGAACTGCATGTCTACAGAATGGCCCTTGGAAGGTATGGCAGTAGCAGAAGTATGCCACTCAGACCTCTTTTGAGAGGACCTGCAGCAGGGAGAATAGTTGAGTGACAGTTCCCAGCTGTTGTTCCATGGATTGCAAGGCCACATTCTCCAGGTTGCTTCCAACCAATGCTGGGTGCAGCTGGCTTACTAGCACAGCCCTATTTCTGCCCAGTGCTGGATTTCCCTAATGGGCAACTTTTGCTTGGAGACTCTGTATTGGCCAGGTGAAAATTTTCTCAGAACTGTGTTGCAGTCTGAGGCTCTTCCTACACAATTCTTCCTTCCTTCTCTCCTTTTTCACATGTAAGACTTGCACATACTCCTCTTGCCTATCCCATTCCTTCATCCTTCATCCTTCATGGCCATTTCCCTGATAAATCTTTTGCACATTTAATTCTGTCTTGAGGGCTGCTGCTCAGAGGACCTGAACTGATACAGTATGGGAGTGTCAGAGGACTTTATTCTATGCAGAGCCTATGTCAGTGAGTTCAAAGGGTCTTATTTTTGTTCATCCATTCGTTTTTGTCATCCCCTGACCTCTCATATTTGATACTTGTCATTGCTCCTTTAGCTATGATGGTGACCCCTCTGACTGTATACATTACTTTGGGCAAACCCCTCCTACTGCAACCTGGCGCTGGAATCCTCCTCCTAGTTCAGCATCTTATTTATTGGAGGAGCTCCTTCTAACACATTCCAGCTCATAAGTAGGAATCAGGTGATTTTACTAAATGTGTGTAACTCTTGTAGGCTGAGGATTAAAGTATTCCTATACTAGCTGGAATGTAAACCGGTCCTACAACACACTTCAGGTAGTCCTAGAGCCTGGACCTGTTAGAAGATAGCCACACCTTGGAAGGTGACAGTAAGCTCTCAGGAATAGGCTGGGATTTTTTTTTTTTTTCTCGTTCTTGAATCTTGCGGTTAGGTAGACATACAGACAGTGTCTGCAGCATTCCCAGGAGGGCCCAGGAGGTATAAAACCCCATTGAGAATGGCAAAGAAAGTTTCCCAAAGAATCTCATGGAATGATTATTCCCCCATTCCTATTTCCCCTCCTCTCCTCTCCCCACAGCACTCACAAAAGGCCTGTGGTCTGATACCCCTACGGCAAGAGCAGTTTCCACTGTGAGGTCTGAGGAATAAGATAGGGTCACTGACAAGAAATGAGTCACTAATTCAGAAACCAGGGGTGTTAGGAACAGTGGTGAATGGGGTGGTTCATGTGCAGTTGACCACAGGGGTCTTGAACCTTGTGAAAGTGCCAACGTCTGGTTTTATTGGCTGCCGGCTGCACGGTGTGGTGATGGGCCTGCTGGACGAAAGACTCAGGAAAGGGCAGTTGCTGTGAGGATCAGTGGAGTTGATGGACATTCAGGCACTTTGTAAATGAAAAGGTCATATAGCACTGAGGGCCATAGGTCCTGGCCTGGGTGCTCGTCGGAGTAGGACCTCTTATGAGTCGTGGCATCTCTCTGCTTTGTTTTCCAATCTAAAATCCTGGCCACCCCCGCCCCCCACCTCTCCTTGCAGATTGGCTGAAGGGAGTCAGTGAGGGAGCAGACAGGAACACATTTTTCCTCTGCTCTATCCTGCAAACACAAACTCTGTGCAGATGAGGCGTCTGTTACAGAAACTGTTAAGGCTCGTCAAACAAATCAAGCTATATACGATGTGGCACCTTCCTCCCTGGGCGAGCAGGTGCAGTGTCCAGCATCTCTGGCCCCCGTGGCCTCCCAGAAGGAAGGGAGGGAGCCTTGGCAGTGTGAGCAGAAGAGCAGGCCATGCCATGCTTTGGGGAAGAGAAAAGGGAAAGACATGTGTGTCTGGTGTTTGTTCCCTGCCAACACTTCCTGCTCCTTTGTTCTTCTTTGTCCAGTCATTGTTATTTTTAAAAAAAATTAGACAAAAATAACTATATTATGTTTTCTAAAAATTATGGATTCTAAGCATTGCTGCTGAAAAATTATCAGAATTGATATTGATTGAGCTCATAATCTGTGCCAGGTACTGGGCTAAGCACTTTACATGCACGAGCAACAAGAGAAGGAAGGAACTATTGCTATGCCCATTTTACAGATGAGCAAAGTGTGGCTGAGAAAAGTTAGGTAATTTGCTCAAGACATAAACTAGTATTGTAGGGGATGGAATGGAGGCTTTGCTTTAAAGTCTCTGTCCTCATCAAAATACCTTAATGCCTTTCCATAGGTAGAAATACAGGCTGCTATAAAGAAGAAAGCAATAAAAGCATTCATAATCCTGTCCACCAAATAAAACTGTCGTTAATATTTTGGCATATAACCTTCTGGATATTTTCTAGGCTATTTTACATTTTTTTTGCAATTTTTTTCAATAATGTCCTATGGACATCTTTCCATATCAATAAATATCATTCCAAAGAATGAATTTTTAAATAAATTACTGCATACTGTTTAATTATATGAATGCACCATAATTTTTTAAACCAATCTCTATTTCTTGGGTATTGCCAGTATTTTGCTTTCATAAACAATGCTGTGGTGAACATCCTTGTTAATGCATCTTTGAACACTTGTCCAACATACTCCACAGCATACATTGCTAGAAGTGGAATTGAAGAGTTAAAGTAGCTGTAAACATTTTAAACATGGCACATATTGACAGATTACCTTCCAGAGGGGATACACGGATTCACATTCCCACTGCTAGGATTCTTTCTGAGATAAGTTTGAGAAGTACCATTTAGAATAATCTCTCTCTTTTTTTTTCCTGTCACTCACTAGTACTCACTTTGATGTCTGTCCCTCTTAATTTTTGGATTTACTTCCTGTTTTTGGCTCTTATGGTTTGGAGGCTCTCCAAATGTTCTCCTCATGTTGTTTTAGTTGTTTAAAAATTATTTTATTGATGTAAATTTGGCATATCATATAATTTACCCTTTTGAAATACACAATTCAATGATTTTTTATTAAATTTACCAAGTGGTGCATCCATCACCATAAATCAGATTAGAGTATTCTTATCATCTCGGCTTCTGCACAGCAAAAAAATCAGCAGAGTAAACAGACAATCCATAGAGTGGGAAAAATATTCACAAGCTATGCATCCACCAAAGGACTAACATCCATAATCTACAAGGAAGTCAGACAAATCAGCAAGGAAAAAGCAAATAATCTCATCAAAAAGTGGGCTGAGGACATGAATAGACAATTCTGAAAAGAAGATATACAAATGGCCAACAAACATGAAAACATGCTCAACATCACTAATGATCAGGGAAATGCAAATCAAAACCACAATGTGATACCACCTCACTCTTGCAAGAATGGCCATAATCAAGAAATCAATAAATAATAGATGTTGGTGTGGATGTGGTGAAAAGGGAGCACGTTTACCCTGCTGGTGGGAATGTAAACGAGTACAACCACTAACAGTATGGAGATTCCTTAAAGAACTAAAAGTAGAAATAGCACTCGATCCAGCAATCCCACTCCTGGGTATTTACCCAGAGGAAAAGGAGTAATTATATGAAAAAGACACTTGTACATGCATGTTTATAGCGGTGAAATTTGCAGTTACAAAAATATGGAACCAGCCTAAATGCTCATTAACCAATGAGTGGATAAAGATAATGTGGCATATATACACCATGGAATACTACTCTCCCATCAAAAGGAATGAAACAATAGCATTTGCAGCAACCTGATTGGAGCTGAAGACCATTATTCTAAGTGAAGTAACTCAGGAATGGAGAACCAAACATCGTATGTTCTCATTTATGAGCAGGAGTTAAGCTATGAAGACACAAAGGCAAAAGAATGATATAATGGACTTTGGAGACTCAGGGGGAAGGATGAGAGGAGGGTGAGGGATAAAAGACCACACACTGGGTACAGTGTACACTGCTCGGGTGATGGGTGCACCAGAATCTCAGAAATCACCACTAAAGAACTTTTGCATGCAACTAAACACCACCTATTCCCCCAAAAATATTGAAATAAAAATAAAAAGGAATATTCTTATCATCTTAATATCTCTCAAGCAAGCATATTTACTGCTAATATACATCTTTCCCTCTTCTCTGTTCTTTCCCCAAGTAACCAGTAATCTACCTTCTGTCTCTATAGCTTTGTCATTTCTGAATACTTCATGTACATGGAATCATGCAATATGTGGTCTCTTGTCCCATCATGTTTTTGAGGTTTATCCATGTCATAGCATGTATTGGTCATGCCGACTAGTTTATGTTGTATGTGTGTGTGCCGTATTTGGTCTAGTCATTCATTCACCAGTTGATGGACATTTGGGTTGTTTCCAATTTTTTGATATTACGAACAACACTGCTAAGAATGTCCACGTGCATGTCTGTGTGCAAATATGTTTTCATTTTTCTTGAGTAGGTACCTAAGACTGAAATTGCTGGATCATAAGGAAAACTCATGTTTCACTTTTTAAGAAATTGCCAAACTGTTTTCCAAAGTAGCTGTGCCTTTTTATATTGCTACCAGCAATAAATGAGGGTTTCTGGTTTTCCACATCCTCACCAACATCTATTATTGCCTGTCTTTTTTATTGTAGCCATTAGTGGGTATGAAATGGTATCTCATTGTGGCTTTAATTTGCATTTCCCTAATGACTAATGATATTGGGCATTTTTATGTGCCTTAAATTTTTTTAAATTAAAGATATCCACTGTACAAAATTAAAAATATGCAGAAAAGTCAAAGAAAAATATAAAAATCCCTTGTATTTCCACAATCTAGATATAACCATTGTTACTATTTGAAATGTTTTTTTTTCAGTCGTGTGTGTGTGTGTGTGTGTGTGTGTGTGTGTGTGTGTGTGTGTCTTGTTTACAAATAGGGGTCCTACTATGAATACTGCTTGGAAAATTGTTCTTTCCTTTCATAGTTCCTCATATCATTAGAGATTCTTCCACAACTTTGGTTATAACCTCTTCTTCCTCAATATACTCATTCTAATCAGTCTTACAAATGAAATCTTTTGTGGAATCCCAATAAACAAAATGGAAAGCAGAGCTTCTCTAAATAGAGATTGAATAGTGTGGGTCATGCTAGATCCCTTGGCCTTTTTGTGGCTTCTGAGAGCCAGTTTTTAAGCCTCTCTTGTATATTATTTTTAATGGCTGCAACTAATTCTCTATATTGAACATTGAGATTACATAATGGCTAAGCAGATAGGAACCAGCCTGCTGGGATTTGAATCTCAGCTCTGCCATTTACTAGCAATGTATTCAATGGTGCCCTTGGCCTTGGTTTCCTTGTTTATAAACTGGGAATAGTAATATCACTCACTGCCATAGGAGAGCTATGTGGGCATACATGCAATGATTACAACAATTTTGCCTACCTCAGTGTGAGTTACTTAATTTCACATTTGTATAACATAAAATTTAAAATTAACAGTTTTAAAAAATGTATGTGACAGGCTAACAATCATTGCCTTGGTAGGTCACATGAACTGGTCAATGGAGTATTTCAGAGAGAGGAAGTCAGTTTATACTCTAATTCGCAGTATACAGATATAATAAGAGGTCTTGAAAATTTACCTTTTGTATTGTCACAATTTCTACAAGGTCATTTTTTGGTGATTTTGTGAAATGAGAGATTGCAAGAAAAGGCATTACATTTAAATTTATAAAAGATGTAACTGTTAACTATTGTGTTCAAAATATAAGATTCTGAGGATAATCTGCCCCAGAACACCCTGATGCTTCAGCATTGTTTGCTCAAAAAAGCTTTTCAAGAAAAGGGTTTTCTCCTAAAGAAGATTTCTAATGCCAACGTCTATGGCTTGTTTTGAAGGAGATAGCTTCTACGGTGTTTGCTCATCCTGTTTTACAATATGTATTAATATTTAAACCATATATACACTTTAAATTGCTTCCCTTTTATTTTCCCTAAGGCCTTGATCTTTCAACTAAGGGTCTGTTGACTAAATGAATGACTGATTGTCTCTTATTTAAATCTGCTTGTATGTCCCATAGTAACAATTTATTGCTTATATCATATAAAGCCTGCATGTTTGCTGTATTGCTAGACATTATGCAATTTTTGGTTATCATTACAAAGGAATATTTCCCTCCATTTTCCCATTACATTTCCAACTGGTTATTATTGATATGGTTGATAGGCAAATAAAGCTGAACTGCCACATTTCAGCTGTGGTTTCACAACTGACACAGATTTCAGCAGTGTCACATTTAGCAGAACACAAGGCTGATATTTAAAAGAATTGAAAAACAATTAAAATCTTTCCTGAAGACTCACTAAAGGGTGCAAGGGGAGCATTACATTGCATGGTGCACAGCAAAGCAGGCTAGATGCCTCATCATTGGTCACCCATCCTACCAGCTGTGTATCTCTCTCTCTCTCTCCATTCACCTCTTCCAGATCTATTCTGCTCTTCCTTGGGTAGCACCAAGCTCCTTTAAATGTCACCCCAAACTAGTATTTCTAGGATTATTCCAACTCTGCCTGTCTATCCATTACTGTGATCAGCACCGCCCAAGCTGAGATCCTTGGTCACTTGAGCAACAAAACATTCTCTATTAGTTATTTGTTGCTACATGACAAATTACTGCAACCTTAGCATCTTAAAGCAACATTTATTATCTCACAGTTTCTCTGAGTCAGGAATCTGGGAGCAGCTTAGCTGCATGGTTCTGGTGCAAGATCTCTCATGAGGCTGTGGTCATTTCAAGATTCAATTAGTGGGAGGAGCTGCTTCCAAGCTGCTGGTAAGCCTTAGTTTCTTGCGGCTATGGTTTGAACATTTTGTCCCCTCCACATTCATGTATTGAAGGCTTAATCCCCAATGCAACAGCATTGGGAGGTGGGGCCTAATGGGAGTTGTTTGGGTTACCAGGGCTCTGCCCTCAGGAATGCATTAATGCCACTGTAACAAGGCTTGCAAGGGGCTGGGTGAGTTGGCTGACGTCTGTAATTCCAGCACTTTAGGAGGATCACCTGAGGTCAGGAGTTCGAGACCAGCCTGACCAACATGGAGAAACCCTGTCTCTACTAAAAATACAAAATTACAGGGGCGTGGCGGCGCATGCCTGTAATGCTAGCTACTTGGGAGGCTGAGGCAGGAGAATTGCTTGAACCCGGGAGGCAGAGGTTGCAGTGGGCCAAGATTGCACCATTGTACTCCAGCCTGGGCAACAAGAGCAAAACTCCATCTTGGGGGGTGGTGGGAGAGAAAAAAAAGGCTTGCAGGAGTGGGTTTGCTCTCCTCCTCTTCTGTTACATAAGGATGCATGTTTCTCTCCTCCAGAGGATGTAGCATTCAAGGCACCATCTTGGAAGCAGAGAGATTGGGCCCTAATCTGCCAGCACCTTGATCTTGCACTTTCCAGCTGCCAGAACTGTGAGAAATAAATGTGTGTTCTCTATGCATGACCTAATCTGTGGTATTCTGTTACAGCAGCACAAAATGAACTAAAACACTTGCCATGCGGGGATCTACATAGGCCGAGTGTCTTCATGATATGTTAGCTAGCTTTCCCCAGAAAACACACAGAGAGAAAGTGATGAGAGAGAGACAGAGAGCGAGAGAGAGAGAGAACCCAAGTCAGAAGACTGGGGGAGTGAAATGAAGCCTCACTTCTTGAGAGACATATTAAAGAATTGTGAACATATCTTTAAAACCCTCATGGATTACTTTTTATAGTGAGTTGGGAAAGAGTGTAAATTATTAGGCTTTTTTTTTTAGACTTGGCCTGCATAAAAATGCTATTGATTTCTGTGTTTGCATTTTTTAATTGGCCAGCTTACCAAACTGTTATTAGATCAAAAGTCTTCAGTTAATCCTTTTTGGGTTTCCAGGTAATCACATTTTTCCTTTCCTCCAATATTTATATTGTTTTTTTTCTCTCTCCTTTTCCCAATCACTGGTTAGAATTACCTGAATAACAACAATAAATGATAAAGATAAGTAATGGTGGTGATGATGGACATCCCTGTTTCATTTCTCAGAATGTCTTTAGTATTTCATTGATAAAAATGATGCTGCTGCTCTTGGTTTATTATGTTAAGGAAGCACCTTTTATTGTGCTAATTTACTAAAAATTTTCAACTCGTTCTGGTTTTTGGAAGTTGGTTTTGTTGTAAGGTTTTAAGAACTGCCCATTCTTGGATTTCCTAAAGCTTCAAATGAAGAATTTTAGGCTTTCAGAATCCTAGCATGTGACCAGGCCAGAGCTCATGTCCAAAGGGTTGGACAGGAAGATTCTGACATTTATCTTGAACTTACTACTCCCAAGTTCTTTTCTGTCCCTCCTTTGCAGTCTCCACCAAAGAACTCTTTGTTACATTCCATTTTCTGTCCCCAGAAAGCATATTTTTAAGGGAGGAAGAGAATTATCTGGGCAAAGCTGGGCACAGTGGCTCACACCTGTAATACCAGCACTTTGGGAGGCTGAGGTGGGTGGATCACTTGAGGTCAGGAATTCGAGATCAGCCTGGCCAACATGGTGAAACCTCGTCTCTACTAAAAAAAAATACAAAAGTTAGCCAGGCATGGTGGTGGGCGCCTGTAATTCCAGCTACTCAGAAGGCGGAGGCAGGAGAATCGCTTGAACCCAGGAGACGGAGGGTGCAGTGAGCCAAAATCGTGCCACTGCACTCCAGCCTGGGTGACAGAGCGAGACTCCATCTCAAACAAGCAAACAAGAATTATCTGGGCAAAGGATTGCTCTTACATCGACTGACACAGGAAGATCAGGGTCATCTATGGCTGGGCTCCACCCACCCCTGCCCTTCTCTCGCCCCTGGAGGGAGTCAGGTGATTCTTGTCATCCGTGGAGAGCCTCCAGACCAATGGCTGATTTGTGGTCCTCAGGGTTAATGGTGCGGTACACAGGAGAACCTGTGCAGGTAGCTTTTTCTGCAAATAATTTCTCTAGGAGATTGAATGGTGGGCAACCTGTCAGTATCCTCCCCACTCCATGGACCTTGTTTATAAGTTCCACCCTTGCATTATGGTGATCTCGTATTTTTTGACTCAGGGGAAAACTAGTTTGCTATAACAGTTGGATAAAATAACCCTTGTGACTGGCCCCATTAAAGGATGATGTTTAGCTTTGCTTCTCAAAGTGCCAGTGAGCAACATCAGTGTTCCCTGGGGGCCTGTTAGGAATGCAGACTCTCAGGCCCTATGCAGACCTGCAGAATCAGAAACTGCAGTTTCACAAACCCACAGGTGATTTTCATGCACATTACAGTTTTAGAAGTGCTAAAGCACTTTGGCTGCACATTGAATCATCCGGAGGGCTTTAAAAAACCTACAGTGCTCAGGCCACACCCTAGACTAGTGGGTTTCAACCATGTGGATTTTGCCCTACACTTCCTAATATTTGCCAATGTTTGGAGGTAGTTTTGGTTGTTATAACTGGGTTGCAGGTACTACTGCCATCTAGTGGGTAGAGATCAGGGATGCTAAGCTTCCTTCAGTGTAGAGGACAGCCCTTCAAAAAATTGTTCGGCTCAAAATGTCAATAATATCAAGGTTGAGAAACCCTGCCCAGGATTTCTGAGGGAGGGACCAGGCATCATCAATTTCCCAGTTTTAATTCTCAGACCCCTAGGGGCTGAGTGTGGTGGCTCACACCTGTAATCCCAGCACTTTGGGAGGCCAAGGCAGGAGGATGGTTTGATACCAGCCTGGGTGACATAGTGAGAAGTTGTCTCTACAAAAACTAATTTTTAAAAATTGGCTGAGTGTGGTGGCATGTGCCTGTAGTCTCAGCTACTCAGGAGGCTGAGGCAGGAGAATCACTTGAGACCAGGAGTTCAAGACTGTAGCGAGCGATGATTGAGCCACTGCAATCCAGCCTCAACAATAGAGTAAGACTCTGATCTGTCAAAACAAACAAATAACAAACAACAAAAAACAAAACAAAAAAATTCCCCCCCAACCAACCAACCGAACAAAACAGAATCCCCTGGGGCTGATTATACAGCTCCCCGGACCCTTCTACAGGTGATTCTCAATTAATGGGTCTGGAATGGGGCTGGAATTCACAATTATAACAAGTACCCAGGTGATGCTTATCATCAGGGAAGTTTGGAAACACTAACCCAGGGGCAGGGAACGCATAGAAGCCAGGTGATACGATTTGCATTTGTGTCCCCACCTAAATCTCATGTCTAATTGTCATCCCCAGTGTTGGAGGAGGGGCCTGGTGGGAGGTGATTGGATCATGGGGATGGACAGCCCCCTTGCTATTCTCGCGATAGTGAGTGAGTTCTCATGAGATCTGGTTGTTTAAAGTGTGTAGCACCTACCCCTTTGCTGTCTTCCTCCTGCTCCAGTCATGTAGGACGTGTCTGATTCCCCTTTGCCTTCTGCCATGATTGTGAGTTTCCTGAGGACTTCCCAGCCAGGCTTCCCGTACAGCCTGCAGAACCGTGAGCCAATTAAACCTCTTCTTTATAAGTTACCTGGTCTCAGGTAGTTCTTTATAGCAATGTGAGAATGGACTAATATACCGGGTTATAAGTTAGCTTAGGATATCTATTCCTAAAGATGTGCTGAAGTTGAGTCAGGATGCAGGTATGAGTTGGCACCTAGCGGCACTTTCTCAAAAGCCAGGGTTTGGGAGCCCTGCACACAATGAGTCAGTCCTACTGAACAGCTGCCCTTATCCTGTATACCAGCTCCATCCCAATCTCCACTCTGTGTGTCCCTCAGGCCGAAAGGGAGATGCTGTTATTCTGTCCACTTGAACTAAGGTACCTGCCACAGATTCGCCTTGAAATGGATTCAGAGGCAATGGGTGTGTGACAGAGGAACAAGTAATACAGTGTCTAAGTGCTCATAGCGTTGCCCTCTCCATTGTTTTCTGGGGGGATCCTCAAATCACCTGCGTAGCTCCTGGGCCTTGCTGTGTTGCTTAGGATAAAGAATGGGGAGGATCAAAGAGAAGCTAAAGAATAGTTACTGATTTACCAAGAAAGGGTAGTAGTGAGAGACATAGCGATCAGCAAAATAAAGACTTATTTTTCAGTGTGTGCATCTTTTGAATCTCAGTTTGGAAGTTTCTGGGAATGTAACATTGTAAAATGGCCATGAGGTGGTCTTGTTATACTCACAAGTTAGATGGTTTTGTGAACCAAAACCGGGTCCATTTGGCCTTCTTTTTTTTTTTTGAGACAGAGTCTCACTCTGTTGCCCAGGCTGGAGCACAGTGATGTGATCTTGGCTCACTGCAACCTCTGCCTCCCAGGTTCAAGTGATTCTCCTGTCTCAGCCTCCTGAGTAGCTGGGATTACAGGTGTGTGCCACCATGCTCGGCTAATTTTTGTATTTTTAGTAGAGACAGGGCTTCACCATGTTGGCCAGGCTGGTCTTGAACTCCTGACTTCGTGATCCACCCACCTCGGCCTCCCAAAGTGCTGGGATTACAGGACTGAGCCACTGCGCCCAGCCTGACCTTCTTTCTTTTGGCTCTCTTTCTGCCCTTTGTAATTTTCCTGACCTACATCCTGTTCCCTCTTCCTTTGGCAAGGTATGTGTCATTTCAATTTGCAATTTCAACATGGGATGAGAAATTTTCAAGTAAATCTGGGTTTAGTGAAACAAATTAAAATCCAATTAAGGAAATAAAATAGTGAACGGTGAAGTGTCTATGAGAGTTGTTGAAGGCTGGGGTGGGGATTCGTTTGAGCTCACAAAACAGCTGAAAATTACCCGCAGGGGATGAACTCCACAGTGAAAGCTTAGGCGGCAAAGCTGAAAATAGGGGGTAATTACAGGCAAGAGTCTGTGACCTGCCAGATAGAGATGTGAGGAACAGGTTGCAAGGGAAATGTATTTGATTAAAAAGCAGCTTAACCTCTCCAAGAAGCCTGGATTGAAGAAAAGGAAGAAGAAAATTATAAAACTGGATAAAACTTCACGTGAGGCAAATGAGAGGGTGTGGAAGTAAATATACTTGTTTATATTTCTCGCAGGGACTCTTAGAGGGATTAAAGTGAGTTTGGCAACACTGCTTGAGACCCTGCCCTATTGTAGGTGCTGTGCTAGGGGCCCAGGATACAGACACCAAGGAAGCAGCACAGAGCCTTTCTGTAAGTGCTTGCAGGCTGGTGGGAGAGATGGGCAGGAGCATAGGGAGAGAGACTGTTTTTGCCAGTTCAGGCTGCTGCAGCAAAGCACCATAGACTGGGTGGCTTATAAAAAACAGAAATTTACTTCTTACAGCTCTGGAGGCTGGAAGTCCAAGATCAGGGTGCCAGCATGGTGTAATTCTGATGAGCTTCCTCTTCTAGGTTGCACATGGCTGCCTTCTCATTGTATTTTCACATGGGGTGGGGTAGACATGAGGGAGAGGGAGAGAGGGTCGGGGAGAGGGGGAGAGAGAAAGAAAGCTCTTATGAGGGCACTAATCCTGTTCATGAGGGCTCCACTCTCATGACCTAATCACCTCTTGATACAGTTTAGCTGTGTCCCCACCCAAATCTCATCTTGAATTGTAGCTCCCGTAATCCCCACGTGCCATGGGAGGGACCTGGTGGGAGATAATTGAAATATGGGGGTGGGTCTTTCCCATGCTGTTCTTGTGACAGTGAATAAGTCTCATGAGATCTGCTGGTTTTATAAAGGGGAGTTCCCCTGCACATGTTCTCTGGCCTGCTGCCATGATTGTGAGGCCTCCCCAGCCATGTGGAACTGTGAGTCCATTAAACCTCTTCCTTTATAAATTACCCAGTCTCAGGTATGTCTTTATTAGCAGTGTGAGAACAGACTAATACACCTCCCAAGTCCCCACCTCCTAGTACTTTTACATGGAAAGTTAGAATGTCCACATATGAATTTGTTGTGGTTAGGTACACAAACGTTCAGTTCCTAACAGATGCCCCCACTCCCCTGGTCTCAAAGGTATGAGCCTGGGATGATTGATACTGCTCTCTCTTTGACGACCAGGTGGGTCCTTAATTATCTGTTGGGAGGCATTGCTGCAGGTCTAAGTCGCTGCAGGCTGCTGAGGGTAGAGGGAATGAAATGGAGAAGTAAAGCCTGGACTGAGGTGAGGTGAGTAAGGCACTTGTCTCAGGCCCAAACTTAAAGGGGTGCCCAAGAACTCAGTAATTATATTGTAATGCAGTGGAAAAACAGTTGAAATGCAAATATGAATACAACATATCACAACGAACAAAACATCAACATTTCAAATGAATAAAGGGTCAAGAACAGTGTCATGCCAAGCCATCTTTAAGCCTGAGGCAAAAGGACAATTCAGTAACACTGATCCTATTTTTATTTCAAGTTATGATGTTTTGTTCATCTCGGGATTCTTTGCATTCATTTTGATTTTTAAAAAATGTTGCATTAAAATATTCTTTATCTTGATTGTGAAGTTTTTTGGCACCCCTTTAAAATTGTGCCCAAGGCAAGTCCCAGCCCTGTGAAGAAGAGAGATGGTGTTGTCTCTAGGGTGGCCCCGTGGACCCACTCTGAGCCTTCTGGAATCAGAGAGCTGTCAGTTTGTGGGAAAGGGACTGTTTGCACTAGGATCTCATGGGATTTGGGAAGCAGAGTGGCATCAGGCCTGGTGACAACCTAAGACAGAGCCTTGGGCAAGGGGCATTCTCCTCGTCTCTGAAAGAACCTGGGGTGACTCCGTGCGGTAGGAATTGAAGGGAACACAACATTATGCGGGCCCCAGAGGGTTTGATGGCTGTAGGGTGCCGCCTCCTGGAAGCACGTCCCTTGCACAGTGTGTGCAGTTTGTCTTTGTAGTCCTAGTTCTTAAAACACAGTAGGCACTCTGTGTCCATTGATGAAAGCATGAATGCAATTGGTGACTTGTGCCATCTTGTGGTTAGACTTCCTGGAACCCCAGAAGGAGATGAAAAGATCTAACTGCAAAAATGTTGTATTTCCTGGCCCCTAGAGAACCAAGAATACTTCCCTACTTGAAAAATTGTGATTAAAATACACATAACATTAACCATTTTAACCATTTTTTAAACATTCAGTGGCATTAAGGACATTCACATTGTTGTGCAACTATCACCACCATCCAACTCCAAAAATTTTTCATCTCCATGAACAGAAGCTCCGTAAACAATAACTTCTTATTTCCTCTCCTCCCAGCCCTTGGTAAAGCACTATTCTATTTCCTATCAATCTGATTACTCTAGATAACTCATATAAGTAAAATAATATAATTTCTTTTTTGTAACAAGCTCACATTACTTAGCATAATATCTTAGGTCAATCCATGTTATAGCATACGACAGGATTTCCTTTTTTTTTTTTTTTTTTTTTTTTTTTGAGCTGTAGTCTTGCTCTGTCACCCAGGCTGGAGTGCAGTGGTGCCATCTCTGTGCACCGCAACTTCTACCTCCAGGGTTCAAGTTATTCTTTTGCCTCAGCCTCCTGAGTAGCTGGGATTACAGGCATACGCCACAACACCTGGCTAATTTTTGTATTTTTGGTAGAGATGGGGTTTCATCATGTTGGCCAGGCTGGTCTCAAACTCCTGACCTCAAGTGATCCTCTTGCCTCGGCCTCTCAAAGTGTTGGGAGTACAGGCGTGAGCCCCCATGCCTGGCCAGGGTTTCCTTCCTTTTGAATGTTGCATTGTACATATATAACTACATTTTGTTTATCCATTTGTCCATCAACAGAAACTGGGTTGTGTTCATCCTTTGGCTGTTGTGAGTAATGCTACAAAGAACACATTCTCCTGCCTCTTACTCTAGGAGAGATACAAAGGAGAGGGCCCTGAAGGGCAGTTCCCATTTTGATTCTATTTTACCCTCCATTGTGGGCTCGGCCTCCTGGACAGAGTCAGTGACGTCACTCTAGACCCTCTGAAGACTCATTGTTTTCTTGGCACTGGGTTTGATGTTGCAGATCCAAAATCAACTCAGATGTGCCCTTCCCCTCAAATAGCTCAGTTTAGCATGGGAGGAGGGGGTTCAGGGAGACTGTTGGAGCCGATACATCAGCAAATGATTCTATTTGGGTGTAGGTTTGGTCAGGGAAGCAATTGCTTCTCTTTAATATTTAGATCTTAGTGTAAGCGGGGAACTCCTGCAAGAGGAGAAGATTTTGCGAAAGTGGGTATGATAAGAAATGTGGACTTGATGGAAATTTTGAAGTCTTGATCAATATCCCCTTTTGAATGTACAGACTATTCAAGTTAGGTGGGTACTTTCAATTCTGAGACTAGATAATTCTTGTGTGACCACTGAGCACTTGCTGTTGGGGGGTTTCTGAGCCTGAGCCAGGGAGACAAAGGGGCTGCTGAGGAGGGAACTCCATGCATTACACCCCGTTCTCACTCATAAACACACACACCTGTGTCCTGAACAGAGTCAGGCTTCAGAAAGTCTTTGAAACCAAGAGTCCATTGGGCTGATTTCACAGGAATGCTTCATGGCTGAGAGAGAACCATCCAGCCTATTAAGAGTCATATACCCTCTTTAATGTGGATGATAAAACTTTAATTAAAGTGGTGATTAGAAACAGAATAATAATGACCACTAATAAAGTAGTTTATAGAAATCGACAGCTTTACAAAGAGCAGTTGCTGGTGGCTTGCTGTAGGCAGCCCTGGAGCATGGGCTCTGGGCAGGGCAAAAGGATTAGGGGAAGGGTTTACTGGAATAGAGAGATAACATAAAAGGCAATTTATAATGTGTGACTTCGAGCAATGAGCTAGAGAAAAATGGAAAGCTGTGATGTGGATGGAATTCATTGTACCTTTGCATTATGAATGAACTTTACAAGATTGCAGGCTACAGCCAGGATTTGGTTACTTGTGTACAAATGAGCATTATCTACATTGTTTTTCTTCTGTGTTGTGGTCTGTGTATCTTAGGATGAAGAGGCAGGACAAATGAAACCATGTCTGAGAAAGCCTTTAGCAATTGATGCCTCATTAACAGTAATAATAAAGGCCAAAGTAGTAGTAATAGCAATAATATAATAACACCTACTAAGTGCCTACCACTTTCATGTTTTATTACCTTCCAGGTATATAGTATCTCTTTTTGTTAGATGATGCAGAAGATGTAAACTGAGAAACAGGATTGGAAAGGGAATTCAGGGAAGATTTCCCAGAGGATAAATTTTAAATGTAGGATTAGAAAGGGAGTGAGAGGCTTGCTCCAGCAGGGGGAAGAGGAAGAGGGAATTTTATAGTGGGAAGAATTTCAGGAAGGTTCCATTCACCTTCTCCCATGTCTCCCCACACACTACCTCCCCTTAGAAATGCACCTACAACTACATAATAGATTTTTGTCATCAATATGATCTTAGCATCTTTTTTTATATTATTATACTTTAAGTTCTGGGATACATGTGCAGAATGTGCAGGTTTGTTACATAGGTATACATGTGCCATGGTGGTTTGCTGAAAAAAAATAGAATGTTTTATAATTTTTTTATTGAGAATGCCCAGTTATGCCAAGCATAATAAATAAAGGTCAGTAGCATTTATAAAAGAAATGCAATGTGGGATATTGGAAAATACCTGATAGCTGATATCTGGAATCAGGCAGATGTGAGGTTAGACACCAGCTCTGAGGCTCACTGGCTACTTGACCCTGGAGGAAGCATTTAGGTGCTTTTTTTTTTTTTTTTTTTTTTTTTTTTTGAGACAGTCCTGGTCCATCGCCCAGGCTGAGTTTAGTGGCACGATCTCAGCTCACTACAAGCTCTGCCCCCTGGGTTCAAGCAATTCTTCTGCCTCAGCCTCCCAAGTAGCTGGGATTACAGGCACCTGCCACCATACCCAGCTAATTTTTTGTATTTTTGGTAGAAATGGGGTTTCACCATGTTGGCCAGGCTGGTCTCGAACTCCTGATCTCAGGTGATCCACCTGCCTTGGCTTCCCAAAGTGCTGGGATTACAGGTGTGAGCCATCGCACCTGGCCCACTTAGGCTTTTTAAGTCAGTATTGTCATCAGGAAAATAGGGCTAATATTTACTGCATGGGGTTCTTGTGAGGATTAAACTAGAATTTAATAAGAGAATACTTACAAAGCATCTAGCCGATACAACATGCTTGAGGAATATTGGTTTTGCAAACTATTTTCCACCTTGGCTCCAGCTTCTGTCACCAAGCACTGTGAACAAGGCCAGGGCCACTGGGCTGTGGTGACTGAGGCCTTTATGGCTGGAAGTAGCCTATTTCCTGTTCTGTCACTCCTTGTCATGTCAATGTTTTATTTCTTCATAACACTACTCCTAGAAATTTTCCTAGTTCTATATTTGCATCTTTGTTTATTGTCTGTAACCCTTCTCCACATATTAAGCCTTAGGAATGACCTTGTCATTTGGGGCAGTGTTGACTTAGACTGATAAGTCTTCTTGGTTCCTGTATCCTATCCCTCTCTTGCTTCCTCCAGGACTCTGCTCCAGTGATTATCTCCTTTTCTCTAATAACTGATTTTTCTCTGTGGGCTTGCATCCACTGCACACAGACCATTGTCATTCATCTTTAAAACAAAACAAGATCCGCATCCTCTCTTGACCCCTGTATCTCCCTCCAGCTATTACCTAATTCCTCTGCTTCTCTTCGTAAGAAAACAAGATTGTCTACACTCACTCTCCCCAGTTCCTCACCTCCCATTTTCTTCTAATGGCTCCTCTGTTGGGTGGTCACTCCCACCTGTTCAAGGAAACTCCTCTTAATAAAGGTCATCTGTGACCACATTCGGCTAAAACCAGTGGTCAATCCCAGAAACTGCTTGATTGGCGCTCTCAGCAGCATTTGACAGGGCTAACCTCTCTCTAGGCCTCTGGGAGACCCCTCTCCTGGTTTTCCTCTCCCTTCTCTTTTTCCCTCCCAGACCCCTCAGCTGGCTCCCCTGCCCCAACCAGGCTCTCCAGGCCTGGGACTCTGATCTCAGTGGCCTTCCTCTTCATTTACACTTGGTCTCTAGTGACCTGACCACGCCTCATCCTCCACATGCTGAGGCCTCATCACACACCTCTCCCCAGGCACCAGCCTTCGCTATCCAAGAGCCACTTCCTCCCATCTTCACTTGGATGTTCCATTGTTATGTCAAACAAAATGTGGCCAAATGCAGCATTTGATTTTCTTCCAGCTCCAGCCCTCACTCCACTCTCTCCATCTTTGCAAAGAGTACCCCCATCCACCTCATCCCTCGGGGCCAAAGCCTGAACTTTTTTATTTCCTCTTTCTACACACTCCTAAACGCAATCTGTTAATACAGCCTATGGACTTTGTTTCCAAATTTTTCTGTTACTGCTCCTATCCAGTACAAGGCATTATTTCTTGCTTGACGCTTGCGACAGCTTCCTAATTGATCTCTCTGGCTCTGTTTCTGCCTCCACTCCCCCATCTCCCAGTCTATCTTCCATAGAGCAGCCAGAATGATCTTCCTAAAGTAGAAATCAGATCAGGACACTTTACTGCTTAAGGAATGGTTTCCATTTCATTTAGGAAAACGCCCCCCAACCCTCACAAATCTTGTTCCATGACCTGCAAGGCCCTATAAGTCCCTGGTTACCTCTCTAGTCTTATCTGTCTCTGGCCTTCTTTCTGACCCTCAAACATGCCAAGTTCTTCCCTTCCTTTGTTTATTTATACTCGCTATGCCTCCTCTGGAATACTCTTTCCTCAGAGCTTCTCACAAACTGTTTCTCATTGTTCAGCTCTTAATTCAAATGTCATCTCCATAGAGATGGCTTTCCCATCAACCCTGGCTAACCACCTTGATATGGTTTGGGTTTGTGTCCTTGCTCAAATCTCAAGTCGAATTGTCATCCCCAGTGTTGGAGGAGGGGCCTGGGTGGGAGGTGATAGGGTCATGGGGTCTGACTTTCCCCTTGCTGTTCTTGTGATAGTGAGTTCTCACGAGATCTGGTCTTTTAAAAGTGTGTAGCACCTCCCTGCTGTGCTCTCTCCTCCTTTATCTCTGGCTATGTAAGATGTGCCTGCTCCCCTTTGCCTTCTGCCATGATTGGTAAGTTTCCTGAGGCCTCTTTAACCATGCTTCCTGTACAACCTACAGAACTGTGAGTCAATTAAATGTCTTTTCGTTATAAATTACCCAGTCTCAGGTAGTTCTTTATAGCAATGCAGGAAGGGACTAATACTTAACCCCTCTTTCTCCATCTACTCTTAATCTGATTGCCCCATCTTGTTTTCTTGATTGAACTTTGCACCTGGAAGTATTTCATGTATTCATTTCCACCTGTTTGGCCTCCTTCACTAAAATATGTACTTTTGAGATACTGTATCTCCAGGTTCTGGAATAATTAATACTTTGCACATAGTAGGGGCTTGGTAAATGTTTGTGGAATGAATGAACAAAAGGCTGAAGAGCTTGTTTACCCAGTGAAGCAATATAAAATTCTGATTCCCCTCTAGCTACTCCCCTTCACTCCCCAAGTCTTTCCTCCCTGCTTTTTATTCATTGAATACAAATTTCATAAGGATTTGGACCACAACACAGAAAGACCTGGGAGGAAACACTGCATAATCCAGTGATTTTAAGAGTCCCCAAGTTCTAATTAGTATGGTGCACAGCAATGATGCTAAATGAACTGTTATAGTCTTACCAGGTCAAAACCCAGCTTTGTAGGGCAGCCCAAAATAGAGGCTGTGCTCTTTTTGCCTTTAGCAGGGCAATCTGTGGAGTCTCCAAAGGTGTATTAAGGTTTAATAGACAAATAATGTACTTGGTGGAATTGTGCAAGAGGAGAGAAGCTAGCAAACTCCCTGGGGTGTGGCTTCCGGATATTGAAGTTTCCTGCAGGGGCACTTGGGGCCTGGATGGATGGTTTCAATTAGAATTCAATTAGCGTCAATCAAGGCAAACTCCAGGGGCAGCCAATTCATCCCAAGTGCCCCTACCCCAACTCCCTTCCAAGTTTTCCCTCTTTCAGGGCAGTTCTGAAACCTCTGCATAGGCAAAGGCAAGAGAAGGAATTGCTCTCGACCGAGTTCAGTGTGGAACTAGGAACCTTTAACTATCATGTTCAAACTCACTTGTGGACCAGCTGACCCTGGCCACCCTATCTGACCCCTGACTGGCCCTTTAGGTGGTTGGGTTTGTCCCAGGTTACACAGAGCATATGAAAGTGAACTTCTAGCACTTTCTCACCATTCACAGCATTAGTTCTGAACCACTTGTGACAACACATCATATAACTTGCCGTCAGTCCTCCTGGCCTCTGACTTGAACATTGTCACATTCCTAGCTTGGGCTCAGAAATTGCCTGTTGCTACTTTTGTGACTTAATGCTTCTAGGTTTTTCTTTACGTAATTAACTACAAGTATATATATGTGTGTATACTGTATGAGTGCCATGTGGTTTTGAGAGACAAGCTGAATCCATTTGCTGGAGTGGGAAATTTGGCTCAGTGGTATGTGTTGCCAGGAATACTATTTACCTGGGAATTTCATGGACCTCTTGGGATATTAGAGGGAGAGTATTTTGAAACTGATGGTTAAATTTTGGGAAACCAAAATTAAGTCTCTCGGCTGGGTGCAGTGGCTCACACCTCTAATCCCAGCACTTTGAGAGGCCAAGGCAGATGGATCACTTGAGGTCAGGAGTTTGAGACCAGCCTGGCCAACATGGTGAAACCCCATCTTTACCAAAAATACAAAAATTAGCCAGGTGTGGTAGCGGACACCTGTAATCCCAGCTACTCAGGAGGCTGAGGCAAAAGAATTGCTTGAACCCTGGAGGTAGAAGTTGCAGTGCACCGAGATGACACCACTGCATTCCAGCCTGGGCGACAGAGCGAGACTCTCTCAAAAAAATAAAAAAAAAAAAGTATCCCCAGCTAAGAAAGGAGGATAAACCCTATTACCCACCTCTGCGGGGAAGTTCTTGGCATAGGTTAGAATTTTCCCTTGACGTTGAGTTTCCTTCTGTTTTGAGACACAAATTGATTATTACCAAGGAAAGAGACTTTGGTTATGTCATAGTGACACTGAAATGTTCTCTAAACCAGTTTCAGAGGGGAACGTGTCTTGAAATTGTTAGTGAAGAACAGGCACTCTTTCACTACAAAGGCCCCTTCTTGGGAATATAGTAAAGTAGCCCTAATCCTTAATCCTCCCTCCTCCATCTCCAAGGGAGCACAGGCATCCAGGGTCAACAACCTGGGGAGTCAAGGGATTTCCTGGTGTAAGTACCATCAACAGCAGTTGATTAAAATACCGTTCAGCAGAACACAGAGGGGACACCCCTGGCACAAGGCAGAAAATGTCAGTTGCCAGGAGGGGATGCTATTTTCCTGAAACCTACTAGATGAAAGCATCCTAGAGACTGTACAAGGTGAGGACTTAAGGCCCCACTGAATGACTTTTTTTCCCCCTCTTAATCATAGCTTCTATAGATTTCTTATGTAGGTTTGCATCACTAACTTAAGTTAGTGATATGTTTCTGCCTTCCCCTTGGTTGGGAAACCATGGGTCTACCACAATGCCTGCAAAATTGCTTGTGCATAGAAAGCATCAAAAATGCTTGTTAAACACGATGGATTTAGGCATGAGCTTTCTCCCATTAAATATGGCTTGAGAAAACTCTTGGCATATTAGAATTCAGAGGACCCCCACACGACAGCTCTATGGCTTGAAAAGATGAGTCAGCTTCTCAAAGAGGTAAAAAGCAAGGATTGGCAATTAAAGAGGAAATGTCAAGCCGGGCAGGGCAGCCCCGAGGCATTCTGTGCTCTTAGCAGGTGTAACTGTCCAGATTGGAGCCCTTGCTGCCGGCCTGGCCCAACCATCAGGTGGTGAGGAACAGTGCTCTTGACCTTTCAGCTTTGCAGCAGAGCCCTTTCCCCAAGGAGCTGGCAGACATAATCTGTTCCATGAACTGAAGCAGCAGCAGGCACCTTTGGGGACTGGAATTTCTTTCTCCATGGTGTGAGTACAGCTCACCTTGTGGATGTGTGTTTTCCCTTCTGAAGCCACCCGTGCCTGCAGCCCCAGGGCAGGAGAGTACTGACCTCACTGGGGAGACTTTACACCCCAACCCAGTGCCAAGGGAGTATTTAGTGAGCTCCAGAAGTTTCACTTACTTTGTATCTTTTTTTGTTCTATTTTATTTTATTTTTTGCTTTTTTGAGACAGAGTCTTGCTCTGTCACCCAGGCTGGAGTGCAGTGGTGCAATCTCTGCTCACTGCAACCTCTGCCTCCCGGGTTCAAGCGATTCTCCTGCTTCAGCCTCTCAGTAGTAGCTGGGATTACAGGCGTCCGCCACCACGCCCAGCTGATTTTTGTATTTTTAGTAGAGATGGAGTTTCACCATATTGGTCAGGCTGGTCTCAACTCCTGACCTAGTGATCCACCCGCCTGGGCCTCCCAAAGTGCTGGGATTACAGGCGTGAGCCATCACGCCCAGCCAAAAAAACTTTTAAGTTCAGGGGTGCATGTGAAGGTTTGTTACATAGGTAAACATGTATCACAAGGGTTTGATTATTTCTTCACCCAGATATTAAGCCCAGTATTCAATAGTTATCTTCTCTGTTCCTCTCCCTCCTTCTACCATTAACCCTCAGTAGACCCCAGTGTCTGTTTCCTTCTTTGTGTTCATAAGTTCTTATTTAGCTCCCACTTATAAGTGAGAGCATGCACTGTTTGGTTTTCTGTTCCTGTGTTAGTTTGCTAAGGATAATAGCCTCCAGCTCCATTCATGTTCCTGAAAAAGACTTGATTTCATTCTTTTTTATGGCTGCGTAGTATTTCGTGGTGTAGCTGTACCACATTTTCTTTATCCAATCTGGCATTGATGGTCATTTAGGTTGATTCCATGTCTTTGCTATTGTGACTAGTGCTGCAATGAACATTCGTGTTCGTGTGTCTTTATGGTAGAATTATTTACATTTCTCTGGGTATATACCCAGTAATGGGATTGCTGGGTCGACTCTTATTGGATGACAGCCCAGTGTGTGGTAAGAGCACCAGCTCAAGAGTCAGAGGCTTGGATTTGAATTTTGACTTGTCATAGCTAGATGACTTAGGCACATAAGCACTCTGAGATTCCATTTCCTCCCTTGTAAAAGGGGACAACAGTGTCTGCTGTGAAGTTAGAAAGTGTATCCATCATAGTGGGCGGGGAGGAAGTGTTGTTCCTTTTTCCATCTTATGTGGTTTCCTTATCGTTAACAGAGTAGACTCTTGACCAAATGGCGAGGCTGCCCTCTTGGGAGGCCTCTGCCTCCTTGTTGATAGGTGTTCTCTAGTCTGTTGTTTTCTGCCTATACAGATACCTTCTCTGGCCCTTGGCCTCTTGTCTGGAGTTTTTCTGTCCATTAAACCCTATCAAAGCTAACCCATCATACTGTGCATTCTCTCAGGCCCTTGCTCAAAACAGAAAATTGTCATCTTATATGTCTTATTACATTTTCCTGTAGGGGGCAAGGCCTTCAATCTTTAGGCTAATAGATAAGTGTCATCCATTTAAGACTATTGACTTATGTATGGCTCTGAGCCCACTGACCACTAGGATTTCCTGAGGGACTAGGGATTCATGGCACTGAAAGGGACAACTTTTCCCTAGTCTCAGTGTTACTGCTCATTCTTCATAGCTGTTTCTGCTTGGGATCCCTGTCCATTTCTGTTGTCACACACTGGGGCTGGAGTCTGGTTGTGAATCCGTGTTCTTTAATGGAGACCCTGATCCCCTTCTGGGTCTTGCCAACCTTCCTTCTGGAAGTTGGATTTTCAATCATTCGTAGCCATCAGATGAGACTCGTTGCTTGGCTCTGCATATGGCTGCTGCCTTGTTCCTCCTGCAACCACGTCCCATACTCTAAGTTGGGGTCCTTTGCATTGCAGCTCCAGCCCAGTCAAACCTGAGACCACCACATCCTGCTGGATGATGGGTTTTGGACTGCTGGTTTCCCATTTAGGGACTAGTTCTGATGCTGAGTCATTTCTCTTAGTTTTCGTCCCTTTGATCCTGGCTCTTCCCCTTACTTCTGCTCCCAGGGGGCTAAGGGCCCAGAATTCCTTCTGCTTATGCCTCATGATTAAGCTCAGGAGCTTAATCCTACCAATAGCATTGGTTTAGGACTTGTATTCACTCCCTTTCACACATACTTTCAAAAGTATTTCAGGCAGCTTTTAATAAACAATACTTAAAGTTGGCCTAGACAAACACTGAATCACTAAAGGGAGGAAGGGGGTTAGAGGGACAATGAAAGCCCAGGTTAAGTATATTCTTGTCCTTGAACACTAGGTTTTCAATTGAGTTTTCTAACAGCCAAAGCAAACAAAAACATCAGCTGCATGGCTCCCTTTTCTAGTGAATTGTGGCATACTGAAATCCTGCTGAATGTTACTTAATTTTATACCTTTAGGTTAACGTAGTGCGTTGTTTCAATTAAAAATTTTTTTTTTTTCTTTTGAGACGGAGTCTCACTGTCACCCAGGCCGGAGTGCAGTGGCATGATCTTGGCTCACTGCAACCTCTGCTTCCCAGATTCAAGTGATTCTCCTGCCTCAGCCTCCTGAGTAGCTGGGACTGCAGGCACCCACCTCCACCAGGCCTGGCTAATTTTTGTATTTTTAGTGGAAACGGGATTTCACCATGTTGGTCAGGCTGGTCTTGAACTCCTGACTGCAAGTGATCTGCCCATCTTGGCCTCCCAAAGTGCTGAGACTACAGGCATGAGCCACCACATCCAGCCTAAAATTTCTTGAGTGTGCTTAAGGAAGAAATTGGATAAAAAACACTTTAAGCATCATGATCAATTCAACTCAACCAACATTGGTTTATCTTTTTAATTAAACAAGCATACCAAGTACCTGGTCTGTTAATGTGAAACACTGTTGCATATGCTATGGGAGATAGATACCAAACCTTTCCATGAGTAGTTCACATTGTAGAAAGGGAGAGACACATCATATATCTGAGAAATAAGGTAGGAAGTAGTAAGAGCTATACAAGTGGCACAGACACCATGTTGGGAGAGTCCAGAAGAGGGATCAGGGATCCAAGGGCTCATGAAGCGATGTGATTGAGACAAGTAGGGTCTATGCAAGCAGAGTGGAGAGGACAAGAAAGAAAGGTCTTTTAAAGTTGAAGGAACAATGTGACCCCCAGGCACAGATGTAAACATTGTAGGCTGTGTTTGGGAAAAAGTTGGTGTCAGGGGGTCAATGGCTGGTTGACTAGATTCTAGCACACCTTCTTGAAATATAGGAGAAGTCAAGGAGTATGAAGGCAGTGTGATAGGTTGAGGCACAGAGAGTCTGGAATGCCGTGCCTAGAAGTCAGAGAGCTAATGAGAGTAAGACAGGGAGCTTAGGATCTATGTTTCCTGAACTTGGCTTTGTATCCTGCAACCAAGAGAAGCCAGTAGAAGGTCTTGGGCCAGAAAGGGATATATCCAGAATTGGGCTTGATGAAAATTATTTTGTCAGATGAATGGTGGAAAAATTGAAGCTGGAGATACTTGAGACCAGGGTTGATGCTGCTGCACTAGCTCAGGTAAGAGGTGAAGACAGAATGAGCTGGAGCCTGGGCAGTTAGGATGGAGAGGAGTGGATGGAGGCAAGAGACATCATTGCTCAGTGTCTTTCCCTGGATTCTGAGCTTTTATGCACCCTCATTGCCTTGGCTATGCATGAAGCAGTGTAATTAAGAAGCTGAGTGGGAGTTGGAGTCAGACAGACATGGGTTCAAATCCTACTCCACTTACCTACCACCTACATGATTTTGAACAAATCATTTTCTTTAGCATCTTACTCCTAATGTGAGGGTAAGAATATCACAAGGCCATGTGAAGATTAAATGAGAGAATCAATGTGAAGTGTTTCCTGTGGTGCTTGGCCCAGAAGGTCTCTGCTGCCCAGATGTTCTTCTGAATCCTGGGCCATGGTCAGCTTTGGTGCTTGCCCAGGTGCCTGTAACTTACCTACCTCCTTGACCTTGGACTTTACCTTTTCTGTGTGATATTGTCTACCTCGTCCAGGATCTGCTCTATTTGCTTGACTCTGACCTTTGATAGGGGATTCATTTTTTGCCGGAGACCTGTGCTCTAAATCTACGTGGTAGCTACTAGATACATGGGGCTACTGAGCACTTGAAATATGAGAGATAAGTATAAAATATACAATGGATTTCAAAGATTCAGTATGAAAAACATAAAAAAGCTAATATATTGATGACATATTAACATAATATTCTATTTTGATGATATGGAATTAAATAAAATTTTACTTTAATGCTTCTCTTTTTGAGAGGGTAACAATGAAGCTAAGTTTATTGAGGACTTACTGTGTACTCAGCGCTGTTCTAGATACTTCAGGTGATTTGGGTCATTTAGTCATCACAGGAATGCTATGAGTAACTTTTCTTAGCCTTCTTTTTAGAGTTACTATGAGCCTGATACTTAGAGAGTTTAGGATGATTCCTCAATCACCTGTTTCTTTATGCTTTTTAAAGTGGCTATCAGAAAATTTTAAGTTACATACGTGGCTCACATCATATTTCTATTGGATGGTGCTGTTATAGACCAGAAGTAGGCAAATATACTCCTGTGCCAAATCTGGCCCTCTGCCTGTTTTTGCGTGGCCCACCAGCTAAGAATGGGTTTTACATTTTTATTTTTCAATTTTCAGAGACAGGGTCTCATTCTGTTGCCCAGGCTGGGAGTGCAGTGGTGTGATCATAGCTCACTGCGGCTTCAAACTCCTAGGCTTAACCAATTCTCCCACCCTCAGCCTCCCAGATTAAGACTACAGGCATGCACCATTATGCCTGGCTAGTTTTGGCTTTGGTTTTGGTTTTGGTTTTGGTCTTTTTAAATTTTATTTTATTTTATTTTATTTTTTTGTAGGTATGGAGTCTTGCTATGTTGCCCGGGCTGGTCTCAAACTCCTGGCCTCAAGTGATCCTCTTGCCTTGGCCTCCCAAAGTGCTGAAATTAGGGGAGTGAGGCACCATGCCTGACCTACGTTTTTAAATAGTTGAAGAAAACATCAAGACGAATCTTTCGCGAGAGTTACATGAAATTTGAATTCCAGTGTCTCTAAATAGAGCTTTATTGGGGCACGGCATGCTCATTCACTTATGACTTGCGTGTGGCTGCTTTCATGTCACAGCAGCAGAATTGTGCAGTCACAACAAGGATCTTATAGCCCACAAAGCCTAAAATACTGACTATTTGGCCTTTTACAGAAAGTTTGTTGACTTCTGCTGTAAACATTCTCCTGATTTTGGACCCCTGGATCACTATCTCCTTTTCTGAATTAGTGTCACTTGTCTATTCTAGATTTCTAGACTTACCCAGGAGCCTATAACACGGCTTCTTGGTTCTGTACCCATAACCTGCCTCCTCATATAACTCCCTATGGAAAGGGTGCCATTTCCTTTCTCACTTGTAGCTGCCACACGAGGCTCCCATGGAGGTGACGTATATGTGATTATTGAGCGAGCCGTTCTGCTGGGGCTTGTGTCCTTGATGTTGCATCCTGGTGTTTTGCTTTGTGTGGGTTGGGATTTGCCATAAACCAAGCACAAATGCACTGAAAACACCAGCTTCTGAGGCTCACAAATTGCTACAGGAGACAGACAGACGGCAATGCTGCCACCACGATGGGAATGGCCATCTGCTGTTATCAGTGTGCAGGATGTCACTCAGGGAGTGGAACTCATGGAGTGGAATGAAAACATCTGTTTCCAAGCCTGGATATGATGTCTCCAAAGAACACAAGACAGTGACAGCCGACAAGAGAAGAGGCTCTGGGTCCCAAGACAAACTTTGCAAGAAGTCCCTCCGTCACTCTTATAGCCCACAACCACCACCACCACAAACCCCTCTTTTTTTTTTTTTTTTTTTTTTTTGGAGATGGAGTCTTGCTCTGTCACCAGGCTAGAGTGCAGGGATGCAATCTCGGCTCACTGCAACCTCCGCCTACCGGGTTCAAGTGATTCTCCTGCCTCAGCCTCCCAAGTAGCTGGGGCTACAGGCATGTGCCACCACGCCCAGCTAATCACTTTCTTTGAGAAAATCTTATGATTATTTTTACCATAAAAGAAAGACATATTCACCGTTAAAAAAAAAAATGACATGATTTGGGCAGGGAGGGTCCTGGAACTTGAGTTGTATTTGCAAACAGATCATACTGACTCTCAAATTGTCTCTCTTTTGCAATAATTTAAGGATCCATTCCCAGTACTGACTTTTCTTCCTGGCTCTATTTCTGTAGGAAGAATTCTTTCTCAGGAGGTTTTTTTGGATTCTAATTTAAAAAGCCTTCAGGTGGGTCTTTCCGGCCAGTTCACTTAACTTGTCTGGGCTTATCCGAATCCCAGTGGTAGGCACAATTTAGGTTCAAGATTCTGACAGTCTCGGCTGTGTGCAACTTGAGGTCAGAAACTGTACAGTTTTCAACTTAGTACCCTGCTGCCTAATACAGTGCCTGTCTGTATGGAAGCACCCGTATAGATCTATGTGGTAGCCACTAGATACATAAAGCTATTGAGCACTTGAAATATGAGATATACATATAAAATATACAATGGACTTCAAAGATTCTGCATGAAAAATATGAAATAGCTACTTAATATATAGACTACATATTGAAATAATAGTATTCTATGTTGGTTATACTGAAGTAAATAAATAGGTCTTTCCCCCTCTAGACCTGTTAATCCCCAACCAATAGCCTAGAATTGCCCACATCAGCTTTGCTGTACCTTCCCTAGATTCCTTTCTCCCTTTCTACATTCTTTCCACTCTAATTGTTCATAGCCTTATGTTCTCCTTCCTTCAGGGCGCTCCACTTAAGCACTCCACTGGTACTCAGACCAGTTCCTTTAACTCTTATGCAAATAAACTTACCTCCCCCTTGTCACATTTGTTCAGGGTCAAGGTCTTGGTGAAGGAAATTAAAAAAACTATCAAGAACTAAATTGCTGGTAGCCAAGAAAAGTTACAATGGACACATGTAGCTTCTGATAGGTATCTATCTTCTAGCTTCTGATAGGTAGAATATCTAGGAAAATATCTCCTAGCTTCTGATAGGTAGAAAATAGTCATGGTTCCTATCTCAATGAATCCTTAGATTTCTATTTGACTGTTGTTCATATGTTTAGAACAAACTCCCCTTTACTGGAGCTATTTAAAATGGGTTTGTTCCTTGACACTCAACGTGCCTTGAGCAGAACAACCAACCATTCTTTCAAATAACACACAGTTAATTTCAAAGGTTCCTCTTGTTTTTAGGAGGTTTCATGGGAGTCTATTTCTTTTGGTATGAGGAGCAAATGGTCTTGTTGCTACTACTGTCCAGGTCAAAGAGAAGTCATCTAATGTTTGTGGTATCATCTTTTTAACTCATAGCAAGCACAGGAAACTCCTGTTTCTTCCTTGGAAAAGCATTTTTTTTTCTGTATGACTTTCTGATTATTTCAATTGTTCAGTCATTCAATTAATATCCTCTGATATTATTATGTATAGGAAGATATGACGGGACTAGTGATACCCTGTCAAAAAGGTGCCAATTCACTTGGACATTCTGGTGAATGATGACATGTAATAAGCCACAAGAAAAATATAAGGTAGAAATAAGGCAATACAGAGAATCAAAACAGAGTGATGTAGTTAATAAATGGCTATTTTAGATTATGTCTTTCAGGGAAGGCTACTCTAAGAAGCTGGTGTTTAAGCCAATATCTGAATGTCAAGGAGGAGTCAGCTATTTGGAAGTCGGGGAGTACAAAGGCCCTAAGATGGGATCAAGCATAGTGTGCACAGAGGATGCTTATGCTGAATGGAGAAGTGGAAGATAATAAGAACAGAAATGTGAGTAAGGGGCATGTCACAATAGGGCTTTGTAAGTCAGGGGAGGAAGAGTATTCAAAGTATTATGGATACTCTTGGAGGCCCCCTGTTTAAAAAGTGAGGTATAATCCCAGCACTTTGGGAGGCCAAGGCAGGCGGATCATCTGAGGTCAGGAGTTTGAGACAAGATGGCCAACATGGCAAAACCGAGTCTCTTCTAAAAATACAAAAACAAAAAAAAAATTAGCCAGGTGTGGTGGTGAGCACCTGTAATCCCAGCTACTTGGGAGACTGAGGCAGGAGAATTGCTTCAATCTGGGAAGCAGAGGTTGCAGTGAGCCAAGATTGCATCATTGTACTCCAGCCTGGGTGACAGAGCAAGACTCCATCTCAAAAAAAAAAAAAAAAAAAAATCATAAAATTCACCTATTCAAGTATACAATTAAATGATTTTTAGTAAATTTGCAGAAGTATGTAACAATCACTACAGTTCAGTTTTAGATCATTTTCATCCTCCTCCCCCAAATTCCTCCTGCTCCTTTGCAGTCATTCCTTATTCCCACCCTCAGCTCTTGGCAACTGTTCATCTACTCTGTCTTTGATTACTTCCTATAAAGGAATCATATAATATGTAGTGTTTTGCATTTGACTCCTTTCATGAGGTTTTGAGACTCGTCCATGTTGTGGCCCATGCTTTGTTTCGTTCTTCTGTCTTTTAATGCTGCGTAGCAGTTCATGGCATGGATAGCCCATGTTTTGCTTATTCACCCACCCGTTGATGGCCACAAGGGTTTGTTTCCAGATTTTGGTTATTATAAATAATAACAGCCCTGGAAGGTTTTAAGCAGCAAAATAACTGACATGATCTGACTGTCAGGAAGATTATGGTGGCTAATCTTGAGGGTGTGGAGGGTGGAATGAAGAGATGCAGCGGTGGAAGCAGGAAGAGCAGTTAAACTGTTGCGTTTCCCTAGACAAGTATGATAGTACTTGGAACAGAGGGATAAAGTAGTAGAGATGGAGGGGAGTGTGAGGACTTGGGGTATGTTTTGGAAGAGAGTAAGAAGTGTCCACTGATGGATTAGACATGGTACGAGAAAAGTTTGGTAGATGAGGAACAAACAATTTGAGGCTCTAATCATTTGGAATCATCATTTGATTAGAGCCCTGAGGTTTAGACTTCTCTACAGCCACATGTAATGCTAGAAGACAGTGGAGAAGTATCTATGGAGTCTCTGGAAAAGATGGTTGATCCAGGAATTTATACTCGGCCATGATGTTTTTCAGATATAAAGGCCATAGACACAAGGCAACATATATACATGTTTCAAAGCCTGTGAAAACTCAGATGACAGAGCACTCTCTGTATACCTTTTTAAAAAAGTTTAATTATTTTAACTAAAGATAGTATATATAGCATAGCCTTGTTCTTATTTATCTATTTACCTATTATCTCCTTAGCTGTCTTTCTCTCTGCCTATCCATCCATACTTTTACCTGTATGGGAAATGGGAATTATCATAAATGATAGTCACCAAATAACATTAGTTATTTCTGGTTAATTGGGTTTGGAATAATTTTTAAGCCTTGTTTTTTAATTTCTTTGTATCATTTACATTTTAAAAATAACAAATTGTATTTTTTAATTAAAAAAATATAAGCATTAAGTGCAGCTAAGTTGTGAGCATAAGGAAAGAAACACCAAGTGCAGTGGAGCCATAAGCTGGAATGGGCTTGCATCCTTACTGGCTTTCTTTAGAAGCTGTACCAACCCTAGTCAATTCCCTGTGGACTGCTTGTTACACGAAAGCAATAGACTCTTGGACTGAAACATTAATGTCAGGTCCCTGTTAAATGCAGCTGTTGGCAATACTAACAATATGTAGTTTTATCGGGTATGTTAATTAAACTAATTTTGTGTTTTCCTCTTTTTCTTGCATTGGTTTGGGAGTCCAATTGGATGACTGGTTTCATATTGGCTTTGGGGTGATCAGGTGATAAACTTTGAACTACCTGGAATTGGAGGGAGTGATTGCTGGCAATTTATTCAGGTCACAACTTTTAGTATGTTCAAATTTGTTTTTTCATTGTCTTTGTTACCATATTTCTGTTGTCAAATTGTCAGTGATAATCTATATCCTGTGCTAGCAGGATACCCAAGAGAGTTTGGAACTAGCCCCACTACAGCCTTGTACATTGATGAAGAGTCGTGAGTGTGCAATTAGTATGTTAGCAGGACTCTGGTAATTAGAGGTGGCCTGACAACTCTGCTACTAAGACTTGGTTATTCTTATATGTTTAATTAATGATAAAACTTAGAATCCAACCTCATTACATTACTATGAATCATGAGAACAGAATGAGAAAAAAATGACTTTGGAAGATTTAGGTGGAAAAAAAATTTTAAGAATGTTTAGAAGATCTTGTAAAATCTCCTCAGGCATATTTAAAAAGATGATGACCTGTTACTATTATTATTATTATTATTATTTTTTGCAGTGACTAATTGTTCTTTTGGATAGTGGGGGACATCAAGATGCCCTGTCCCTATCCCTCTGGCCCTGTGTGTGTGGTATATTGGCTCTGACGTGTTAAGAAACAAAATTTTTCAAAGTGGCAAATCAGATTCTTTGCAGAATTCTTGCTCAGGAGCAGCCATTTCTCAGTGAGTTTCTTGGGATCTGAAGCTTTGAATGCAAGCATGCCCATTTCTTATCTCCAGCTGTAGGCACAGGTCAATAGAAAATGCAGGGCTGAAAGCCACGACAGGGGTCAGGGGCTAGCAGAGGGCCAAGAAAAGTGAATATAGAATCAAGTCAAGCTTAACATTAGGGGAAATGGGGTGATATGCGATCTCTCTGTACTATCTTTGCAACTCTTCCATGAATCTAAAATTATTTCAAAATAAAAAGTTTAAAAATGTCAAAGAGGAAGGTAGAAACTGGAAGAGCATGTGATGGGAGCTTCTGGGGAGCAGGTCTTCTGTTTCTTGATCTGTGTGCTGATTACACAGTATGTTCATGTTGCAAGATTTCATCTGGCTGTACGCTTTTGATTAGTGCACTTTTCTGTGTATGTGTTGTACTTGAAAACCAAGTTTACTTAAAAAATGTTGTATCAGCCACAGCAGCCAGGATATGCTTTGAAGCCTTTAAAATTGAGGCAAAACCTGCTTCGAGTTATTTTTTAAATTTGTGAACTCAGTTCATCGCTGGGGTCATGGACCAATCCTGGAGCCCAAGTTTACCCTCTCTCCTGTCAGTTAGGGCAAAGGCTAGGAATGTATTAATGACCACCGCACCATCACTTGGTAGTTCTTGGAATTTTACATTTTCTACGTTGAAGTTCAGTGATACACCTGGAATGCTTCTGAGTCACAGCATTGCCTACTCTGTTAGCCCCAGACTAGACTCTGGCTTATTGACTGCCTGGCTCTCCAGGAACACACTTAAATTTGGCTGTTGTAGGCCTCTTCTGACCTTTAGGACAGTCTCACATGTCTACCAGTTAATGAAGGTGAGCCATGGTTTCTTCAGGGCTGTTTATTGCAATTGGCTTGCACTTTCCCTGCTTGTTCCTGCTTTGGTGCTGTCCCTGCCGAACTCTGAACCCTTGGCACTGCCCCCACAACGTTATTCCTCTGGGCCTTTGACTTCTATATTTGCATTGGTCTCTTTGGCATTGGATTCATGATTCTCTCTAATGGACTTTGGCTTGTAACCTGTCTCAATCTGAACTGCCCTCACTATGCATGACCCTTTGGAAACCAATCTCCGATGATTTCTTCTTGGCTGATGTCCTCCCTCATTGGGTTCCCCAGAGAGGTGGTCAGGAGTGGTATTCCAGTAGCTACGACCTTGATGGTGGATTGAATCATGCTCCTCATTCCCCCAGCCACTAGCTAGGGTCCAATAATGAATAAGTTGATCACTTGAATAATGCAAACCCTTCCCTTGGCTTCATGTAATCTCCACTCTTGAGTTTTGCTATTGTGCTCTTCTGTCAGATTGGACTTGTCAGCGTTGATACTCACCCAGACCAGGCTTGAGCTAACTATACCCTTTGGACATGATATCTTGAATTGATGGGTCCTCTCTGAAGAAGAACCAGCTTCTATAGCCTGGTAAGCTCCTTACCTCACTGATGTCCTCTCAACAACAGCTGGTATTGCTGGCTCCTAGCACATTTTGACCTTGATTCCAGCCATGTTCTTTCCAAGCAGGTTAAAGGCAAGAGTATGTGCTGAGTAGGTAAATTATGTGGTGACTTCTGGAGTGCAGGTGTCTTCTCCTTTCTGTCCCATTTAATAAGCATGGTTCCCTTATCAATGCTTGAAAAACCTGCTCTGGCATTTGTAGATTCTATTTCCAAACCTCCTGTAGGCCCCCTCCCAATCTCCCATTCCACTGCTTCTTGCTCATGGCTTTCTCATGGCTCTGTCTTCCCTTATTTTGATTCTAATTCCCAGTTCTTTTTCCACACCTTGCTTGGCTCCTGGTTTCAGCCACTCTTTTGGCTTTGTCATTGATACCTTTCAAGGAAATGATCTTGATGTTGGTCATCCTGCCCCATGTACGGGGGCTGAGGGTAAGAGGCATCCTGACTGTGTGCCCTACCTTCTTACTAATGGGACTGACCTTACAGCAATGTTTTTCTTGACCTTTGCCTTCCTTGTTCCTTCCTTTCCTTGTTAGGGTAAGTAATTTTATTCATAGATACACTTTGGGGTCTGACTGTTGGAGATATTTTCTACTTTCCCTGAATTTTCTGGGAGAACTTCATAATCAGCACAGGCTTAGTAGATGAGTAGTTTTACCATTCTGCTAAGATGCTTCATTTTGGTAGCCTTTTCTCCTCTAGATAAGGGAGAAATAGGGTGATAATTTGGGAAATTTTAAATGTGGAGGCTGTGTAAGACTTTATTGTTTGGCTAATCCAGTACACACTCCTGTTTTGTTCACCTGCTCTGTAGGGGCTAGAAAAGCTAAATGCTCATTACTCAGCCTTCCTTTCTCCTGGGAATGGTTCCCCCAGTAAAGAGATGAACACAGCTGACATCATCTCAACTTTTTTCCTCCTGAGAACACGTGGATCAAATACCTGGAGGTGAAGCATCCAATTTAGAACTGCATGGGAAAGGCTAAGAAGATTACCAAGAAATTGACCATGCAATCATTGAGCTATCAGTTGTTTACTTTCAGGCTTCTTAGGGGAAAAAGTCTTATTTGTTTAAACTAAATAAAAATCCTTAATTTGCTTAAATTAGTTTAAACAGAAGTGAGTTTTTTTTAAAATTATTTTTCAGCCAAAATCATTCCCATTTGATAGAGATCTGGCTAATAACAAAGGTAACACAGTGAACTGACCTAGAGTGGACACAGATCTGTGCTGCTGTCCTGACATATAAACTACGAGGGGGAAAATTAGGCTTCTTTGCCCAGAACTTTAGGGGAGAGTTCATGATCATCGTGAGAATGTGGGCTGCAGAGCTAAGCAGCTGCCTAACATGCTGCAGATTGATTTATCTTAGACTAATAGGGAAGACAATCTGAGGCAAGTATGATGAGGTCACATTAGCCTCTATTCTCTTAAACCATATAGACTCGTGGAGCTCTGTTAGCATGAGCTTGGGGCATATCACTCTTAATGGTGGTAAAAGCTATCAGCTGTCAGCTTTTTGATCCAATTTAGCAATTTACTGTCTTCTTTCTCATTTACCTGGCCCAAAAAGTGTAACTGTCTCTCTGAAAAAGAGAGACCCTGTGCTTACATCTTGGGTCAGTAGTTCTCAGTGGGGGAAGGTGACATTTCCTCTCCCCACCCAGGGAATATTTGGCAATGTCTGGAGACATTTTTGTTTGTCACAACTTGGAGAGGATGCTCTTGGTTTCTAGTAAGTAGAGGGCAGAGTTGGAACTAAACATCCTCCTGTCCACAGGACGGTCCCCTACAACAGCAGTCCCCAACCTTTTTGGTACCAGGGACCGGTTTTGTAAAAGACAGTTTTTCCATGGACCGGTTTGGAGGTGGGGGTGGGGGAGACGGTTTTGGGATGATTCAAGCACATTACATTTATTGTGTACTTTTATTACATTGTAATATATAATGAAAAGATCATACAATTCACCATAGGTAGAATCAGTGGGAGCCCTGAGCTTGTTTTCCTGCAACTAGATGATCCCATCTGGGGGTGATGGAAGACAGTGACAGATCATCAACCATTAGATTCTCATAGAGCACATGACCTAGATCCCTTGCATGCATAGTTCACAGTAGGGTTTGTGCTCCTATGAGAGTCTAATGCTCCTGCTGATCTGACAGGTGGCGGAGCTCAGGCACTAATGTGAGTGATGGAAAGTGGCTATAAACACAGATGAAGCTTCCCTGGCTTGCCCGCTGCTCACCTCCTGCTGTGTGGCCAAGTTCCTAGCAGGCCATGGACTGGTACCTACAACAATTGGGCCCCTACCCTACAACAACAATTATGCAACCAAGGATATCACTAGTGCTGGATTTAGCTCTGTTTTAGACCCATAAATCAGTTGCATGATTTGGGTTTAAATCCTTGGCTATCTCTTAGCTTCTGTTCAACCTCTCTTCATAGTAACTGTTGACTTTGAGGAATCCCATTGAATCTGTCCCCAGGACTCTGTTTGGTCATTGCCCCCACTAGGTCAGACCTCAAGCCCTGAAAAAGAGATGCAGATAGGAGCGGAGTGTGCCAGAGCAGCACTGTCTTGTTTTCCTAGCAAGGTCTGGGAGAAAGAAGGTAAGACAGAAGCTGTTAGGATAAAGTGTAGGATAGTTTTTTCTGAGCAGTAGAGGTGAAATGGGATCTTGTCTGTGTCGGATAAAACTAAGAGGTCCATTACATGAAGGAATTGGAAGCAGGTGAATGGCTGCTAAAGCTGAACAAGAAAGGGCAATTGATGCAAAGTAGCATGCAAAGAAATCATGTAGGGTGGATTTACAGGAAGCTAAATTAAACTGACATTGCTCAAGATACAACACTGCACAGAAAGTGGAAGGCAGGGCAGAAGGGAGAGCCAAGGAGACTGGGAGAGTCACAGTAGTGGATGGAGCTACCTGTACCCTAAAGCAAGAGGGCTTTGAAATGGACAAAATGTCTGCCCCAGACAGCCTCTCACACTCTACTAGGGTAAGAGAATAATCACTGGCAGTTCAGGGCCTAATTAGTCTCTGATTTAGCTGTAAAGGCTTCTGTCAGGTAGCACTTGGCTGCACCTGCAAGACCAGTAGTTCTTAATAGGATGAAAGGAATTTCTTCTCACCCACCCAGGTCTGCTCTATCATCATCTTAGGGAAATTTTCTGATACACTGCATGTCCCAGAAATCAATTTTTTGGTTAATTGGACACTTTAGTTAATGCAGAATTAACATGAGGCTGTGGAATGGTGGCAAGAGTCCTGGGCTTAGATCAAAGGCATAGCTCTGTTGCTTTCTAGTGAATTACATCAATTATCCAAGCTTCAGGCTTTGAATCTTCTAACTGGGTATCATACGCCTGTCCTGTCTGTTAGTGATAATGCAGGAATCAAATGAGGTGATGTATGTAGGAGTGTTTTGAACATTCTATATTGAAATATACATATTGAAGATATTATATTACATGCTAAGCATGAATTGCTATCTTCAAAGAATGAGAATAAAAGTACACATAAAGTTCAAATTATGCAGAATAGATTTTATTCTCTTATATGATACAGAATATTTTTCAGTATCAGAGGAGATGGCAGAGAAAAAAATGTAGACATTTCAAAGTCGCTGTCCAGAGTTCTGGCCTCTAAAGTGAAAAACATGAAGTTGATCCTTTATTTAGTGAAATACATTAAGATGTTTCAGATTATCCAAAGGAAGACTAGGAGTACAGGTTCTAGAGGTAAACTTGAGAAGAGTTGAGTTTCAGAAGGAGCCAGAGAGTAAAGGGAGCCTAGAAACCGAGGGACAGAGGGTGCTGAGCGCTGTTGTGCTATAAAACTCCTAACTGCTCAGATCTTCAGACACCTGCTACTTCCTCAAATGACTTGAGAGAGTAGTGTCCACTTTAGGGAAGACGGCAAGTGTCACCACAGAAAAGGGGCTGAGTTCCAGATTGGTGAGGGGCAGAGAAAAAAAAGATGCTGTAGGTGTTGGGTGTGAAACCAGAGTAACCAGGACTCAGAACTATAACACAGGGTAACTCTTAAGGACTCCTAGTTTTGGCACTGAAACTTTATATCTCAGGAAACTCCTTAGTCCTAGGCAAATGGGAAGAGTTGGTCACCCTCTAAGTGTGATGCTGGGATGGGAAAAGTCAGAATTTCCAGATATCTTTGGAAAGCCAACGGACCCTCTCACCAGGCATGAATAGAGAAATGAGACAATTAAAAAAAAATCCCTAAGAACAGGATGACATCTTGTTTGATATGTGTACTAGAATATTTAGGTTAATAAAGACATTTGGTTGACATAGAGGTAGAAGAGAGCACAAGTCTTGCTGTTTTCATTGGTTTACATTAGTTTTCCCTAATGCTGGGCTATTGTTTCTTTAATTCACCTTAAAAGAAGAATGTATTCAAGGTTCTTGTATGTGAAATTCAGGGTAAATGAAGCAACATGACTCTACTCATGAATACAAGTAAAAAGCAAAAGCCAAAAAAATCCTCATTTTATTAGAAAATAGACTTTCAGAAAAGCTGCAAGAAATAGTATATAGTTCAAAGACCACCAATATACTTTTTTCCAGATGAGCTATTGTTAACATTTTTAGCCCATTTGCTTTGATTTTTCTTTCTCTACACACACACACACACACACAGACACAGAAACATAGAAATTTTCTGAACCTTTTGATATAAGTTTGTATGCATCATGCTCCTTTATCCCCAAATACTTTAAATATGTATTTCCTAAGAATAGGAATATTCTTATACGTCAACTTCAGTAATTTAACACTAATATGATGCTTTAATCTACCATGCATATTCCAATTTTGTCAATTAACTCAATAATGTCCATTATAGCATTTCTTTTTATCCTTCCAGTACAGAAATAAATGTAGGCTCAAGTATTTAGTTGTCACGTCTCTTTAGTCTCCTTTAATTTGGAGCTTTTTGCGACATTTATCATTTGACATTGATATTTTTGAAGCTACAATCCTGTTTTTGTGTTTAACAGAAAGTTCCTTGTTTTCGGATTTATCTGATGTTTCCTTGTGGTTAGATTCAGGTTATGCATCTTTGCTTGAATGCTGTATAAGCAATTCTATGTCCTTCTCAAGGTATCACATCTGAAGGTGCCCATCTCCATCTGTCCCTCACTGATGTTAATTTTGACCATCCAGTCAAGGAGTTTGTCTGATTATGCACTGTTGAGTTACTGTTTTTCCTCATATTCATTCTTTTTTTCTGTGTTATGTTTTAAGTATATTTTTTCATACATCCTTAATAAATTCTAAATACAGATATTAGCATCTCACCTGATTTCAGACCTGTACTTTGCAACCATGGGCAGGTAAAAAGTGTGACATGTTTTTGTTTCTATTTGCACTACAAGAGAAAGTTGTATTTAAATTTTATATTTTATTTCTGGAACTGAACCAGCCTTGAAGATTGCTTTGTACTTGAGCAGAGAAGTGAAAAATAAAACGAAAAACCAAAAAAAAGAAAAGAAAAAAGGAAACAAATAGCCCAGAATAAAGCAACCCTACCCTAGTTGTTCTGTCTCCTCCACTAGAGGAGATGATTGGGTTTCACGGAGCTAACCATTCTAAGAGCAGATTTCATTTGCTGCCTCTTGATGAGAATTTGACTGGAAGATCCCTGGAAAAATGAGCGGAAACTGGGCTAACACCTTAGTGGTAAAACAACAGAGGAAAAAATAAATTTATCCTAGTTATGAGTTCGTATGACTTGTATCATATTGACACTGATAAGCAGTGATTTCAAGCAAAAAGTGTTGGCCTAATGTTACTTCAAGGGCTAATATAGACCTAGAACATTCTTGCTGGTGTTCAGCATCATAGACTGAGATGTAGAACTGTTCCACTTTTCTACAACTTGTGGCCTTCCTGCTATCTGCATTTTCTATTGTCAAATTTCTCTTCTACCTAATACCTTCACCTACAGTGCCCCGTGGTCACCCTTGGCTTTGATTCCTGGTGTCTTTTTGCGATTGCTTCCTTGTGGTATGCAGTTTTCATGTGAACTGATCACTGGGAATAAGCCCCTTGTTTGGTATAGGCATAAGTTGTTTGATACTTGTGTATTACCCTTATGGGCAGCTCAGCCTGGCCCCATGGGCACCAGATGAAGAAGGGCATGAACTGACAATGCCGGGAGAACTACATTAGATCCTAACTCCTGACACAGTTGACCTTGTGCAGTTCTTCTCTCCCAGTGTGGACGAAGGCAGGAAGGAGACCCCCTACTTAGCCCCCGCATGGGGATCAGGTAGCAGAGAAGCAAATTTGTGCCCCCAAAGTGTGGAGATCCAACAGATCTTAAGTGGGGTAGTTAATGAGAGGACACCAATCTTAGGACCAAGATTTGGAATCAAATGGGGGTCAGAACATGAAGGAAGATTAAAAACAGGTAGAAGCAGGGTAGAATTAGTGAGCAGGATTGTTGCTTGGGCTAATTCTGGAGGTGGGGATCTTAGGTTAAATTTCAGTTTTAGAAAGTCAGACATGTTGGGAAGATCGGGCTGGGTTCATTTAAAGGGACCAGCATGCAATAGACAAGCTATGTGGAGCTACACTGATGTTTTGGCAGTTGTCTAGCGAATTTGAGCAGAGAAGCTCTACATCCAAGGAACAATGTAAAATCAAACTCAGTGGTGAGCTTTACGAGCAAGGTGACTATTTTAAGTGTCTCGCTGATTTTAAGATTTCTCACTTAAGGCCAGGAATGGTGGCTCATGCCTGTAATCCCAGAACTTTGGGAGGCAGTGGTGGGAGGATCACTTCAGGCCAGGAGTTCTAGACCAGCCTGGGCAACATAGGGAGACCTTATCTCTACTAAAACTAAAAAAAATTAGATGGGTGTGGCGGTGCATGCCTATAGTCCCAGCTAATCAGGAGGCTGAGGGTGGGAGGATCACTTGAGCCAAGAAGTTCAAGGTTGTAGTGAGCTATGATTGTGTCACTGCACTCCAGCCTGGGTGACAGAGCAAGACTCTGTCTCAAAAAAAAAAAAAAAAAAAATTCTCACTTAGAATCTTGGAATGTTGGAAAATTGAGAAAGCAAATGCTAGGGAGGAACGTCGTCTAGGTTTTCTCCATACATAGTTGGGAAAGAGACATTTGGAGATATTGGGGCAACAACTTATGAATAAAAATCTACAGGATTTTCCTGGTCGGAGCTGGGAATTTTGATTGTTCTATATACTTTCAGCAGCTCAGGTTACGAGCAGCTATAGTTATATTATTTTGGCACCAGCTTGTGCTATTTTCCTGAGCTTAGTTCTCACAATCCTATGAAATAGGTACTTTTGTTTTCCTCTATTTAAAAATGAGAACATAAGAGACATGAAGTTAAGAAATTTGCTCAAGTGGCCAAGCTGAGGCTTAAATGTAGGGCTGTTAGTCCTGTGTTCTCCTGCAGTGCTTCTTAATCCATCTGAGATCAGGAATCCTTACAGTATAATATGTAAGCTGTGGATGCTGTTTCCAGAAAATTGTACTGTGAGCATTTTATCTACAGCTTCAGGGGGATCAAGACCATCTGGGATTCTTTTGATGGACCTAAAGTTAAGAACTTCTGAATATATATATATATATGTGTGTGTATATACATCTACAAATTTTTTAAAGAAAAAGATATGTGTATATATATACATATATAAATAACTTTTTAGTTTTTACAAAAAAGTATTCTGAGTTTAAAATTGTTCATATAATGTTCATATAAACGTTTAGAATACAACACATTTCTTTTTTTTTTAAATTATACTTTAAGTTTTAGGGTACATGTGTACAATGTGCAGGTTTGTTACATATGTACACATGTGCCATGTTGGTGTGCTGCACCCATTAACTTGTCATTTAACATTAAGTATATCTCCTAATGCTGTCCCTCCCCCATCCCCCCACCCCACAACAGGCCCCGGTGTGTGATGTTCCCCTTCCTGTGTCCATGTGTTCTCATTGTTCAATTCCCACCTATGAGTGAGAACATGTGTTGTTTGGTTTTTTGTCCTTGCAATAGTTTGCTGAGAATGATGGTTTCCAGTTTCATCCATGTCCCTACAAAGGGCATGAACTCATCATTTTTTATGGCTGCATAGTATTCAGTGGTGTATATGTGCCACATTTTCTTAATCCAGTCTATCATTGTTGGACATTTGGGTTGGTTCCAAGTCTTTGCTCTTGTGAATAGTGCAACAATAAACATACATGTGCATGTGTCTTTATAGCAGCATGATTTATAATCCTTTGGGCATATACCCAGTAATGGGATGGCTGGGTCAAATGGTATTTCTAGTTCTAGATCCCTGAGGAATCACTACACTGACTTCCACAATCGTTGAACTAGTTTACAGTCCCACCAACAGTGTAAAAGTGTTCCTATTTCTCCACATCCTCCCCAGCACTTGTTGTTTCCTGACTTTTTAATGATTGCCATTCTAACTGGTGTAAGATGGTATCTCATTGTGGTTTTGATTTGCATTTCTCTGATGAGTGATGATGAGCATTTTTTCATGTGTCTTTTGGCTGCGTAAATGTCTTCTTTCGAGAAGTGTCTGTTCATATCCTTCGCCCACTTTTTGATGGGGTTGTTTTTTTCTTGTAAATTTGTTTGAGTTCATTGTAGATTCTAGATATTAGCCCTTTGTCAGATGAGTAGATTGCAAAAATTTTCTCCCATTCTGTAGGTTTCCTGTTCACTCTGATGGTAGTTTCTTTTGCTGTGCAGAAGCTCTTTAGTTTAATTAGATCCCATTTGTCAATTTTGGCTTTTGTTGCCATTGCTTTTGGTGTTTTAGACATGAAGTCCTTGCCCATGCCTATGTCCTGAATGGTATTGCCTAGGTTTTCTTCTGGGTTTTTATGGTTTTAGGTCTAACGTTTAAGTCCTTAATCCATCTTGAATTAATTTTTGTATAAGGTGTAAGGAAGGGATCCAGTTTCAGCTTTCTACATAAGGCTAGCCAGTTTTCCCAGCACCATTTATTAAATAGGGAATCCTTTCCCTATTCTTTTTTTTGTCAGGTTTGTCAAAGATCAGATAGTTGTAGATATGTGACATTATTTCTGAGGGCTCTGTTCTGTTCCATTGATCTACTGTTTTGGTCCCAGTACCATGCTGTTTTGGTTACTGTAGCCTTGTAGTATAGTTTGAAGTCAGGTAGCATGATGCCTCCAGCTTTGTTCTTTTGGCTTAGGATTGACTTGGCAATGTGGGCTATTTTTGGTACCATATGAACTTTAAAGTAGTTTTTTCCAATTCTGTGAATAAAGTCATTGGTAGCTTGATGTGGATGGCATTGAATCTATAAATTACCTTGGGCATTATGGCCATTTTCACGACATTGATTCTTCCTACCCATGAGCATGGAATGTTCTTCCATTTGTTTGTATCCTCTTTTATTTCATTGTGCAGTGGTTTGTAGTTCTCCTTGAAGGGCAAACTGAATCCAGCAGCACATCAAAAAACTTATCCACCATGAGCAAGTGGGCTTCATCCCTGGGATGCAAAGCTGGTTCAATGTTCGCAAATCAATAAACGTAATCCAGCATATAAACAGAACCAATGACAAAAATCACGTGATTGTCTCAATAGATGCAGAAAAGGCCTTTGACAAAATTCAACAACTCTTCATGCTAAAAACTCTCAATAAATTAGGT
The DNA here is from genome assembly GCF_000001405.40 of Homo sapiens. Lineage (NCBI taxonomy): Eukaryota > Metazoa > Chordata > Mammalia > Primates > Hominidae > Homo > Homo sapiens. The sequence continues at coordinate 51,570,207 of NC_000017.11, forward strand.
ATTGATGGGATGTATCTCAAAATAATAAGAGCTATCTATGACAAACCCACAGCCAATATCATACTGAATAGACAAAAACTGGAAGCATTCCCTTTGTAAACCGGCACAAGACAGGGATGCCCTCTCTCATCACTCCTATTCAACATAGTGTTGGAAGTTCTGGCCAGGGCGATCAGGCAGGAGAAGGAAATAAAGGGTATTCAATTAGGAAAAGAGGAAGTCAAATTGTCCCTGTTTGCAGATGACATGATTGTATATCTAGAAAACCCCATCGTCTCAGCCCAAAATCTCCTTAAGCTGATAAGCAACTTCAGCAACGTCTCAGGATACAAAATCAATGTGCAAAAATCACAAGCATTCTTATATACCAATAACAGATAAACAGCCAAATCATGAGTAGAATACAACACATTTCTGAGTTGAGGTTTGCTGGTGTAAAGTTTTGAAGCAAATACTATCCATGCCTCACCTGCATTTTTTTTGGTACTTGTTGTTCTAGCATATTCTGATTAGCCCTACTGTAAGCTCTTAAAATCCTACACTTGAGGGTTTTCTAAATCTGCAGTTGGGGCGACCATAAGTGTTGGGGGTTTAATGATCCTGGGAATAGCAACTGGCCAATGAAATGTGGGAACTGGAGGGTAAATAACCCGGCTTCCTCACCCCTTGAGAGGGACAACTCTGTGGTGGGTTCTGCCTTGCCTCTCAATGTTTCCCAGGTGGATTGAGCTTCGGATTCCACAAGTGGAAACCTCGTTGATAACATACTCTTTATTGATGTTCTTCCCATCTCCATCTCACTTTTTCACTTCCCTAACCATGTTTCTTGGGACCACATTCCAAACAAATTACCTGTACTCAAATCCTTGTCTCAGAGTCTGTTTCTGGGGGAACGTGGCCTCAGGTAAGACTGCATATGGTGACAATTTTTAAATAACACCCTATGCAACACGATGTTAATTTAAGACACTCATAAAATGACAAAGTCTAGCTCTGAATGCTTTTGTCATTATGGTAAAGCCTGGTCTAACCTATTGGAGGATGAGAAATCATATGGAAAAGAATGTTGCCCTCCCAGTCAGTACTTGCAATCAACTGCCAGATGTCAGACAGTGGCCATTGGAAACTATCTGGCCCAGCAAACTACCACTTGACCATAAAAACACAAATGAACTCAGCTGACACCACATGGGGTAAAAAGGAGCCATCCCAGCTGAGCCCTGCCCAAGTTACCAGCCCACAGAATGTCTTTGAATGAAGAGGAGCTGTACCCAAACAACCTTGACTGGAATAGAACATGCTACAGATCATGAAATCATGACTTTGAGCCTAATAGAGTGATTAAAAGAGAACTTGGAAATCTTGGGAGAAGGTGAGTGTATTTCATGTATTTCACATGAATCACTGGGGCCAGAGGGAGGACAGTGGTAGTTTGTTGGAATACTGGCCCCCAATAAATGATGCCTCCTTGTCTTCTCCCTTTGCAATGTGACTTTGTTTTTCCCTTCATCCACACATGGAGTCTATTTCCCTACTTCCTGAATCTGTGCTGCCCTTGTGACTTTCACTAATAGAATGCTACAGAAGTGACATCTGAGACTTCTGAAGCTCAGCCTTAAGAGGCCTGTAATCCCAGCACTTTGGGAGGCTGAGGCAGGCAGATCATGAGGTCAGGAGATCGAGACCATCCTGGCTAACATGGTGAAACCCCGTCTCTGCTAAAAAAAATACAAAAAATTAGCCGGGTGTGGTGGCAGGCACCTGTAGTCCCAGGTACTTGGGAGGCTGAGGCAGGAGAATGGCGTGAACCCGGGAGGCAGAGCTTGTAGTGAGCCAAGATCACACCACTGCACTCCAGCTTGGGTGACAGAGCAAGACTCCGTCTCCAAAAAAAAAAAAAAAAAAAAAAACCTTGCAACTGCTACTGTCATCTTCATGGAATGCCCCTGTCATCATGGAAAAAGCCTGGTCTAATTACTGGAGAAGATGAGTCTTTCAAAGGAGAGGCATGACATACTGGCTGAAAGCCCCAGGTAACTGACAAACATGTGACTGAGTCCATTTGGGTCAGCCAGCCACCAGCTGACCTGAAAACTGACCATAGATGCATGAGTCAGCCCAGCTGTTACCATGTGGAACAGAGATGAGCCATCCTAGCTGAGCCCTACCAAATTGACAACCCAAAGAATTGCTAGAGGGTGAAAAGATAATGTCTACACATAGTTCTTAGTCTTGCTGAGTTTTTATCTTCATGGCCTCTTGACACCAAGCCAGAGAAATAAAGATGGCTCCAACATGAAGGCTGAAGACCCTGCCTTGGCCACTGCCAAGATTACTTTCTCAGGTCCGAACAGTCTCTTCTTGCTTCATATACCTATGACACAGGAGCTGAGGGTCCTTTGAATTAGTTACAATGAAGGACCATTGGGCCTGTCCAATTTTCCCTGGGGTTGAACCAACCACTGAGCTAAAAGAGGTTATGTAAAGCAAACTGACACTGATAAAGGAAAACCCTGAGTAGGACTCAGGATTTTTCATGGATCTGTAAATCTTGGCATCTCCTTGTAAAACTCAGAGTATGTAAGTGAATCATGGCCCTGTTGTACTTTTTTCCTTTGCTTTTCATATTAAACGTCATGGAAAATACTTTATCTTAACTGAGAAGAAAATACAAATGAGAGAAACAGAAGCAAGTGTTCATCAGAAACAGGCAAAAAATGTACCAGTCTCCAAGTAGCAGTGATAATTTAACTTGAAATAGTTTTTTTTTAGGGACACTTAAAGAAAGGTGGTTTTGACATATTTTTCTCCATCCTCTTCTTCTATGTCCATCATGAGATGTTTATATTGGAGCTTCAGGTAGAAGAGCACGTTTTGGGACAGCTGTCCTTACTTTCTGAACATTTATCCTCCTTTTGTGGAGAGGGATTAAAATACTTTGTACATGTGTAATTTCAGATTTCCTGTTCTTCTCACTTTGTTTTCTTCACTTGCCCCCTTTGAGGGTAGAAAATGCTAGAGAAAAATGTTGATTTCAGATGAAAATAATGCAATTATTGATTTTCTAAGCTGTCTCTGAAACTATTCAACTACTGATCAATTTAAGCATATTGTATAGTTCCTCTAAAAATAGTTTTTCAGACTTCAAAAATACAAGTTCATGGAGGTTGTTATGTTAAGTCAAATCAGCCAGGCACAGAAAGACAAATGTTCCATGTTCTCTCTTAGGAGCTAAAAAGTTGATCTCATGGAGGTAGAGAATAGAATGATATGTACCAGAGGCTGGGGAGGGTGTTCAATGGGAGTGGGGGAGGAAGACAGATTGGTTAATGGGTATAAATATACAGTTACATAAAAAGGATAAGTTCTAATGTTCAACAGCAGAGTAGAGCAATTATAGTTAACCACAATGTATTATACGTTTCAAAATAGTCAGAAGAGAGTACTTGAAATATTCCCAACACATAAAAATGACAAATACTCAAGGTGATGGATACCCTAAATGCCCTGATTCGATGATCACACATTCTATGCATGTAGCAAAATATGCGTACTCCCAAAATATGTACAAATATTACGTATCAATAAAAATACAAGGTCATTATATCCTATTACTACATTTAAATTAGAGGAAACTCTGCATTGCTAAAAGTTCTTCTACAAAGTGTGTGTATACTTGAATACTCTTCTGTTTGGTACAGTCCTTCTAGCCTGTTGATCCCAGGCAGCCCTATGGTTAAAAGGGCAGGGACTATATCCAGGGACTATAATGTACACATAAGATCACAGGAAATATAGTGCAGATAGAAAGTCACACTTTAGCCTTCCCATACTTGATAATGAACCAATATAATGGTTAACTAGGAAGTTTTTGCTTATTCATACACCCAAAATCTGTTTCTTTTTTCTGTAGTTATACTTGTGGCAGGCAAGACAAATTATGATTCTATTAGTATCTTTGTAGAATCTTTTCCACTCCAAACCTCTGCTAGGTAAACTTCTGGGTTTTCTGTTTGACTTTTTACCGTCCTTTCATCTGCATTCTTCCCCCTATCCAGCTAAGATTACTTGAGAGAAAAAATAACAATGGCAGGTGGTGAGAAGGAGGAAGGGAAAGGAAGAGTGCAAGGGGTGTTGAGGCAGGCAAGGCTGTTTGTTAGAACCTCCTTGGGAGTGTTTTTAAAATGCCAATGCAAGGACTCCTGGGCAAGATGGCTGAATAGGAACAGCTCCGGTCTGCAGCTCCCAGCAAGATCAATGCGGAAGGCAGTGATTTCTGCATTTCCAACTGCGGGTACCCAGTTCATCTCATTGGGACTGATTAGACAGTGAATGTAGCCCATGGAGGGCCAGCAGAAGCAGAGTGGGGCATTGCCTCACCCACAAAGTGCTAGGGATCTGGGAACTCCCTCATTTAGCCAAAGGAAGCTGTGAGGGACTGTGCCATGAAGGACGGTGCTATCTGGCCCAGATACTATGCTTTTCCCATGGTCTTTGCAACCCGTAGACCAGTAGATTCCCTCAGGTGCCTACATCACCAGGGCCCTGGGTTTCAAGTGCAAAACGGAGTAGCCACTTGGGCAGACACCAAGCTAGATGCAGGAGTTTTTTCTTCATACCACAGTGGCACCTAGAACACCAGTGAGACAGAACTGTTCACTCCACTGGAAAGGGGGCTGAAGCTAGGGAGCCAAGTGGTCTAGCTCAGTGGATCCCACCTCAGTGGAGTCCAACAAGCTAAGATCCACTGGCTTGAAATTTTTGCTGCCAGCACAGCAGTCTGAACTCTACCTGGGATGCTCAAGCTTGGTGGCGGGAGGGGCTCCGCCATCACTGAAGCTTGAGTAGGCAGTTTTCCCTTCACAGAGTAAGCAAAGCCATGGGGAAGCTCAGACTGGGTGGAGCCCACCACAGCACCGCAAACCTGCTGTAGCCAGATTGCCTCTCTAGATTCCTCCTCTCTGGGCAGGACATCTCTGAAAGAAAGGCAGCAGCCCTAGTCAAGGGCTTATAGATAAAACTCCCATCTCCCTGGGAGAGAGCACCTGAGGGAAGGGGCTGCTGTGAGCACAGCCTCATCAGACTTAAACTTTCCTGCCTGCTGGCTCAGAAGAGAGCAGTGAATCTCCCAGCACAGCACAGGAGCTCTGCTAAGGGACAGACTGCCTCCTCAAGTGGATCCCTGACCCCAGTGCCTCCTGATAAGGAGACACCTCCCAGCAGGAGTGGACAGACACCTCATATAGGAGAGTTCCAGCTGGCATCTGGCAGGTGCCCCTCTGGGACAAAGCTTCCAGAGGAAGGAGCAGGCAGCAATCTTTGCTGTTCTGCAGCCTCCGCTGGTGATACCTAGGCAAACAGGGTCTGGAGTGGACCTCTAGCAAACTCCAACAGACCTGCAGAAGAGGGGCCTGTTAGAAGGAAAACTAACAAACAGCAATAGCATCAACATCAAAAAGGACAATCGTGCAAAAATCCCATCCGAAGGTAACCAACATCAAAGACCAAAGGTAGATAAATCCATGAAAATGAGAAAAAAACAGTGCAAAAATGCTGAGACTTCCAAAAACTGGAATGCCTCTTCTCCTGCAAAGGATCACAACTCCTTGCCAGCAAGGGAAAAAAACTGGACAGAGAATGAGTTTGACAAATTGACAGAAGTAGGCTTCAGAAGGTGGGTAATAACAAACTCCTCTGAGCTAAAGGAGCAAGTTCTAACCCAAAGCAAGGAAGCTAAGAACCTTGATAAAAGGTTACAGGAACTGCTAACTAGAATAACCAGTTTAGAGAAGAACATAAATGACCTAACGGAGCTGAAAAACACAGCACGAGTACTTTGTGAAGCATATATAAGTATCAATAGCCAAATCAATCAAGTGGAAGAAAGGATATCAGAGATTGAAGATCAACATAAGGAAATAAAGCCGGAAGACAAGATTAGAGAAAAAAGAATGAAAAGGAATGAACAAACCTCCAAGAAATATGGGACTGTGTGAAAAGACCAAATCTATGTTTGATTGGTGTACCTGGAAGTAAAGGAGAGAATGGAACCAAGTTGGAAGACACACTTCAGGATATCGTCCAGGAGAACTTCCCAAACCTTGCAAGACAGGCCAACATTCAAATTCAGGAAATACACAGAACACCACAAGGATACTCCTCAAGAAGAGCAACCCCAAGACATGTAATTATCAGATTCACCAAGGTTGAAATGAGGGAAAAAATGTTAAAGGCAGCCAGAGAGAAAGGTCGGGTTACCCACAAAGGGAAGCCCATCAGACTAACAGTAGATCTCTCAACAGAAACCCTACCAGCCAGAATAGAGTGGGGGCCAATATTCAACATTCTTAAAGAAAATAATTTTCAACCCAGAGTTTCACATCCAGCCAAACTAAGCTTCATAAGTGAAGGAGAAATAAAATCTTTTACAGACAAGCAAATGCTGAGGGATTTTGTCACCGCCAGGCCTGCCTTACAAGAGCTCCTGAAGAAAGCGCTAAATATGGAAAGGAAAAACTGGTACCAGCCCCTGGAAAAATATACCAAAATATAAAGACCATCGACACTATGAAGAAACTGCATCAACTAATGGGCAAAATAACCAGCTAGCATCATAATGACAGGATCAAATTCATGTATAACTATATTAACCTTAAATGTAAATGGGCTATATGCCCCAATTAAGACAGACTGGCAAATTGGGTAAAGAGTCAAGACCCATCAGTGTGCTGTATTCAGGAGACACATCTCACGTGGAAAGACACACATAGGCTCAAAATAAAGGGATAGAGGAAGATTTACCAAGTAAGTGGAAAGCAAAAAAAAAAAAAAAAAAAAAAAAAGTTGCAATCCTAGTCTCTGATAAAGCAGACTTTAAACCAACAAAGACCAAAAAAGACAAAGAAGGGCATTACATAATGGTAAAGGGATCAATGCAGCAAGAAGAGTGAACTATCCCAAATATATATGCACCCAATACAGGAGCACCCAGATCCATAAAGCAAGTTCTTAAAGACCTATGAAGAGACTTAGACTCCCACACAATAATAGTGGGAGACTTTAACACCCCACTGCCAATATTAGATCAATGAGACAGAAAATTAACAAGAATATTCAGGACTTGAACTCAGCTCTGCATCAAGTGGACCTAATAGACATCTACATACTCTCCACCCCAAATCAACAGAATATACATTCTTCTCAGCACCACATAGCACTTACTCTAAAACTGACCACATAATTGGAAGTAAAACACTCCTCAGCAAATGCAAAAGAATGGAAATCATAACAGTCTCTCAGACCACAGTGCAATCATATTAGAACTCAGGACTAAGAAACTCACTCAAAACTGCACAACTACATGGAAACTGAACAACCTGCTCCTGAATGACTGCTGGGTAAATAATGAAATTAAGGCAGAAATAAGTTCATTGAAACCGATGAGAACAAAGACACAACATACCAGAATCTCTAGGACACAGCTAAAGCAGTGTTTAGAGGGAAATTTATAGCACTAAATGCCCACAAGAGATAGCAGGAAAGATCTAAAATTGACACCCTAACATCACAATGAAAATAACTAGAGAAGCAAGAGCAAAAGCTAGCAGAAGGCAAGAAATAACTAAGATTAGAGCAGAACTGAAGGAGATAGAGACACAAAAAACCCTTCAAAAAACCAATGAATTGTGGAGCTGGTTTTTTGAAAAGATTAACAAAATAGACCGCTAGCCAGACTAATAAAGAAGAAAAGAGAGAAGAATCAAATAGACACAATAAAAATGATAAAGGGGATATCACCACTGATCCCACAGAAATACACACTACCATCAGAGAATATTATAAACATGTCTATGCAAATAAACTAGAAGATGTAGAAGAAATGGATAAATGCCTGGACACATACACCCTCTCAAGTCTAAATCAGGAAGCTGAATCCCTGAATTGACCAATAACAGGTTCTGAAATTGAGGCAGTAATTAATAGTCTACCAACCAAAAAAAGTCCAGGACCAGACGGAATCACAGCCGAATTCTACCAGAGGAACAAAGAGGAGCTGGTACCATTTCTTCTGAAACTATTCCAAACAATAGAAAAAGGGGGACTCCTCCCTAGCTCATTTTATGAGGCCAGCATCATCTTGATACCAAAACCTGGCAGAGACACAACAACAAAAAGAAAATTTCAGGCCAATATCCCTGATGAACATCGATGTGAAAATTCTCAATAAAATACTGGCAAATTGAATCCAGCAGCACTTTAAAAAGCTTATTCATCACAATCAAGTCAGCTTCATCCCTGGGATGCAAGACTGGTTCAACATACGCAAATTAATAAACATACTCCATCACATAAACAGAACCAATGACAAAGACCACATGATTATCTCAATAGATGCAGAAAAGGCCTTCTATAAAATTCAACACCCCTTCATGTTAAAAACTCTCAATAAACTAGGTATTGATGGAATGTATCTCAAAATAATAGCTATTTATGACAAACCCACAGCCAGTATCATACTGAATGGGCAAAAGCTGAAAGCATTCCCTTTGAAAAATGGCACAAGACAAGAATGTCCTCTCTCTCCACTCCTAATCAACATAGTATTGGAAGTTCTGGCCAGGGCAATCAGGCAAGAGAAATGAAGCATATTCAAATAGGAAGAGAGGAAGTCAAATTATCTCTGTTTGCAGATGACATGATTGTATATTTAGAAAACCCCATTGTCTCAGCCCAAAAACTCTTTAAGCTGATAAGCAACTTCGGCAAAATCTCAGGATACAAAATCAATGTGCAAAAATCACAAGCATTCCTGTACACCAATAGTAGCCAAATCGTGAGTGAACTCCCATTCACAATTGCTACAAAGAATAAAATACCTAGGAATACAACTTACAAGGGATGTGAAGGACCTCTTCAGGGAGAATTGTAAACCACTGCTTAAGGAAACAAGAGGTTACCAACAAATGGAAAAAGATTCCATGCTCATGGATAGGAAGAATCAATATCATGAAAATGGCCATACTGCTCAAAGTAATTTATAGATTCAATGCCATTCTCCTCAAACTACCATTGAATTTCTTCACAGAATTAGAAAAAACTACTTTAAATTTCATGTGGAACCAAAAAATAGCCTGTATAGCCAAGACAATCCTAAGCAAAAAGAACAAAGCTGGGGGCATCATGTTACTTGACTTCAAACTATACTACAAGGCTACAGTAACCAAAACAGCATGGTACTGGTACCAAAACAGAGAGATAGACCAACGGAACAGAACAGAGGCCTCAGAAATAACACCACACATCTACAACCACCTGATCTTTGACAAACCTGACACACATAAGTAATGGGGAAAAAAGTCCCTATCTAATAAATGGTGTTGGGAAAACAGGCTAGCCATATGCAGAAAGCTGAGACTGGACCCCTTCCTTACCCCTTATACAAAAATTAACTCAAGATGGATTAAAGACTTAAACATAATACCTAAAACCATAAAAACCCTAGAAGAAAACCTAGGCAATACCATTCAAGACATAGGCATGGGCAAAGACTTGATGACTAAAACACCAAAAGCAACAGCAACAAAAGCCAAAATTGACAAATGAGATCTAATTTAAATTAAAGAGCTTCTGCAAGCAAAAGAAACTATCATCAGAGCGAGTAGGCAACCTACAGAATTGGAGAAAATTTTTGCAATCTACCCATCTAACAAAGGGCTAATATCCAGAATCTACAAAGAACTTTAACAAATTTTCAAGAAAAAAAACCCATCAAAAAGTGGGTGAAGGATATGAACAGACACTTTTCAAAAGAAGACATTTATGCAGCCAACAAACATGAAAAAAAGCTCATCACTGGTCATTAGAGAAATGCAGATCAAAACCACAATGAGATATTATCTCATACCATTAGAATGGTGGTCATTCAAAAGTCAGGAAACAACAGATGCTGGAGAGGATGTAGAGAAATAGGAACACTTTTACACTGTTGGTGAGAGTGTAAATTAGTTCAACCATTGTGGAAGACAGTGTGGCCATTCCTCAAGGATCTAGAACTAGAAATATCATTTGACCCAGCAATCCCATTACTGGGTATATACCCAAAGAATTATAAATCATTCTCAATAAAGACACATGCACACGTATGTTTATTGCAGCACTATTCACAATAGCAAAGACTTAGAACCAACCCAAATGCCCATCAATGATAGACTGGAAAAAGAAAATGTGGCACATATATACCATGGAATACTATGCAGCCGTAAAAAATGAGTTCATATCTTTTGCAGGGATATGGATGAAGCTGGAAACCATCATTCTCAGCAAAATAACACAGGAACAGAAAACCAAACACTGCATGTTCCCACTCATAAGTGGGAGTTGAACAATGAGAACATATGAGCACAGGGAGGGGAACATTACACACCAGGGCCTGTTGGTGGGATGGGAAGCAAGGGGAGGGAAAGCATTAGAAGAAATACATAATTATTTATGTATGTAGATGATGCGTTGATGGGTGCAGCAAACCACCATGGCACATTATACCTATGTAAGAAACCTACACATTCTGCACATGTATCCTAAAACTTAAAGTATAATAATAATAATAATAATAATAATAATAAATGCCAATGCATGGGCCTCTGATTTAACTCATCTAGGGATTGGCATTTTAATAAAACTGCCTTGGTGATTCAACTGAGCATCCGGGGTATAGGGCCATTGAGGTTGAAATTTGATTGGTGAGGGCTTAGAAAGGAGGCAGTTCCAGTGTAGCTTTGGCTTCTGAGAAGACTGGAAACCAAGATGATTAGGAAGAGGATTTGAGGAAGTGTTAAGTAGTAGTGCTGTGGGCGCACTTGGTTTTTCAAGTCGCCTGCTTGGCCCTCTTCCAAGTTGTACTTTCCTTCTTTCCCTTCCTTCCTTTTTTTTTTTTTTTTTTTTTTTTTTTTACTGTTCTAAAGCTTTTTAATAAACTTTCACTCCTGCTCTGAAAAAAAAAGTAGTGCTGTAGATTATAAATTGGATCTTTAATATTTTTTTCTGAGAGATGCATATAGAAATTAAAGTTGCCTTGGTTGCTAATCTGTAGTCTTTGATGACAACATCATGATATTATGGCGAGACTTTTCCTCTTCTGGATTCACCAGTCCTCTTTATAGGATTTAAAATGAGGGGATCTACAGAGCTCTCCATGAATCTGTTAAGACCCCATGGTTCTTACCCTTCAACACCCTATATACAAACTCCCTGCCTCCCCTGACTAAACTGTCCAAGAGACCAGTTCCAAGAAGGACATAACCAGATCTGATTATCCACCTCCTCGTAAGCCAGTGTTTTCCAAATTATAGAGTAGTGGAATCAATTCCATGTCTTGTGACCTGCGTGTTGTCCTTCTAATGAAAACAAAATAAATAGATAAGGAAATAAACAGATTTTAAAAACAAGCTGTGTGACAGATAGTAAAGACAGGTATCATTTGTTAAAATCTTTGTTTCATCATATGTACATTAATGCAGCATTTCTTATATTTTTATGTTTCTTAGTATTTTTAAAATTTAAATTGACAAAAATTTTATATATTTACATTATTTGCTACGGTTTGAATATTTGTGTCTCTCCAACATTCATATGTTGAAATCTAGTTCTCAATATATTGGTATTAAGAGGTGGTGCTTTTGGGAGGTAATTAGTTCATGATGGCAGAGCCCACGTGAATAGGATTAGTGCCCTTATAAAAGAGGTTTGAGGGAATTCTTTTGCCCATCTGCCATGTAATGACTCAGCAACAGGGCACCGTCTATGAAGCGGAGATCTTTCACCAGACATTGAATCTGCTGTTGCCCTGACCTTGAACTTCCCAGCCTCCAGAACTGTTGTTTATAAATTACATGGTCTAAGATATTTTGTTATGGCAGCCCAGATAGACTAAGACAGTATACAACATGGTGTACAATGATTGTATGCACGTGGTGTACAACAGGGTGTGTGTGTGTATATAGACAATATAACAATATATTGTATACTTGAAAATTGCTAGGAGAGTAGATTCTAAATGTTCTCACCACAAAAGAAATGTTAAGTATGTAAGGTAATGGATATATTAATTAGCTTGATATAGCTATTTCATAGCTAAATTATACATTGTAAATGTGTGTGTGTGTATGTGTGTGTGTGTGTGTGTGTAAGTTCAAGATCAGGGCACTGGCAGATTCAGTGTCTGGTGAAAGCTCTCTGCTTCATAGATACTGCCGTGTTGCTGAGTCTTCACTTGGCAGACAGACAAAGGAACTCCCTCAAACCTCAAACCTATATATATGTGTGTGTGTGGGTGGGTGGGTGGGTGGGGGTATACATATCATGTCTAATGTATAACTTAGCTATGAAATAGCTAAATTAAGCTAATTAATATATCTATTACCTTACATACTTAACATTTCCTTTGTGGTGAGAACATTTAGAATCTACTCCCCAAGCAATTTTCAAGTATACAATATATTGTTATTAACTATAGTCAGTAGGTTGTACAATAGATCTCTTGAACTTATTCCTTCTGTGTAACTGAAATTTGGTATATTTTGATCAACATTTCCCACAAACCCCTCACTCTCAGTCTCTGGTAACCACCATTCTACTTTCTGATTTCGAGTTGGACTTTTTCAGATTCCACATATAAGTGAGATCATGTAGTAATTGTCTTTCTGTGCTTGGCTTATTTTACTTAGCATAATGGCCTCCAAGTTTATCCATGTTTTTGAAAATAAGAGGATTTCCTTATTTTTTTTTTTAAGGCTGAACAGTATTCCATTGTGTATATATGCCACATTTAAAAAAAATCCATTGATGGGCACTCAGGTTGATTTCATGGTGGGTTAGTGAATAACACTACATTGAACATGGGAGTTCAGTTATTTCTTTGACATACAGATTTTATTTCTTTTGCATACATACCTAGAAGAGGGATTGCTGGATCATATGGTAGTTCTATTTTGATTTTTTTTTTTTTTTTTTTTGAGACAGAGTCTCACTCTGTTGCCCAGGCTGGAGTGCAGTGGCACCATCTTGGCTCACTGCAACCTCCGCCTCCTGGGTTCAAGCAATTCTCCTGCCTCAGCCTCCCAAGAAGCTGGGACTACAGGCGCCTGCCACCATGTCCAGCTAATTTTTGTATTTTTAGTAGAGATGGAGTTTTGCCATATTGGCTAGGCTGGTCTCGAACTCCTGACCTTGTGATCTGCCCGCCTCAGCCTCCCAAAGTGATGGGATTACAGGTGTGAGCCACCATGCCTGGCCTATTTTAATTTTTTTGAGGAATCTCCACGTTGTTTTACATGATGTCTGTACTTAGTGTTGCTATGAGGTATTTCTTTTGCTGAATTTCAGTCAGAAGTGATTGAAAGCCACTGCCCTAAGTGACCACAAGGACCAGTTGCATCATACCCTTATGTGTGTTACCCCACTTACCAAGACTTTCAAGCTTCTCATTTGACCCATTTTCACCTGGACTGTCATCTACTTAAGGGTCTGTACATCCCCCAGTTTGACCCAATATATCACCCCTTTAACTTCTCAGACCTTTCCACTCTGCCCTTTGGAACTCATTGGTCTGTTAATAGCAAAATTCCCAGCATTCTCAAACTCTCTTTGTAACATTACTTCTTTTTCTTGCTCTATATGAAAACTGACTCTCCCCTGAAGCCACTGATTCCCCTATATCCTCTCATGTGGCTTTTCCTTCCCCCACTTCCTGCCAACTACTGGTCCTGAAGGTACTGTCTGTTCCTCATGCTGACTTCCAGACCATTGTTTCTTCTGCATCCTTAAAGAACCCAGCTCCTTCAGACCATACCATCCACTGCCCGTCATTGTTGCAGTCTTCTTCAGTTCTGATGGTTAAACTTATCCATTGAAAATTAGACCAACTGGCCGGGCGCGGTGGCTCACGCCTGTAATCCCAGCACTTTGGGAGGTCGAGGCGGGCGGATCACAAGGTCAGGAGATTGAGACCATCCTGGCTAACATGGTGAAACCCCGTCTCTACTAAAAATACAAAAATATTAGCCAGGCATGGTGGTGGGTGCCTGTAGTCCCAGCTACTCAGGGGGCTGAGGCAGGAGAATGGTGTGAACCTGAGAGGCGGAGGCTGCAGTGAGCTGAGATCGCGCCACTGCGCTCCAGCCTGGGTGAAAGAGCAAGACTCCATCTCAAAAAATAAAAATAAAAATAAAAAAGAGCAACTGTTTTTGCTTCTTTCTTTCCATACCTAGTCCTACCGTCATTCTTGGTATTTTCAAAATCCACATGGATCACCCATCCAATGTCCTGGCTTCTCAGTTCCTTGGCTACCTCAATTCCAATGATTGTGTCCTTCACCACACTCAGTCAGACATTGTCATGGTCATACACTAGACCTGAGCTGCTCAATACAACAGTAACTACCCACATACAGCTTTCTAAATTTGAAATTAATAAAATACAATAAAGATTAGTCCTTCAGTAGCACCAGCCACATTACGAGTGACCAATTGCCATGTGTGGTTAGTGGCTACCATATTGAACAGCATAGATATAGAATATTTCCATCACTGTAGAAAGCTCCATAGAACAGTGCTGCACTGAGACCTTGTCATTACAGTTTCAAGTATTGTACTTAGACTACCATCTCACATCATTGCAGTTAACTCCCTCACATACCTCACCCTAATAACTCTTTGACTCCACTCAGACCTTCAATCCACTAATCTCAACACTTTCCATTGTCCATTATCTTTCTCATGCCCCCACTTTCCCTGTTACCCAACTTAAATTTCGAGGCCCATATTTGTAGCCCTTTGCATAAAGCTTTTGTTATGGAGCAACTCTCTTGCTCCTATTTCCCCCTGTCTTACTCAGTAAGACAAACACTATCCCAGGTTAACTCTCTCCTCCTACACTGTATCTGCACTCAAGAAGCTGAATGTAGCTGAAGAAAAATTGTAACTGTAATGACTGACCTGAAATTCATGACCACAAAACAAAAATACCAAACACCTAGAAATAAATCTAAAAGACTTTGACAAAACTTGTACCTAGAAGATGAAAAAAATTAAGAAAAAAATGTAAAAACAAATAGATTTAATATGTTCATGCAAGGAAAAACTCAAGATTGTGAAAAGTCAACACTCCCCAAATTGATTATATAAGCAATGCAGTCTCAATACAAGTTAAAACTTTGTTCTTTTCAAATTGACAAGCTGGTTCCAGTGTTCATTTGGAACTGCAAAAGGCCAGGAATAGCCAAGGTGCTTTTGAATAAGAAGAAGGTGGAGGCTTTGTTCAAGACTTAATTTAAAGGATTTAAAAACTCATTCTAGAGCTAAATAATTTACAGTGTTATTATACTAGTTACCAATTTATGACTTTTAGCTCCAAATGCACCGTTCTTTGCTCTGCTTTGTGATAGTAGAGCTGGACCCTGGAAACATTTCAATGCCAGGTGGCGGAATGTTAGCCTTTGTCGGTAGAGGGCACTGGAGGGATACTGCAAGGCATAGCAGGAGGAGGAAGAGGGTGTTTCTTTAGGTTCTAGGATGCTTTTCTTCCTCTGATCGTGTGGCTCTCAGCAGCTTGCAGAAGACTCAGTAGTGCCCACCTTCCAGCTTGTTCTGCCAGCCTCCCACTGGGTACCTTCCAGCTTGCCAGCATTGGACTGTAGCACCATGGCCAGTCACTACTCCCTACTTTTACTATTTCTGTCTTCCTTAGAGTGTTCTTTAAATTCTGTTAGCACAAAACTACCTTTCACTAGTTAATAATTCTTTTTAAAAAACTTTTAATTTCAGGGGTACATAAGCAGGATGTGCAGGTTTGTTACACATGTAAATGTGTATCATGGGGGTTTGTTGTACAGACTTATTTCATCACCCAGGCATTAAGCCTAATATCCATTAGTTATTTTTCCTGATCCTCTCACCCCTTCACCCTCCACCGTCTGATAGGCCCCAGTGTGTGTCGTTCCCCTTGGTGTCTACGTGTTCTCATTTAGTTCCTACTTATAAGTAAGAACATGTGATATTTGGTTGTCTGTTCCTGTGTAAGTTTGCCAAAGATAATGGTCTCTAGTTTCATCCATGTCCCTGCAAACGACATGATCTCATTCTTTTTTATGGATGCATAGTATTCCATGGTGTATATGTACCAGATTTTCTTTATCTAGTCTATCATTGATAGGCATTTAGGTTGATTCCATCACTTTGCTATTGTGAATAGTGCTGCAATGAACTATGAACTTATACATGCATGTGTCTTTATAATAGAATGACTTATATTCCTTTGGGTATATACCCAGTAGTAGGATTACTGGGTTAAATGATATTTCTGTCATTAGGTCTTTGAGGAATTGCCACACTGTTTTTCACAATGGTTGAACTAATTTACACTCCCACCAACAGTGTCTAAGTATTCCTTTTTCTCTACAACCTCACCAGCGTCTGTTGTTTTTTGACTTTTTAGTAATATCCATTCTAACTGGTGTGAGATGTTATCTCATTGTGGTTTTGATTTGCATTTCTCTAATAAGGAGTGATGTTGAGCAGGAGAATGGCGTGAACCCAGGAGGTGGAGCTTGCAGTGAGCTGAGATCGCGCCACTGCACTCCAGCCTGGGGGACAGAGTGAGACTCTGTCTCAGGAAAAAAAAAAAAAAAAAAGAAAGAAAATTAGAGCAACTGTTTTTGCTTCTTTCTTTCCATCCCTAGTCCTGCCATCATTCTTGGTGTTTTCAAAATCCACATGGATGACCCATTCATATGCTTGTTGGCCACATGTATGTCTTCTTTTGAGAAGTGTCTGTTCATGTCATTTGCCCATTTTTTGATAGGGTGGTTAGTTTTTTCTTGTAAATTTGTTTAAGTTTCTTATAGATGCTAGATGTTAGACGTTTGTCAGATTCATAGTCTGTAAAATTTTTTTCCCCATTCTGTAGTTTGTTTACACTGTGTATAGTTTCTTCTGCTGTGCAGAAGCTCTTTAGTTTGATTAGATGCCATTTTTCATTTTTTGCTTTTGTTGCAATGGCAGAGCCTGCCTGGCCTCTGCTGTTTGTTGGACACAGCAAACATGCCTCTGCCTCAGAACTTCTGTGATTGCTTATTCCTTGCTTGGAATGTTCTGTCCCTGGATAGCCGCATGGCTTATTTAGTTCTATGCTCAAATCGCCATTCCTTAAAGGGACTTTCCCTCTAAAAAGAGGAAAATCAAAAATATTATTTCCAGGTGTTCTTTAGCACCTTACATTATTTTATATTTCTTCATAGTACTAATCTTTAAATATTTGTGTGTTTGCTATTGGTTATTTCCCTCTTAAAATGGAAAATCCATCAGGAGACACATTTTGTTTTATTTAATGCTCTATGTCCAGCACTTAGTTTTCAATAAATATTTGTTGAATGAATAAGTAAATGAATGCATGAATGATACTGACACTGAGTCACGTGGGCCCTAGGACTTATCTGGGTTACATGCACATATTCACATATTCTCTAAGCTACTGTTTTAGACTCACTGTAGGGGAAGCTCTGCTGCTTACTGGCATTGGGCTTTTCCTCTAAGGACACCTATTTTAGAGACTGACTTCCATTATATTGAAGATTTTAAAACTTGATAATGAAAATGTAAGTCAGATTATTTCACTTCCATGCTTAACGTCTCAAATAATTTCCAAGTATGGAATAAAATTCAAACTCCTTTCTCTGGCCTAATAGACTTGACCCTATCTGTCCTCTTCCAATCACTTTTCTGACCTCTTCTCCTTGTAATCTTCCTCTCGCTCCTTCTCCTTTAACCACACTTGGTTTCCTCTTCTTTGAACACCAAACTGGCTCATTCCATATTGTCTTTAAACTTATCTTTCCTTCCGTTTAGAACACTATTCCCAGATTTTCATTTGCTTAATCCTTTGTCATTCAGTGCAAACATCACCTTGCCAGAGAGATCTTTATTACCAAGGTAGCTCTCTCCTTTGTACCATCTTGCTTTATTTTTCCAAGGAGCACTTGTCACTCCATAAAAATTATCTGGCTTTTAAAATTGTTGATTCTGTCTTCCGTCTTGGGCAGAACCTTGTTTTGTTTTATTTGCTAGTATATTCCCAGTGCCTAGATAAACAGTGTGTGATACTTAATAGGTGTGCAATAAATATTAGCTGAATAAATACAGATACTCCTTGACTTACAATGGGATTACAACCTAATAAGACTATTGCAAGTCAAAATATCTTAAGTAAAAAATGCAGTTAATACACCTAACCTACTGATCATCATAGCTTAGCCTAGCCTACCTTAAATGTACCCAGAACACTTACATTAGCCTATAGTAGAACAAAATAATAAAATACAAGTTTATTTTATAATAAAGTGTTGAATATCTTATGTAATCTGTTGAATACTGAAAGGGAAAAGCAGAGTGGTTGTTTGGGTACTCTAAGTACGATTTCTACTGAATGCATATTGCATTCACATCACTGTAATGTCAAAGAATCAAAGTTGAACCATTGCAAGCTGGGGACCATCTGTAAATGCTTCATCAGTATCATTCAAGGGATGAAATGCTAGCCTTAGGTGAAACGTAGATGCCCTTAGAAATAATGTGAGCACTTTGGGGAACTTCCTGTTTGCAATAACTTAAAATAAATTGACTTCACACTCGCTCATACTTTCCTACAAAAGCCTTTCTTGGTTAAGAAAGAAGACATTAATTTCTAGTTGCTGATTATAAATAAGGTATGTTTTGTCACTCATATTCTTCCTTTGAAAACTGTTTTTACTATGATCTGCTGCTTATCTGAGTCTTCCCCTTTTGTGATTGCATGTAGGCTAGTATTTGCCTCTCGTCTACAGGGTCTTTGCACTTGGCTTCTGGTTTATCAGAGGCAGGCAGTCCCTGCTGCTGTTAGGAAGAAAACGATTAATCTTATTTATTTATTTTATGTATTATTTATGTCCCACCTGCTTCAAAAGTGAATTTGAGGCGGCTAACTTCTTAATTACTTTTGCCCTTGTCCTTTGAAACTTCTAGGCCCCGTAAGGTTTCTTAGCAGTGCCACTGGGTCTTTGATTTCTTCTTGAAAAGTACAATGTTGGGTGTGTGGATTTGGATAATCTCTGGGATCTTTTATAGTTGTGACATTTTGAACCTCCCTTCACAAAAGAAAGGGAGTTAATGACCAGTCACCTAGGGAGGCTGCATAACTCACCCACTTTTTCTCCTTTTTGGTTACGTCTTTACCACTTTCAGTTATACTTCTTAGGATACTAAGTTTGAAAGGTAATGTGTATATATATTTCCTTTTTTTTTTGAAATTAAAATGTGAACTTTTAAGTTGTTATATGTGAAGCTTATAACACCATTTATTGAGCACCTGCTATTTTCCAGGCAATACTAGTTTTCTTATTTAAGTTATATCATTTAATTTGTACAAAATTCCTATTATGTAGATATTAGTAACCCCCATTCTGCAGAATAGAACAACTAAGGATCAGAAGAGTTAAGTAACTTATGTAAGATAAAATAATATGGGGCAGGACCATGATTTGAATTTGGCTCTAACCAGTCCATAAATCAGATACTCTGAGGCTGGCCTCTGCAGATGTATATACTCCTCTGGGTGTAAATCGTAGAAGGAGAGAAATTCAATCTTAGCATTGGGTTTGGGATGACTAAGGGAAGCAAAACAGCTGTGGATAGAAACACTGCCTTTTTGTTGCCTTTTCTGCTTCTGGGTTATACATATTTGTGAAAATACATATATGATACAACTGTTATGGCAACAATAGGTGGATGGATGGTTAGATGGGATCACATTTGACTGGGGGTCTTAAAGGTTTCAAAAGGACTAGCTCAGTCAACAGAGTGGAGGTTGAGGTAAAGAATTTGCTTTCCAGACAGAACAAATAGCATGTGTGAATCCCTTAAGATGAAGTGCACTTGGAAACGATGACAAGTTTGGTAGAACCAGAGTGTAGACTCTGACTGGCTGCACATTTGAGAAAGGCTTGGAAATGAGCCTGGAAAGATCAGCAGAGGCCAGGTTATGAAGAGCCTTTTGTACTTCACTAAGTATCTTGGCATGGGTCCCATAAGTGGTGGAGGATCATTGAATAATTGAAGAGGAGTGATGTGATCTGGCTTCGCTTTAGAAAGCTGGCTTTCCTTGAGTGTTGTCTCTATCTCTTAGGACCTGACTAGCTATTGTTGGCCAGTTATGAGTATTCCCTTTGGAGAATACCTCATTTTCTTGTGGGCCAGGATTCTCACTGTGTTACCCAGGGCCTGTGTATGGAAGGCGATACATCAAGGACAAGCAATGTCAGAGCCTGAATGGGAATCTGTGGATGGAAGGCCCCAAAACTCAGTCTTGAAAGGCATTTTTCTATTGCTCTTACGATTATAAGGGAGGCTATCTTTGCCTTAAATGTTAAGGTATTCTGTGAGTAAATTTTCTGCTAGACGTGAATCAATGCCAATTTGAATTCATACAATAAACTCTGGAAAACAGAATTCAATTATGGTTCTCTTTCCCTGCATAGCTAAAAGGAGCTGAATACTTTGCCTCATGTTCAGACACCTGGAGGGAAGAGTGGACAGCTTCTGGAGTGAAAAAGAAGGGAACAGAAAAGGGACGGAGACCTTGAGGCAGAGGTTTTGTCTGTAGTTCCTCAATACCCAGACAGGATTCTAACACCAAGCTCAACACTCCCCAGGCAATGCTTTTAAAATGAAAGTGTAACCAACATTTGTTAACTGCTTGTCAATTGGGAAAACATTTTCTAAATACATAGCTTAAGGTGCCTTGCACAGTGCTTGTTGATTATCGGATACTAGAAAG
Organism: Homo sapiens; assembly: GCF_000001405.40. NCBI lineage: Eukaryota > Metazoa > Chordata > Mammalia > Primates > Hominidae > Homo > Homo sapiens. The sequence goes on from NC_000017.11 coordinate 51,591,066, forward strand.
TACGGTTAAAAAATTCTTAAAAAGTTACAAGTTGAGAGTTAAAAAAAATTAATCTTATTTTTCATTTTACGAACTCATTTTAGATTAAAACTGTGAAGTTACTGAATAATAAATTTTTTTTAAGACTCTTTCCCCAGTCTGACAAAACATGCCAATTCTGTTGTAAAAGCTATATGTGACGGGGAGGACGATAGCCCAGTGATTTATGGGCTTTGGAATCAGACAAACATAATTTAGAATTCACCTGAAACTTGAGTGTCAGCTGGGTGTGGTGGCTTATGCCTGTAATCTCAGTGACTTGGGAGGCTGAGGCAGGAGGATTGCTTGAGCCCAGGAGTTTGAGACCAGCCTGGGCAACATAGCAAGACCTCATCTCTACAAAAAATTAAAAAAGATTTACCAGGTCATGGTGGCACCTGCCTGTAGTCTTAGCTACTTGGGAGGCTTAGGTGGGTGGATCGCTTGAGCCCAGGAGTTCGAGGCTGCAGTGAGCTATGACAGCATCACTTCACTCCAGCCTGGGCAACAAAGTGAGACCAAGTCTGGGAAAAAAAAAAAAAACAACCGAAAACAAACCCAAACAGAACCCAAACCCCCAAAACAAAAAAACTTGAGTGTCCTTGGGTCAATCATTTCATCTCTGTAAGTTTTAGTTTCCCATCTAGTCCGTCCCCACTTCTGATACATACTTCTAGTTCTGACACTGACTTGCTCGACCAGAGCTCTCAACATTTATCTTGGACTCCTGATACTTCCATTTTCAGTTTATCTTTCTACCTTGACATTAGTGCTTGTAGACGACTGGTAATAACCCTTTCTCCTTCCATCATCTCCCAACTACCTCCTGCTCTGGCAGGGCCTAAGACCTCCTTCCTTGGAAACTGCCTGTGATTGACAGAATAATGTCCTCCCTTCCTCCCCACAAAGATGTTCATGCTGTCATTTTCAGAAGCTGAGTATCTTATGTTATACGATAAAGGGGAATTAAGGTTGCAAATGGAATTTAGGCTGCCAATCAGCTGACCTTGAATGGGGAGTTTATCCTGGATTATCTGGGTAAGTCCAGTATAATCACAAGTGTCTGTACTAGGGAAAAGGGGGATCAGGGGAGTCAGGGTCAGAGTAATGTATGTGAGAGACTTGAATGGCCAATGCTGGTATTGAAGATAAAAGGGGCTATGGCCCGGAATGTGGGGAACCCACCTCTAGAAGCGGGGAAGGGCAAGAGGACAGAGTCTTCCTGAGCCTCCTGGAAAAACTATTCTGCCAACACTTGGATTTTTGCAGAGTGAGACTCTGTTTAGACCTCTGGCACTGTAAGATAATACATTTCTGTTGTTTCAAACCACTAAATTTGTGGTAATGTGTTAGAGCGGCGATAGGAAACCAACACTCTGCTCTTTTGGGTAGACCATGTGCCTTCTGGTAGATCAGCTCAGACTTAAGAAGACAAGTTAATATGGATTTCAGAATATTTCCAAAAAGACCTGATACACAGGCAATTTAGGACAAATAATACCAATCCAATGCTCACCCCAGCTATCCAGTCCCATTTTGAAGTGGAGAGCAAAAAACCCTTTATGGCTTTTTATTATTCTCTGCTAAATACTTGGGTTAATCTTCCATATTTTGCCTGCTGCTTTTCTCTTTCTCTCTCTTCTTTTTTCTTTCTTTCTCTCTTCCTCTTTTTCTGTTTTTTTCTCTCTCTTTTTCTCTTTCTTTCTCTCTCTGCTTTAGCATTTTACCATAAGCACTACATTTTTATCTTACAAAAATATTTTTAAATGATTTAAAAAAGGATCATGTTATGAAGCATAGAATGCTAAGGGAGGTTTTTAAACTTTTAATCTTCTTAAGTAATGGTCCACTTTATCAACTGAAATGTGATGTGACTACATAATATATATAACAGATGATGGGAAATGGTTCAGGTAGAAATGGATTGATGATGGGGAGGGGAGAAGGTCCCCAGTGTTCAGCCTCATTGTCTGTGGTCCCTGAAGCATCTTGTTGGAGCTCCAGAGAAACTGTTGTTCTAGATCTGAGCTTTCATTTGACAGCTGGGAACACAGTCAGTGCAAGAGCCCATGACCAGGTAATGCCAGGATGGAGTCTTGAACCTGGGCCTCTAGGCCTGGCTCTCAGACTGTGTTCTTTCCACTAAAATACATTAGCCTAAAACCAAATTCTTGCTTTGTTTGATTTTTTTTTTTCCTCACTGATATGGTGAGAGACACAGGTGTTTTCTGGTGGGTAGATGGCAGGGTATTTTTCATCCAGGAAGTTCAGGCTTCATCATGTATCAGCTACTAAAATAATTTCTGAATTCTGCTACAACCATTCTATAGATGAGGAAACTGAGATTCAGAAAGCTGAAGTGACATACCTCCCATCCATTTCCAGCTCAGATCTCAATCAGAAAGTGTCTCTGCTCATTAGAGGTGATGAAAACCCTCCTCTGTCACAGTGGAAGGCTGTGCCACCTCCCTGAGCACTCTGGTTAAAAAAGAAAAAGAGAGAAATATGAGTATTTCTTCCTGATAGGAATGCACACAGCCAATATTTTGTGCTTGTTGGATTACATTAGAGGAAAATGTTGCCTTCTGCGGAAATCAATGAAAAATGACTGAATCCTTAAGGATTTCTCTTTGAGCATGTGGAATTAGTTATGAAGGCCTATAGCAAGAAGCCAACGTGGGAAACAGGTGATCCTCAACATCGAAAGGAAGAAGGATCCATCCTAGGCCAGCACTGAGAGTTATCATCACCTCTTCCTGAAGAGTAAGCATAGACTAGGGTCAGGACTCATGTCTTTTTCTAGTCCACTTAATACACATTCACGTTGTAAGTAGTTTTATTCCAGACTAAGGCTCTAATCACTCTGCACAAATCCACCCTAGGCATTGCTGTGTCTCATATCAGGGCTCATGCTCGCTTAGTACACACCTCTATGCCTTACCAGTAGGCATCTACTCTGACTGGCCAGGGCTGATGCCATAACTGTCATTAGAGATTCTGAATATTATCCATGATGTAAATACCGGGATCAGTCAAGTTTCTAGTACCTATAGCGAGCCGAGCTAGGTAAGCAGGGTCACTTAGAGAATTCCTTCTCAGTAAAATTTATTTTGATGTGGGTGAACTATTAAGCGATGGATCCCGAATTCCAACCCCTTTCTAACCGGCTTCCACGGCCGTACACTTTTCAGCACATAGTACTGCTGCATTTCAGGTGATGAAAAGCATTTTTCAATTTGATGGTTTTCATCTGCATTTTATTAGTCTATTTCTGGAAAACACACTATTTGTACATCACTTTGCTTGCAGACTTGTCTTTATTATTCCTTTCCCCACCTCACGTGGTGGGCCCAGGATCTGATTTTCTCTCAGCTCTTGGCCTATTTCTCATTCTCTCTCGGAGCAATTTACCCTCTGTGACAGTCCATCTGTCTCTCCTGCCCCCACTTATGAATACTCTGCCTTTTCCAATTTTCCTTATTTCCTCTTTAATATCATCTGTGTAGTCTTCCCTGACCTTTTCCAGCTCTTCAGATGGCCCATTTATTCCTTATCGATGCTGTTTGACTGGCGGAATCTTGCAGATTATGTTGACAGTGTTTCTCTCATATCTTGCCCTGTCGTCACTCTTTGTTAACTGTCTTATTGACCTTTTGTAGGGGTTTGTGTTTTTCTCTTATTAAAAATAAAAAAAAAGGAAAATGGCAAACATTAAATGTGCAGCCGTGATCTGAGTGTTACCATTTGAGAGCTCATCTGAGTGTCTGTGTTATCTGCTTCTGGGCTGTGTGCCTGCTGAAGTTAATAGAAGGGACTGTGTGGACTTACGCCCTTCAGTGGCCACCTCTGAAGATTGTGGGGGATTGTTTGATGGTCCTTGTTGATGAGTGTCACCAAAAAGGGAAGTAGATGGTTAAAAAAATCCTTAGCCAAATGAAATTTAATAGTTTAATTGAGCAAAGAACGATTCATGAATCAGGCAGCCTCCTAAGCCAGAGTAGGCTCAGAGAGACTGCAGCACAGCCTTGTGGTAGAAGATTTATAGAAGGAAAAGGAAAGTGATGTATAGAAAATGGAAGGAAGGTATGGAAACAGCTTTATGGGTTACAGCTTGACTTTTGCCTTATTTGGACACAGTTTGAACAGTTGGTCCCCTTTGAATGGAGAAAACCTGGCGATTGGCACCAGTGTGGGTTACAGTCTGTTTACACCTCCATTTAGGTTATTGTTCACTATGTACAGAGAAATCTTTAGGATGAACTTAAAATACGTAAGGAAGGCTGAGGCAGGTGGATTGCTTGAGCCCAGGAGTTTGAGACCAGCCTGGGAAACATGGCAAAACCCTCTTGCTACAAAAAATATAAAAATTAGCTTGGCGTGGTGGTGCATGCCTATAGGCCCAGCTACTTGGGAGGCTGAAGTGGGAGGATTGCTTGAGCCCAGGAGGTTGGGGCTGCAGTGATCTGTGATTGCACCACTGTATTCCAGCCTTGGTGACAGAGTGAGATCCTGTCTTTTTTTTTTTTTTGAGACAGAGTCTCACTCTGTCACCCAGGCTGGAGTGCAGTGGTGTGATCTCAGCTCACTGCAACCTCCACCTCCCGGGTTCAAGTGATTCTCCTTCCTCAGCCTCCTGAGTAGCTGGAATTACAGGCACACGCCACCATGCCTGGCTAATTTTTGTATTTTTTTTTAGTAGAGGTGGGGTTTCACCATGTTGGTCAGGCTGGGACCCTGCCTTTAAAAAAAAAAAAAGGCAGCTTTAGGCTAAACTTCATTTAACAACGTTTACTCGTTTGCATTATGGATCAGCAAACCCTTTCTGTAAAGGGCCTGATGGGAAAGATTTTCAGCTTCTCAGGCTATACAGTTTGTGTTGCTATAGCACAAAAGCAGTCTAAGACAACGTGTAAAGGAATGGGCATGACTGTGTTTCAATACAACTATTCACACAAACAGGCAGTGGGCCAGATTTGGTTGAGGGACCTTTGTTTGGCCTCTGTTTTCATTTTTATTTTATAGCTTTTACTTTTTCTTGGCTATATGTGCTTTTGCCTTTGCTGTATTTAAAAGTGCTTTCTCAGCAATAAGTTAGCATTCCATCCTGGGATACTTTCAGAGGTCACCGTGAGAGGGAGAGAGCAGCAGGGAAAAGGGAGTTTAGTGCAAGGAGATACCACGTGCTGTTTTTGGCATTGACAGAGGGTCCCTCATTCAGGCCCACTGGAAGAAGTCAGATGCGTTGTAAGTTGGAGATAACCTGAGTTGGGAGAGGAATTTTTTTGTTAATTATTATATTTAAGTTCTGAGGTACATGTGCAGAACTTGCAGTTTTGTTTAATAGGTATACACATGCCATGGTGGTTTGCTGCACCCATCAATCCATCACCTACATTAGGTATTTCTCCTAATGCTATCCCTCCCCCTAGCCCCCCCACTCCCTGACAGGCCCCAGTGTGTGATGTTCCCTTCCCTGTGTCCATGTGTTCTCATTGTTCAGCTCCCATTTATGAGTGAGAACATGCGGTATTTTTATTTGGCTGTGATCCTGAATGTCTTGCTCAGGAGCTTAGTAAACTTGAGTAAGTCACTTCATGTTTTTGGATTTTACTGATCTTATTTGTAAAATGGGGTCATTATTATTAATTGTTAAATGTAATATTCTATACTGTTTTATTTCACATCTCTAATTATCAGTTGCTGGCTGGCACAAGGACTTATATCTTGAGAGCATTGTTGTCTTCTAATATCTCAAGGATAATGTGTATGAACTTAATTGAAATATTAGACATTAGAAAATACAGACAAATTTGAAGATAAAAAATGCACAAGACCCATGATAATTGTAATATCACAGTGTATATTTTCTTCTATATTTTTCTGTAATTATATATCGTATATAATGGTGCATATTTTGAAAATGGCTGTTTTTCACTTATTATAAATTTATTATCAATGAATATTCATCTTATCATTTCTAATAGCTAAGATATCCTATTTTTATATACAGAATATTTTATATACTGCATGTGTATTCATTCCTTTTGCTCCATAAAGACAATGACATTGTCTTGCCTACCTGTGAACCAGACTTCAGTTGGAGGCTGTATAGAGTAATAATTTAGAGTAGTGGGCTTTGAATTCAGATAGATCTTGGCATTATTTCTGGATTTACCACTTATAAGTGTTAACCTCATGAAATGGAGAATGATGAAGTTCATTAATTTGGAAAGGAGAGCTTTACTTCTCATAAACGGTTGTAGCTTGCAGGGTGGCCATTCTAACAGGCTGGGAAGCATAGCTTTGGGCTAGAAGCCAGTAACAGGCACTTTGAGGGAGGGGCAAAGGGAATGTGAATTTATGCTGAATGAAGTGGCCAAATATACATATTTAATAAGCTGCAGGAGGAATTATGAATGTTTATGAAATGAGAAACACGTGCACGCACACTGAGCTTCATGTCACTCTCTGGGTCCCACGTGCAAAAATGGGCAGCGTTAGCATGACCTGAGGGTGGAGTTTTCATCCCTCTGACATCAAAGAGTAAAGCAGAGGACACAAGAACCCTTGCTGCATGTCCTCTGTAGACTGGCAAGAATCACTCCATGGTCAGTGGTCTCTTATTAGGAAGGAGTGCTGGTTGGTTGTGTGGAAACCCCAAAATGGTTGGGTAGCATTAGGTTGTTGGTTGATATCAGTGGTGGAGTCTTTCAAAAGAGTCGATTTCTGTTTAACCCTTAGGGAAGAAAGCCTAATGGTGGTTAGCCAGGGAGGAGGTATAACAAGGCATGTCTGATCTCTCATCCTGTTGTGGCTGGGCATTCAACTTCCAAGGTTTCTCTGGGATTGCCTTTATTTTTATTTATCAATTTATACAGTTTGGATATTTGTCCCCACCCAAATATCATGTTGAATTGTAGTCTTCAGTGCTAGAGGTGGGGCCTGGTGGGAGGTCTTTGAATCATGGGGGTGATCCTCATGGCTTGGTGCTGTCTTTGTGATAGTGAGTTCTTGTGAGATCTGGTCATTTAAAAGTCTGTGGCACCTCCACTCCAACTCTCTCTCTCACTTGCTCCTGCTTTTGCTACATGATGTGCCTGCTACTCTTACGTTCTTCCATAATAGTAAACTTCCTAAGGCCTCCCCAGAAGCTGAGCAGATACCAGCACCATGCTTCCTGTAAAGCCCACAGAACCATGAGCCAATTAAACCTTTTTTCCTTATAAATTACCCAGTCTCGGCTATTTCTTTATAGCAATGCAAGAATTGCTGAACACAGAAAATTGGTACTAAAGAGTGAGGCATTCCTCTAAAGATGTCTGAAAATGTGGAAGCAACTTTGGAACTGGGTAACAGGCAGAGGTTGGAAGAGTTTAGAGGGCTCAGAAGAAGTCAGGAAGATGAGGAAAATTTGCAACTTCTTAGAGAACGGGTTAAATGGTTGTGAACAAAATGCTGATAGTGATATAGATGGTGAACTCCAGGCTGATGAGATCTCAGTCAGCAGTGAGGAACTTATTGGAAACTGCAGCAAAGGTCACACATGTTATACCTTAGCAAATAACTTGGCTGCATTCTGTTCATGCCCTAGGGATCTGTAGAAGTTTGAACTAAAGAGTGATAATGTAGGGTATCTGCTGTAAGAAATTTCTAAGCAGCAAAGTGTTCAAGATATGACCTGGCTGCTTCCAACAACCTATGCTAAAATGTGGGACCTATGCTAAAATGTGGGAGCAAGGAAAAGACCTAAAGATGGAACTTACAGTTAAAAGGGGAGCAGAATGAGTTTGGAAAATTTGCAGCCTGACCACATGGCAGAGAAAGAAAACACCTTTTAGGGAGAGGAATTCGAGGAGGTTGAAAGCAACCACTTGCTGGAGAAATTTGCATAACTAAAAAGGAGCCAAGTGTTAATAGCCAAGACAATTGGAAAAAGACCTCAAAGACATTTCAGAGACTTTTGTGGCAGCTCTGCCATTAGAGGCCTAGGAGGGAAGAATGGTTTTGTGGGCCAGGGCCAGAACCCCACTGCCATGTACAGCCTTGGGACATTGCTCCTCACAATCAGCTGCTCTGGCTCCAGTTGTGGCTCAAAAGGGCCCAGGTACAGCTCAGGTTTCTACTTTGGAGAACGCAAGCTGTAAGCCTTGGTGGCTTTCATGTGATGTTAAGCTTACAGGTGCATAGAATGCAAGAGTGAAGAGTGCTTGGCAGCCTCTGCCTAGATCTCACAGAATGTATGAGAAAACCTAAGTGCCCAGGTAGAAACCTGCTGCAAGGGTAGAGTCAAACAGAAATGTGGAGTTGGGGGCCCCACAAAGAGTCCCCAGTGGGGCATTGCCTAGTGGAGTTATGAGAAGGGGGCCACCATTCTCCAGACCCCAGAATGGTAGATCCACTGGCAGCTTGCTCCCTGTCCCTGGAAAAGCCACAGGAACTAAATAACCTGTGACAGCAGGCTTGGAGGCTGAACCCTCCAAAGCCACAAAAATGGAGCTGCTCAAAGCTATGGGAGTCACCCCCTTCCACCAGTGTGTCCTGGACGTAGGACACAGATCCAAAGGAGATTATTTTGAAGCTTTAAGATTTAATGACTGTTCTGCTGGGTTTTGAACTTGCATGGGGCCTGTAGTCCCTTTCTTTTGGCCAACTTCTCCCTTTTGGAATGTAGAAGTTTACCCAATGCCTATACCTCCATTGTTTCTTGGAAGAAGTAACCAACTTGTTTTGGATTTTACAAGTTGTTAAGTGGAAGGGATTTGCCTTGTCTCAGATGAGACTTTGGACTTTTGAATTAATGCTGAAAGGTGTGAAGACTTTGAAGGACTATTGGGAAGGCATGATTGTATTTTGCAATGTGAGAAAGATATGAGATTTGGGAGGAGCTCCTGGCATAATTGTATTTTGCAACATGATATAAAATTCTAAGCACCCCTAACCATCTGAATAGATCCCTGCTGTTGGGCAAGGGCATCCAAAGTTAACTTGAAAAAACAATTTCAGGTCATGATGAGAAGGGGGAGCCAGACATGCATCATTGTACCCACTTTCCTTTTGGAATTACTGATTGAACAGACTCTTTACGCCTGATAAGAAACATTTACGATCTATTCTCTCTGAAGCTTGCTACCTGGAGGCTTCATCTGAATGATAAAACCTTGGTCTCCATAACCCTTATTGTAACTGAGACATTACTTCCTATTGATAATAATTCTTTTAACCAATTGCCAATCAGAAAATCTTTGAACTTATCTACGACTTGGAAGTTCCCACTTTCTGTTGTCCCTTTCCGGACCAAACCAATGTATATCATACATGTGTTGATTAGTGCTTTATGTCTCCCTAAAATGTATAAAACCAAATTGTGACCCAACCACCTTGGGCACATGTTTTCAAGATCTCCTGAGGGCTGTGTCATGGGCCATTAGTCACTGATATTTTGCTCAGAATAAATCTCTTCTAATATTTTAGAGTTTGACTCTTCACCAACAGTGAGAGGACATGAGATTTGGGAGGGACTAGGGGCAGATATCCAAAATAGTTTGGATATTTGTCCCCGCCCAAATATCGTGTTGAATTGTAATCCCCCATGCTGGTGATGGGGCCTGGTGGGAGGTGTTTTGATCATGGGGACAGATACATCATGGTTTGGTGCTGTCCTCATGATAGCGAGTTCTTAGAGGTCTGGTCATTTAAAAGTGTGTGGCACCCACCCTGTCTCCTTCTTGCTTACTCCTGCTTTCATCCTTTGCCTTCTGCTGCAATCAAAAGCTTCCTGGGCCTCCCCAGAAGCTGAGCAGATGCCAGCACCCTGCTTCCTGGAAAGTTTGCAGAACCATGAGCCAATTAAACCTCCTTTCCTTATAAATTACCCAGTCACAGGAATTTCTTTATAGTGATGTTAAGAATGGCCTATACATCAACCTAAATAAAAAGAGAGAGGTTCTCTAAAAGTACATGATATTTATTTGGGAGTAGGGTATTGCAATGTGAATATACATGCCCTAGTATTCAGGGAAGTAAAAGAAGACAAAGGGTTTTAAAGAAAACATGAGGAGAATTACATAACTGTTTTGAGATAATTATCCTTGGCTACAAGGATTAATAACAAGAGTGACACCAGTCTGAGATTGGACAGTCTGTTACTGGGCAGATGTCCTTGCAGAAGTATTTTTTTGTGTAAAGTTACGGCCTTTGTGCAAGGTTGTGTTTTTTTGCAGGCTTTGTGACAGTTTTTGTTATCAGCCATTTATGCATGAGAATTCTCTTTTCATGGCCTTCCACATTTCTATTTGTCAGGGCTATTTGACACAAATGAATGCATTTTTATTCTGACAACTTTCATATAAGCTATATGATTTTAGAGAATTTACTTACTCCCAGTTTCACCAGCTATATAATATATAATAACTCCAACTTCATAGTGTTGTGAGAATTAAATTATAAAGTATGTAATGTTCTTAGTATAGGGCTCAAACACAGAATAGTTCTGCCTTCACTGGTAAGTATAATGACCATTCATTTATTACTGCAATAACATTTACTGAATAGCTATAGAGTTTCAGTCACTATGACAAATTCATACGCTGAAAAATTCGAATATGGCCTCATCCCTACCTTGAAGAAGCTCTAGATAATTAAAAACACAGTTATAGAACAAGGAGATAAGAGCAGCAAAGTTGAGGGATGCACAGGGAGTGGGGAAGGAGATGGTGCATAGCCTTCCTAGGTGACGTGTCATATCAGGGACACAAGTATCATGCACTTTTAGGCTTGTCTTTACTTCCTCTTTTCCTCATGCAGCAGAAATGTAGTATAACAAAAAACACATTTGGTCTTTGTTCCTGGTTCTGGGAAGAGAGCTTCTAAATCTTTGGAATTTTCTGAGTGGTAAGAGTGTCTTTTGTTACTCATAACAAGCACTTTTTGATTATACTTCAGTTTATGCTAATGAGTGATTTCGGGTGGTGAATCCTAAACAGCCTCTGGATAGGTCTGGCTACCAGAAAGACCAGATGGTTAGAGAGTAGACACTTTCGGCTCCACCCACCAACTTTCAGGAAGGAGAATAGAGCTGGAAATAAAGCTTTATAAAAACTCTTGAATGACAAGCTCTGATGAGTTTCCAGGTTGGTGAACACATGGAGGTGACGGGAGGGTGGGTGATGTGCCCAAAGAAGGCATTGAAGGAAGCCCCATGCACCCCTCCACCTCCATACTTTGCCCCATGCATCTCCCATCTGGCTGTTCCTGAGCTGTATCCTTTATAACAAACCTGTAAAAATAAGTATAAAATGTTTCCTTGGGTTTTGTGAACCATTCTAACAAATAATTGAACCCAAGGAGGGGATGGTAGGAAGCCCCAGTTTATAGTCAGTTGGTCGGAAGTATAGGAGGTCAGGACTTACAACTGGCGTCTGAAGTTGGGGCAGTCTTGTGGAGTGAGCCTTCAGCTTGCAGGATCTGATGCTAACTTAAGGTAGTGTCAAAATTAATTAAATTATTGGACGCCCAGTTGGTATCCAGAGAGTTGGAGAATTTCTTGGTATACATTTGGTGTCTGAAGTGTTGTGTGAATGGAGGAAAAACTTTTTACAGAAGAGGAAATCAATTTCTTCTAGCACCACTGGTAAGGATGCCTGTGTCAGCTTCACAAGCATGTCTCCTATGTGGGTGCTCTGTGACTTGGAGTATACCTCCTCTATCCCTAATTTTTATCTGCTGGAGACACATTGTTCAAGGCCAAGAGATTCAGCCTTATGAAACCTGGGCCAGCCCAGGTTGGCCAATGGGCCATGAATGACCTGACACAACAGTGTTCATCAGATAGAAACTTCAGGTTGAGTATCCCTTATCCAAAAGGCATGAAACCAGAAGTGTTTCAGATTTCAGATTTTGGAATATTTGCATGTACATACTGAGATATCATGGGGATGGGACACAAGTCTAAAAATATAATTCAGTTATGTTTCATATATATTTATATATACAAAGGGTAATTTTATATAATATTTTAAATAATTTTGTGCATGAAACAAAGTCTGTATACATTGAAGCATAAGAAAGCAAAGGACTCTATCACATCACCCATGTGGATGATCTGTGGTTGTTTGACATCATTGTCATTCCTGACTGAATTTATATGCTACCATAAACAATAATTTTCTTACATTTACTCACCCGTAAGTACTTAACATTAGAAAACATGACATGCTATTAATAGGGTGAAAAAATAATGTGTTCAGGATAACTAAGCAGCACAGTAGCATTGCCATAATACCTGCATCTACTGTTAGGCATCAGCAGCAGCTGACAAGAGCAGGCTTTCAGTCTCCACCTTCGATGTTGTGTTTTGACTTAAGTTATTGTGCATTGTATTTCATTTTTCTTTGCTGAGAAGAAACATCAGAAGCAGTTGAGGGACCAGGACGTGGGTCACTTGGGATGAGGAGGCATTCTGCTGGATGGGATTTAAAGCTGTTTCCTCCAGAATCACTTGCTTCATGAACAATGGTTTTTATCTTAGAAGACTCTCTTTAGCTTAAACTGACATGCCTCTGTTATGAACACATGCTGCTCTAGTCCTTCAATAAGCCCAGTACATATTTTCTCCATGTTGTCTATGGGCACTTTTTCTGCAGTGTTAACAACGTCATCTTTGTCACTGTTATCTCAATCACCTTGATTTACAATCACTTTTGCTATTTCACCATCGGTCAATGAATGAACAACTGTAACCTTATTATTAATGTTAAAAACTTCTTTGATATCCATTTCTTCCGGCTTACTGATGGACTCCGAAGGTATGTTTTTTGCATATGTAAGGAGGTTAGACATCATGTTTTCCTCACTTGACATACAGAATCCTTCAAAGTCACCACCTTGTTCATCATCATCACTGAATGTAGTTGCAGGCCAGAGCTTGTGCCAGGCGTGCTCAACTGTGTCTTTAGTCACTGTGTTCCAAGTATTCCAAGTATTGGCAACAGCATATATGGCATCCTTCATGCTAAACTCCTTTTGAAAACCTGTCACACCCATGCCTCTCTTCACTGCTGTTAGCGTGCTGTTCAAGAAAGTGTTTTAATATTTACTCTTCATTGATTTAAGTATAACCTGATCACATGGCTGAAGTAATGGAGTCACATTTGGAGGAAAATACATAGCATAAACGTATTTTTGATGGGACTTTCAGCTGGAGGATGAGCATAACAGTTGACAAGAAAGAACAAAATCTTGCAGTCATCATCCAGTCTGGCTTCCCAGTAGTGAGTGTAACAGTAAGAAATCAAACATAACTGACTCCATCTTGTGTCTGACCTCACAGGCTAACTGCCTTTGCTCATTCCTGCATGTAAGCCAAGCCAGCTCTGGGAGGAACTTAGTTTACAGTTTAACTTTAAAAATAAGGATGATAACACACCCTTCCCAAAAATAACTCCCGAGGAGATAAGAGGGTGCGTACACAAGTAACAATGTTATTTTAAACATTTATAAGAGCATTGTGACCTGGCCAAGGACAGAGAAGTTTTGTAAGCCCCTGGAATATTAATCTATAAATTAAGGACTGAGGGATGATGCTTCTTTGGACAGGACCATTCTTAAACATACACCATGTATGTTTTATAGCTGATGTGGCAGAAAGATTTACTCTACTGGGCCAATTTTGGTTTATTCATGTTAGCTACCTGGAGCACTGCATTGACACAGATTCAAGGGCTATGTTCAGGCTCAGTGGGACAGAATGTCACAATTGCTCAGTGAGTCTGTCACAGGCACAGAAAGGGGCAATGCTTGCACCTATTAAAGGATGAGTACAATAAGTAGAGAAGTGTTTGTAGGGATTATATATTATAAAAAATCTTGTATCAGATTTTTTCTCATTCAAGCCCTCTGCTTAAAAAGCAAAAGGGGTGACCAATTAACATATTTAATAGACAAAGGATTATTCCTATTAGTATATAAATAACTCATACAAATCAGTAAGAAAGACAACCTAACCAACCTAACAGAAAAATGGTCAAAGAGTTACAGATAATTTACAGTAGAAAAGAGTGCCAATAAATATTTGAAAAATTGCATACTCCAGTAACCAAGAAAATAAAAATTTAAGTGACAACGAATGAGATGTTTTTTAAACCTATCAGATCAGCAAAAAATTGAAAAGTGAGAAAGTCCAAGATTGGATGGGATTGTGAGAAAATAGGAACAGTCATACACTGTAGATAGATGTACCAATCAGTAGAGTCTTTATCGAGGGTGTTTTGGCTGTACCTATTGAAATTCTAAATGAACGTGCTTTCACCCAGGAATTCCAATTCCAGATTTGTGTTCTACAGAAATACTTATTCATGTGCACAAATATGTACAAGGATACTCATTACAGAATTGTTTGCAATTGTGAAAAATAGTTAACCTAAATGTCCATCAAGTGGAAGTTGATTAAATAATTATATATATGTATATATACATACATACATACACACACACATACACTGTGGAAATTGACAACAGTTTAGAATAATGAGAGATACACATGCCCAGACATGGGAAGATCTCTGAGATATAAAGTAAAAAATTATTTTGCATATTATATATATATATAGCATATAATAAATATAAATATATATGATCTTATTTATTTTAAAAATCCAAACAATACATTAATATGCACACTCTAAATGTGAAAATGCATTTTTAAAAAGTCTACATAGATAGAACCTAAAATGTTATGTGGTTACCTCTAGGGAGGAGGATGATGTTGGGGGTGAGAGATGGAAGACAAAGAGGAACTTTTTTTTCACTCGATGTATTTTTTTATTGTTTAAAATTTTATTCCTGAGAATGTGTTCCCAATTATTTTATAAGAATAAGTCAAGATGTGGGAGCATGTGTCATTCCAGAAAAGTACAGTTGGGGACACATGCTGGGGCCAGATGATGCGAGCCCTGAGTCTCAGGGTCAAGGTTGAACCCACCCTGCAGACAGTGGGGAGCTAGTGAAGGGTCTAAGAAGAGAAGAAAAGGATCAAGCCTACATTTCTGTTGGCCGCCCCTGGCAGTAGCTAGAGAATGGTGGATGCAACAGGGCCACTATGTGTTTATCGAACAGATAGATGGGTAAATGACTGATTGCATATGAGAAAGCCTAAGTGTAAAATCACAAGTGTCACCTCTGGGATGATTTTTCTCTCTTTCCAAATCAATTCAGAGAATGCATTAGCAGCTTTAAAGTCAGCTTGAAAAATGAGGGCCTTGGATTGAGTACAAGTTGTGAGCCATCATCATCTGCTTAGTATGATTATTCTCAATAGCTGGGTCTTGACTCTTTGAAGTTTGTCATAACCAATTTGTTGGTAGTAATGAAGTAACAGTGTTTGCAAATGGTGTACTTAGGAAAAGTGGGAGCAGCCTCGAGATTATGTTTATAAAAGTATTATCCCCCACGTGTGGCATTCTGATATGTTTTCTTCAGTGGAGGGGAAGGGATGGGCACCAGGCAGGGTGCTGGAGGAAATCAGACTTAATGTGTCTTTCCTGTGACATGTATTCGACTGGGAGAAAATTTTAAGAGCCCCTGTTTTGAGGAAAGGATAGTGGCCCCCCTTATATCTGAAGTACTATAGAATTGAGTATGTTGTTTAAAACAGCTTTCCATTCATTCTATTCCCAGGTGAATTTCTAATCGCTGACCCTGATGCTCTGATCGCTACCAAGTTGTTCACTTTGCCATTGGTGTGCTGGTAGACCAGCTCTCCAGGAAGAAGAAAAAAAGCCTGGTTTGTAGTGTTTGCCAATTTCCATGGTGTAAATGCTCCCACCGTGGCTGATTTCAAACCACCAATGGTTTAACAACTAGCATGCAAAATTCTTGAATGTTTTACTGTCAGCTTTCTGTGAGCTGGCATGAGTTGCCACAGTATACCATTGCTCCTTGACCTGAAACTTCATTGCAGTTGAAAACAAAACAAAACAAAATCCTGTGTTCTGGTCTAACTTAGGGAATGGCTTGCCTTTGGTGAAGAGGTATTATTAACCTACATCTCTCCTATCTCTCCTCTACTTTGTCGGGAACTCTTTCTTGAGAGCACAATAACTTAAGGGTTAATAACCCCATTTTATGGAGGAGAAAGCCGAAATTCAGAAAGAAATAACTTGCTCGAGACTCTATTTGTCAGTATACCTGGTTGTAAATTCCCTCCAGAAGAATGGGTCTCCCCCAAGGTCCAATGCGTCAACTCCTGGGCGGCAGACCCTTAGGATCAAATAAGGCAGCTCAGGCATAGTCCTCCGTAGTTACAAGGAAAAGAGCATGACCTAAGTGTTTCTACAGAGATTTAATTCTCACAACACTTTTATCGTTTATGAAAACACTAAGTGGAAAGTGATTTGTTAATTGTAAAGTGTGAGAGAAATACTAGTTAATAACTACTTGTTAGTATTGACAATAATCTCATTAATGCTCACAATGGCCCTATGTCATAGGCAAGATTATCAACAGGC
Organism: Homo sapiens; assembly: GCF_000001405.40. Classification (NCBI taxonomy): domain Eukaryota; kingdom Metazoa; phylum Chordata; class Mammalia; order Primates; family Hominidae; genus Homo; species Homo sapiens. The sequence goes on from NC_000017.11 coordinate 51,607,586, forward strand.
TGGAAGTGAAGATGCCAAGGGTCTGAGGGGTTAATTCAATTACTTGGGGCCTGATAGCCTGTGAGGGGTCAAGCCAAAGGGCCAGATCTGCAACCCATATCTTCCAAAGCCCAGCATGTTCTATCACGTTGCTTCTTTGTACATAATCTTTTCTCCTCTACTGGGTTATGACCCCGTGAGGGCCAAGATTCTCCTTTGTCTTTGATGTCTTTGTTGTTCACCAGCCAAAATGAGTTTTGATTTCCAGGAGGTAGTTTTTGGCCTAGTCTAGGTAACAGGGTTAGCTAATGCAGTCATTCAGCTGATTCTCATACAAATTCCTTAGCTCTCTAAGGGAGAAATCCAGATAGACCTTTTACATCAGGTAAGGCACTTGGGAATTTGCAATTAAGTAAGAAGATGTTGTTGACTGAGTTCTCGCTATCTGTGCAACTGAAAAAGCAGCCCAAGTTTCCTATAAAAAGTGGAGCTGAAGCATCAGCTTTATAAAGAGGGCTGCACATCTGTCTGTTTCTGCCTGGCACTTCTGAGTTCCCAGTCTACCCACAAAGGGTTCACAGCCTCCGTTCCCAACCACTCAGCCGGACCTGCAAACACTTTGCTTTCTTGACTGAATCCAGTTGTTTTGATTTCCTGGCTTCTCCCTCCAAGACTTATTTTCTGCCTTGTGGTCAGTCTTTAATAACCTGCTGGGAAACAGAAGGAAGGCCAGAGTGTAATGAAGGATGGGTAGGGTTGCGGGAGGTGAGCCTGAAGCGAGATATACGGCAATATGCAGTGTGTACTGACTTGCGTTCAGAAACTTTTTCTGGTATGTCAGTCTTTGCAACAGTAGGTTACATTCCTTGCGGACAGGAGCTAATTCCTGTTCCTCAGAGTAAATAGCACAGTGAAAAAGTAAATATTTATTGAGTGAAAACCAGTGAGGAGAGCTAGTGTGGCCTTGGGCAGATCACTTTACTTATCTGTACATCACTTGGATAATCTTAAAGGTAGGAATAAAAACTCTCCAAAGTAGCAAGGTATAAAAAAAGCGATCAGCAAACTGTTCCTATAAAGTTTTAGAGAGCAAATATTTTAGGCTTTTCAGGCCGTATGGTCTCTGTGGGATACTCAACCCTACTATTGTACCACAAAAGCAGGCACAGAACAGTGAGCACAGCTGTGTTCCAATGAAACTTTATTTACACAAACAGGCAGTGGGCTGATGCTGCTGTAGCGGGAAGGGTTTGAGAAATGAGATTAGACCCATGGGGGCTTGACTCCTACCTTGGACACTAACAATTTGACTTTAGGCAAGTTAATTAATCTTTCTGATCCTGAGATTGTTCGGCCATAAAAACCATGATGACTGCAGGGAGGGTTGTGAGAACTGGATGAACATATATGGAGTACATATCCTGGGGCCTGGCACATGTAGTCATTGCTGCTTTCATTATTATTTTCATTATTCCAGCTCTACTATTCAAGGAGTCTCTGAGTCTCAGAATCCTGCTGGTATTTTTAGTTTAGGCTTCTCTGAGACGTAGGCTGACAGCTCCTAGGTGACATTTCCTTTGAGAAACAATAAACAATTTGAGCAGATTCCTTATCCAGGCTTGTGCCCTGGGGATAGATAAAGACAAGCTTTAGGTATAGCATTCTAGGTGGGCTGGTGGAACTTTACTTTTTAAAATGTCAGCCTGGATCAGGCACAGTGGCTCACACCTATAATCCTAGCACTTGGGGAGGTCAAAGCGGGAGGACCACTTGAGGCCAGAAGTTTAAGACCAGCCTGGGCAACATAGCAAGACCCTGTTTCTACCAGAAAAAAAAAAAAATGCCAGCCTGGGCCCCACCTTCTGGCATGTTTTTTCCAGGCAGCCTGTGCCCTTCTGTCCTGAGCTTCAGGGAGGCCCACTTAGGTCTCCTTCATGTGTTATCCTGGCCTTTGCTCCCATTCCTTCCCAAGGCCTTCATCAGAGGATCTCGAATCTGGCCTCCTGGGTCACAGGAAACACAGACCTTCAGGTCAAGTGCAGGGCATTGACTGTCAGGGTTCAGGTGGCATTGTGTAATTCAAGACAAGTATAAGAAATGGAGCCAGGTCTTCGGAGACCTGGGGAGTGGTGAAGAACTGATGACAGTATCCCCAAGTTGGGAGGCTATCGCGTAGGGGTTGAGCAGGCGGCCCTGATGTCAAATTTCCCAGGTGTGAATCCTGGCTCACCACTTGTTACCTTGGGACCCTGGGCAAGTGTTGGTTACCTAATGTGTAAAATGAAGACTATAATTGTACCTATGACATAAGAGTGCAGAAAGGGTTAACTATGGCTCTTTCTTCCATCTAAGTAGCAGCTTGCTGTCCAGCTGCTGAGGGGCTGCTCTGTTCCCTCTCTCCAGAGTGCATACTCATCGGCTTGCACAGGACCCCAAGTGCTGACTTCAGCTCTGGAGTTTACATGACTGTGGCGTTATGTGAATGCATGGTTTGATTTCTTGGTAGCTTTTCTTAGCATTCATTTAGTTATTTCTTTCATTCATTCTTTAAGTTATTTATTTACGTATCTATTCATTCCACATTAATTGGGCATCTACTATGTGCCAGGCATTATGCTTCCTGCTCAGATTACAAATAAGACATAATGCTTGCCTCCAGGGAGTTGCTCATCTAACGGGTAATAGATAAGCAAACAATTAGAGTACAGTACAAAAGTGTCTGCAATACAGATGCATACATAGAGAAAGGGCAGATGGCGAAGTCAGAGGAGGTTCTGGCAGGAAGTGGTACTTAGAATGCTTTTACTATGCAGGTGAGAGGGGTTGGGGAAGGATGTTTCAAGTAGAAAAAGCATATACCAAGGCTTGAAGTACTGTGATTTGTTCGAGGCCTTGCCAGTAATTCGTGTGATGAGAACACAGGGTATAGGACAGAGAGTCTGAGGTCTCAGAGCAGTGGGGAAAGGTGGGGGTCAGATAATAAAAGGCCTTATGGACACTACTAAGTGGATTGAATTTCATTTTTATTCCAAGGGCAATGGGGGAACCTTGAGAGATATAAGCAGGAAGTGAGAGGTCAGATGAGCCCCGGGGGCTGCAGGGGAGCCTTCTGGAGACTTTCTCAACAAATCGGCTCTGTTACCACCGCAGTCAGAGGCCCACAGTGTACAGCAATGTTGTTTTTTCCTTTTTGCATTTTATTTTGGACAAAACCACAAGAAAATGTCATTTACACTCTGAAGAGTGTTTTGCCCAGGGCAGAATTGGATGTCAGGCCCAACCTGCTGAACGGTGACAGGTTGCTGTAGGAAATGAGGTACTTAGTTTGAATAGGTAATGGTCCCAACTATTCTATAGAAAACTCCGAACTTCAGACTTGAACTCCTTCAGGATGCGTTTCCCATCTCCCAGTCCCGGGTAATTGCTCCCTGCACTGTGTGCCCTTTGTGTTCTGTTCAAGTTTTTGGCTGACCTCCACCTGTTTCAGATGCAGGGACTGATAATCCGTCTCCTTTGTCAGAGTCCTAACCTCTCTGGAAGAAGGCATGGGGCTTACATACTCTTGTGTCCTCCATAGCATGCTGTAGAGTTGCTTGCCCATGGTAGATGTTTAATTAAGATGTGTTATTTTAAATCTGATTTTAAAGTCCCCTCCTTTACTGCATGGGTGAGGAATTTAAGAGGGAGGGAGGAAGGGAACAAAGAAGGAAGGGAAGGATAGAAGGAAAGAATGAAGAAAAGAAGGAAGGAAAGAAAAAAATTTCTTTTTTCTGATATTTTTTCTTCTTTTACTGAAGGCTCCCCTCTGGCTGGCACCGCACCTATATTGTTCATTGAGTCCTCAGGAAAGGGATAGTTTCACCCTATTTTCATAGATAAGAAAAATGAGGCTCAGAGAGACTAAATAACCTGCCCATATTTGTGAAACAAATTATTGCCCCGTCTGGGCCTAGACTCGTCTCTTTCTAGCGCATCCCACATCTTCCTGGGACTGAGACTGCAGTGAGGGCCCATGCTGCACTCGATCTATCAGCCTTGGGATCTAGATCCTCCGAAACTTTGACACGTGATGTAGCTGCTCTCTTGGGAAGGCCACCAGGTACCCAGACACACACAGCATAAATGCCTTAGCCAAGGGAACACAGTGGAGACTCGCATCATGGGTAAATGAAACCCGTGGGGCAGAGGGAGGAAGCAGCTGCTCTCTGAGGCCTGTAGCTACAGGAAGGGCCGGTCCCTGGAGCTGTGGCCTTTCACAGACAATCCAGACACTGTCAGCCTGCTGCCTGGGGGAGAGAGCTGTGGGAATAAATACCTCCCCCTCACTCTCTCCCCATCCTCTAGTCTCTTGCTTGTCACAGGACTATTACTGGTCCCAAATGGGAATGAGAGCCAGGGAGCTTGCTAGTGGGTGCCAAGGTCAGTCTCCTGGGGTGCAGAGCAGGATACAGACAAGTGGAAAATGGGTCTGGAAGGGGAAAGGAGACGCTATAGCACCCTGGGGAAATGAGGAAGCTCTGTCCTGGGACTTGTGGATGGAGAGGGCCCAGGACTCAGGTGTCTAAGTGTTTGTGTTTCTGCAGCAACATTCACTTTCACAGGTGGCCCTCCCCTTGTGAGGTGAGTCAAGTCTCCCTCTCCCAGAGTTGCACAGGTAGAAGGGCAGATCAACCAGCTACTGAGTGAAATTGTTACCTCCTGCCTAGGAGGCCCTGCCTTCTCCCAGGACAGACCCCATTGGACCAAGAGCAGCAAATCTTCTCCAGAGCAAGGTGGGCCCTGGCTGGGCTGAGGTACCAGGAGATGGAGTGACTGTGTTTCTTAAGGCAGCAGCGGAGAGGGTAGCACTCCTCCCTGTACTGCCTGTACAGGCCTGTATTGAAAAAAAACAGTGTCTGTATTGCAGACACTTTTGTACTGTACTCTAATTGTTTGCTTATCTATTACCTGCTAGATGAGCAACTCCCTGGAGGCAAGCATTATGTCTTATTTGTAATCTGAGGAGGAAGCATAATGCCTGGCACATAGGAGATGCCCAATTAATGTGGAATGAATAGATAAGTAAATGAATAAATTAAAGAATGAATGAAACAAGTAAATGAATGGTAAGAGGAGCTGCTGAGAAATCAAATCATGCATTCATTCAATGCCACAGTCATGTAAAATCCAGGGCTGAGGCCAGACCGTGTTGGGGGCAATGCCGCATTCTCATAAAATGATTTTGTCTCCATTCTAGTCACACAGGAAGACTACATTTCCAGTTTCTTTTGGATTTAGAGTGGGCCATGTGATAGGATCCTGGCCAATAAGATGTGGCCATAAATGACAGATGACACTTCCCAGTCTGGCCATTAGACCTCATGAGTCATTGTCCACAAACTCGCTGGTTTTTCCTTTTGTGTCACTAGAAGCAAAGGACTCTCTTCTTCAAAATTGATGGTGGTGTCTGTGATGGTTAATTTTAGGGTCCACTTGACTGAATTAAGATATACATAGAGAACTGGTAAAGCATTACTTTTGGGTGTGTCTGCATGGGTGTTTTCAGAGAAGAATGTTGTGTGAATTGATGGACTGAGTGGGGAAGATTAGCCCTCAAGGTGGATAGGCCCACAGCCAATTGGATGGTGCTTGCTAACACTGAGGGCTAATCTTCCCTACTCAGTCCATCTCTCTCTGTCTCTCTTACCCTATCTCCCTTTCTCTCCCTCTTTCTCTCCCCCTCTCCTCCTCTCTCCTTCCCCTTCTCCCGTCCCCCTCCTCTTCTCCCCCCTCTCCCTCATCCCCCCTCTCCCTCTCCCCACTCTCCCCCTCTACTCCTCTACAGACCCCCTCCCTCTCCCCACCTCTCCCTCTCTCCCTCTCTCCCTCCCTCTACCCCCTCTCCCTCCCCCCTCCCTTGCCCCCTCTCCCTCCCCCTCTCCCTCCCCCTCCCTCACCCCCCTCTGCCCCTCTCTCTCCCCTCTCTGCCCCCCTCCCCCTCTCTCCCCCCTCTGTCCCCCTCTCTCTCCCCCTCTCTCTCCTTCTCTCTCCCCCACCCTTTCCCTCTCCCCCTCTCTCTTTCCCTCTCCCCCTCTCTTTCCTTCTCCCTCTCTCTCTTTCCCTCCCCACCACCCTCCTTATCCTATTGGTTCTGTCCCTCTGGAGAATCCTGACTTACACAGTGGCTGTGTTTAATACAGCAGTATCCTAAGTGGGAAAAAGAACTTGGATCCCTGAGTCACCCCCTGCTTGGAGGACAGCTACCGAAGAGAGTTGACATTGATATTGGACTGTAATGTAAGAGAAATAGAAATCTTTATTATGTTAAACTTTTGGGGTTGTTATAGCAGTTAGCTTTAATTAACTTCATTCATTAATATACTCTTCTCTTCCTAGTCTTTAGCTGGACACTGCCTAATTGAGGCTACCTCAAACGTGTGCTTGATGTGCTAAGCCTTTAAATGGAAATATTCAGGGGAAACGTTTCTAGGATGTGGGAGAAAATACCACCTCTATTTTGGCATTTTACTCTTAGATAAAAATGACACTTATCTGATCATCACTCTGTGGCTAATGCTATGCTAGGCACTTAAACAATATGCCAGGCATGTTCACACATGTTAACTCAGTGAATCCTCTCAAACAATCGTGAGAGATTATTTATTATTCATTATCTCTGCTTTGCATAAGAAGAAACTGTGGCTCAAAAAAAATTAAATAACTTTCAATCATTGCACAGCTGGGGAGCCATCAAGTTACTAATAATCCAGAAGGAAGAAGGGACCTTCAGATGAAACAATACAAGAAAGACTTTCAAAAAGGCACGTGAAGAACAAGACATCTGTAATGCAGAAGGTACCAGAGTAAATGAGCTGTCAGAATTCAGAAAGCTTCACCAAGTATTGTGTAAAACACGTACGTGTGTTCTCAGTGAAAAAAGAAAAAGAGAATAGAAAGCAACGCCCTACCCATTTATGTGAGAAAACTGAGGGTCATAGAGGGAAAGTGCCTCATCCATGCCGCCTGGCTAGTAAGACAAAACCCTGGGACTGGAACCCATGTTTAAACCCCACTCTTTTTTTCTTCTATTGGTAATCAGACTTCTCCTAGAAAGTGGCCATTCTCTAATCACAGCTTCCAGAACTGTTCCTACTCAATTTAAAAGTAACCCACCGTGTAGCCACATTTCAACACCAGGGGAACCAAGCTTGGGTGATGGGCCAGTACCTCTGGTGGGTGGGAGCAGCTGGCACATAAAAAGATTCCAGCTTTGGCAAATTTCTTCACCCAAATCAAAGTCTTACCTTTACTTTGCTTCTGCTAATATATATGTACTTTTCGTTATGAATCTAAAAACTATCAATATCAACCTTGACTTTAACTCTATTATTTTCAAAAGTCGTCAATTTTATAGAATGTGCTCAAGGAGAGCCCAACTACCTCTGTCTTTGATCTCAAATGTGGGCCGAAGTGTGGGGGTTTCTTGAGGTTGTAGAGTAGTTACTTCCTGAGGTTTCTGGCACCTAGGGTCACCAAATTTCTCATCTCTTTTTATTAAATTATGCTCTCCTACTAAGCTTTCCTTGGTGTCATCAATTCTTCCCAACTCTGGCTTTTCTGGGAAGCCCGGGTTGTATGCCACTTGAGTGAGGGTTAAGCAGTCTGAATTCCTGGAATTGGGCCACTTGTACCACTTCCTCTTGTCAGTGTCCAGTCTCCTCTTGAAAATATTTATTATCCATTTTTCATTCTCTGCTTCCCTTGGGTGTTTGACAGATCCGTAGTTATTTCCAGATTTGAAGACTGCAGGAAGGAGTCTGGGTTCTCTCTGATGCTGGGTTTCTCTCTATAATTGGTTTGCGTTTTTATCATGCAAACTTCCCTTCTGAATAATTCTGTAACAAGGGTCTAGAAGATGGCCTCAATGGTTTGACAGTTGTTTTAATTCACTGGAAATGAAACAATTGCTCTAAGCCACACTGACTACTTGTCTACCTCTGAATCGGGGAAAAAAATCGGAAGCCGCATGGCCAAGCTGCATGCTATTAGTTAAACTCTGGCAGGCAGGTAACTCCATTGCATGCTGCTGGTGGAAGGGTGAGCTCACTTCTCTTTGCCCAAAGGATGGTAAATAGCTGAGGTGAAAGTGTTGCTGGATGTCTAAGTAGTGATCTCCCTAGTCCCAGAGTAACCCAGGTATGAGGAAGGATTCTGAAGTTTCAGGGACAGAGGAATAGTATAGTAAGGTGTAGTGTTGAACAATCTGAGACACAAGGGCTTGAATCCTGGTTCTGCCACTTTACTAAGATTAGGCTATTGAGCAAGTCCCTTCAACGCTCTGAACCTTTGTTAGGCTCACTGTGCTTAGGGACAACAAGTTTTTTTTTAAATTACAGAATACTATTAAAGGATCAGATAAAATAATGCTGGTAAAGTGCTTAGCATAATGTCTGGCACATGGAAGGTATTCAGTGACTAGCAGGCATTGCTCTTCGCTGTATTTTCCCACCAACCAAGTGATGCAACAAAGTTCAGTTTAAGCAAGGCTGTGTGGGGGGCATGGGCCAGAGGCTGTTTGCAGATTCTATGCCTCCCTGTAATTTCCTCCCCTGTCGAGCAGGTGCTTTCCTCCCTAGCATTGCCTATCCTGGGCTTTGGTTACTTATTATTTTTTAAAAAACTGAGGCAAGGCCAGGCATGGTGGCTCATGCCTGTAATCCCAGCGCTTTGGGAGGCTGAGGTGGGTGGATCACCTGAGGTCAGGAGTTTGAGACCAGCCTGGCCAATGTGGTAAAACCCTGACTCTACTAAAAATACAAAAATTAGCCAGGCATGGTGGCGCACACCTGTAGTCCCAGCTACTCAGGAGGCTGAGGTAGGAGACTCGCTTGAACCTGGGAGACAGAGGTTGCAGTGAGCCAAGATCGTGCCACTGTACTCTAGCCTGGGCAACAGAGCAAGATTCATCTAAAAAATAATAATAAAATTAAAATTGAGGTGACATTCACATAGCGTAAGGTTAACCATTTAGAAGTGAACAATTCAGTGGTATTTAGTACCTTAACAATGTTGTACTACTGCTATCTCTATCTACTTCCAAAACATTTTCATTACCCCAATAGAAAACCACATACCAATTGAGCAGTTGCTCCCTCTTCCCCTCTCTTTCCAACCCCCTGTGACCACCAATCTATCTCTACGGATCTACCTGTTATGGATATTTCACAGAAATGAAAGCATGCAGCATGTGGTCTTTCAGGTCTAGCTGCTTTCACGTAGCATAATGTGCTCAGGTTCATCCGTATTGTGGTGTGTATCAGTACTTCATTCTTTTTTATGGATGAATAATAGTCATTGTAGCATATTTTGCTTATTCATTCATCCATCCATGGGTGTTTGGGCTGTTTCCACCTCTTGGCTATTGTGAGTTGTGCTGCTGTAAACATGCTTGATGTGTACTTGTTTGCATACCTGTTTTCAGTTCCTTGGGGTGTATTCTGGCTACTTATTTTAATTAATCTCTGCTGTGTTTTTTGCCACCACATTTTCTGAGAGGCACCATGACAGCATGATGAGGCATGAGGACTCTGATACCTGGCTCTCTTCTTTGCTACTTACTGGTTGAACCATATTGGTCAAGGGGCTTGGCCTCTCCATACCTCTGTGTTCCCCTCTGTAAAATGGCGTTCATAATGACAGCCCCTATAGGAGGATTGTAATGATCAGATGAATTGATACCTGTAAAGCACATAGTCTGTGTGTAATGAACGTTAGCAATCACTGCTATCCTCTCTTTTCAGTACTTATTTTCTGCAGTCTCCTTTTGGACCCCCGTTTGTATTAGGATCTTTCATCTTTCAAATATCCAGAGCAGCTCTTTCATCAGCTGGTGACTGAAATTTCTTCCTGGGCAAGGCGGTTGAGCCACTGTGTTGTCCCTTTAACATGGGGAGTCCTGGGAACCTGGGGAGTCAGCTCCTCGGGAACAGAAAGAAGACACCCACCAAGTTTAGAGGAGTGGGACTTTGAGCTTATTCCAACCTGACCAGTAGGGATCTAAAGCTGCCTTCTTCCTCCCCTCCACAGGTTCTCTGGATCTATGTCTCAGATATTTTCCCAGATCCCATATGGCTATGCCATATTCTTTCTCATGGCTTGCAATGGCTTCCTATTGTTTGTTATATTAACAAAACCTCTCTGAAACCCCATGAAGTAGGTAGCTCTCTCCCCATTTCATTTTTGTGTATTTTCTTGCAAAGGGGGCAAGGGAGATTCTTCTACTTTCTATGGATGAGGAATATTCAACTGAGAGGTATAACATAATTGTCAAACTTCGTCAGTGTGTGAATTGCAGAGCCCGGACTAGAAGACACGGGCAGACCCAGGAGCACCTGCTACTTCTGGTTTGCACGCTGCCTTCCTTCTCTGACCCCCTGTATCAAGCCCAGCTGAGTTTTCCTTAGTCTACTTTCAACTGATCTGTACTAAGCCAGTGAATTCTCTTCATGCCCAGAACACCTGCCAGGCTCATTCTAGCTTCAGATCTTAGCCCCAGCTGTTCTGTTTGTCTGGATTACCATCCTGCCTCCCACCAATTCCAATCCTGCCACCTGGCAGGCATAATTCAAATCCCTCTTTCTTCACTAAAGCTTCCTACTGAGCTTTTCAATCAAGACCTTGTTCTTCATTTCTGAATTTCCTATCATTTTTCAAGTTGGTGCTCTTTGGCCTTCAGCTAGCACAAGCAGTGTCTTTGTGTGAATTAGAAGAAGGCATTCATTGACCCTAGGCTGATGAATTGTAAAAGGATGTCCTTAGTCGTCTTCTCAGCTGGGCACTTTTGGGCAGTGTGCTGACTGGACAACCATACTTAGCCAACTTGGCTATCTGACAGTTTCAAAATAATTGCTTTCTGAGTGTTAAATGTTACTAAGTCACATAGATTGCAAGAGTTCCACACTCATTTGTTGTGTCCTCCCAATTAGATTTTAAGCTTCTTGAGGGCAATGACCATTACTTGTCCTTCAGTTTTCCCCACTGTGCCTGGTCCAAAGCCAAGTGCTAAGTCTCTAGTGTCCAGCAAATGAAGTGACTTAGAGGAAGTGTGTCAGCCTTGGCTCTGAAGGGACTCAGCAAAACTCTTGCAGGAAAGAGCTGACTGACACCCACAGATGATCTTAGCCACACTGACTGCTTCACTATTTTGGGGGCACACCCACCAACGGCTGTTCCTTCATTTTGAGCTTTATCAGCTGAAATGGCATTCATTAGGGAAGGCTTCTTTCTCAGAAGCCTCTGTTAGAATCAATTTCTTCCTCCTATAATTTCCAAGGTGGCCTTTCTCTTCTAACCCACAATTCTCAGCTCCCAAAAGTATTTCTTAAGATGCAGCTCAAATTTTTACCTTTAAAATCTCTATCAGGGAGGTATATCCCAAAATCCACTGGGGCCACATCTCCCCTTCTACACTAAGTTCTTTTGTGGACAAGGCTTGTGCCTGGCACATAGTAGGCCTTCACTCAATGGCTGTTGAATCTCTGTCCACCAGGTTCCCTGGCTGTGTACATTTTCCAGCAATGCATCTTCATTCACTGCAGCAAAAGTATTTGCATCCCTTCTATTAGCACTATTTGACATTTGTTTAACACTTTCCCCAAGCTTTTTCTCATCTCTTTTCTGGTTTTGTTTTCACAACCTGTTAGGTTATGAGAAAAGAAATTATATCCATTTCTCTCATGAGGCACCTTAACTCCAGGAAGCAGAAGCATCTTATCTCATTGTCTGGTGACAGGGGTGAGGCTGCCACTCACTCAGGTGACCACTCCGGCACAGTGACAGTTTGGCTCTTGTTTCCTCCTCTTAACTCTTGTCTGAAGTTAACCATTCAATATCCTTAAAATTCCCAGAGTCTGACCCCGGAAGTAAAGAGGCCAACTTGGGTGGGAGGGGTGAGTATCCTCATCAACTCTAGAAATCCTACTACAGGTTGAGTATCCCAGATCCAAAAATCTGAAATCCAAGATGCTCTAAAATCCAAAACTTTTTTGAGTGTTGACATGGTGCTCAAAGGAAAGGCTCATTGGAGCATTTTGAATTTTGGATTTTCAGATTTGGGATGCTCAAAAGTAGTATTTATTCTGCAACTATTTCAAAACCTGAAAAAATCAGAAACACTTCGGCATTTCAGATAAGGGATAATCAACCTGTAGTACATCTCACTGAATTCATGTGTCAGAACCTAGCATCCTGGGCCCGTAAAGGAATTGTTCTTTTCTTTCATCCACTCTCCATCCTACCATTCTATCTGAGCATCTGTTCCAGGGCCAGGTAACCTATATGTATTTGGAACTGTTAGGCAAATATCTTTTTTTCCCTTGGAAACTATTTTCTAGAGGAAAGCAAATGTCTCGATATATTTGCAGATAGAAGAATAGAATCACCTGTGACTTAAAAAAAAAACATTAAAAAATCTATTGATGGCATGGACTCAAAAGTCAGAGACTGATTTAATTGGTCTGGGGTTGGGAGCCATTGGCAGAGTTCCTATGCCTTGGGTCCTGTCTTAGTCCATTTTGGCTGTTTAAACAAAATACGGTAAACTGGCTGCATTATAGAAACAGAAATTTATTTCTCACAGTTCTGAAGGCTGGGAAGTCCAAGATTAAGGCAGATTTAGTGTCTGGTGAGGGCCCACTTTCTGTCTTATAGATGGTGCCTTCCTGCTGTGTCCTCACATGGTAAAAGGGGTGAGGCATCTCTCTCAAGCCTCTTTTATAAAGACACTAATCCCGTTCATGAGAGCTCCACCCTTATGACCTAATCACCTCCCAAAAGTCCTACCTCCTAATACATTTGCCTTGGGGGTTAAAATTTCAACATACGAATTTTAGGGAGACAGACATTCAGATTAGGCCAGGCATGGTGGCTCACACCTGTAATTTCAGCACTTTGGGATGCTGAGGCAGGAGGATCACTTGAGCCCAGGAGTTCAAGACCAGCCTGTGCAATATAATGAGACCTTGTTTCTACTAAAAATAATAAAAATTAGCCAGGTGTGGTGACGAACACCTGCAGTCCAGCTACTTGGGAGGGTGGGGTGGGAGGATGGCTTGAGCCCAGGAGATAGAGGCTGCAGTGAGCTATGATTTTGCTACTATACTCCAGCCTGGGAGACAGAGTGAGAACCTGTCTCAGAAACAAAAGCAAAAAAAATTCAGACCGTAACAGATCCAGTATAAAGAATAAGACTAGATGACTGCAGTCCCAAAGAGAAGCACTGTTCCATTCCGGCATCAGCTAAGACATGTTCACCCAAGGCTTCTCTAGCATCAGCTTTTGCTGTAACTTTCTGTTTCCAGTACACACCAGCTATATGATCCTGAGTGTGTATGGATGTCTTTGATAACTTCCTTATCTATAAAATAAGGTCAAGAACTACTTGGCAGAACTGCTAGGAGCACCAAATAAAATAAAGAATGTATGTAAAATAATATGTAAAATAAGCCAGCACTCTGCCTGATACATATTTGATACATAGGTCAACAACTCTGAATTGAAAAGAATCAAATACTATCCTCCATCCCATAGGAAAATTCTATGTAGCAATTTTTTTTTGAATATCTCCTATTCTGCAAAGTATTATATGATTTCTTTCTATTCCTCTTTCTGTGCATAGAAGGGAGAGATACAAAGATGAAAGAAGAGATCATCTCTGTCTTCAGGGAACTTCTAATTGGCATGTGCAGACAGGAAAATATAGAACCACATGAAGTTCTTTGTATATTACATACACATATTTCAAACATAGAACCGAGTGAAGTAAATGTTAATTAGAGATATAATCAATATGCTGTGTGAGCTCAGAGGATGGAAGAAATCATTTCCCCTGAGGAGATGAAAACAGCATTTTAAGCTGAGTGATGACATGGACTATGGTTAGGAGGCTGGAAAGTGTGAGCGGGTGTCTGAATGTCAGCAAAGGGTCTAGGGTAGCTGGCCCCCCAACGTTCATCAGGAGGGCTGAGACATGAATTTTTGGACCTCTGCTGAGAATCCATTAAGAAAGGCTTTGCAAAAGAATTTGATCCTTTAACCTTGAAACAACTGGGAACCATTGAAAGCTTGAGTGTTGGGAGATATGCTCTGGTTGGAAGTTTTCGTTCATTCATCCTAGTGATGAGATGGGAGTGGGCTGGCAAAGTCCAGGTCAGAATATGACTCTCTAACCCTTCCTCCCTACCTGGGCCATGGCTAAGACCTCAGATACCCTGTGAAGAGCAGCTCAGGCAATTCTCCTGAGTCCTGATTCCTATGTCCATTCCAGGTCTGGCATCCAGGTGCTGCCCTCTTGTATTGTGCCTGAAATCTGTTTCTCTACCAAATCAATTTGGAATGCTGCCCTGCTGGATTTTCTGTGTAGCTTTTGGTCTCCTCTCTGGAAAGTGTCTCAGATTGTTTTCTACCTACTCCTCAGCCCAGCCTAAATTTCCTTCAACATTTATTCAGGATGAACTCAGCTTCCCTTTATATGAGAACAGTGTTTGGGTATTTTTACACTCTTGACCCACGGTCTCTCACTTTTCTGGAGACTGGAGGCAGAAGGACCTTCTGGGTAGATATTGTTGTAGTCCAGGCCAAAGAGGATGACGGCTGGGACTAGGCCTTGTCACAGGGCTGAAGGGTTGGGGGAGGGAATGTGGCATGGAAGAGACACTTTGGAGTTAGAACTGTTGGGGCCACAGCTGGCTTATAACTTTTCGTGATGGACCCAGCTTGTTTCTGAACTTCTGGTATCCTGACTCACAGTTTGTTTTCATTGTTTGTAATAGTTTGAGGTCTTGGAAACTTTGCAATCTGAGTTATTAGAAGTGATGACTTGGAGTGGATTTTAGAAGGCTGGTGCCGAGCCAGTATTTCAAATAGCAATGTTTTGAGAGAGAGATTTGTTATTCAAACTCTGGACCTGTTAATTGAAGGAGAAAATTGGGATGGGAAACATTCTGAGACCATCGAAAGTAGTTAACATGCATAGGAATCTGGACCTGATTCTGAAAAGGGAATGGCCATTAGATAACTCTGGTCTCTGGGCTCCGATGGATGCCCGTCAGAGGCGAACCCTCCACTGAGAAGGTCCTTTAGGTAGAGGTGTGATCCCCAAAGTTTGCTGCATGTTGGAATCATCTGCAGATCTTTATAATACACTGAAGCCTGGCTGCTGCTCCCAGACATCCTGATTTAAGTGATATGCAGTACAACTTGGGCACTGGGATTTTTCAAACTTTCTAGGAAATTCTTTTTTAAATTATTACTATATTTTTTATTGAGTTATATTTTTATGATTGACATACAAAATGAATGAATGACATCTATATAATTATGTTTTTATGATTGACATATAAAACTGTTGTATATATTTAATGTATATACATCTTGATGAGTTTGAAGATAAGTATACACCCTTGAAGCCATCACCATAAACAATGCATAAATGTAACCATTATCCTTAAAAGTTTCCTCGTCTTTTGTCATAAGAACACTTAGCATAAGATCTACCCTATTATTTTTATATATACATTTTTAAAATATAAAAGATAGCATTGTTAACTACAGGTATTATGCTCTACAGTAGATCTTTAGGACTTACTCATCCTGAATAACTAAAACGATTTGACTTTTTACCAACACCTCCCTGATTTCTCCTCCCCCAACCTCCTGATAACCACCACCGTACTCTCTGCTTCTATGAGTTTGACTATTTCAGATTCCTAATATAAATGGGGTCATGTAGTATTTGTTCCTCTGAGTCTGGCTTATTTCATTTAGTACTGCCACAACTCAATAGAAAAAAACCCAAATAATCTGATTAAAAAATGGGTAAAAGACCTGAATAGTCATTTCTCCAAAGAAGGACATACAAGTGGCCAATAGGTATATGAAAAGGTGTTCAACATCACTAATCATCAGGGAAATGCAAATCAAAATTACAATGAGATACCACCTCACACCTGTTATGGCTATTATCAAGCAAACCAAAGATAACAATTGTTGGCAAAGATGTGGGGAAAAGGGAACCTTTGTACACTGTTGATGGGAATGTCAATTGGTACAGACTATGGAAAACAGTATGGAGATTCCACAAAAAATTAAATAGACCTACTGTATGATCCGACAATCCCACTTCTGCGTATACACCCAAAAGAATTGAAACCAGGATTGCAAAGAGATATCTGTACTCCCAAGTTCATTGCAACATTACTTACAATAACAAAGACATGGAAGATGTTCTTTGAAACCAACGAGAACAAAGACACAACATACCAGAATGTCTGGGACACATTCAAAGCAGTGTGTAGAGGGAAATTTATAGCACTAAATGACCACAAGAGAAAGCAGGAAAGATCCAAATCTGACACCCTAACATCACAATTAAAAGGACTATAAAAGCAAGAGCAAACACATTCAAAAGCTAGCAGAAGGCAAGAAATAACTAAAATCAGAGCAGAACTGAAGGAAATAGAGACACAAAAAACCCTTCAAAAAATTAATGAATCCAGGAGCTGGTTTTTTGAAAGGATCAACAAAATTGATAGACCACTAGCAAGACTAATAAAGAAGAAAAGAGAGAAGAATCAAATAGATGCAATAAAAAATGATAAAGGGGATATCACCACCGATCCTACAGAAATGCAAACTACCATCAGAGAATACTACGAACACCTCTATGCAAATAAACTAGAAAATCTAGAAGAAATGGATAACTTCCTTGACACATACACCCTCCCAAGACTAAACAAGGAAGAAGTTGAATCTCTGAATAGACCAATAACAGGAGCTGAAATTGTGGCAATAATCAATAGCTTACCAACCAAAAAGAGTCCAGGACCAGATGGATTCACAGCCGAATTCTACCAGAGGTACAAGGAGGAACTGATACCATTCCTTCTGAAACTATTCCAATCAATAGAAAAAGAGGGAATCCTCCCTAACTCATGAGGCCAGCATCATCCTGATACCAAAGCCGGGCAGAGACACAACCAAAAAAGAGAATTTTAGACCAATATCCTTGATGAACATTGATGCAAAAATCCTCAATAAAATACTGGCAAACTGAATCCAGCAGCACATCAAAAAGCTTATCCACCATGATCAAGTGGGCTTCATCCCTGGGATGCAAGGCTGGTTCAATATATGCAAATCAATAAATGTAATCCAGCATATAAACAGAACCAAAGACAAAAACCACATGATTATCTCAATAGATACAGAAAAGGCCTTTGACAAAATTCAACAACCCTTCATGCTAAAAACTCTCAATAAATTAGGTATTGATGGGACGTATCTCAAAATAATAAGAGCTATCTATGACAAACCCACAGCCAATATCATACTGAATGGGCAAAAACTGGAGGCATTCCCTTTGAAAACTGGCACAAGACAGGGATGCCCTCTCTCACCACTCCTATTCAACATAGTGTTGGAAGTTCTGGCCAGGGCAATTAGGCAGGAGAAGGAAATAAAGGGTATTCAATTAGGAAAAGAGGAAGTCAAATTGTCCCTGTTTGCAGATGACATGATTGTATATCTAGAAAACCCCATTGTCTCAGCCCAAAATCTCCTTAAGCTGATAAGCAACTTCAGCAAAGTCTCAGGATACAAAATCAATGTACAAACATCACAAGCATTCTTATACACCAACAACAGACAAACAGAGAGCCAAATCATGAGTGAACTCCCATTCACAATTGCTTCAAAGAGAATAAAATACCTAGGAATCCAACTTACAAGGGATGTGAAGGACCTCTTCAAGGAGAACTATAAACCACTGCTCAATGAAATAAAAGAGGATACAAAGAAATTGAAGAACATTCCATGCTCATGGGTAGGAAGAATCAATATCGTGAAAATGGCCATACTGCCCAAGGTAATTTATAGATTCAATGTCATCCCCATCAAGCTACCAATGACTTTCTTCACAGAATTGGAAAAAACTACTTTAAAGTTCATATGGCACCAAAAAAGAGCCCACATCGCCAAGTCAATCCTAAGCCAAAAGAACAAAGCTGGAAGCATCATGCTACCTGACTTCAAACTATGCTACAAGGCTACAGTAACCAAAACAGCATGGTACTGGTATCAAAACAGTAGATCAATGGAACAGAACAGAGCCCTCAGAAATAATGCCGCATATCTACAACTATCTGATCTTTGACAAACCTGAGAAAAACAAGCAATGGGGAAAGGATTCCCTGTTTAATAAATGGTGCTGGGAAAACTGGCTAGCCATATGGAGAAAGCTGAAACTGGATCCCTTCCTTACACCTTATACAAAAATTAATTCAAGATGGATTAAAGACTTAAACGTTAGACCTAAAACCATAAAAACCCTAGAAGAAAACCTAGGCATTACCATTCAGGACATAGGCATGGACAAGGACTTCATGTCTAAAACACCAAAAGCAATGGCAACAAAAGCCAAAATTGACAAATGGGATCTAATGAAACTAAAGAGCTTCTGCACAGCAAAAGAAACTACCATCGGAGTGAACAGGCAACCCACAAAATGGGAGAAAATTTTCGCAACCTACTCATCTGACAAAGGGCTAATATCCAGAATCTACAATGAACTCAAACAAATTTACAAGAAAACAAACAACCCTATGAAAAAGTGGGCGAAGGACATGAACACACACCTCTCAAAAGAAGACATTTATGCAGCCAGAAAACACATGAAAAAATGCTCACCATCACTGGCCATCAGAGAAATGCAAATCAAAACCACAATGAGATACCATCTCACACCAGTTAGAATGGCAATCATCAAAAAGACAGGAAACA
This sequence comes from Homo sapiens, assembly GCF_000001405.40. Taxonomy (NCBI): domain Eukaryota; kingdom Metazoa; phylum Chordata; class Mammalia; order Primates; family Hominidae; genus Homo; species Homo sapiens. The sequence goes on from NC_000017.11 coordinate 51,626,378, forward strand.
ACAGGTGCTGGAGAGGATGTGGAGAAATAGGAACACTTTTACACTGTTGGTGGGACTGTAAACTAGTTCAAGCATTGTGGAAGTCAGTGTGGCGATTCCTCAGGGATCTAGAACTAGAAATACCATTTGACCCAGCCATCCCATTACTGGGTATATACCCAAAGGACTATAAATCATGCTGCTATAAAGACACATGCACACGTATGTTTATTGCAGCGCTATTCACAATAGCAAAGACTTGGAACCAACCCAAATGTCCAACAATGATAGACTGGATTAAGAAAATGTGGCACATATACACCATGGAATAATATGCAGCCATAAAAAATGATGAGTTCATGTCCTTTGTAGGGACATGGATGAAATTGGAAATCATCATTCTCAGTAAACTATCGCAAGAACAAAAAACCAAACACCTCATGTTCTCACTCATAGGTGGGAATTGAACAATGAGAACACATGGACACAGGAAGGGGAGCATCACACTCTGGGGACTGTTGTGGGGTGGGGGGAGGTGGGAGGGATAGCATTAGGAGATATACCTAATGCTAAATGACGAGTTAATGGGTGCAGCACACCAGCATGGCACATGTATACATATGTAACTAACTTGTACATTGTGCACATGTACCCTAAAACTTAAAGTATAATAATAATAATAAAAAGACATGGATAAAAGCTAAATTGTTCACTGACAGATGAACAGGTAAAGAAAATGTGGCATAGACGTACAATGGAATATTAGCCTTAAAAAGAAGGAAATCTTGACATTTGCCACAACGTGGGTGAACTTGGAGGACATTATGCTAAAGAGGTTCTAATATGTAGTAAAGTTTGGGAACCTCTAGAGTAGGAAGTAGTAGGGATGAATATTTGATTTACGGTGATTCTCACGTTGAGTGTGCATCAGAATCATCTAGGGGGCTTGTTAAAACAGATGGCTGGGGCTCACCCTCTGAGTGTCAATCGGTCTGCAGTGGGATCTAAAAATGTGCATATCTAACCAGCTCCTAAGTGATGCTGTTGGCTGGGGCCATGCTTTGAGAACCACTGGCTTAGAAGAGTTGAGTCTGGCATTTCCACCTATGAGCTATGTGATCCTGAGGCTATCACCTGGTCTATAAGAAGTCAATTTCTGCATTTACAACCCAGGGACAGCAGTGGTGATTACTTTGTGGGTCACTGTGTGGGTAAAATGAGATGATATTTGTAAACTGCTTGGCACAGCGCCTGGACCACAGAAAATATGCAACCTATGGCAGACCTTATCAATAATAGTATGTTTTTTTCATCTGGAGTCTTGGCAGATCTTTCCTTATGTTCAGTTGTGCCAGTTGGTGAATAATATTACAGTAAGTTTCTGCTCCTAGGGGTCCTACTTTTAGGATTTCTGGAACAGGAAAATTGAGATACTCTTATGAACTGCAGGTGTTCTGGATTCCAGCAGGACGGGTCCACCCTGGGGGTATGGGCATATGCTAATTGACCCTTGTCAATCATCTTCTTTGGCCTGATGTGTGTGTTATGGGCTGTGGTCAAGGACTGCTTTCCTGTCCAGATTCCATGTGATTCTCTCACTGTCTTGTACCACATTCCAGACACATTTAGTGCAGTGAGTTGTGGTTGTCCTGATGTCACCATGGAAACTTAACTGCTACAGAGGGAGATTGGAACAAGGCTCTAAATGGTCTGGGAAACCATAAAATGTGTCCCCAAGAAGGGGCTAGGGCTGTGGATTTCCACATGATTTTTTTTTTTTTGAGACAGAGTCTTAGTCTGTCACTCAGGCTGGAGTGCAGTGGAGTGATGGATCTTGGCTCACGGCAACCTCCACCTTCTGGGTTCAAGTGATTCTCCTGCCACAGCCTCCCGAGTAATTGGGATTACAGGCATGTGCCACCATGCCCGGCTAATTTTTGTATTTTTAGTGGAGACACGGTTTCACCATACTGACCAGGCTGTTCTCAAACTTCTGACCTCAGGTGATCCACTCACCTCAATGTGTTCTTTTTTTCATTCAATTTGTCCAGATCTCTCTTGGGTGTATATTTACCTCCCTCCCCCATTTCGCAGAGGAGGGAACTGAGGCTTAGCATGTGTTTCCTTGCAGGTTGTAGACTACTTCTCCAAAAGGGAAGGGGTGCCCCTGTCAGCCTGGGCTCCAACAGGCAAAGCTGGCCGATCGGCACACACTGTGGAGCACAGAGACACCACTCCCCTGGAACTTCCTGAGCACCCATGGACTGCAAAATTGATTAATGTATTTTTGTTCCTTGATGTCTTCAACAGGTATGAGGTGGTATCTCATTGTAGTTTTGATTTGCATTTCCCTGATGATTAGTGATGTTGAAGAGATCAAGACCCAGATGAGACCAAAGTCCTAGATGAAGACACCAAAGAACAAGAATACATCAATAGATTTTACAGCCCATGGGTGCTCAGGAAGTCCAGGGGCTCTTTGGTACTTTAAAAACTACCACCTTTTTTTTTTTTTTGAGAGGTACTAATCTAGCTAGTCTTTTTATTACTCCTACATATTGTGAGGGCAAAGTGACTATGTTTTCTTTTTCTAGTTTGGGAAACCTAGTGAGTATGGAGAAAGGGGCATTTAGGACTGGCCCAGAAAGTCAGAGACAGGAGCCAGTTTGCCCCATTTTGAGTCCTGTTTGGTCAAGGTGAAAGTCTGCCTATGCCTAGGGGCCCTAGGGGTGAGAGACTGGGTTTTTCTTTGTTCTCACTGGACTAAAGAACTGAATGAGAGGCACAGTTGGGGAATTAAGAGTGGAAAGGCCAGGGGAGGTCATCTTGTCCAAATCATTTGTCGATAAGGACTCAGCCCCAGGGAGGGGAGTTGACTTGCCCAGTGTCAGAGAGGATGCTGTGATGGGGTGGGGCCTAGAAACCCAGTTGCCTGCCTGCCTTCCTTGCTCATGCTTCTCCTTCTCTTCCTCAACACATCGTAGGCATTTATCTATGTGCAGTCTGCTGGGTATCTATTGCTTTCGTTTGCTGTCACTCTGGTGTCCTTGTTGTGATTGATGCTACCACCACCCTGTAAAGGAAGGCATGGTATGACTCAGATAAACTTTTAATAGGCAGGTCGTACAAATGCTCTACTATTGGTACCATTTATAGAAAGGTCATTGCAGGTATTGTGCAGGCTGCTTTAAGTAACTACATAGTGTTTAAGCCTCATAACTCATGGAGGCAATTATTAACCTCCCCAATGTACAGATAGAGAAGTAAAGCAACTTGCCTAGGGTCACGCAGCAGGCAAGAGGCAGAGTAAAGTTGATTTACCATCCATATTCTTCAGCTGTTATACTATATCGCTGCCTGCCATTGCAGGTTAAGGAAGATTCTACCTCAGAAGCAGCAGCAAGCCATGTAAAGATTGCCACCTGCTTACCCTAAACCTTTGTGAATATTTGGTTCTCTGGAAAAATAAGGTTGCTCAGAAATAGGTCTAGATGCCATCATAGCTAAGGCTGCCGTGTGTCTGACATTGATGCAAAAAGTAAAGTAAAAGATAAAATCCAGTTAAGTATATTATTTTGAATATGAAATAACTGGGTGTTTTGAATTTTTCATTGTCAATCCATCTAGTCACTAGGCTGAAGTTTTTCATATGCTTGGGAATGTTCTCATTTGCACAGACTCTCCTTGCCTGTGCTCTCCCCCTTCCAGGAGAGTGTGACAGAAAGGAGAGATGAAAGTTATTTTTAATTTGGCCACTGAACAAACATCCAAGTGTTCTCTTCCAGGAGCTAAGCCTATATGTTTTCTCAACAGGGTATTAATTACCTGGCTCTGGGAATGGCTAGACAGGCTGTTCTGGATGCCCTGCCAGCCCCGTATGCAATTGCTCCTGCACCCAGCAGGACTCAGAGACTTCAGCAGGGAGCATCCTCTTTCTCAATAAAGTCAGACATGGGTACTGGGTAACTTGTTAAACACATTTATTGATTTCTTGACAGTAACCAAACACAGTGAGTGACCATTATAAACAAGAAAAGAAAGGCATTCGTTTTGTACTTTGTGAGATCTGGCTGCACCTGGAGAGAAAACATACCCCTTTCCCAGGAACTTACAAGGCAAAGTGCATTCCTTCACGGGAGCATCACAGGGGGGCATGGCAGTTTTGAAACGCAAGAAGTCTGTCGCCTGCTATCTCAGGCTGAAGCTCACCTCATGTGAATGATTGAGCCATGGAGTGGAATTAAAGTCATACTTGCTTAGCAAATGCATTCCTGATTGCCACAAACTCAGTAAAAACTGGCTGCAAATGAACAAAACATGTAGATGAAGGAACAAGTGAAATCAAAGAATGCAGTTGCATGGAGCCAGGGCTTAGCCTGTAAGGAAGGAGAACAGACCAAAGCCAGAAAAATGAAATTAACTCGTTAAACACATTTATTGAGCTGGTAACAATAACCAAACACAATGTATGACCTTTGGAAAACAAGAAACAGCAAATGGATCATTTCTGATCTTGGCAAATCCTACTACAGATATGTGACAAAGAGGGAAATAATTCCATTTCCTTATAGTCTGTGGTGATATATATACAATGTGTAGCTCTTCAATGTCTGTCCTTTTTTTCTTTGTAAATTGTTGAGTAAACAGAAGAATCATAATCTAGAAATAAGTGTCCTTGGTCAACTTTGTCCTGCTCACCTGCTACCAGCACCCTCAAAGGATCCTAGGACACTATCTGAAATTACTTGATGCAAAGTCCGTTTGATGCCATCAGAGCTGTATTTTCTCCTCTCTCTTTTGGAAGAATTTTGTATGTACAAAGGCTGAAAAGTCTCATTGGGTAGATTTATTAGTTCAGGAAAACGGTATCAAAATTGAAATCAGGTTAACTGGTTATTTTCTTCTAAGACCTCTTATGAATGAGACTTTTGTTTCTGAAACTTGACTTCCCATGATGGAGGTTGTAAGAGTGTGTGTGTGTGTAGGTATGTTTGCATGTGTTTGTATGTATGTGCAAGTGCTTGTGTGTGTGTTTGTGAGTATGTGTGAGAGATGTATTCCTCTGCCATGGTTTTGCAGACACTTTTCATGAAGAAAGGGCCAATCCCAAGAATGAATGAGGCTTGGGGGAAAGAAGGAGAGAGAAGCAAGAAGGGGGACATTCTAGGTTACGTCAATTCACAGTTGTAGCATTTCACTGAGGTGGGATTCTTCTTGGCTTTGTTCCCTACTTGAGGAGCCATTCATTTACTGCAAAGAGAGAGAAAGAAAAAAAAAATCACACATACAACATAAAACGAGGCATACTCAATTAATTTGCACACAGTTTTAGAGAATTCCTCCAGAGGGGAAGGGACTGTTTTGTAAATGCCTGCTTACTTATATGCATTCCAACTACTCCCTTCCAATTCTCCATGACCTTCTAGGCCTATACTGACCAATATGGTGGCCACTAGCTGCCATATGTGGCTACTATGAATTTAAATTAATTAAAATAAAAAATTAGTTGCATCATTGTACTAGTCACCCATCCAATGTTCAATAGCCACATATGGCTAGTAGCTGCTGTATTGGGCAGTGCAGGATAGTCATCAACCTATCATGAAAACATTCCCATTACCACAGAAAGTTCTAGTGGATGACACTGCTCTAGGCTAGGGATGGAAAAACAACAGTCCACAGATCTAATCCAGCACAATACCTGTTTTTATAAATAAAGTTTTATTGGAACACAGCCATACCCATTCATTTAGATATTATCAATGGCTGATTTCATACTACAATGTCAGAGTGCCATAGAGATTTTATGGCTTCAAAACTTAACATATTTACTCTCTGTCCTTTATAGAAAAAGTGTGTAGACTCCTGTTGTAGACCATATGCTCTGTTTGGATAGGTGTCTTATCTGTCACCCATCACCCAGCTAACTGACACATGGTAGGAACACAATACAGGGGTTTTGACTAAAGAGAAGAAGCAATGAATGAGTTAGGTATTTACTTTTCTGGTAGTTCCGGCTGGAAGGGTGTGGAAAATATGTAGTTTGGGCATGCAAGTGTATCTGAGAGAGAAAAAAGAAGGGAACAAGGGGGAAGTAGGAGGAATGAAGTGGAGGATCAAGGAGTAGTGGTGGAGGCTGCTTCTAAAAGCTGTCTGGTAATAACCACAGCCCTCCTATTTGGGGAGCATGTTATTGCTACAAAGGGCTTCCCTATCCAGGCTCTTGTTTGCTTCCTTTAACAAACTGTGAAGTAGATGGCATAGGAACTGTCACGAAGAAGCCAGGTCTAGGGGGTAAACAATGTGGCTGGGTTTGCACAGCTTGTTAGAACTAGGCCCAGAACTTGGGTGTCCTGATTTCCAGTCCAGGGCTCTCCAAGACCCCATCCTTCCTCCATCTTTCTTTCCACACTGAGTGTTTACCACAATGATTAACAGATGTTTAGTAGTAAGCAGAAGGGAAGAGAGAGAGGGCTGGGTGTGCACCACAGAGTTACAGGAGGCAGATGTCAACTTAAATGTCCCCTTTAGTGGGAATAATAACCATTTCTAGGGACATAGCACTGGGCAAAGATACACTCACAAATTACCCCATTGGATTCTAATGGCCTGCCCTTTAGAGTATTTGTTCATCTTCTAGGGGAAAGCAGGTCTTTCTTCCATATACTTAAAAGCTCTAATGCTTTTCACTGTCCTGTTCTAACAGATAACCTTGGGAACATCAGCCTTTCTGGGCTCTTTTGAAAAATGGCAATAAAAAGCTGTCTTGCCTGATCTACAGGGGTTTTAAAGGTTTGATATATGTGTTTAAAGGTTACATATATATATATCTCACATATATCAAACCTCTACACCTTGCCATCTACCTACCGTCCATCCATCCATCCATCCACTTACTTACCTACCTACCAACCTACCTAGATGCATTCATACAGGTATCTGTATCACATATATCAAAACTTTAGACCTTCATCACCATGCAAATGGAGTGTGATGGCTATTGTCATTTACAGTCATCATTCCTATAATGGAAGATAATGCCAGGCCTTTAAGAACAGGTCTAAGCAGAAAGACTGAGCTCTAGCCTAGATCCTCCACTCTCTGAGCCACCAAACCCACCTCTATACTGAAGCTTCTGGGCTCGGTTGTTTGGACAGTCCTTCCCCTGTAAACTGAAGTTGATATTGGTGCGGATGCAGCGGTTGTTGAGTGGCTGGACAGGCCTGAAGTTGTCACTCATGCTCAGAAAGATCTGAGATGGCTGGTTCTGGCTGAGCAGGCGCAAGGAATGCATCTGAGGAGAGAGAAGTGGCCGTGAGATCCAACCATCCTCTTAAATGCACTAGGGAAGAAATAAGACCACAGAGACTCTGGCCAAGCTAGGTGGTATTGGCTGTATGAGGAAAGGGCTGTATAAGCCCCACAGAGTCCCTTTTTTCCATGGGTTCAGTTGAGCTGAAGGCCCATTATACCTCCACACATGAAGCCAGCCTTTCTTCTAGCTTACTAGCTTGTGTATGCCTCTGAACAAGTCACTTGCGCTCTCTCACCCTCAAATGCAGCATCCAAAAAAGGAGCAAATCTGGTTAGGTTTCTCTAAGGTTCTTTCTTTCTTTGATACTCTTTGGTTCAATAATTCCATGACTCCCACATGGTATTACGTGGATCATAGTGATTGGTCCATGGGTCAGAGCTAAACTAAGCTGGACCAGTTTGGTTTCTTTTCTGTGAGACTATGAGGGCCAGGTGGCTGGACTGTTTGCAGCCATGTTCTGCCACAGGACTGTGAGGCAAAAGAAGACGGTCTCTAGCAGGAGAGAAGAATGAAGTGAATGTGTGGTGAGAAGAGGACAACAGAGAGAAAGCACTTCTGGGGTTCCCATTTCAGTGAATTTCTGATGTCAATTTCTGATTTTAAATTCTCTAAGATGCCCTCGTAGCTCTCAAATAAATGCTTTTTCTAAGCTTAAGTGGGGAGTTACTGTTGCCTGTCACCCAGTGGGTCCCATTCAATACAGATAGGTTAAGGAACTTCAAATTGTTCAAATGGTGGTCAGGTGGGAACACATATCCCGTCAAGGATATTGGCTTCTGCTTCCTTTGCTCATCTCTCCTTTAATTTGTTATAGACTCCCACAGTCGTAGAATGTCAGAGCTGGAGCAAACTCATGTAATTTATCCCCCTCTCAATAAAGAAGAGGAGTGTTCATTTCATAGAGGTGGGTGACAGGCCTGAAGAGCACAATAAGCCGTGTAGCCAAGCTCACACAGGAGGACCCATCTGCCTCCCATCCAGTTCTGATGAGTACTAACTCTGTGAGATGATCCAAAAAAAACACTGCACATTCAAATATGTGTGCAAAATACTACATATCATACCACTTCCTCTTGAAGACTGACACATATATTAGCATTTAAGAAGGACCCCAGAAATCCTTCAACAATGGAATCTATTTAACTTTTTAAAACCCAACTTTTTCAAATGCATAATGACATCTTCCATTTTGCTTGCTTGCTTTCTGAACACTGTAGTTGTAGAATACACTCTGGGAATTAATGGCTATCTTTTCCCACTGAGACAGTTGAGATGCTTCTATAATTAGCTCAGGCTAAGCCTTTTGGATGCTGGCTCTTTAAACCCAGGCATATGGGTTGAATCGTGTACCCCTGAAATTCATAAGCTGAAGGTACTGGTAACCCCTAGTTGCTCAGAATGTGACCTTATTTGGAAATAGTCATTGCAGATGGAATGAGCTAAGACAAGCTTATTGGGGTTAGGCTTTAATGGAATACAGAAGGTGCCTTTATAAAAAGGGGAAATTTGGACACAGAGCCTCAGACACAGGGAGAACACCTTATAAAGATGGAGGTAGAGGCTGGGTGTGGTGGCTCACGCCTGTAATCCCAGCACTTTGGGAGGTCGAGGCAAATGGATTACCTGAGGTCAGGAGTTCAAGACCAGCCTGGCCAACATGATGAAACCCCATCTCTACTAAAAGTATAAAAATTAGCCGGGCGTGGTGGCACGTGTCTGTAATCCCAGCTACTCAGGAGGCTGAGGCACAAGAATCGCTTGAACCCAGGAGGTGGAAGTTGCAGTGAGCCAAGATCACGCCACTGCACTCCAGCCTGGGTGACAAGAGCGAGACTCCATCTCAAAAAAGAAAAAAAAAAAGATGGAGGTAGAGCTTGGGGTGGTGCTTTTAAATGCCAAAGCACGTCAAAGATTGTCAGCAAACCACTAGAAGCTAGGGGAGAGGCATGGAACAGATTCTTCCTCACATTCCGCTGAAGGAAGCAACGCTGCTGACACCTTGATCTTGGACTTCTAGTCTCCAGAACTGTGAGGCGATAAGTTTGTGTTAGTTTAAACTACCCAGTTTGTGGGACTTTGTTATAGTGGTCCTAGTAAACTATTATAATAGGCACTCCACATTTCAGTGATTTTTTTTTAACATCATTCTTCTCCATTAGCTAAATGACCAGAGAGAAACTCACCTGCATCCTGGTTATATAGACAGGTTTGTTCATTATGATCCAACTTGCTGTCTCATAGCAGGGTGGGATAGTCATCGACCCATCGTAAGTGATGAAACTAGAGGTCTCTGGATATAGTTCCTCTATATTAAGCCCCTGTAGTAAATATGCATCATCTAGAGAAGGAAAGAAGACTTAAAAATTAGGTTTCTTGAGAAAGGGATGGTATTGCTGACATACATACATACATACATACATATACATATACATATACATACATATATACACACACAGATATATATGTATTTCTTTTGGAATTCCAGAAGACTCTATCTGTCAGAACAGGCTGCAGTAACAAGCAGTTGTCCCCCAGATCTCGGTTGTTTTAAGCAATAAGAATGTATTTCTTGCTCACACACATGATCATTCCAGGTTGGCTGAGGCTTCCCTCCATGTCATTGTCCATGCTTTGGGACCTAGACTCTTAGAGCAGTAAACACCTGGACCTGTGCGGATCACAGTGACAGAAGCGAAAGCATGGCGAATGTGTGTTGGTTCTTAAAACTTCCATCCCAGAAGTGGCACACATCACTTGTGCTCATGTTTTGGTAGCCAAAGAAGTCACATGGTTAAGGCTGATGTTGGGGATGCGAGGAAGCACATTCCTTCCACAGGATGGGGCCCTGAGCATTGGTGAGCTGTAAGCAATGCGTTCTACCACAGGGATTGTTTGAGGAGTCCTTGATTCTAGTCCCTGAGATCTGGACTCCTAGGCATTACAGGTATCATGAGATGGACAATTAAAGCTTCTAGACCTGTTGAAATTCACCTGGTGACCATTCTCACTTAAAACAACAATAAGAAAATATTTTTGGATAGAAAAGTAAATCAGGCCAAATCCTACCATGAGATTCTATGGTTAAGCTCAACAACTGATTATTTTGTGTGTGTGTGTGTGTGTGTGTGTGTGTGTGTGTGTATTTTTCTCTCTCTCAGGTCTATGCAGATAGCCTTTTCTCTTACACCAATTTGAGGTATTCATACCCATATATCTTCTATTACTAAATACAGTAATTCAATGGTAAAAATGACATAAGTACATCACAGACTATATGGAAAAAAGAAAAAACAATTTCAGTCATCTAAAACTGTTACTATTAGCATTTTGGTGTGTTTCCTGTTAATTTTTTTAGTCAATGTATTGGTTGTATTTTTGATAAAATTGTGTGTATTGGAGTTTTAAAATATCAGTTAATTGCAATGTATCTCTCCTCTTCTCCCCTCTTCATGATCCTTCTTCCTTTCTTTTAGCACGTGATTGTTCTCTTCTGCTGGCTTCAAAAATACCATACTTAGTATTCCCATTTTTCTGGCCATTCTCTCTCAGGTTTTGTTGCTGTCTCCTGATCTTCTACCTGCTTCTCTCAATGATGCAATTCCCCAAAGATCAGTCCAAGGCTCCCTTCTTTTCTTACTCTATCCTCTCATCTGAGAGTAGCTCATCTACATCCATGGCTTCACTTGCCTTCTGCATCCCAGTGATTCCAGATCTATATCTCTAGAGGTATCACATCCCCAGGCATACCATGAGCACCCATCACTGTGGCCAGTCCAGGAGACCTGGAGAACACATGGCAGGGTCCCAAAGCCTGGCTGGCCGAGGGATGAGACTGACTCTCCAGCCCCATGGATGCACACATGTTCTCTCGTCCATGTGTCTAACTCCCAGTGGGAAAGTACTCATTCTTCAGGGGTTGAGGGAACCTCTTCAGTTTAGTATTGTGCACATATATGGTAAAGGAAGACTTTCACATATGGCTGGAACCTCACATTGACTCAATAAAATGAGTCAGGCAGATAGTAACATCCTCCACTGACAAGAAACTAAAGATCAGGGAGGCAAAGTGGGCTGCCCAAGGTCACAGGGCTAGCTGGTGACTGCAAAGTGGAAATTAGAACTCAGCTCTTCCGACCTCCAGACCAAGGTCATTTTTTCATTCAACGATTATTCACTAGAACCTCTTTGTGCTAGGCACAGTGTTAAGCTCTGGGGACAGAGCAATTAACAAGATAGATGCAGTCCTTGACCTTATTCTAGTTGGAGAGATAGATAACAAATGGCAAAATAAAAATAAGTAGGCTATAATGTCACAGTAATAAGTGCACCTTGACCTGCCTGTACTTACCTACTGATTAATGCTGCTAATTTATTTTCCTTGGCAAAGATGCCCTCTCCTCCATTTCTTCCTCTAGAAATTGCTCGTTCAGCCTTCTCCAATAAGAAAGAGTTACCTTTGCCAAGGGAACTTGAATTTCAGTGTTGCTTTGTCAATTAAATTGTGAACAAATCAATGGAGCCAATCGTTTGGAATGATATAAATACAATCACAATTTGCCTACTCCATTCAAAGCTGCCCTTCCTGGCCTCCTACTCCCTTGATGGGGTAAGGGAACCCCTCCAGGGTTCCATCCACCAAAGTCTCTGAGGAAGATAGCTTCACCAAGCTGGATTTGGAGACCAACCCTAGGAGGAAGGACTTTCTTTCACTTTTCATTTAAATGTTTCTACCTTTCCGTCAAAACACCAAGGAACGAGGACATGCTCGAGAGAGACACAGTGATTGGAATATGGCCAGCCTGGGTCTGCACTATGGCCTGTTTGGGCAGATGCTTCCATAACAAAGCCACAGTGCCCAGGGCACACACGACGTGAGGGACCTTGGGGGTTACATCAGGGGCCAACCCAATAAGTTAACATTGGATATCAGCATTTGTCTCTGACTGCCTCTTAAGTCCCTAAGATGTGTCAGGCACTAAGCCAGGTATAGATGAGTAGGAAATAATTAAGTGAATGCAGAAGGCATGACAGAGACAATGACATAAATCTGCATTGGGCCCAGAGAGAGGCTGTGAGTTCTGTCTGGGGCGAGGGTGCGGGGTACTCAGGAAGGAATGAATCGAGGAGTTGACTTGAACTGCATCTTTAACAGCAGGAGGTGATCAGTTTGTAGCTGGGAATCGGGTAGGGTGTCAAGGCCACTGTAGACAGAGCAATGCTAGAAAAAGAGTCAAGGAAGGAGTGGTGTGTACTTGGGGACAGATGGAGTGTGAGGTGCAGGGCGATGTGGAGATGGAAGGGGAGGGAGGGCTGCTGTGAGAAATGTGGCTGGTGGGGTCAGCACAGACCACACCAGAAGGTCTTCCCAGCACTACTGGGAGTTTGGACTTCATCCGGAGGCAATGCGGAACCACCGAAGGGATTGAAGCCAAGGAGTAGCATGATCACATTTGCACTTAATGAGGCTTGCTCTGATGGTGGTTTGGCCTGAAGATTAACATATTGAATAAGAGAAGGAAGCATTCAGCACATTTTTGTTAAAGGTCAATGTGATTTGTTTAACCAAGCTTGCACGAGGAACACATTGGGTACTCTAGCATGCTGTTATTATTGCATTTTATTTTATTCGGGGCGGTGGGGAGGAGTGAAGGGGGAAGTAGAAAGAGAGGCATTCCAGGCATGACTGGAGTAAAGAAAAGGAACATGTTTTGTTTCTTTGAGACTGTAACCAGCCTTTGTGCTGCAGCTATATTTGTGGAAAAGATTGGGGGCCGAGGTATAGTGTAGGCTAGGAGCAAGAGTCAAAGGTTATGCTCAGGGATTTATCACACACAGCAGGTTTCCAAAACACCGTAGTGCTGATACCCCAGACTCCATCCACTGAGGTCCTGCCAGGAGATCCCTCTTTGTCCACTCCCTCTCCAAGATGCAACAGTCATCAGAGGACATAGGCAGCTTCTGCTCTCCTGACATTTTCACTCCCCACTGTGTTCCTTCTGCAAATCTTGTTAATACTTATACTCTACCTTTTGCCCTTTTTATATCCTCACACAGCAGAACTTGGAAAGACCCAGAGTGGAGAGTGTGAGTTTTAGACTCACATCGCAGTTGGAGTGCTGACTTTGCTGCTCACTCTCCGTGTGTCCTTGGACCCACAGGTAACCCTCTGAGCCTCAGTTTCTACATTTGCAATAAGCAGATGGTTGGAGTACTTTGCTCACGGGGTTGTTTGAGGAATAAACAGGATCATGCTTTTCAAGCACCTAGCATAAGGTGTGGTCCAGGTTTGTCACATCCTCCTACCCTGCCCTGGAATAACTACTGCTCCTCTCCTCAAGGACTCCCTGGCTTCCCCAGCTGGGCCAGTGCCCTCCTTTTTTGCTGTATTTACTGAATTAGCTTGTCAATCATTATTTGCCTATTTGACTGTCCCTGCTAAGCTGTGAGCCTTCAGGGGAAGGGTTTGCATCTTGTATCTCTAAGCCCCCAAATGCCAGCATGAGTCCACCACATACTGGGTGTTTAGTAAACACTGCTCGAATGAACAAATGAAATGGTTTCTGCTCAGCAGCTCTACCTGCTGGCAGTGTTGGGCAAAAGCAAGGGAGGAAGAGACGACATCATTTATCAGATGAGGGGAAGCATCTCTGAGGCTCCAGTCAGCATCCTTAGCTTAAATACATGCTGCCTACCATCTCCCCCCTATGTCTCACACCCTAAGACATCAGGGTGAGATTGCCTGCCCTGTTTCCATCTCCATATGCTATTACCATGTTTCCATACCAAAGACTCCTCTACCTTCATATTTACATTGCTGAGTCAGTGCGCATTTAACGTGTAATGTTTGTTTTCATGACTCATCATGCTGCCTCAGAGGCTGCCATTAAATCAGTGTCTATCTTTTAGGTATTGGGATTTGAAAGCCACTGGCTAACTTTCTGCATCTTCTTTTCTCTCTGTTGAAGCTTGCTTTGTATGTTTGATAGGACAGAAGCAGAGGGACCCAAGAAAAGAACATGAGTAAAACAGAAGTTTTCAGCCCTAATGTCAAGGCACACTGGGGTGTTTTCAGGGCTAACTAGGCCAGGAACTAGCTTTTAGTCACAAACTATCTTGTCCTTGCAGCATCCAGCAGAAAACCATTGTTTGGTTCTTGTCAGCGTTATCGTCTGGGCATTATAGACAGAAAGTAGACTGAGGACCAATATACCAGAAGGGAGATTCTCCTCTCTAAACTTCCAAGGCTCTATTCATGAGTAAGGATGGCAAAGATCTAGAGGAGGTCAGAGTTGTTTGTGAACAAAGATGCAAATTTGGGGTGAAGCTCAGAGGCCAGTGGGGGAGTGTTCATGCATGTCTCTGCTTGCTTTAAGGATGTTTATTGGTGGAAGTGAGGACAGATGTTCAAATAAAGTTTCATGAATAGTTTTGCAGAGAGGTTTCTCTACCTATCCCCTCTTTCTCTCTCTCTCTCTCTCAGCTCTCTCTCTCTCTCCTCTCTCTCTCTCTCATATCTCTATCACCTACTTACCTGTCATATGAGAAAATAGCTTATAAAGGGCAAATCCTAGATGTCAAGTCAAGAGTCTTAATTCAAGTCTGAGTTCTAGTGGTAGCTTTGCCAGCAACTCATTCTTCCTTCATGGAAAAGAATGTAACCTCTTACTTGAGGATACCAAACAGTCCTGGAAAATTGCATCTTCAGGTATTAAACATTCTATGGATCCGAAACCATCTTTCAACATAAGCAAGCTTGTTAGCCAAATTTATCTTAGGTAGGTCAAATTTTTATATGAGAGTGTTGTAATTTTGTATGTGTTGGCTGTATCTTTATAGTAAAGGAGGACCCCTTGGATCTTGAATAATCAATAAGTGTAGAATATATGTGTGTATTTTATCACCCAATTTTATTATTTCAAATGACTGCAGAAGTTGACAGCTGAACCTTTGGTTTTTTGACATGTTCTTGATGAACCTGTGATTTATCTTATACTGAGTTCTTAGTCGTGGTTACAACTCCCAAGCTGACTTTTTCTTTTTGTAGGAGACGTACACTATGATAAAATGCCTAGGACCACTTGGGGGAGTCGGGGGAAACTTTCCCTCAGTCTGAACTTTTTTTTTTCAGTCTGCATTTAACAGGCAGCCTCTGTTAAATGCATTGTGCTTACTCATGTGGACCACTGATGAGATTTAATATTGCCCGGCTTCCTGCTTATGAAGTTCCCATTTGAAGAGAACTATTCCAATGAGAACAAGGCACGGTAGTTTCAGAGATCAATACTGGACTTGTTCCTGATCAATATGGAACTATTTGGCAATTTTCTCATATAGAATGACATTTCCTCTTGTAATCTGAGGCAAATTCAACTGAAATGAAAAAAGGCAATTACTAAAGAATGAAGTAATATGATATTTTGTTTTACACAAACAATAAATGATAAAAGGGACCTCTGAGAATTGGATTCGTGGAGGTAAGCTGCTCCTGTTCTGTTCCTTGCTGACGTGAGTAACTACTTAGATTGCAACATGGAAAGTGGTGTGCTGCGTTTTGCATTCTGTGAAAGCATTTCCAAAGCCGTTCCTTTGAAATGAAAGTACAAGTTCAATTAAGCATAGAGAAAGGCACCAGGAGCAATATGCTTAAACTCCTTGGTGATATTTCGTCACATTTAACACCACGTCCCTCTGAGGAGCGGCGCATAAAACACTTCCCAAAGAACTGAGAAGTATAAGGCAGTTCCAAGTTGATCTGTCCTTGCCTACACATGCATCTTTTAGCTGAATAGAAGATCTGGGGGTTGGGGGAAGTAAAGCAAAGTTATAAACAGGTAAGACTGAAAAAGATGCTTTAAAGGGCTTGTGCCACGTGTCAAAGCGCTGAATCTGAAAGCTCTCCTCCAGATGCCTTCAGTGGTGTGGTTTTATTTCCTTAGAGGAAATACATTAGGACAATAGCCATATCTTTTTTTTTCCTTATTTTTTATTTGAGATGGAGTCTTGCTCTGTCGCCCAGGCTGGAGTGCAGTGGCATGATCTTGGCTCACTGTAACCTCCGCCTCCCAAGTTTCAGTGATTGTCCTGCCTCAGCCTCCCGAGTAGCTGGGATTATAGGTGCCCACCACCATGCCCAGCTAATTTTTGTATTTTTGGTACAGACAGGGTTTCACCATGGTGGCCAGGCTCGTCTTGAACTCCTGACTTCAGGTGATCTGCCCATCTCAGCCTCCCAAAGTGCTGGGATTATAAGTGTGAGTCAACACGCCCAGCCACCATACCTTTTTAAATTTGAAATTTGTGATCGTTTGGATTCTTATTGGACTAAATGAATGGGGGCATGCGACACTGAAGGAGAATGAAGCTACCAAAATAATACTGTCCTAAGATGTTAGAGGAAAGTGTTTTATATGCAGTGTTCTAATAACTGTTCCCTCTTACCCACTTAAGAAGCCTCTTTGCACTTCATTGGTCACTAGTTTAGCCACTTGAAAACAGCATAAAATCTCTTTTTAAAAAATAATGCTGGCTTAATGAAATTGGGTAGATAATAAAATAAGAATACTACTTTTTATTTAATTGGGATTCTGTTAATTAATGCCAATTAATTAACACAAGAAAAATGGAGGGATATTAGCCTTATTCCAATACACTACGTTAAAAAATTAAAATACTTCAAGTAAATTACCAATATCTCCTCCAGAAAATCCATTCGGAAAATCTATTTTTCAATGTCATGATTTTAGTCTTAACCCCCAGTCTGTTGAAGGGGAATTTGACTTTAATAAAATGGGTTTTCTTTAGAAGACTTTCTAAATTCAGCCCGAATTTAGTTCAGGCTAGTTTTTTTCATTGTCAGTCCCAGTTAGAGTGTTTTATAAGTTTCACTCAGACATATGAAATCTAAGCTTGCAAGGAAAGTAAAGTAGTAGAATCTCATTAAATCATCACCATCCACTGCATGGATTCAAGCACAGGAGCGGTATTTCATTTAAAACAAGCAAATTCTGTTGACTCTGTGTCCTGTATTGCATTTACCTTCAACATAATTTTTATTTGGCATCATAGCAACCTGCCTCCTCCCCTGAGGGAAGCTGGATTTGATAGCCAGGTACCTTAAGACAACTTAGAAATACACGTTCATTTTACACCTAGTTTATACCACTCATTGTTCAGGCATTTGACTCATTACCTTGTTTGATTCTCATGCCAACCATCTCAACGTCAGCATTAATATCTTCCTCTTACAGATCGGGGAGGTGTTTAGAAGCTTGCTTAAAGTCAGGCAACAAAAGGAAGTGGTAGAGCCAGGATAGGAGCCCAGATCTCTCTTCACTAGAACACACTGCCTCCCATGGGTGTGGTGCCTTTACCAGCATGGCATTTAGCCTCCAAAATTCCCAATCCTCTTGGCGAGATTCTCCCTCTTTCCTCCTTGTATGAATTTCCTGGCATTGATTTTTTTTGTAACTGGCTCAAAAGAATGATTTTGCACAGTTCCCCCCCTTTTTTTTTTTCCTGGTCATTCATTCTGTGCCCAATCCTACAAACCGGGCAAATGGACTGTGTCTCTTCCAGCTGCCATGTTGTGATTTCACCCCGCTGCCTCCATGTGTGCAGCAGCTCCCTGCACCACCTCAGTTTGCTGATGAGGCAGCCACACGGGAGCCTCTTCCAGGGTGGGATTTTAAAGATATCTTTAGAAGTGATTTTCAATCCTAAGTCATGGAGATTTGAGTTGCTCTTTCAAAAGTGAGGACATGTCCCGCCTCTCTTCTCTATTTATTCTTACTCTCAGGATTTCACCAACGTTTAAACGCCATCTGGATGCCAACGTCTTCCACATTTATATCTTCAGTTCTCCCTCCTGAAATCCAGACTCATATATCCAACTGCCTACTCCACACCTCTTCTTGGGTACCTTATAAACATCTCAAGCTGAACATGTTCAAAATTTCTGATTTCCTTCCCACCCACGGATACGCTTCATCCACAGTCTCCCCATCTCAGTGGATGAAAATGTCTTCTTTCCAGTTGCTCAGGCTAAAAGTCTTACAGTCATCCCTCACTCCCCTCTTTCTCTCACATAAAACATCAGATATATTATCAGATATATCAGTACATTTCTTGGCTTTTTTTTTTTTTTTTTTGACAGAATCTTGCTTTGTTGCCCAGGCTGGAGTGCAATGGTACGATCTCAGCTCACTGCCACCTCCGCCTCCCGGGTTCAAGTGATTCTCCTGCCTCAGCCTCCCAAGTAGCTGGAATTACAGGCGCGCGCCACAATCCCAGCTAATTTTTGTATTTTTAGTGGAGATGGGGTCTCACCATGTTGGTCAGGCTGGTCTCGAACTCCTGACCTCGTGATCCACCTGCCTCGGCCTCCCAAAGTGCTGGGATTACAGGTGTGAGCCACTGTGCCCGGCCTCTTGGCTTTTTCTTTAAAATATATCCAATTATTTCTCACCATCTCCCTGCCAATCCCCATCAGCCCGGTCATGGTCAGTGCCATCGTCTCATTATTTGGGTTGCTGCAATCCTCTTCTATTGTGGACTCTGCCCCTTGTAGTCTATTCTCAACCAAGCAATGAGGCGATCCTTTTGTCAACAGATGATGTCACTCTGCTTAAATTCCTAGATTGACTTTTTGTTACAATGACCTTCAAGGGGCAGATTTTCAGAAGACTGACCCCCTCTAGAATTAATCTCTGTGCCTTCTCTGGTGACTATATATGTCAGTAATGGCAATGTCACTGTGTCCCTCTGAATGACTGATTTCCACTGGAGGTACCATGTTCAGGGCCAGGCAGGAGTTGGAGAGAGCTTAGGTCAGGATGTACTTGAACTGCCAAAGTTCCCATCAGTTCTGTGGTTAGTATATGTCCCTTTCAAGTGGAGGCACATGCAAATAGCAAAAAGATGCTTCTTCAAACTGAACCAAAGTTGGAATTAAGAGAAAAACATGCTGACAAGTTTCATGGAATGTGAAAACATCTTCACTGCAATTAGTTTTAAGACCCTGGAGCTAAGCTTTCCTTCCTCCTTAGGGAGAAAGCATGATAGGAAGGAAAAGCAGAGGAAACAGTACCCAGGAAGACCTGTATTTGGATACTTGCTCTTCTACTATGGAAGAATATTTTTCAGGAAATGTTCACTTCTTCCTCATCTTCATCTCCTTGGCAGGATTTTCATGTTGAGCTTGGCCATATGGCTTGCTTTGGCTTGTGGAAGTGGACAGAGTGAGTGTGTGAGTTTCATGACTAGGCCTTAAGTCACATCACTTATTTCTTCCCTCTACCATGAGAACTACTTGCCCTGGATATCATCTTGATCCTAGAACAATGAGAGTCACGTGGAGCTGAGCTGCTTCAGCTCACTTGCAGACCTGTAGCTGGAAGCAGAGCCACCCCTACCAACCCAAGGAGGGAGCAATAAGAAATCAATGCTTATCATTGAATGCTTGTTTATTACGCAGAAGTTGCTGACTGATACAGCCATTAAATGTGTGTCATTGGTCAAATGACTTCACCTCTTGAAGCCTTGATTTTTCCCATCTGTAAACTGGGGATGGCAATCATACCGCTCTGAAGGACTTCGTGAGCACTAGGTAAGGAGCCTGTATGTAAAGCATAGACCTTGGTGTGTGGAAAGTGCTCAGTAAGCATCATCTCCATATTCCTGGGGCTCAGCACGTTGCAGAGTGGATACTGCATCTAAATGAGCAGAGCAAATTGAAGCTATGCTGGGGTGCAGTTCTGGGTAGCAACAGTAGAATGGGCAGGGGTGGAGGTTAGGTGTCCCTCAGTAGCATGGTAGAAATGGTGGGGTGGGGGGTTGATTTCTGTCTCTCGAACATTTAGAAGGACAGAAGCAGGATACCCTGATAGGGCCCCCTGAGTTTTCTTCATCTTAACCTGAATTTATGGGCCAGTGCTGGCCTAACCTGCTGCCTGTTGGAAAGCCTCGGGAGGGACTTCCAGTCTTATGTTTCCCACCCACTGGCTGTGTTCTAGTGAATGACTCCTACTCCAGACTCCCCTGCCTGCCACTGGGCTAACCTTCTGGCTGCCCTAGGGACAAAAGAGAGCTGTGGTTTTCTGCTGCGCAAATCAATTCATTTCTGCCGCAGTGTCCTGGGCAAAGCAGTGTCAGGGTCATTCTCATGAATCGGCCATCATTATTCCTGCAGTGCTGCTCCCTTCAGGTATGTGACAAAGGTCACTACAGAGGACACCTCAATTACTCCCTGCTGAATTATAGGAGCACAAAATTCCTGTTATTAGGGGGCCTAAATCAGCTATCTTTCCCCATGCAGGCCAGGATCTCTTTATCTTGCTTTGGCTCCCCTTTCTTTTCCCTGGGCCCTGAGAGGTGTAGAGTATGGGGGTCAGAAGGAGAGGGTGCTCCTGCTGTCTTCTATTTGCATTTCTAGGAATGTGTCTTCAGAGGTGAAAAGGGTGTTTAAATGTCTGCCTGCCTTCTGCATAAACACCTTAACATGGCTCAAGATCCGGCTCCAGAACATCTTTCTTGCCACTCCCTCTGCCCCGTCACAGCTCCTGAAAGAGGCCATTCATCCTTCTATTCACCCAGGCCATCACCAATGCTTATTGGGCGTGCCTCGTCTTAGGCACTGAGACGAAGAGCTGATGAAGACAGAGTTCCTCCCTCTGAACTCTTCACCGGCCTTCAGTGCTCTCCAGGTTTTGTGCATGTGGCTCCCCACACTTGGAATGCTTTTCCTTCCCTCCCTCCCTTTCTTCCTTTCCTCCCTTCCATCTGTCTTTTCCTTCTTCCCTGCCTCCCCTTCCTCTCCCTCCCCTCTCTTGCTCCTCCCTTGGTGGCACAAGCCACATCACTTAATATTAATCAGACCAGTGCTGGGGGATGGGTGGTGGGGTGGGGAGGAAAGTCCCTCTAATGATTGACTCTGCAACTGGTAATCTGTTAGACTGTGTGTTGGGGCTTAATGTGTGATTTCATGCATTTTCACGGTCTCTAAATTGCAAATCCAAGATTATTTGAAAACATTTTATTTAATTTTCATGCTTTTTTCATCAAAAAAGTTAAAAGAATAATAATCTTTTATGGGCAGTTATAAATGTGCTATTTACACACAAGACAGAAATATCTCCCTTAGCTGAGCAATCTAAGTGTGTGCTTAGAGAGGACTCCATAAGAATACTAATGAGAAAAGGCAGAATATGCTTGGAGACAACCTAATTCATTCTTCTGGGCAATGTCTCTCTAGGTGGAGCGGGATTCTCCAGGTTCATTCCTCAGCCCTACCAGTCTCCCAGCCTCTGCAGATGGGAGGGACTTGGCAGTGAGCACGTGGTAGTTGTAGGGCTGCTGTCTGGGCCATCTTTACATCCCTGGAGCTTCGCTTGGTGCCTGTCATGGGGCAGGCATGCAGGAAATGTTTGTCGAATAAGTGAGTAAACGGCTGAGTGAAGCATTCTCCATACTCTCCCTTGGCAGTCCAATGTGAGAGCTGTACACATTCATTTTTTTTTCTTCACATCACCATTGGAGAGAGAAGCAGCAGACACAGCTGAGCTCCTGGCTTGGTGAAGGGCATGCCAAGGGGATGTGGGTGCTTGGATGTTTGCCAACTGTTTTTCACTTTTGTGAGAATCATTATTTACCTATTGCTTGATTCAGAATCCCAGACCTAGAAGGACTTTAGAAACTTGAAGTTCAACTTTTTTACTTTATAAGATGAATGACAGAGTCAAAGTGAGGAAACTCCTTGATGAAGGACAAAGCCAGGACTTGAATCCCAGTATCCTACTCGCTCCTAATTAGGTAAAGACAATCTTTTTTCCTCATATTATTTCTTTCATCTATGGGTGTGTGCTGTCTCACCCAACTTTTCCCAAATCCTGCACCTTCTGGGATTGCTGGAGATGACAGCAGCATCTTTTTCCTTCCTCCTTCAACTTTGCACTGTTCTCTCTTTTCTGCATAATGAGTCTGGGGATAAAACACTCTGGAAACCCAAGGAAACTGGACAGAGTCCTCTACATCCATGGGCCACACATGTGGCTGAAGAGAGATGCTATCCTGTCTCTGCCTGGAAAGGAGACCCAGCCACACACAGAGAAATGGTCTAGCCGAGGGCTTCTGTAAATGTTGCGATTGGATCCATAGTACCTGATGAGGGCTTTCTCAATCCCGTAATTGGCAAAGCCCCAACTGTGACCAGCTGACACGGTGGAGCGTGTCAGCCAGCAGAGTCCCCTGGCTCATTACCAATCTATGGGATAACGATGACCACCATAGTCATAATCATTATCACCTTAGGCATGGATGACAAAGGCACCCTAGGGACTTCTGCTTGAAATGAGCTGCTTCTTAGCCAAACCCTAATCTCCAGAGTGACTTTCTACAGAACTGCAGGATCATGAAACTGAAAAGGGCCCATGGAGATCATCAGTTCTGGCTTCCCGCCTTCAGGCAGGTCTAACCTTTATAGAATAGTTGCTGTGGAGGAAATTGAACCAAACTTACTTTTATATGTTATTCTTGTGATAGTATCTCTGTTGAGCATTCGATTAAGAAATGGGTTTGATGAATCAGAAACCTGGAGGAGAAAAGAAAATATTAATGACTGGGCATCACTCTTGCAGGACAAACATCTCCCCGTGACATTCACTTATTCATTCATAGTTACTGAGTATCTACCATGAGCCAAACACAATGACAGCTGCAAATTCAGAGAGCAAAGCCAGAGTCCCTATTCTCAAGGACAGCCCAGTCTAGAGAGGAAGACAGGTAAGTGAACAAACTGTTCTCATATAGTGTGAAGAGTGCTATGATTGAGTCATTGGTGTAATGATGTTGGAGGAAGACCAGCCACCACCTGAGAATCTAAGTCATGAGTCTGAGAGGATGGGTAGAAGTTAACAAAGCGTTCTGGTGATAGAGTGTGAAAAGGGATGAAAGGCAAGGAAAAGCATTTCATACAGAAAATCTTTACATACACGGACATGGGGAAGTGAGAACCAGGCATGCTCATGCAAAGACTTCAGTGTACTTGGAGCTGAGGGTATGGGGAAGGATAGGAAGTGAGCCTAGAAAGATTGGCAGGGGCCAGATCATGTCAGGCTTTTAAGCAAGGTAGGGACTGACATGTTAGGAAGGGGAAATTCATCTACGTAGAGGGTGAGACATAAAGAGTACCCAGAATAGAGGTATAAGGAAATGGAAAAAAAAAAAAACTGAAAAGTATCACTGCTCATTATTGCATGAATTGAGTATATCATAAGCCATGTAATTCAATCAACCAACCATCCATCCATCCAGCCAGCCAGTCAGCCAGCCAGCCAGCCAGCCACCCACCCAACAAATAAATATTTGCAGAGGGTCTATTATGGGCCAAACATTGTACCAGATGTTCAGGGATCAGTTCCCATTTTATGCCTATGCCCTTATAGCTTCAAATTCCTCTGTTGGGAGAAGAAACCAGGTTTCCAGGGGCTTCAGCAGGGAACCATCATTGATGAGACTGTGATGTGGCCCTACATAAGAAAAGGGTTTTCTTAAAAACACCTGTTTACTCAGCCTTTTCTGGGGTACCATTGTTCATCCTAGTCATTTCTCTCCTACCTTGCTTAGCTCTGCTCTGTAATTTATGTCTCAGTGGCTAATCGGATGTTGTGACACATCAACATTTTAAATCTGATTTATCTGAGGGTTGGAAAAATTGCAGCAGATGATTATTATTATTAGATAAGCAACAGGTAATTTTAGCTTGGAGAAAGCACAGACTGTTTATTTTCCCTCCATCTGTCTCCCTTTTTGCGGTTTCCTGGCTGTGTTGTGGTGAGACACACACCAAAGGGAGCTTGGTGAGTGACAATGCCCAGTGGAGGTAAAAGTCCATCCCTAAATAGAAAAAGTCCCAAATTGAATACTGCTGCTCCCCTCAGTGCTATATTCAACATCTACTTTGACATCCTCTTCAGCCATTTAAAAGATAGCTTGAAGCCTGCTCCTGGTGCTGATGCACCCCATGAAAGAAAGATGGCTAGGAATATATTGTCGTGGCAGGTAAGGAATCTGTTATGTACCTTACTTCCTGGGTGCCTTGAGCTCCTGGTACCTGGTGAGTCTGGTCAGCCCTTGCGTTGGGAGCAGACCATTTTGAGCTGATTAAAAATAATTGAAAAATTTCCAAAGTGCACACAGATGATTTGTGGGCTCTAGTGTGTTGGCTGCGTGGGTGAGAGGATAAAATATGTACTTGGTATAAGTGAGCTTAAGTGGGAAGTTAATGGTGTGTGATTGAGCAGCAATTACAGCCAAATCTCAGTTCCCTGTGGTCACAGCAAGGGTGGGGGATTTGTGGAGGACAGAGATAAATAAAACTCATAGATAAGCAAGTATCTCCTTTTAGAGAGTAACTCCAGCTTTTCTACGGCTCAGCTTTTAGCCAGGGTGATAACTCTAGGACTAAACTACCAGGATGTGGGGCTTGTCATATCCCACTCCTGCCCACCCTGCTGGGAAGGGAAGGCAGAGAGTTCAGAAGGAGGGGAGGACAACTACAAGAGGCTGTGCACCCTTAGGGACCAAGAGCTTTGTTCATCTTACTTCTGGATACCAGTGCCTAGCAGAGGGCTGGCCTGTAGTACCTCATGCTCCATCAGAGTTTTGAGATGAGTGAATGGTCAGTCACAGCTTAAATAACTCATGGTGGAGTTGATTTTCTGGGAGTTGATTATATGGAGGGAAGACAGAAATGTTGTGGCTTATTTTGAGATCTAGCAAGAAAGTTTCAGGTCTGCTCAGGGAAAGAATGGCTTCATCCCTAGGAGCTAAACTGACCTGAGAAGATGCAGGAGCTAGTTATTATCCCTTCACTGACCTCAGGGTCTACAGCCTAAGTTTCTTTCAACAGCCTGTGGGCAAGCAACTAGGACTTGCAAACCCCAGCTGCTAGTCACCAGCTCGGTAGGAATGAACATTTCTGTAGGAGCTTGTGAAACACACCAGTAATTTGTTGTTGGCTTCCCAGTGTATCCGTCACTCTGTCAGCTGTCATGTGCCTGTGCCTCCAGAATGACAGTCACTGACTCAAGTTTTCAGACACATGAGGTAAAGTCAGGACCAAGGCCGAGACACTCTCCAAAGGACAGGAATTGCTGGGGCAGGCAGGATTTGTGCTGGGAAAGTCATAGGGGGAAGTGAGCTCCTGGACACACATGACAATATTGTGACCTATCTACGGCTTCACAGTGAGTGCAGCCTAGGTTGAATGTACAAATTGGTTATCAATGCCATAATCAGGGCTTGATTAAGAGATACAGGAATTTGCCCTGTGCTTATGAGTAGCATGGGGTTGTGGGGAGTGTGGGAAGAATGTTTTAAAATGTCATGTACTCCCTTCTTGCCCTCACTTGCTCTCTCCCAGCTCTATTGGAGAGGCATAGAATGAGTAAGCCATTCTTTCATGAGTATTAAAGTCAGGGAAGACTTGGATCCTCTCCTGGCTGGGCTGTTATAAGCGACATGAACTTGGGTGAAATCCCAAAGGTTCTCTGAATAATTTTACTCATCTGTAAGATACAACACGAATGTTCAACCTCTGAGTTTATTACTAAACAACAAAATAGATGTAAAATACATATCATAGTGTCTGGCATTCAGAAATCTACTGTTTATTATTCCAGGGTTTGTGATGATGCCAGGAGATACCATTAGAATCTGTGCTGGGACCAGTTTCCTTTGAGATGTCATGTCAAGTATCACAAAGGCATGAAAGCCTAAAAATATGCTTCCCTGGCCAAATGTCCCTTCCTCTCTTTGTTAATGACAAACCAGAGGAGGTTGAGGTTAGTGGCCAGGGATAGCAACATGCCATGGATGCCCCATCCAGCCCCTGCCCAGTGCATAGGTCTGCCCTGATCTGACCAAGGGGAGGGTGAGGAAGTTAGGAGGGGGCATGGCATGGATGACCAGGGAGGGTGAAGTGCCTATGGCACGGGGTAATTCTTTTGTGGGGGCGGGGAGAGGGATCAGTGCCCCAGGTGCCCATTCTTCTGAGTAATAATGATGTCATCATGACAGCCCTGTTAAAATTCCCTGGTGGCAGTTTTGATCTATTGATCATCTCCATCAGATTCCCAATTCCGATTGGGGCACTTTCTCTAATGATCTGGCCAAAACATCCCCAGGGGCTAGCATGGTGACTGCTAATGTTTGGAACTGCCACACATTGCTTTTTTTTAATTTTTATTTTTCTAATTAGAAAAGCAATTTCTTTTTTTATTAAAAAATTTGCATACCTGCTTCTCTCTACATCTGCTAAAATGTTAAAGGTAATTAGTATTTTTTTTTAAACAAATTAGAATGTGATTGGTTGGAGATTTTATGTTGTCGTTGTTGACTGTTAGGGAGATGTGGAGTTTCCTCAAAATGTCATAAAGTCAGTGTGGGTAATCTTATTACCAGGGAGGCTTATGAAGGAACGGGAGAGCGAGAGAGAAAGATGATGCTCAGAGCAATTGTGAGGAAGCTGGAAGGAGCTATTTAGTGCAGTGCCTGGAGGGGAGAGACATCTCACTTCTTCCTATGTTTACAAGGGGCAGCTGAATGGTGAACAGGACTTTAATCCTGTGGGGCATTAGTGAGCCACCCACCCTTCTAGTATTATATCCTTCTGATTTCACTGCATTAGGTGGGTCCTAAAGCCTGTCCCTGGATCTAGCCCCCTTTTTCTTTCTAGGACAGAAGCTGCTTGAATCCTCAGGCCCAGATGCTCTGAAATGGAGATTATCATTTTTGCATCTCACTGCAGGGGGCCTCATTTTTCATAAATCTCATGTATATAAAAGGCACCATCCCATAGTTTTCTTAGGCATGGATAGCACCCCTTTTAATATTTCTAACTCCAACAGAGACCGTAAATTGGTATTCTGATTGAGGTGGGGATGGTGAGAAGAATGAAGGAATGCAAGAGACTTACTTTTATAAATATAGAAACTACCACCAATCCATTTGGACTCTTTGCAGCTTCTGTGACATTCGTATATAGCTCATGGTTATAGTGGATGAGCTGCACCTGGCAGGAGGGAAAAACAAGAATCAGAACAATAATCCAACATTAAAAGGTATGAGGCATAGCACCTGCCCCTACATAAGGGTGAACTGCAAAGTATATTGAGGAACAATTTGGAAGACAATTTTAATTGAAGGGATTTCAGAGGGATGTGTGTGCATATGTGTGTAAAATGCATGTACACGCACACAAAAATACCCATACATATTTGCAAATGTTTTCTGGTAACAAGCATGCTTTTCATAAGCTCAGAGCCCATCTGGCTCTGGCTCCATCCCAGGACATTTCCCCTAAAGCGTGTGTAAAGTGAATTTTCCTTATTAGGAACGGAACTGCCCTGTAGGGGTGGATGTTGTGTCCCTGCTGCACCACCAACAGCTGCCACTGGCAGCCAGTAAATCTTCCTTGCAGCCTCGGAGCAAACAGGGAGCTGTTAGGTCCTGAGTCAGCCATGACTGGGATGAAACTGGCCAGCCTGCAAGATGCAGTAGTAGCTGATGGATCAGGCTTCTGATGCACCAGCCTGTCCCGGTCATCTGGTTGTGTAGGACTTTATTTCCTCCTCATTCAATAAGGATCAGTCCACCTGTTGAGCCTTTTTCCTGTTACTTAATTTTTTTAAATTCATTTTTAAAAATCGTGTATAAACATACATATATGTTCAAACAGATGCTCCAGCAATTTTTAGCCACATGATCAAGTTACCCCACATCACTGGGATCAATTGTTTCCTCTGAAAAATGGATATGATGATCTTTCCTTAAAATTCATCATCTCAGGGCTGTGATTTTAAAACAGTTTTTTCTTAACAGTATGGAAGCCTAATTTTTTTTTTTTTTTTAAGTTGGAGTCTCGCTCTGTCACCCAGGCTGGAGTGCAGTGGCGCGATTTCAGCTCACTGCAACCTCCGCCTCCCAGGTTCAAGTGATTGTCCTGCCTCAGCCTTCCAAGTAGCTAGGACTACAGGCGCATGTCACCACGCCAGGCTAATTTTTTGTATTTTTAGTAGAGACGGGGTTTCACCATGTTACCCAGGATGGTCTCCATCTCCTGACCTCGTGATCCACCCGCCTTGGCCTCCCAAAGTGCTGGGATTACAGGTGTGAGCCACTGCGCCCGGCCAGAAGCATAATTTTTTAACAAATTAAAATATAGAAGTAAAAAACGTGATGCCCCCCCCACCACCTCTTTCTAATTCTAGTCCATGCTATACATACAACTATTAACAGTTTAGTGTACATCCTTGTGGTTACTTGTTTTGTGCTTATAAGTCACACAAACACACATAGCGTATAAAAAATAATAAATTCCCTAGTCCACAGTAACTGTTAAAAAAACAGAAAGGGATGATTAATAATTATGATTCTGAACTTGATTTTTTAAAATTTAAAAGTAGTTTGTAGCTATCTTTCTAAGCCAATGCATATAGATCTCCCCAAGTCTTCCAAATAACTATAGAATTCTCAGTTGCACAAACACCCATAACATATTTAACCATCTTCTCGCTGGCTTTCGTGTTGTTTCCATTTTTTTGTCTCTTATAAACAATGTCACAGCAAGCACATCATATATCTTTCTGTAATGGTGTTAGCATTTTCCACAGGCTGATTTGAGAATCCAATAAGATAGTGCATGTAGAAGTGATTTGTGACTCTGAAAGTGTAAGAGAGTACTCATTATTGCCAATATCTTGAATTGCATTAAAAAAGGTGAAGTTTTAGAAGTTGAGAAATGTGATGATCAAAAAAGATGCTTTTCCTTGAACTTTGAGAAAAAGAAACCATATCTAACCCAGTGGTTTGCTACCTTCACTGTGCATCCAGATCACCTGGGTGCTTTTAAAGCCCACCTGTGCCTGTCTATGCCTTCTCACATTCTGATTTAATTGATTTGGGATGATACTTGTATTCATCAAAAGCTTACCAGCTAGAGGGAAGTTGGACTTCAGAACAAGTGGAACATAATCAATGAACATTAATATCCCATCAATGCCTAGTCAGATGGACAGTACCTTGAATCTGAGAATATCCTGAGCCTCCTGAGGTGTAGAGGAACTTCTCATGAAGAGAGCACATGTTACTGCTGCTCTTGAAATATCCTATTTGCTTATTGCTTTTTCACCTATGAGTTTTGCCAGTGGAGATGGATGACTCTATAGTAGCTACTCTGCCATCAGAAAGGCAACCGCAGGCCAGGCGTTGCTCTGCCTCCGCAGGACTTTTAATCCCCCCTCCCTTGTACCCCCACACAACCAGGACTTTCTGCAGGTGGAGAAATGTTGCCAGGTGGTGGAAGAACCAGGGACTGGGGGGTTCTCACACACTCAGCACACCTCCCTTCCAGTGCTGAGTAAGCTTCTAATGAGAACAAAACACACCCTGCCATCTGCTAACTTCTTCCCACTGATACAGGTGACCAACAAAACTGCCAGGGGATGTGCCAGTGCTTCCAGACATGCCTTGAAGTTAAAGCATGTTCTGAACAGAGGAGGGACATGAAAGGCAATCCAGTGGAGTGATCCTTCTGTCCAGCTTGCAAGGCAGAAAAAGGCAGGAAGAAGTCTCCTGGGCCATGGGCTGCCTCTCAGGGTGGGGTTCTTTTGGGAGCCAGGAACTGTAAGAAAGGAGCTGGCAAGTACAGGGCTGAGGCTGTGCTTTAAGCTTGAGTTAACACATTTAAAACTTTGATCTGAAGTCATGCCTCCTCTCTGTTCCAAGGTGAGTTGGCTAGGATTCTGATATCAGGAGCTTTGGTTTCTATTAGTAGTTGTTGATGGACTGTCTATTGTGTTAGGTTGAACCACATGAAATTGATCTTTTGCTTTACAAAACTGGTGAATTTATAGTTAATACATTCTAGAAATAAAGCTATTTTGAATATGAGTTTTGAGCATTTTCTTTCTGACCCCCAGTCAGATGTTAATAAGATGACAGTGTGCGCTCTAGGGATCAGCAGCAGCCACAGCATCTAGGAGCTTGTTAGAAATGCAGAATCGGGAGCCCCATCCCAGGTCTCCTGAATCAAGATCTGCATTTTCTCAAATTCCTAGTGATTTGGATGCACGCTAAAGTTTCAGAAGTGCTGCTATAGCAGATACTGTTGGCTGGTGAGCAGAGTCCTGTTTTGTCTGGCTGTTTACCCCTTCTCCACTTCAATTTGGGTGGGTTAAGGAGCACATGCATCACCTATGTTGGAAAACAGGCTGAGTCCAGATCATAGGACCCCTGGAATGTCAGCAATAGAAAGGCTTTGAGCAGGGGAATGAGATAATCAGCATGGACTGTAAGAGGGTAGATTGGAGCCAGGAGAAAATAGAGGTGGAGGTTGGGGGGTATTTAATTTCAGATGATGGTTATTAAGGCAGAGATGTGCTCTATAGGCCTTTGCAGTTTACAGAATGTGTATGTTTGTGTGCTGAAGAGGCACCAGGAGATTTCCCCAGGCAACAGAACATCTAGGAGCAACAGAAGAGCACAGGAGACAGCTTGACAGTCACCAGGCTTTTTGTTCTCAGCTGTAAGAACACAGTTTGGGCATCAAAGATAACCTGGGACCTGTATCAGTTCATGCATGAACAGCAGGTCTTAACCATGAAAAAGTGCTGCTTCCTTTCTACTGCCTTCCAGGTCTTTGTTGGTGGTGATCACAGTTCCTGCAGCTGTTGCCTTTGCTCTTCCCTAGCCAGGCACAATAATGCTAACCCAATACCCACTAACCACTCACAATATGCATGGGTCCAGGTGGGTCTGGAGAAAAGCAGGGTTCACTGCTTCTCCTACCATGACTTTGGGCTTGGGGAGCAGCAATGTGCAAACCACATCCTGCTAGGGACAGAGTATCAGATTGGCAGATGGGTTCTGAAAGTGATGCCTGTGGATGGATTTCTTTTTGCCATGTATAGGTAACACTTTTAAATCTCAACCATATAAAGTCTGAATTTTGAATAATTTAGATGGGCCCTAAGCTATACCTTAACTGAGCCCCAACTTTAAGGCTTATGCAGAGTAATCACAGTGTCTGATGTGAAACAGATGATCAATAAGTGATTGTTCAACTGTCTGAGCAAGTGCATGATTTGACTAAGACTGCAGGGACAATGAGAGCAAACTCTTCGGGGGCTAATGATGACATGCTAATTAAACACCAAGTTCAAGTTCAAGAATTTAAGCTATTCATTAAAGAGATGCCTTGAGGGCTTCTGCTAGTTTAGTTGGCATTACCATGTGAAAGGGTTAAACCTGGATTCCTGGAAATTATTTAATAATCTTGATTTTTTAAATTAGTTTTAGGCGAGTATCCTCCTAGAGAAGCTTCCTGGAAATGCAAGACTGAGAAATGGCAGGCAGTCTTCCAGGGAGAATACTACCAGTCTTGTCATGATGCTCCCACATGGCTGGTGCCATGATGCAGTGCATTCTCTATATCTAAGAAGTCCTCCATGATCTGATGTGACTTGACTTCTCATTTCAGAAAGGCCACCTCACCTCAATCCTTTACATGGGCCTGGAATTCATTTGTTCAAAAAATCTTTGAGGGCCAACTATGTGCTGAGGTCAATTGGAATAAGACTGAGAAGGTCTTTGTCCTCCTAGAGATAGTTTCAGATGGTGGCAAAGATAGCTTTGAAGGAAACAAAACAAGATTTTGACTTACTTACAGATTGAAAGGTAGTAGTGGAAAGAATGGGGGCGAGGATGCAGAAGTGGGGGCAACATTCTGTAGTATGGTTGGTGAAAAGTCTTTGGGTAGGCTAACATTTGAGCTGAATCCTGATGACCAGGAGCCAGGTATGGGAAGATCAGAGGGAAGCATATCACTTGTAGAGAACACGGCCAATGCAAAGAGCCTGAGATAGGGACAAGCGGCTAGGAATGGCTGGGAAAGGATGAAGGTGGCTCAAGATGGGACCAGTTCATGCAAGGCTTTGTAGACCATGGTGAGGAGCTTTGATTTTATTCCAAACACAATAGGAAGTCACAGGTGTTAAATAAGAAACCAATTGATCTGATGTGCATTTTTGAAAGATCTCTCTGGTGTGGAGGAGGGCAAAGTGGGGACTGAGGAAGCCTTGCCTACCCTTCTTTACCTCATAGTTCAGCTGGGATTGTGCCCAATTCCTGCGACTATTTGAGTTCACATTCAAGCACATGCTATTTTGCAACTATTCTCTTTGTGTCTTACCTTCTCCAGGACACCTTCCATGAAACACTGTCTCTGAACACCAAGTGCAGCTCCCTTCTGCTCTCATGATGCTCTCACCCAGGAGGCAAATTTGTGATGGTTAATTTTATATGGCAACTTGACTGGGCAAAGGGATGCCCAGACAGCAGGAAAAACATTATTTCTGGGTGTGCCTGTGAGGGTGCTTCTAGAAGATATTAGCATTTGAATCAGTAGGCTGAGTAAAGAAGATCTGGCCTTATCAGCGAGGGTGGGCAACATCCAATCTATTGCAGGTATGAATAGAATAAAAAGGTGGAGGATTCTCTCTTCCTTCAGCTGGGGCATCCCTCTTTCTTTGCCCCTGGACATCAGAGCTCCTGGTTCTTGGGCCTTCAGATTTTAGACTCTGGGACTTACACTAGCGACCACCTCTCTCCCTGTGGTTTGGGATTGGGGATTACACCATCAGCACCTCCTGGTTCTCCAGCTTGCAGACTGCACATTGTGGGACTTCTTGGCTTCCATAATTGTGAGCCAATTCCCACAATAAATCTCCTCTTATATATCTATGTATATAGCCTACTGATTCTGTTTGTCTGGAGAACCCTGACTAATCAAAATTCAAAATACTTTGCAACCAAAATGGGATGGGTACCGGGTGATCAGAACAGATGTAAACCATAGACGCCCAGTACAGTCACATGAGTGCTGAATATCATTGTTAAAGTTAGTCATCATCACCACTTTGGATGATCATTACCAACATTTGTCGAACACCTCTTTGTGTGAGAGACGATGCCAGCAGAAACAACTCATTTAATTCTTGAAAACTTCTATGAGTTAGTGCCATTATTTCCATTTGAGTCATGGGGACACCAAGCCTCTGAGAGATAGTGGCAGAGGTGGGATTGTGCCCAGTTCCTGTGACTATTTGAGTTCATACTCAAGCACATGCTATTTTGAAACTATTCTCTTTGAGTCTGTGTCTACTTTTGGGTAAACATCTCAAGGGCATGGATATCCATCATCACATCCCTGGTGATGGGATTTGGCTCAGAGGAGATGTTGGCAAGCATTTGCTGAATGAATACCAATTCTGCATCTCATAGAATCTTAGAAGGGGTCTTAGAGAAAATCAAGGTCTTAGTTCTCAGCCCATGACTTTTAAAAATGAAGAAAATGAGGATCAAAGAGGAGCTATGTCTTGCCCATGATTATACAGTCATTCATAGATCCAATCATTCAACATGTGTTTATTGAACAACTCCTAAGTAAGGGAGGGTGATATGAGGAGAAATTGTATTGGAAGGCAGGAGAAGACCATGGAGAGCTTGGCAGGCCAAGGTAGGGGGTCTTGATTCCATCCTAAGGGTAACGAAGAATTTCACTTATGTCCTAGAATTTTCTTAGGACCAGAGGCAAAGTTTCTCCTATGCACTTAATTGAAGTGGAAGCCTGAAAACCATTGGCCTTTGGTGACCGGTAACTCAGCTTTCAAGCTAACAGACAAGTACTCCTCTGTGTTAAATAAGCAGACCTGCTGCAAGCAGGCTTCCAAGTTGACACAAGCCACACTTGTCATAGGTTAAGCTGGGAGCAGCTTCAGTTGCACAGGTCTCAGAGTTTTCATTTTGTGGTAGCAAGGTGATGCACTAGTGCATGCCGGGGGCTGCTCACTCACCCCTCATGCCTCAGGAGGGCAACAGGCTGTGTTCTCAGACCTTAGATCACCTTTCTCAGCGTGATGCTCCATTAGCAGAAGCCCTTTTGTGAGCGCAAAAGAGCAGCCTTGGAACAGAAGACCACACGTGGCGTTCACAGTGACAATGCTATCACCTTACCCCTGCTTAAACACCTCAGTGGCTTCCCCTTGCCTGTAACATAAAGATGCACATCTGGGGCCCCTGGCTTTTCTAACCATGTGTCCTTGTTTTCTGTGCTCTGCTCAGTGTCTTTCTTTCAGCCTCCCTTATATACTGGGCTTCCTCCTTTCCTAGAACACATGCTTATTCTGTTTCTTATGCTTCCCTTCCCTTAAACAGAGAAGGGAGGGAATAAACTTCCCTCCCTTCACTGTTTGACTCCTACTTATGAACTCCTTTGTATCTCAGCTCAAGGGTCACCTGTTGAGGGAGATCCCCATGATCCACTGTCATGGCACTCTGTACTTTTCAAAATACATATCACAGTTTTAGCTTGACATTCGTTGTGTGACTGATGAATGCTCACCTCTTTCCCTAGACTGACTTTAGGCTTCATCCAGGCATGGGCTCTATCTTATTGGCCCCTGTGACATCTCCTATACCTGGTACATATTAACTGTATCAAGGCAGAAATAAATAATTGTTAATGAATGAAGCAATGCAGGCTGTCTATTGTACAATGAAGTGTGATGTCCCAAGGGACAGAGAGAACAAGGCGCTTGGCTGAACTGGTTAAAGAACAGTCTGGAATTCCAAAGGTTATCTCTAATGGGAACCAAGACACTGAGTATCACATTGGGCTGCGTGGGTTGCAAAGCCTGGTTTCACCCTTGGGTCCCCTTACATGAGCAAGTCTCTCATCTATAAGAGGGATAGTAATAATTCATAACTAATACTCATAGCACTGTGTGATGATTCTATAAAACCGAATATAAAAAAGCACTTAGCCCAAGGCCTGGCATGCAGTAACCATTCCATAGTAAGCTACTATTGTTGTTGTTATGCAATATTTATTATGCAAGCAATAGATAATACAGCCTTCAGCTTCTGCAGAAATAGGGGTTAGGTATGTGCAGGTCTCCTTTGTGGATCCGACATTGAGTCTGTTCTCCCAAGGAAACTTGAGGAAGGTGTCACCTATTGGGGAGCACCCACTGTGTTCCAGACACTGAATGAGGCGAGAACTTTTAAAGAGAAATGCATTCCGAATGGCTCATACTGTAATTCAGGGGTCAGCAGACTTTTTCCTGTAAAGATTCAGATAGTAAATATATTTTTCTATGCCAACTGTATAGTACCTGTCACAACTACTCAATTCTGCTTTTATAATATGAAAGCAGTCATGGACAAAATATAAAAGAATGGGCGTGGCTGGGTTCCAGTAAAGCTACAGAAACACAGCGTAGGCTAGATTTGGTCTGTGACTGTAGTTTTCTGACCGCTGCTAGTTTAAATTTGGGAGATGAATAAAGAACTTCCAGTCATATATTTTCCAGTAAGTGTTCTATACAGATAGGAAAATACATGTTGAGAGAACCTAAGCATTAAGCTCTCCCTTTCCTTTAAATGATGATGATTACTATTGTTACCTTTATATAGTCCTTTAAACTTTTCAAGGCATATTCAACTCAAATGAGCTGAATTCTAGTCAACGTATAGGTCCCAAATGCCCACCCTATGCCAGATCCCAGAAGTCCAGAGATGAATGCTGTATATTCCATAGCCTAAAACAGCTCACCCATATTACCACATTTGTTCCTAAAATAAATAGGTGAAGTGAAGACATTAAGGCACAGAGAGGTTAAGCACCTCTTCTGAGGTCACACAGACAAAAAGTGACAGTGACTATTCATTTCACATTAGCATATGCAAATAGTTTCTTTCTACAGGAAAGTAAAGAGAAAAGGAAAGGTGTTCTGTATTTGAGGGGAGATCACATTTCAGCAGCTTTTGCTGGAACAACTATAAGCTAGAACTTATTTATAGAAAGTCATTAACAAGTTTGTCTTCATGCATAAGAGCACACACAGTCTGCAGAGAAGAACACAGTTTGATGTTTACCAGCCACCACATTCTCACCCTAAGGTTTGGTAACTATCATGGGTCTGTCCGGTGATGAGATTTTCTGCATTGTAGGCTATGGAATGCAATTATGGCTAAAAATAAAAATAATTTTCCATAGTTTCATTGACAGAAGATCCCCAAATGTGGTCTGGCTATCATACCAACCTAGAAAACCAGCATGGAATGTAATTATTTTCCCCCAAAAGATAACACAACTTGGATTTTAAAGCATGTTTTTCATCAAGTTGTATGGGAGTTTGCACAAATGTAGAGTGATATATTTGGGTGCAGGATCATGCTGGAAAATGCAAGACCTTGAGCCTAGTCAGATACCTCTTCTGTCCAAGTAATGTGGGGCTACTTATCCCCTCTGATTATTTCTTTATGCATAATATAGGGATGCATCTATCTAAGAATTGTCATGAGAGTGAAACAAGATAATGACACAGTCTTTCAGGAACTTGGCAGGGTATAAGTAAACAAGATAAACAGATGAGATAAAACACATAAAGAATCAGGGAAGTTCCGTGATGCTTTTTTTTTTTCCCGGAACTTGGAATGCGTTTCGAGACCACTTTTTCTCGATTCCTTCCCCAGGCCTTCGCATCCTTCAACTTCTTATAAAGGAGCTGCTGAAAGCCAGAGTGGGATGAGCCTCCTGCACGACGTCTAGATCCTCCCAGAAGTGACTTGTAGGCAGTGGCTGCCACCATCCAAGAATGAGAGATGAGGTCTGCAGGTCCTTTTGAAACTTCTGCTGATTTTAGTTAAGCCTATTTCTTCCCCATGCTCCTGCAACCTCAAACTCATCCCAACACAGGGCATGGATGAGGAGAGTTAGGCTCTGGCTCCAAGTCCTGGGTCTTCTGGTCTTCTTTGAACTTCAATTTCTTCACAGGCAAAACTGTGATGACAACATAACCACTCAAATAATCGTGCTGATTAAATGAACCAAAACATGTAAATGAGCTCAGGTGTACATGGGATAAAGGAGGCTTCAAATGCAGTGCCTGGCACAAAGTAAGCCCTCATTAAATGGGAGTTGCAGTGATTATTATTAGAAATGTCTGGCTGCTGGGGCTCTGATAAAGGGAGAGGCCCTAGAATGATGAAGTGACGTGTTAAGTTCCATAGATAACAACAAAGTCAGGCCATTCACACTTTGGGACTGTATTTCTTGACAGTCCATATATCATTCACATTTGCATCTTACTTTATCTTATTGTCAGATGACTACCAAGAAGATTTTGCCAGTCTTTTCTTTCTGTAGCTCGTATTCTTGTATTATGAAAATAGATATACTGAACATGTCTCATACCAAATACCTTTTCTCTTTTAGGATTGTTGCTATTTCTGTGGAAGAGTTTGTCCCATGAGAACCACTGTACTGGTATGTGTAGGGCATTTTTGTTAAATATTAAGTCATTCCAGAGCCCACATAAATAGTATTAATAAAGGCTCGCTTTGTTTTAATTATTGTAGAGATTTAATGTTATGTAGTTCATTTGAGTTAAGGCAAGAATTATTTTTGGTCATCTCCTACGCAAAAAAAAGCGTTGGTCTAGATGGGTTTATAAGTATATTCCAGCAGATATTTGAGGGGAAAATAGGCCAATATCTTTTACGATCATATATGCAAAAAGCCAAAATTAATACTAGCTAGTGGAAAACAGCATTAAAAATAATTTATTACAATCAAGTAGGGCTCATATCAGGAGTTAAGGGTAAATCAATGCTGGAGAAATCTTCCAATGTGATCTAGCACATCAATTGAATGAAGCAGAAAAAAAGGGACATGAACATCTCAATATGGAGTACCTGTATTTAGATAGAGCTAACCAAATTAACATCCATTTTAGTGGAATTACTTCTCACTTAAATGGATGAAGTATACAAAAAAAAAAAAAAAATAGAATCTAATGCTTCAACCTGATGCCTGGGATGTCTTTTGCCTGAGGTCTGAGCTCTGGAGTGAACAAGGAAGACAGCTTCTAGATGATCATGAGACAATTCAGGCCAAAGCATGTCTCTGTGATGCTGAGAAAGGCTCTGAAAGCTTCAGCAATGTGGTGTCCAGAGGGCAATGTGATTGAATGATATTTCGGGAGACCACAATGCGAAGTTTTATCCTCTTATAGTTATTCATAAAAGTTTATAGCTTCACTGGTATAGATATAACTAAATTGGAGAGGAATGTGATTTTTCAAATATCCAGGGGCAATGACTCTCAGTACCTGCAGTAGATGCACACCAAGGGGTTGACGGAGAAGACTTTTCTAGCTCACTTCACAGTTAGTCCCCATCCTGGAGGAAGGAAAGACTGAATCCTCACACACTGCTTGCCAAAGCCATCTTATTCACTCAGGGTTAATTCAGAAGAGTCACTTTAGGTGGCTACTGTCCTAACTGATATATTCATGGAAAATTAGACACATAACATCTATTAGATAACAGAGGAGGGTTTTCTCTCCTCTCATAAATGAAGCTGCGCAGCGATTTGGATAAACTGTTCACAAAACTAGGCTTGGTTTTGTACACATTAATTGCATAAAGTATGATACTTAATAAGCAGAAACACACACTGGTTTATTTCAAAGCCATTAAACCCGCAGTGGATTGACTGTAGGGGATGAATATTAGAAAGAGCACAGGGCTGGGAGTCAAAGGGGCTGAGTTTGAATGACAGCTCTGTCATTCAGTAGGTAGGTGTGCTCGGTGAGTCACTGCTCCCTTTTAGACCTCAGGGTCTTTATCTGGAAAACATGGAGATTTTAAGGACAGGGTTTTGTCATTCTTCTAAAACACTGATGGGAAATATAGGATGTTGCCTCTTGAGTTTCCATCAAAGTCAATTAAGTTATAGTCACATGTTGCTTAAAAACCAGGATGCATTCTGAGAAATGTGTTATTAGGTGATTTTGTCATTGTGTGAACATCATAGAGTGTACTTATATAAACCCAGATGGTATATGGTATAGCCTATTGCTCCTAGGCTACAAATCTGCACAGCATGTTACCGTACTGAATACCATAGGCAATTGTATTGCACACAGTGGTAAGTATTTGTGTATCTAAACGTAGAAAAGGCTCAATCAAAATACGATATTGTAGTCTTAGGGGACCACTGTCACATAGGCAGCCTGTCATTGAAGGAAATCTTGTTAGGTGGTATGTGACTGTATGTAGAATTGAAACCAAATATTTAAACCAAAGTTTCAGTAGGCAGCATGTTTATGCCTGGGGTTGCAAATGGATGACTATGGGACCAGGCTGCTTGTCTCAACAGAGGAGAAGGCTAGGCAAAGGCCATGGCCAAAAAATATGAATGTGCAGCTTAGTCCCAGGGTCTCCTGGCAGCCACTTTGTGACTCCTGGTTTCTTCATTTGATCGTGCTTAGGTCAAATCAAACCAAATCCAAACAAAACAAAATATCTCAAACCTTCACTCATTGATTCTTCCAACAAACCCGTATGTGTTTCCCATGTGCCAGGCACTGTGCTGGGCATGAGGAGATGAAAAGAGGGAAGACCTTAGAGGCAGTAGGAGGCACATATGCAAGTGTCCTGTAGCATCATGGAAGACCATGTGTAAGAGGAAGAGGCTGGAGCCCAGAAGGGAAGGGGAATGAGGTAGGCTGACCCAGGAGAAAAAGGTAAGGACAGACCACATTCATGCTTGGAGACCCTGGTAAGAATATTGTCTATCCTCAGAACAGTGGAAAGTCATCCAAAGTTTGAAGATGGAGAAGGGGGTTGTACGTGCAGGGGTAGGGAATGTTGATGACAGCAGGTTTGTTTCTGACACTCGATTGAAAACTCTAGAGGGAAGTGACCCTTTACTGTAGCGCCTTTTCTCAATGTGGTGTCTGATTCTTCCAGAAATCACATTACCAACTGCCTGCCAACTTTCCCCTATTCCTGCCCTTCCAGAGCCTGCCCAGGTTCT
This sequence comes from Homo sapiens, assembly GCF_000001405.40. NCBI lineage: Eukaryota > Metazoa > Chordata > Mammalia > Primates > Hominidae > Homo > Homo sapiens. The sequence continues at coordinate 51,666,610 of NC_000017.11, forward strand.
TGGTGAGCCAGGTATTCCTAATCCTGGAATCATATCACTCAAATTTAATAACCTCTCTCATGTGCCAGTACTTGACAAGTTAAAAGTAATTTGAATATCTGAGTATTAATATTTTAACTATACAAGGCACCACAAATTATTTAGTGATTTTTTAAAATAAAAAAGCAAATAAGAAAATGATGTATCAATTCAGATTGCAGGGAATAGGAGATCCCAACACAGGCTTCTGAAAAATTGGGAAAAGCACCCAAGAAGATTATAAAAGATGACTAATGAGCACAAAACAACTTTTGGCAAGCACAGGAAAGTATTAGCTTATTCCAAGAAACAAGACACATTTCATCCAATTATTGGAAAATAAATGGCAAGAAAAACCAAATACCAAGAAAGTACCCACATTTATGTGGAAAAGTATAAAAGCAATGATTCAGGAACTAATTTGAACAATCCAGGGATAGTCATATTGATTCCAGCCCATTGCTGCAATTTGAAATGAAGCCAAATGCCAGAGGACAATGAGATCTGTTTTATGGGCTCTTACATGCCACATAGGAGGGAGGGAGCCACAGGAATGCACCACATTGAAAAAGGAATTGTGACTTCTGATGGGAGGGCTTTTGGGCCAAGTTAAATCTCAGAATCCAGCTCTCCCCCTGCTCCCCAGACAGTGTTGCTAGAGGTCAATGGACAGTGGGGTCTGAGCAAGTCTTCATTGTGTGTGATTGCCCCTTGCTTGCAGGGCCTTTAGAACCTTTGCACCACTCCCACTAACTGCTTGCAGTACTTCCATCATGATGTCAATCCCAAATACCTCCTACCCAGTTTAAAACAGCCCTTGTGGTATATATGTGTGTGTACTGCCCAGATGGAGGGCTGTGGCTAGGAAAGTCAGTTTCCCTATCCGTAAATTGGAAGAATGATTGATAGCTCCTTGTGCTACATATTTCTGCTGAGCAAGCAAAAAAAAAAAAAATGACCTTGGGTTAGAACATCCTTCCTGCTGCACTCTGTGTGGTCATTGAATGTCACTTCTGTGCAGGATGCAGCTGATTCTTTTCTCTCCTAGTGGATTTTGTTTTACAGAGGGATCTTTGGTCCTGTGACTGAAAGGTGAGTTGGGGGTGACAGTGGGGAAAGGAGACAGAAGGAGGGAGAGCCAAATTACTCTCACTGTACTGCAGGGAAGTCCAGATGGTGCCCTTGTCCTAAGCTTCCAAAATATGCTCTGGGAGGGAAACAGAGACAGCATTTTGCTGACAGCACTTGGGAACAGGCGTGTGGGCACTCTATATTAAGACTTCAATATCCATTCCAAGTGTATCTGTGTGTATGTGAGAGCACTGTGGCTTTACTTGGAAACCACCGGTCCCAATCTCTCTGGGGCAGATTCCATTTTTCATTCTTTCCTCCCTATCCTTGTAACCCAGGCCCAACCATTCAGCAAAGGGTCTACCCCCAAATACCATGGCTCCCTCTGGGGCCTCTGTCTTTTGCCAGGGCAAAGGTTGTTTCCAGTAGAACTGGGTCAGCTAGAGGGAAAGGTCTTTATCCCTTGGGTAGCCGGAGTCTGAGGCATTCCCAAGGGCGAGTGGGTACAGTGTGGTTCCCATCCACAGAGTGGTGGCATGCATGCCATGCCAGCTACTGTACCAGGGAGGGGCGATTTCAAGAAGAGACTCAGTCTTGGCCTCAAGCATTTCTCAGTCCAGAGAGAGAGAGAGAAACCCAGCTCTTGCAGGCAGAGCTTTATAAATTACAATGCATCTTCCTGCCCACTTCCTTTCTGAACCCAAACAATAGCCCTTCTGTGAATTAGGCCAGGATGCTTTGAAACTGTCTTTCAGACAGGAGGAGCTGAGGACCCAAAGTCACTCGGTTGTTTATCAACAGATCTAGACTTAAATTCAGGTCTCTGATTCTCAAACACAGTCTAATTTCGATCTGTAGACTTGGTCAAGCTGCTGTTTTGTCCGGTGTACTGTCCTGATATTGAGAGGTGACAATGTGCTAGCAACCCTTGCTCGCTCTCGGGACCTCCTCGGCCTCTGCATCCACTCTGGCCACACTTGAGGAGCCCTTCAGCCCGCTGCTGCACTGTGGGAGCCCCTCTCTGGGCTGGCTGAGGCCAGAGCCAGCTCCCTCTGCTTGTGGGGAGGGGTGGAGAGAGAGGCGCAGGTGTGAACCAGGGCTGTGCCTGCACTCGTGGGCCAGCGCGAGTTCTGGGTGGGCGTGGGCTCAGCGCGCCCACACTTGGAGCGGCCGGCCGGCATCACAGGCCCTGGGCAGTGAGGGGCTTAGCACCTGGGCCAGCAGCTGTGGAGGGGGCGCCAGGTCCCCCAGCACTGCTGGCCTGCCTGCACCAAGCTCGAATTCTCGCTGGGCCTCAGCCACTTCCCTGTGGGGCAGGGCTGGGGACCTGCAGCTTGCCATGCCCAAGACCCTGCAACCTCATCCCCGCCGTGGGCTCCCGCATGGCCTTGTGGTGCCCGGTCCCATCAACTGCCCAAGGGCTGAGGAGTGCAGGCGCGGGACCAGATGGCAGCTCTGCCGGGCGGCCCAGTGTGGGATCCACTAGGCAAAGCCAGCTGGGCTCCTGAGTCGGGTGGGGACTTGGAGAACTTTTATGTCTAGCTGGAGGATTGTATATGTACCAATCAGCACTCTGTGTCTAGCTTGGGGTTTGTGGATGCACCAATCAGTGCTCAGTGTCTAGCTAATCTAGTGGGGACTTGGAGAACTTTTGTGTCCAGCTAAAGGATTGTAAATGCACCAATCAGCACTCTGTCAAAACGGACCAATCAGCAGGATGTGGGTGGGGTCAGATAAGGGAATAGAAGCAGGCCGCCCCAGCCAGCAGTGGCAACCCTCTCGGGTCCCCTTCCACACTGTGGAAGCTTTGTTCTTTCGCTCTTCGTACTAAATCTTGCTGCTGCTCACTCTTTGGGTCCATGCCACTTTTATGAGCTGTAACACTCACCGCGAAGGTCTGCAGCTTCACTCCTGAAGCCAGCGAGACCATGAACCCACCAGGAGGGATGAACAACTCCAGATGCACCACCTTTAAGAACTGTAACACTCACTGCAAAGGCCTGCAGCTTCACTCCTGAAGCCAGTAAGACCACGAACCCACCAGAAGGAAGAAACTCTGGACACCCCATCTTTGAAAACTGTAACACTCACCGTGAGGGTCTGTGGCTTCATTCTTGAAGTCAGCAAGACCAAGAACCCGCCAATTTTGGACACAATATGGTTTGGCTGTGTCCCCACCCAAATCTTATCTTGAATTTTAGCTCCCATAATTCCCACATGTGGGAGGAACCTGGTGGGAGATAATTGAATCACAGGGTGGTTTCCCCCATACTGTTCTCATGGTAGTGAATAAGTCTCATGAGTTCTGATGGTTTTATCAGGGGAAACCCCTTTCACTTGGTTCTCATGCCAGCTGCCATGTAAGATGTTCCCTTTGCTCTTCTTTCATCTTCCACCATGATTGTGAGGCTCCCCTAGCCACGTGGAACTGCGAGTCAATTAAACCTCTTTTCTTTATAAATTACCCAGTCTCAGCAGCATGAAAATGGACCCTTGCCTGACCTTCAATTTAAAAGAATTATAGTAGCTACCATTTAAGGAGAGTTTCCCATGTGCCAGCAGGGTCCTCAATGCCCTACAGAGGTCATCTCATTCAGTTCTTACAACAGGTGTACAGGCAGGGATTACTGTCCCCATTTACCAGATGGGGAAACTGAAGTGGGGGAGGTGAAATAACTTGCTTGAATTCACTCAGTCAGTAAAAGGCAGAGCCACATGTTAGACCTGGTTTGTGGGCTTTCTCACCAAGGATTGTGGGGAGCTTCCCTGATTGATTGGGTCCGCATTCCTTTTTTTTTTTTCCCCCTGGAATCTCTGGGACACCAACTCATGCGTGAATCTGGGGAATTAATCTTCTCTTGTTGGGCCCTGGCTGAGGGGTTCAGTGATCCCTGAGCTCCATTCCAGCTCTTTCTCTGGATTTATCTGTAGCATCCATACTTCCCCAAGTTTCCAGGTGCTTGTCTCTTATATCCACAATGAGTAACACCACCACTAGTGAATTCTAGTGAACATTATTGGGCTATAATGTGAGCCAGGGCTGTGTTAGCCTGTTCTGATGCATTATCTCATTTGATCCTTGCAAAAATCGACGTATGAGAACCTTATCACCTCCAATTTAGAGTTAAGGAAACTGAGCCTTAGAGATGCTAAGTAATGTATCCAGGTCACACAGTTTTTAATAGAACAAGAGCTTGTGTCTGATGCCAAAAACAAAATGTTAAGCACTAAGTTATCTGGCCTCTAATAGACGGAAGTGCTCTGGGACTTGGGATTGTCAATCAGACTTAGGGGGTGGCTAAATAAATGAACCCCTGTGGAATGAAGTCCCCTTGCACTCCTATAGTTAGTGTTTTACTTCATGTCAGCTGTGGAGAAATAGGCACAGCTGGCTTGGTGTATCTGTCAGCTGTTAAGTCTCAGGTTCTGTCTTCTAGGTAGGAGCTACCCCAGGCACAGCACTAACCCTTTCCTGCAGGTTCTGATTGGGGGCCGGCCTTTGGCTCTTCCCGGCTGCTAATGCTATCTCCTTCCCACCTTCAAGGCTCCCTGCCCTGAGCTGTCCCTCAGGGTTCTCCATAGTCCAATCCTGACTTTTCCAGCCTTCTCTCACCTCCTCCTTTACAACATACACCTACTGCTGAAGGGGCTTTTTGATGCCCCCTGAACATGACTCACAGTTTCACACATTTGGGTCATTTTTTTTGTTTTTGTTTTTGTTTTTGAGATGGAATCTCGCTCTGTTGCCCAGGCTGGAGTGCAGTGGTGCGATCTTGGCTCACTGCAAGCTCCACCTCCCGGGTTCACGCCGTTCTCCTGCCTCAGCCTCCTGAGTAGCTGGGACTATAGGTGCCCGCCACCACGCCTGGCTAATTTTTTGTATTTTTAGTAAAGACGTGATTTCACCGTGTTAGCCAGGATGGTGTCGATCTCCTGACTTCATGATCCGCCTGCCTCGGCCTCCAAAAGTGCTGGGATTACAGGCATGAGCCACCACGCCCGGCCACATTTGGGTCTTTATCCATGCGGTTTGTCTCTACCAGGAATGGCCATTGTTTTGGCTGTAATTTCTGTTAGTGGAACGCCCCTCCTAAATTGCTATCTCCTCCATGCTGGCCTTCTGGATTTTCCTGTATGAATTTGCTGTCTTCCTCCTTTTGAAATCTTGTAACATTAAAGTAACATTAAAATATGGGCTTGACTGTGCTTTCAATGATAGCTTCTCTGCTTGTAGCAGTTCCTCCATAGCCTGTAAGTAGTAAGAAGAGTTACAAATCTAACCCTAGCCTTGCCACTTCATAACTGTGACTTAGGGCATTGAGTTAACCTGTCTGAACTTCATCTTTAGGGTAGAGATAATACTGTTTATTTCCCCAGTTGTTGTAAGAATTACATAAGTTAGTGCATGTAAAACACCTAGTATCCACCAGACATGCAATAGGCACTCAAGAATCTTAAGTTACCCATATTCCCACATTTCTTATTACCTCTTCCCCCAAATACACACAGATCGTCACACACAAACAATACTACTGCTGCTACCACCACCACGATGATGGCTCAATGCCCAGTGTGTACAGGATCACAGCATGCTAGCGCTATAAAGTTCCCTAGCAGCCCATGGTTTTAGTCACTGTTTTGCAAACGAGTAACTAGCACCTGGGTTGGGATCAGCTGCCCTAAGTGAGTACAGTATTGCAGCTAACATTTACTGGGTACAACACCAAGGCATTGTACTTGGTGTTTTATAAGCATTATCTTATTTGAGCCTCCCAATGAATCCCCTGTGGGGTTAGGTAATAACATTTTCATCACCCCTATTTTGCAGAGTGGTGGGGGGCCGGGGGACCAAAACTTAGAGGTTAAGTAGTTTACCCAATATCTCACTTTTCTAATAAGTTGAAGAGCTAGAATTTGGACCCCAGGAGCCCAATATCAGATCCTGGCTCTTAACCAGAAGCCAGAATGAAAGTGAACTCCAGATAGCCTGCATTATTTTAAGAGTCCTCTCCAGTGTCTCAGAAAGGGCTTCAGAAATTCAGAAAAAGCTCATTTCTTGATTCCCATGCCAGGGCTATCTGCCCAGGGGAGCTGAATTGAACATAAATGAATTCTACCAGCCCAGATCCCTCACCCTGCCAGTCTCAGTCTTCTCCCGGAAAAGTTAAAATGAGTTCCCTGAGCTCTGGCTGCTTTCTAGTGGGGAGGGAGTTCCAGTGGCTTTGCAGGAGGGGAGACTTGGAAGAACTCCACCAACTTAGTTTATTCCAAGGCATGCCCAAGAAATGGATTTTCTTGACTCTGTCTTGGCTGAGACAAAACACACACCTCTCTTGTTGGTCTTTCTGAGTTGAACAGTCTTGTGGCCTTAATGCCTATCACATTGGATGGTTTCAGGAAAGGGCCATTCTTTGCTTTCTTGGTCCATGAATTCAGAGCTGGGTTGAGCAGTGATGAGAAAATGAACCCCCTAGCCCCAGCCAGCCCTGGATCCTCTCTTGAGTTCATTCTCCTTTGGCATTTGGTAAGCAGGAACCTTGATGTCCCAGATGGTAGAGCCAAGGGATGGCCCCAGGCAATTCATGCAGATACCTCAGCTGGTTGTAGTGAATCATTGTGTCTATGCAAGAAGGACTTATGAGCACTCAGTGGGAATTCTGTACTTCAAATAGCCTATTCCAAGTCAAGCTCATTATCCTGCCACCCTGAACTCTACTCCAAATCTCCTCCTCTTCCTTCATCCCCTCTAACATGGCCATCATCCTCCCAGTGCTATATTTATAGACTTGGGCGCCTACTGAGACTCTTTTGTCTTCCTTATTCATGAGAGCTCATTAGTCATGAAGTTCTGTGAATTTTTGTAATACACTTCATGGTTCTTGCAACTATTGCTGTCCTCTTTATACCCAGTGCTACTGCTTCAGATCAGGGCCTCAAGTACTCTCACCTTATTATTGCATCACTTCCTAACTGGTCTTGCTGCTTCCAACCTTATGTCTCTCGAAGCCAGTCTCTCCATAGCCATTGTGATGGCTCTAGGTCTAAACATTTCACTTCCCTGCAAACGAAATCCTTCAGTGGCACCTTAGTTCCCTATGGGAAATGTCCAGGCTCTTTTATCCGGCCTGAAAGGCCCACCATGACCTCCAGCTTCACCATTCACCTCCCTGCCCAGCCCACATAAGCCGGCCATGCCAAGCCACTGCATGGACCTGACTGTTTGCACATCTGTATCTGTAAACACACCTTCCCCTCCTCCTAGAATGTCCTTCCCCCCCAGGTTCATCTGGAAAACTCTTACTCATCCTTCAAAACCCTGCTCAGGCTTCACCCTCCAGGTAGAGATGCTCATGCATGCCTCTCTGCTACCATCATGCCCACAACATACCTCTATTAAGGCCTCTACTGCTTCATATTGCAATGATTTGTGTACAGCGCATCTCCCAGGTAAAATGAGAGCTGCTTGAGGGCCAGACAGTGGTTTATAGAAATTATTTCCCCAGGACCTAGCACAGCTTCTGACACACCATAAGCACTAAATATACTTTGTTGATATAGATGATTTTTCTGAATTGATCCAACTGATTCCTTTCACAAGCACAACCACTGCAGGGAAGAAAAATAGTCTTCTTACTTAGGAAAAAAATTACTTGACATGTCTTAACTGTAAAACCCTTGAACAAGCACTTTATCCTTCTTCTGTGGTTACTTTTTCTTTTTTATTGTGTCGCTGTGGTCTGGATAAAGTTGTCTGAGTTTTATTCATTTCTTAACTCTGATTGCTATCTTGCAAGGGGGATGGGATGAAATAGCAAACAATATATTCTAGCTTTTTTCTTTCCCAGAGGCATATATAGAACAGCCTCTGAAGAAGTATTAATATTGGAAAAGATGCTATTATCTGCATTATACTAATTAATCCATACATCTACCTGTCATTCTTTCTTTTCTATGGCTTTTCTCACCGCAGTGGTGTGCTCTTCCGCTGCTGGTAAATTGGCACAATAAATCTGGGGGGACCACCTCTATTTCCAGCAGTTCACTTAACATTTTATCACGTGGCCGTGGACTCAGGATTGAAGTCAGTTAAAAAGATTAATACCATTTAATACCACCCAGAAGGAAGATGCCAGAAGTCTGTTTAAGGTCCTGTTATTCATGTCTTCATTTCCTTTGTGCGTGTATTGTGATAAGCATAGCCATCCTTTTTAGGCTGCTGCTAATAACTACTTAAAATGATTAAGGTAACTAGTTATTTCCTGTAAGAAAATTGCGCTGCTGTCATTAACACGAAATTAACATGGCTCCCATTTCATCTTCAGCACACAGCCTGTTGCCCCCCGTTGCCTTAAACAAACAGAACTGTCTCCAGAAGGCTGTGCGCTCCTTTGTAAGAGGCAAGGAGGTAAGAAAGCGTAGTTTTGCAGAGGATGCTGCCCATGGAGGCAGCCGGAGGAGGGAAAAGCATAGTCCCCCAAACTGCCATGAGGTTTGGAGGAGTAATTAGCATAATTGTCATTATTCTGTATGGCCTGAGCAATGTGAATGGGATCCGTGCCCTTTAAAATTCCCAGTTCTCAGTCGGGCATGGTGGCTCATGCCTATAATCCTAGCACTTTGGGAGGCCAAGGCGGGTGGATCACCTGAGGTCAGGAGTTTGAGACCAGCCTGGCCAATATGGCAAAACCCCATCTCTACTAAAAATACAAAAATTAGCTGGGCATGGTGCTGGGTGCCTGTAGTCCCAGCTACTCAGGGGAGAATGGCTTGAACCCAGGAGGCAGAGGTTGCAGTGAGCTGAGATTGCGCCACCGCACTCCAGCCTGGGTGACAGAGTAAGACTCCATCTCAAAAAAAAAAAAAAAAAATTAGCCAGGTGTGGTGGCAGGCACCTGTAATCCCAGCTACTCAGGAGACTGAGGCAGGAGAATTGCTTGAACCCTGGGGGCGGAGGTTGCAGTGAGCCTAGATTGCGCCACTGTACTCCAGCCTGGGCGAAAGAGCAAGGCTGCGTCTCAAAAAAAAAAACAAAAACAAAAAACACACAACAACTCCCAATTCTCTCAATCAGTAGTTCTCTTAGGTTGGTGCAAAAGTACTTGTGGTTTTTGCCATTAGTTTTAAGTTTTAAGAACAAGGACCGCAATTACTTTTGTACCCAACGAATAAGATTTTCTCTTACTTGACACATGCAAGACATTTGCATGTGAGAGACACTCCCATCGGAACACTCTGCTTTTGAGAAGGATCTACACATATCTTGTAGGGACATGAAGCACCGTGATGCTTGTAAGGTCCTAAGTATTAATGGTAAGTCAGCAATGGCTGCTTATTGGGAGTCTTGGCACAAATAAGATTGGCTAGTGCTACTTAAGTGGAGTCTGTGAACATGTGTGTACAAGTTTTAGTTTGAGTACGTGTTTTCAGTTATTTTGGGTATATACCTATGACCGGCATTGCTGGACTCTGTACTTTTATGTTCAACTTTTTGAGGAACCACCAAACTGTTTTCCTATATTTTAAAGTTGAGCACTTATGTGTGCCAGGCCCCGAGTTGAAGAGTTCACGAGATAGTGTACTTGGAGGGTGAACATCTAGAGCCAGGAGGAGACCAGAGGGCCAAAGTAGTTCAAGTCATCTTTGGGAATCTGTCACAGTTGTCCCTCTTGCTCACTTGCTCTTACTCCTCTACCCCACTCTGATTGTCTGCTGTGAGTGGCACCATCAGCACAGCCATCACCTGAGAGCATATTAGACATGCAGAATCTGGGGCCCCACCCAGACCTACTGCACCAGCATTTCTGGGGGTGAGGCCCAGGAATCTGTTTTTAAGAAGCCCTCTAGGTGTTTCTGATGATTACTCAAGACTGAGAAGCTCCGAGATAGATGTAGGTGCAGTGTTACCCTTGTTGCTCTTACATCAGAAACCCTATTGGCTGCAAAGTGAGCGTCAGATACTGCTTTTAGAGATAGCTTTTAGTCTTCTCTAACTTAAATACAGTGAATCATATGCAACACTCCCCACTTTTAGCAGGTTATGTGCACCCACTTCACTTACAACTGCAAAACCCTACCATTCCAGGCAGAGTCACCTCGGTTCCATATCATGTCAGGGGCTCTTAACTTGTCACAGTAGAAATAACCCAGGGTTATCTTAGTAATCCTGAGACTGTGCTCTTCTTTACCACCCAGGCCAGCCTGCAAATGTGATGATGGGTCTACCACAGAGTCCATGGCCACAGAGTAGCCCTCTGTGGCTTCCTGACAGCCAAGAGCAGCCTCGATTTGATATCTGGTGTTTGTTTTAAGCCTTTCCTTTTTCTGCTGTCAGGAAGTGGTAATGTAGTAGTGTGTTGAAAGAGCATACATTTTGTTGTCAAACAGACCAGGGTTTGAATTCTGATTCTGCTACTTGAGCCTGCAAAATGGGTTAATAATATCTACTATGTGGAATAATATTTGTTCAATAAATGGTGGTGATATGGTTTGGGTCTGTGTCCCCACCCAAATCTCATGTTCAATTGTAATACTCAGCGTTGGAGGTGAGGCCTGGTGGGAGGTTACTGGATCATGTGGGCGGAGTTCTCATGAATGGTTTAGCACCATCCACTGTGGGCCGTTCTTGTGATAGTGAGTGAGTTATCATGAGATGTGGTTGTTTAAAAGTGTGTAGTACCTCCTCCCTTGTGCTCTTCCTCCTGCTCCAGCCATATGAAGAGGCACCTGCTCCTGCCATCATTGTAAGTTTCCTGAGGCCCCCCCAGAAGCAGATGCTGCCATGCTTCCTGTACAGCCTGCAGAACCATGAACCAATGAAACCTCTTTTCTTATAATGTACCCAGTCTCAGGCATTTCTTTATAGCAATGCGAGAATGAACTAATAGAAGTGGTTACTGCTGTTATTAATCATTGCTGATAATTAAAAAAAACCAAATATGTACATAAAAAGAGGGAGACAGGGTGGAGTAGAGAGAGAGAGAGAACTGTCATAAATTCCTAAAGACTTTTTGAACTACTGTGGCCCTCTGTCTCCTCTTGGCTCTAGATGTTTGTCATCCAAGTGAACTATTTTGTGAACTCTTCAACTCAGTGCTTGGTACGGGGTAAGCACTCAAAACAATTTGGTACCTCAAAAAGTTAAACATACAATTACCATATAACCCAACAATGCCACTCCTAGGTATACACCCCCCCCCCCACCGGCTGCCAATTGAAAATAGGTACCCAAACTGAAAACTGTACACCCATGTTCACAGCAGCACTATTCACAATACCAAAAGGTAGAAACAACCCAAATGTCCATCAATGAATGAATGGGCAATTTGTGGTATACCCACAAAATGGAATATTATCCTGCCATGAAAAGGAAGAAATGACAATACATGCTACAATGTGGATGAACCTTGGAAACATGCTATGTGAAAGAAAGCAGACCAAAAACTCACATATTGTATAATAATATGTAAAATCTAGAACAGGTAAATCCATAGAGACAGGTTGCCAGAAGCTGGGGAAGGGAGAAATGGGAGTGACTTTAATAGATAATGGGGTTTCCTTTTGGAATGGTGAAAGTGTTTTGGAACTAGATAAATGTGGTTGCATAACATTTTGACTGTGCTAAGTGCCATTAAATTGTTCACTTTAAAATGGTTACTTTTATACTGTTAAAATTAATTAAAAATATATATGTATATATGTTTATAGAACAATAAAGGATGAAAGGCTGAGCCTGAATAACTGATTTACTTATTCGGAAAAGCAAAGCCGTTTAAAAAATATTTTACTTCTGTTGCTTCTGGCTATAACTGAAAATCCCTCAGTCCATGTGGGGAACACAGATGACGAATACGCAGCCCTCCAGCATGTGTATGTGGTCATTAACTTGGCCTTGCTGGTCCAGGGATTTCAGGTAAAAATCAGGAACTATGAAAGTTATTAATAACTCAGTTGCTTCTAAGACAGGTGAACATCTAAGACAGGGCCATAGGAATGGTGTAATGCAGTCAAGAGAAAAATGTGAAGGAGAAGGATGCAGGCAAGTTCTCCTGAGAGACAGATCCAGGAGCATAAAATTGGCATTTTTTCTCCATTAAACAATTTGGGATGATCTGAAGTCTCCTCCAAGTTTCTGTCTCTCTCTTTATCTTAATTAGCAAAGAAAGTCTTAGGTACAGTAAGCCCTCTCCTTCCCTAATGGATTAGCCAGCAAATAGGAAACTAAGCTTTGGGAGAGACTAATAATAGAATGAAGGGAAAGAAGGACAAGGATTGACTGTAGACTTAAGCTTTCTCCGTTCATTCATTCCTTCATGTTCCAAAGCAATTGCATTTCTTATTTGTATGCTACAGTCATTCTCCACCCTCAAAGAGTTTACCATTTATTGGTGGGGGTGGGGGACATGGACACAAACAAGTATACAGTAAACCACAGCATCATATGTCAGACTGTACTGTGCATATGAATCCTTTGGCAATCTTGTTAAAATGCAGATTCTGATTCATTATGTCTGGGGCAGATTCTGATTCATTATGTCTGGGGCAGGGTCTGAGACTGTTTTTCTTTCTCTTTTTTTTTTTTTGGGATGGAGTCTCGCTCTGTCACCCAGGCTGGAGTGCAGTGGCGTGATCTCTGCTCACTGCAAGCTCCGCCTCCCGGGTTCACACCATTCTCCTGCCTCAGCCTCCCTAGTAGCTGGGACTACAAGTGCCCACCACCACGCCCAGCTAATTCCTTTTTTATTTTTAGTAGAGATGGGGTTTCACCGTGTTAGCCAGGATGGTCTTGATCTCCTGACCTCGTGATCTGCCCGCCTTGGCCTCCCAAAGTGCTGGGATTACAGGCATGAGCCACCGTGCCTGGCCTATTTTTTTTTTTTTTTTAAGACAGAGTCTTGCTTTGTCACCAGGCTGGAGTGCAGTGGCGCAATCTCAGCTCACTGCAACCTCCAACCCCTGGGTTGAAGCGATTCTCCTGCCTCAGCCTCCCAAATGGAGACTCCGTATTTCTAAGAGCACAGAGGTGAAGCCTGTGTTCCTGGTCTGAGGGGCTAGAGTGTGATAACCACAATAAAAAGGAGATGCCGTACAGCAGATTCAGCAAACAGCCTGCAGGCCATATCCTATTTTTGTATGGCCCATGAACTAAGGATGGTTATACATTTTTAAATGGTTGGGAAAAAACTCAAACCAAAACAATTGAAGAAGGCTGTTTCACGACAACTGAAAATTATATAAAATTCAACTTTCAGCATCTGTAAACAATGTTTCATTGGAACAGTCACCCCTATTTGTTTGCATATTGTCTGTGACTGCTTTCCCACTACAAAGGCAGAGTTGAGTAGTTGCAACTGAGACCATATGGCCCACGAAGCCTAACATGTTTACTATCTGGCCCTTCACTGGAAAAAAAAATTGTCTATCCCTGGTATAAAGTAATATGGGATTTCAAGAGAGAGGGAAAGATCATTTCCAGTTGTATTCATCAGGGAAGACTTCATGGAGGAAGAGTATATGAGTAGCTTGACCAGTGAGTAGGATCTGAGTGGCAGCCGTTGGGGAGGAAGGAAATCTAGTAAATGCATAGGCTTGGAAATAAGGAAAGCAGGTGGCATGACTACAGATCTCAGTGTCGAAAGCCTTAAGCCAGGTTGCTGTCCAGACTGCCAGCTTCCTTCTGAATGGGAAAGAGAAATGCTCTGACACAAAGAAACTCTGGTTCCCAGCTCTGGAAGATTAAACCAATTGGGCAAGTGTATGGTGGACTACATGTGTATCCGTGAGCAATAATGAAGGCCAGGTATAACAGTGGATTTCTGGGTGAGCATTTGGAAGCCAGTGGTTCTCAAAGTTGGGGAGTGACACTCCCGCACCCTGTTCCCCAGGGAGTGTTTGGAAACATCTCTTTTGGGTTGTCATACTAATTAGGGGACATCTCCTGATACTTACTCCCCAGGAGTCAAGAATGCTAAAGGATTTACAGTGGGATGCAGAAGACTATAGTTCTGGGCAAGGTCACATGTCCTCCCCTGAATGTCAACAGCACCCTCAATAACATGCTCAGTCTGAGGACTCTTCTGTGGTGTAGAATGACCATAGGTTGAGAAATTAAAAGACTTGGATGAAGGGAATGGAACCCACTTGGATAGTGATGAATGGAGACCAAGCAAGAGGGCAGATTGATGCTATTGCTTGGCAGTGAGACCAAAAGACTTCCATTTCCCCCCCAACATTCCCAGAGAGCCAGAATGCCAGGGTAGAGTACAAATCCAAAGAGAATCTATATTGTAGGGAATATTTATGGTGCCTATGAAAGATAAGATTTGCATGATGGGTGAAGGTCAATGACAATTATTTATTCACAACCAGTCTTCCAGCCTTAATCTGCACAGTGGTTAGGTGGCTAGCTTTGCAATCAGAAAGAGCTGGGTATGATTTCAGCTTTGTCTCTTCCTAGCTGGGAAACCTGGATAAGTTATTTTAAATTTTCTTGTTTTCTGATCTGCAAAATGGGTATGGTAATAGATTGTTTTAAGTATTGATTGAGATAATCCGTGGGGCAGGCTTAGCACAATATTGGGGCCCTCAGGGGTGCCCTGTAAATGAGTTTCCATCTCTCTTTGCTTCAATGAACACGAACTGATTTTCTGATGCCATCAGTGCTGCTGTTGGCATCAGAATAGCAGGTGGGAAAATTAGAGGGGAACCAATTTTAGCCATGCATAGCATTGGTTGATATAAGGGATGGCTTCTCAATCTTGGCACTGTTCATATATTGGGCTGGATAGTTCTTTGTTGTGGGGGCTACCTTGTACATTGTAGGATGTCTAGTAGTATCCCTGGCCTCTACCCACTAGAGACGCCAGTAGCACCCCCAGTCATGACAACCCTAACTGTCTCTAGACATTGCCAAATGTCCCCTGAAAGGCAATATGGTCCTCGATCGAGACCACTGGTTTAAGGTAAGAGAAAAATAAGTCGTGGCTGTTTATCTTTTTATACAAATGTAAGGGGTACAATTGCAGTTTTGTCACATGGCTATATTGTGTAGTAGTAAAATATGGGCTTTTAGTGTAACCATCACCCAAATAACATACATTGTAGCCATCAGGTAATTTCTCATCCCTCCCCCTGCCACCCTTCTGCGTCTCCAGTGTCTATAAGTCCATACTCTAGGTCCATGGGTACATATTATTAAGCTTCACTTAGACGTGGGAACATGGGGTATTTGATTTTCTGATCTGTGGCTGTTTGGGGTGAAGGGAGAAATGCAGGATTGCTTTGATTTTTGTCTTAGCAAAAAATCTGACCATAAATCTCCAAGCTCTATGGTCTGTAAATTCAACAACATACCATGTTTTCCCCTAATGCCAGGCACTGCATTCGATCCTGGGGACAGATAGAAATAAGACATGGTCCCTGTTCTCTAGGTAGGGACCACCTTTTTTTGCAGAGCCCCAGCTGAGGAAGAAGACTCTTGAAAACTCTGGCCATGAAGTGGCCATTTGTTTTCCGGGCAGAGTCTGCCATCGGGTTTCTAAAAAACGTGGTTGGGCAGCCACACTGATAAGATGGGAGGCCAGGTGGATTTATGTGGGTGTTTATTCTGAGAGTTGGGCCAAGGCACAAGCTGAAACCGCTGGCAAAATGAAACTTCCCCTGGCCACTGTGAGGAGGCTGAATTTATCTCAGGGGATGTGGTTTGGTTGACAAGACTGATTATATGGGGTTTATTGTTTACATGAGTATAATATACTCAGGGCTCAAGGCAGAAGGTGGGTTTTATAAATCAGCAGGTAAGTAAAATAAATGCGTTGGGCTAGATACTCCTGCTCCCTGGATAAAGGTGAAAGGGGATGGTGAATTACAGTTAACACAGAAAATGAAGAGAATTCAAAAAACCCAGCGGATTCCTTCTTAAGCGACCATTTACTGCCACCACCCAAAGGCTTCATCCCATTTACCCCACCTACCCATGGCCATATATTCTATGAGAACATTCTGAAATTTTGTATATACATTGGAAACAGAAGCTTGTCTCCTTACCATTAATAACCAAATGTAAGGAAATGGAAAGACGGAACACGCCCTGATAAACGTGGGGCAAAGAAGGGAAACCTGACGTTGATGAAGGGCTCCTCTGTAGCAGGCACAGTGGCGGGTGCTTGATACATACATCATTCCATTTAATTCACACAAAAATCCTGTGGGTGGTTATTTCCCAAATTTGCCTGCTTATAAGAACCACCAGGCATGCTTATTATAAATCCAGAGGTCTTTGTCCCTCCCTTGGACCTACTGAATCCTACTGTCTGGGGAAACATGAAAATCTGTATTTTTAACCATCACTTCAGGGGTTTCTAATGATCGGCTAGATTGGAAAACACTTCATTAAACTGTAATTCATCATCCCCAAGTTATATGGATGTGGAAAGTAGCTTTGCCTGACCCTTAATTCTAAACCCTTTTCATGGCTTCATGGTGCCTCCTTAGAAATGACAGGTCCAATTAAGACACAGACAAGATGGGTTTAAAATTTGCCTCTGCTTTGCATATCAGTTCCTTAGAGCTTTGAGAGTCAGTGTGGTGGAGAGGACATGACCGCTGTAACTGGAGTCCAAGGACTGAGTTACAGCTCTGTAATTTATTAGCTCTGTGACCTTAGACAAGTTAGTAAAGCTCTCCTGGTCACAGTTTTTTCTTCTGTAAAATGGTGATTAAAAAAATCTCACTTGCTCCGACTGCTTCCAGATCCATTGTGTGGACCAAATGAGATAATCGACGGGAAAACGTTTTGCAAATGGTAAAGCCGCCTGTGAGGTCTTAATATTATCCATTCCTGATGGAGTTGATACCCCAATTATCTGTGTAACCAGTTTCTTTTTTGTGCAATACGTAAAGCTTTGAACTTTTCTTCTCACTTTTGGGTGACTTCAGACAGCGTGGATGATGTGAAAATAAGGAATTCGCGTTTATTGACAGATGAAATAAAGGATGAAAGGTGCTCTCTGGCAAAGGCTGCTACTAAATGCAAGAAACCCCGGGACAAGCCACCCACTGAAGGCATGTGCACATGTGTTCTCTGAAACTCATGATATGTGGCAGCCAGTGCTCCACTGGATTAACATGGATAAATGAATATTAATAGGACCACCACTCTAGGAAGGATAATTGGGGGTTGCCTAGATCACTCTCTAGTGACTGAGACTGTCAGAGAACCTTCAGACTCCTAAGCCTGGTCCCACCCTGCGGCAGGCTGAATAAATAGGTCTTTAAAGATGTTCATGTTCTAATCCCCAGAACCTGTGAAAATGTTGCCTTACATGGAAAAATAACTTTGCAGATGTGATTAAGTTAAGGGTCTTGAGAAGAAGGGGGAGATTATCCTGGATTATCTAAGTGAGCACAACATAATCACAAGGATCCTTCCAAGTGAATAGTGGAGCAGGGAGAGCACAGAAGATGTAATGTGGGACCAGAGATTGGAGTGTGATGAGTGTGAGAAGGCGTCAACTGGCCATTGCTGGCTTTGAAGATGGATTCTGCCCTACAGCCTCCAGAAAGAATGAAGCCCTACCAACACGTTGATCTTAGCTCAGTGAAACCCACTTTGGGCTTCTGACCTCCAGAACTATAAGATAATAAATGTGTGTGGTTTTGAGCCACTACGTTTGTGGTAGTGTTAGAGTAGCCATAGGAAACCAGTGCACCCCCACCGTTCCCAGTGTTTATCAGTGGGGTGCTATTGTCATGTGAGTGGAGGCTGGTTTCTAGCATAGCAGGGCACCTAGCATCTGATTAAGTACTAAGTGCCAGCCTCCCAAATCATTTAACTACCCAAAACGTGCCATGCCCTGGTTGAAAGGCATAGCTTACATCGCTGACACATCTGGGGACTAAAAGAACATGTGGGAATGGGCTTCAGAGGAGCAGAATTTTAAAAATACATTTAAAGCTTAATGGTTCTCTTTAGTATTAATTTGCTCACTATGAGATTGGAAACTTCTTTATGCCTACATGACCTCTGTACATCCGGATCCACCACCTGGCCCAGAGTTGGTGCTCTCAAAGTGATTGTGAAGAAAATAAATGGATTCTTTGATTATATCTCACTCCTCCAAAGAGAATTTATAATGCCTTAAAATATTAAAAAGTGTAAGCTGAAAATAATGAAATCAAATGCCATTAAAAGAAGCAGAGAAAGAGATACCTAGATGCCTGGGGTGGGTGGTTTGTTTCTTAGCTCCACATTTGGCCTTGAATTCCTGACTGCAAAAATTAGACAGGCATTACCCACTTGAACACCTTCTTAGGTCTCACATGTGGGTCAAAGGCAAATTGTAGGATGTTAGGAGGGACATATGGTTTACCAGATATAGCCATCTGAGGACTCTCATGCTAAAAATACAAATATATGTTTGATCTCCAGAAATATCCCTTACAATTAGGCTAGGGATGGTTGAAAAATACACCCAGCTTGATTAGAGATAGCCAGAGGCATGCTGCTGTGAACGGTTTATTATTGAGATTTTTGGAGGCTATGAATGATGGGGAAGATGGCATGAAGACCCAGATTTGCCGTCTGTAAATCATTTGAGACTCTCTCTGTGTCATCATCAGGACTGGAAGGGAAGTCCCATAGGCTGGGAGTGGGAGATGGGAGGGCTAGAGTGTCTTTGTGTCCTCTGGTAAAGAAAACAAACCCATCTCCAGCCCCTTGTGTCTCCTCCTACCTCTGCAAAGCTGCCAGGTACAACTGCTCTGTGTTATTGATGCTAATGACCCACGTAATGGCCCTGCAAGAAGGATTTCAAATCTGCAAATGATGGCTTTTGCAGGCACCACAAATCACTGAGCCTTGCAATCAAATGCAGAGGGACCCAGATCACTGAAGGACTTGGGATAATGAATGATAAAATGCAGTTTAATGTGGACAAATGTAAAATAATATGTCTTGGAACAAACAATCAGAAGGAGGAACAGCTGCTAAATGAATTGGTTTGCATTACACTGACCAGGGAATAGAAATGGGCCTGAGTGGCAGCCAAACAATCAACAGAGGTGAAGGTTGAAGAGGCTGGTCCCTGTTGTAGGAAAATAACCCCAGAAAAGTCAGAGGGAGGAAAATGATCAAGTTAATTCCTGCCTCACAGGCACCTGATACGCCACAAAGAGGAATACAAATGGCCTGACACCCATTCTGAGCTCAATGCTGGCTGTTGCTGCTTAAGCTCCTTGCCAGCTCCTCTGCTCAACCTCCAAACCTGGGGTGCCCCAGGGATTGGGGGGCTAACACGGTTTGGCTGTGTCCCCACCCAAATCTCACCTTGAATTGTAATAATCCCCATGGGTCAAGGGCAGGGCCAGGTGGAGATAATTGAATCATGGGTCGGGGGGGGCGTCTGTTTCCCCCATACTGTTCTTGTGGTAGTGAATAAGTCTCATGAGATCTGATGGTTTTATAAATGGGAGTAACCCTGCACAAGCTCTCTTGCTTGTCACCGTGTAAGACGTGACTTTGCTCCTCATTCACCTGCCATGATTGTGAGGCCTTCCCAGCTATGTGGACCTGTGAGTCAATTAAACCTCTTTCCTTTATAAATTACCCAGTTACAGGTACATCTTTATTAGCAGCATAAGAACAGACTAATACAGGTGCCCTAGGACTTGGGCCTTGGCTTTCTCTTCTTCAGCCTCACTATCTCACCAAAGTATCTCAATCAGTCCTGTGGCTTTTAAGAATCATCTATACCCTGAAGATACTCAAAGTTACACCTTCAATTGACCTCTCCCTAGCTTAGATCTCTTAGTCAGTGGTCTCAAAGTTTTCTATGTATTAGAATCACCTTGAGGATATTAAAAAAAATCTTAATGTCTACACCCTAGATGAATGAAGTCAAGATCTCTAGGAGTGGGCCCAGGCATTAGTTTTAACTCTACAGGTAATTCCAAGATGCAGTTAAGTTTGAGATTAAGTTGCCCACTTAATCTCTCCACTTGGATGTATACTTAGTGTCTCAAATGTAATATGACCAAATAAACTTCATTATTATCCCTATTTCACACTTGATCATCTCACACTTGATCAGTGGATGGCTTCCCCATCCACTGATCTCTCAAGCCCCAAAAGTAAGCTTGATACTAGTTGTTTATTTTCTCTCACTACCTACAGCTACTCCACCAGCAAAGTCTTCAGTTCCAACTTGAAAACATCCAACGTCATTCTACCATCAAGTCCAACCTGTACCACTGCAAGTTTTAATTAATCTGCTTACTTTTGGCTCTTCTCTACTCACTTCTCCCTCTTGTATCCAAAGTAATCTTAAAACCAGGTCATGTCACACCCCTATTTAAAAACCTCCAGTGGCTTCTATCCCATGTCGTATAAAATCCAAGCTCATTGTCCTGACTTTTGAAACCCTCAATGACTTTCTACATCTTACCTTTATGATCTCATTTTGTATCATTCATCCCTTATCCACCAGGCTCATTCCCATGTTTGAAATTTTGCACCATTTCATTTGTGTAAAATATACTTCCTTTGATCTTCACAGGGCTCACTGGGTCTTGTCATTTAGATGACACCATAAAAATGTCTCCTTCTTAGATCATTCTTAGTCATTCAATATCAATTAGTCATTTATCACCATGTAGTATTTTCTTGTTTGTTACCTACAAGCCCTCACCAGAATGTAAATTCCACGAAACAGGGACCTAGTCTATTTTGTTCACTGCTAAATTCTCAATGCCTAATATAGAGCCTGGCACATACTAGGTGCTCAATAAATATATGTTGAATGAATGAATGAATGAATGAATTCTATCAATGAAAGAAAGCAAGGCCCAGAGAAACTAGCTTAAGATTTTATAGCTTATAGTGGCCATGCTCTATGGTTTGTACCAGTGGTTTCCGGGTCAAGTTTTTGTCAATCCATAGTGAAATGAGAACAAAGACATCACTGTGGTTCTATCAAATAGAAACAACTTGCTTATATTTTGAGATTATTTACTTATTGCTTTTTTGATATTAAAATGTCCTTGCTCTTATAAAATGCTATTGATAATATATGACAAGTTATTTGGGAGTTTATTTTAACTTCCTCAACAAAATAAAAACTGTGATAACCCAATAAAGTTTCTAGTTTTCTAAAAAAGTTATAATTGTGGTATCCAGCCTTCAAGAATACTCCTTAATGATTCTTGCCACCTGATATTCATGCTCCTGTGTGGTTCCCTCTCATGTTGCGTAGAGTTGAACTGTGAAACCAACAGGATATTAAGTAAATGACAGTGTGCGACTTCCAGGGCCACATCATAAAACACCACAGCTTCCTTCTTATGCTCCCTTGGATCACCTGCTTTGGGGGGAGATGGCTGCAATGTCATGTGAACACTCAAGCAGCCCTATGGGAAATGTGTGTGGTGAGGAACTGAGGCCTCCAGCCATCAGCCAGCACTGATTCACCACCCATATGAGTAAGCCACCTTGGAAGTGAATCTTCTACCCCAGTCAAGCCTTCAGATGACTTCTGCCTTGGGTGACATCAGACTACAACCTCTCGGAAGACCCCTAGCCAGAACTACCCAGCTAAGCCACTCCCAGATTCCTGAAACAGTGAGGTAATGTTTTTTAAGTCATTACATTTTGGGATAATGAATTATGCAGCAATGGATAACTAATACATTGATTAATAACATTCCAAAAATCTGGAGACCTGCATTGCTGTAATCTTTTTTGAATTACGGTTTGCACGACTGGCTAGTTTAACCACTAAACATCTCTAAGCTTTAGCTTTCTTGTCTATAACATAGAAATAGTATTCATCCCTACTTCTTAGGTTGCTGTGAGGATTAAGTGAGATGATGTCTGTGTTTGGAACTAATATTATTGAATGTTATTTTTATCATTATTCTTGTTTTATATTATTATGGACTATTTCATGCCTAAATGATTTGCAGTACCATCTTCTATGCCTGAATTGTATCCCTTTCCCCATCTGCCTGCAGAATTACACTTTATTCCAGACCTAGTACAAGTATTTATACTCTTTGATGCCCTTCTTGACCTTAGAAGAGCTGATCCTTTCCTCTTTGTCCCTGTATTCTTTTCTCTATTATAGCACTTATCATGTGTATTACAATTAGTTACTGACATGTCCATCTCTTCTACCATATACAATCCTACCAAGCACTTATTTGGCTGTTATTACAGGCCAGGTGTTGTCCTAACACTTGTATATATTGACTCATGTAATTGTTACAATAACCCTAAGAGGCAAGTTCTATTTTTATCTCTATTTTATATAAGGGGTAACGGAGGCACAGATTTAAGCACGCAGTAGAGCCAAGATTAAAACCTGGGCGTTTCAGCTCCCAATGTGGTGCTCTCAACCATATCATCCCTCAGAGAAAGGGAGCACCCTATGGACAGAGACCTTGGCTCACTTATGTTGGCCTCCCTAGTACCCACTAGAGTTTTTGGAATATGGGAAGCTTGTAATAAAAATAACAGCAATTATTATCTGCTATATAAAATACTATGCTGAGAACTTTACAAAGCAGAGATTTTAAAAATGGCCATTTACAAATGAGAATCCTAAGGCTTAGCGAGGCTAAATAACTTCATGTAAAGCTCCTAGAGGTGGCATAGCAGTCAGGATTCCAGCCCAGGGCCATTTGATTCCAAGGGCCATTCTTTTTTCATGGCATCAAACACGCCCAATGATTTTGAATGAATGAATGATTACATGAATATGTGATGGAATATCATTTGTCATAAATTGGCAAAGGAGAAAGTGAATGATCCGTGTGTACTTATTTCTACTTTGAGATAAATATAATTTGAAATAATAATGGGGTTATTGAGATATAAGGAAATGATGCCACAGAAGGAAGAACATTGATTTTGTGCTGGACAGCTTTCTATTTTATGTGGCCTGCTGATTGCCAGTGACAATTTCCAGTATAGAGACTGACATCCTTTACAATTTGAGCTGTCCCCAGCCTCCATGTGCCCTGTGGTGCAGGCAACATGCCTTTTCTTTCTCTTTTTTCCCTCCCTTTCTTCCTTCCTTTAGCATTTTAAAATTTATTTATATTTTTAACTGACAAATGAAAATTCAATATGTTTATTGTGTGCAATGTGATAATGTTTTGAAATATGTATACATTGTGGATTGACTAAATCTGGCTAATTAACATATGCATTACTTTGTATACTTGTTTGTGGTGAGAACACTTAAAATCTACTCTTACCGATTTTTTTTTTTTTGAGATGGAGTCTCACTCTTTCAGCCAGGCTGGAGTGCAGTGGCATGATCTTGGCTCACTGCAACCACCACCTCCCAGGTTCAAGTGATTCTCCTGCCTCAGTCTCCCAAGTAGCTGGGATTACAGGAACACACCAACACACCCAGCTAATTTTTGTATTTTTAGTAGACATGGGGTTTTACCATGTTGGCCAGGCTGATCTTGAACTCCTGACCTCAGGTGATCCGCCTGCCTTGGCCTCCCAAAGTGCTGGGATTACAGGCGTGAGCCACCATGCCTCGGCCCCTCTCTTAGCAATTTTTAATACCACAATACATTGCTATTAACTATAGTCATCATGTACAGTAGGGCTATTGAAATTATTCTAACTACAATTTTGTATATTTTGACTGACATCTCTCTAATCCCCCAACCTTCCTCCAGCCTCTGGTAGCCAACATTCTTCTCTTCACTTCTATGAGTTTAACTTTTTAAGATTCCATGTGTGATATGGTTTGGCTATGTCCCCACCCAAATCTCATCTTGAATTATCGCTCCCCTATTCCCCATGTGTCATGGGAGAGGCCTGGTGGGAGGTAATCGAATCATGGGGATGGGTATTCCCATGCTGTTCTTGTGATAGTGAATAAGTCTCATGAGATCTGATGGTTTTACAAAGGGCAGTTCCCCTGCACATGCTCTCTTGCCTGCTGCCATGTAAGACATGCCTTTGCTTCTCTTTCACCTTCTACCATGATTGTGAGGCCTTCCCAGCCATATGGAACTGTGAGTCTATTAAACCTCTTTTTCTTTATAAATTACCCAGTCTTGGGTATTTCTTCATAGCAGTATGAAAATGGACTAATACAACATGTAAGTGAGATCTTGTGGTATTTGTGCCTGGCTTATTTCACTTAGCATGTCTTCCAGATTCATCTAGGTTGTCTCAAATGACAGAATTTCCTTCCTTTTTTTTTAAGGCTGAGTAGTATTCCATTGTGTATATCCACTACATTTTCTTTACCATTGCTCCACTGATGGACACTTAGGTTAATTTCATATCTTAGCTATTAGAAATAATGCTGCAACAAATATGGGATGCAGATATCATTTCAATATACTGATTCCATATCCTTTGGGCATATATACAGTACAGGGATTCCTGGATCATATGGTGGTTTTACTTTTTTGAAGAATCTTCATACTGTTTCCGTAATGGCTGTGCTAATTTGCATTCCCATCAACAGTGTTTCAGGGTTCCCTTTTCTTCACATCCTTTGCACATATTCTCCAACACTTGTTATGTTTCATCTTTTTGATAATAGATATTCTAAGTTGTGAGGTAATATCTCACTGTGATTTTCATTTGCATTTGATGATTAGGGATGTTGAACATTTTTTCATATACCTATTGGTCATCGGTATGTCATTTTGAGAACTGTCTGTTCCAATCCTTTGCCCATTTTTAAATCAGGTGTTTTTACTACTATTGAGTTGCTTGAGCTCCTATACATTTTGGATATCAACTTCTTATCAGGTGTATGCTTTACAAATATTAATACTTTCCTTCTGTAGGTTGTCTCTACACTC
This sequence comes from Homo sapiens, assembly GCF_000001405.40. Classification (NCBI taxonomy): domain Eukaryota; kingdom Metazoa; phylum Chordata; class Mammalia; order Primates; family Hominidae; genus Homo; species Homo sapiens. Next base: position 51,691,534 of record NC_000017.11, read on the forward strand.
TGTTGATAATTTCCTTGGCTGCATAAAAGGTTTTCAGTTTGATGTAGTCCCATTTGCTTTTGTTGCTTGTGCTTTTGTGTTCATATATAAAAAAAATCATTGCCTAAACTAATGTCATAGACCAATGTTGCCTTATGTTTTCTTCTAGTAGTTTCATAGTTTCAGGTCTTACATTTAAGTCTTTAATCCACTTTTAGTTGGCTATTGTGGTGCATGGTGTGAGTTAAGGGTCTAATTTCATTCTTTTACATGTGACTATCCAGTTTTCCCAACACCATTTATTGAAGAGACTGTCCTTTCCCCAGTGTGTGTTCTTGACACCTTTGTCACCCTTGCTATCATATTGGCCTGAGTCACTTTCAGATGTTGCTGAGAAAAAAATCCCAACCCATGGGATACTTAAAACATGGCTCTTAAAACTTGATCTAAAAGTGCTTTAGCTAATTGAGATGTATTGTGATTCCATATGAATTTTAGGAATTTTTTCTATTTCTATGAACAATGTCATTGGTATTTTGATAGGGATTGCTTGAATCAGTAGACCATTCTGGGTAGTTCAGATGTTTAACAATATTAATTCTTCCAGCTCATGAGCATGGGATATCTCACTACAGTTTTTTGTTCCTCTTCAATTTCTTTTCTTAGTGTTTTATAGGTTTCCTTGTAGATAGCTTTTACTTCTTTGGTTAATTTATTCTTAGGGTTTTTTTTTTTTTTTTGGTAGCTATTGTAAATGGGATTGATTTCTTGATTCCTTTTTCAGATTGATCACTGTTAACATATAGTAATGCTACAGTTTGTTTTCTATCTACCTACCTATCTACCTATCCATCCTATCTATCTATCTATCTATCTATCTATCTATCTATCTATCTATCTATCTATCTATCTATTTTACCATTTACCATGGGAATGATAGGTTTTTTTAAAACCTAAGATTATCTCATTTGCAGACAAGGATAATTTGATTTCTTCCTTTCCAACTTGGATAATCATTTTCTTTCTTTCTCTTGCTTAATTGCTCATGACCACTCCAGTACTATGTTGCATAAATGCAGTGAAAGTGAACATCCTTGTCTTGTTCCAGCTCTCATTTCTGTTTATCAATGAATAGTATTTCATTGTGTAGATGCACCATGGTTAATCCATTAATTATTGGCCTATTGAAGGGCATGTTGGTGTTTCTAAGTTTTCACAATTATGAATAAAGCTCCTATAAATATTTGTATGCAGGTTTTCATGTGGAAATAAGTTTTTTATTAATTTAAATGAACACCAAGGAGTGTTATTATGAATTGACCAGTTTCAACTGGCCGTGACTGGCTTTGACTGGTTTTGAGCAGCCATCACTGGTTTTGGCTGTCCACGACCAGCTTCAACTTGTTTCCACTGGTTTTGAATGGTCTTGGCTGGTGTTGGCCGGTTTCAACAGGTCTTAGTCAGTTGGTTTCAGCCAGTTTCAGCCAGTTTCATTTGGTTTTGACTGGTTTCAACTAGCTTCTGCGAATTTCCATGGGTTATAACAGATTTTTACTAGTTATAGCCAATTTGGACTAGTTTCAGCCAATTTGGACTAGTTTCAGCAGGGCTCAACTGGTTCCAGCTGGTTTTGACTGGTTTTAGCCAGCTTCAGCCAATGTTGACTGGTTTCATTCAGCTTTGACCAGTTTCAGTTGGCTTCAGCCATCTGTTTTGACTAGTTTCAGCTGGCTTCAACTGGTTTAAAGCAGTGGTAGCCAGTTTTAGCTGGTTTTGGCTGGTTTAGAACAGTTTAGACTCCTCTGGGTAATTATATCTTTTTCTCTTTAAAAAAAAATAATTTTAACATTTTTGACTTGGGGTTATATGTGCAGGTTACCTGGGTATATTGCATGATGCTGAGTTTGGGGTATGATTGTTCCCATCACCAAGGTACTGAGCATAGCACCCAATAGTTTTTCAGCTTTTCACCCCCTATCCACCCCCGACCATCTAGCAGTCCCCAGTGTTTGTGTTTGTCATCTTTATGTCCATGAGTACCCAATGTTTACCTCCTATTTATAAGTGAGAACATGCAGTATTTGGTTTTCTGTTTCTACATTAATTTGCTTAGGATAATGGCCTCCAGCTGCATCCATATTCCTGCAAAAATCATGATTTCATTCTTTTTTTATTTCTGTGTAGCATTTCATGGTGTATATGTACCATATTTTCTTTATTTGATTCACTGCTAATGGGGGGCCCCTAGGTTGATCCACGTCTTTGTTATTGTAAATACTAATGTGATGAATAGAGGAGTGCATGTGTCTTTTTGGTAGAACAATTTATTTTCTTTTGGATATATACCCCATAATGGGATTGTGAGGTTGAATGGTAGTTCTGTTCTAAGTTCTTTAAGAAATTCACCCCCGGCTGGACACAGTGGCTCACACCTGTAATTCCAGCACTTTGGGAGACTAAGGTGAGTGGATCACCTGAGGTTGAGAGTTCGAGACCAGCCTGACCAACATGGAGAAATCCTGTCTCTACTGAAAATACAAAATTAGCTAGGCGTGGTGGTGCATGCCTGCAATCCTGGCTACTTGGGAGGCTGAGGCAGGAGAATCGCTTGAACCCGGGAGGCAGAGGTTGCAGTGAGCTGAGATCATGCCATTGCACTCCAGCCTGGGCAACAAGAGCGAAACTCCGTCTCGGAAAAAAAAAAAAAAGAAATCTCCAAATTGCTTTCCAAGTGGCAGAACTAATTTACATTCCCACCAATAATGTATAAGTGTTTCCTTTTTCTCCACAGCTTGCCAGTATCTGTTGTTTTTTGACTTTTTAATAATAGCCATTCTGACTTGTGTGAGATGGTATCTCTTTGTGGTTTTGATTTGCATTCCTCTGATGATTAGTGATGTGGAACATTTTGTTGTTGTTGTTCACTTGTATATTTTCTTTTGAGAAGTGGCTGTTCATGTCTTTTGCACACTTTTTAATGGGGTTTTTTTTTTTTTTTGCTTCTTCGGTTGTTAAAATTTCTTGTAGGTTCTGGATATCAGAGCTTTGTTGGATGCATAGTTTGTGAATATTTTCTCTAATTCTGTGGGTGGTCTGTTTACTCTGTTGATAGCTTCTTTTGCTGTGTAGAAGATCTTTAGTTTAATTCGGTCCCACTTGTCAATTTTTGTTTTTGTTGCAATTGCTTTTGAGGACTTATTCATAAACTATATCCCAAGGCTAACATCCAGAATGGTGTTTCCTAGGTTTTCTTCTGGGATTCTTGCAGTTTGAGGTCTTACATTTACATCATTAATATATCTTGAGTGAGTTGACTTTTGTATAGGTGAAAGGTAGGGGTCCAGTTTCATTCTTCCGCATATGGCTAGCTGGCTTTTCCAGCACCATTTATTGAATAGGAAGTCCTTTTCTCATTGCTTATTTATTCCCACTTTGTTGCATATCAGTTAGCCATGGGTGTATGGCTTATTTCTAAGTTCTCTATTCTGTCCCATTGTTCTATGTGTCTGTTTTTGTACCAGTACCATACTGTTTTGGTTACTGTGGCCTTATAGCATAGTTTGAAGTTGGGTAATATGATTCCTCCAGCTTTGTTCTTTTTGCTTAGGATTGCTTTGGCTACTCATGTTCTTTTTTGGTTCCATATGAATTTTAGAATAGTTTTTTCTATTTTTGTGAAAAATGATGGTAGCTTGATAAGAATAGCATTGAATCTACAGATTGCTTTGGGCAGTATGGCCATTTTAACAATATTGATTCTTCCAATCCATGAGCATGGAATATTTTTCCATTTGTTTCCTGTATGATTTCTTTCACAGTTTTTGTTTTGTTTTGTTTTTGTTTTTGTAATTCTCCTTGTAGAGATCTTTCTCCTCTTTGGTTAGATGTATTACTATATATGTGGGTGTTTGTGTGTGGCTATTGTAAGAGGGATTGTGTTCTTGATTTGACTCTCAGCTTGAATGTTATCGGTGTATAGAAATGCTATATTTTTGTACATTGATTTTGTATCCTGAAACCTCACTGAAGTCATTTATCAGTGCCAGGAGCTTTTTGACAGAGTCCTTAGGGTTTTCTAGGTATCATATCATCAGCAAAGAGAGATAGTTTGACTCCTTCTTTTCCTATTTGGATGCCTTTTATTTCTTTTTCTTGCCAGATTGCTCTGGCAAGGACTTCCAGTACTGTGTTGAATAGAAGTAGTGAGAATGAGCATCCTTCACTTTTTCCAGTTGTCAAAGGGAATGCTTCCAGCTTTTGCCTATTCAGTATAATGTTGGCTGTGGTTTTGTCATAGATGGCTCCTATTATTTTGAGGTATGTTTCTTTGATGTCTTGTTTCTTGAGGGTTTTTATCACTTAGGGATGTTGGATTTTATTAAAATCTTTTTCTATATCTATTGAGATGATCATATGGTTTTTGTTTTTAATTCTGTTTATGTGGTGAATCACATCTATTGATTCATATATATTGAACCAACCTTGCATCCCAGGAAGGAAGCCTATTTGATCATGGTGAATTAACTTTTTAATGTGCTGCTGGATTTGGTTTGCTAGTATTTCGTTGCAGATTTTTACATCTATGTTCATCAGGGATATTGACCTTTAGTTTTCTTTTTTGTTGTTGTATCTTTGCCAGGGTTTGGTGTCAGGGTGATGCTGGCTTTGTAGAAAGAGTTAGGGAGGAGTCCCGCCTCCTTGATTTTTTGGAATAGTTTCAATAGAGTTGGTACCAGCTATCCTTTGTTTATATGGTAGAATTTGGCTGTGAATCCACCTGATTTGGCCTTTTTTTGGTTATAGGTTTTAAATTACTGATTCAATTTTGGAACTTAATATTGGTCTGTTCAGGGTTTCCGTTTAATCTTGGGAGGTTGCGTGTTTTCAGAAATTTATGTATTTCTGTGGGATTGTTGTAATGTTACCTTCGCAGTTTCTGATTGTGCTTACTTGGATCTTCTCTCTTTTCCTTTGGTAATCTAGCTAGTGGTCTATTGATTTTTATCTTTTCAAAAAGCCACCTTCTAGATTTTTTGATTCTTTGTATGGATTTTTGGGTTGCCAATTTCATTCAGTTCTGCTCAATTTTAGTTATTTCTTCTCTTTTGCTAGCTTTGAGGTTAGTTCGTTCTTGTTTTTCTAGTTCCTCTAGGTGTGATGTTAGATTGTTAATCTGAGATCTTTCTATGTTTTTGAGGCTGGTGTTTAGCACTATAAACTGTCCCCTTAACATAACTTTTGCTGTATCCCACAGATTTTGGCATGTTCTGTCTCTGTGTTTATTTATTTCAATGAATTGTTGGACCTCTTGGATAGAACCACAAAAGCATAGGCAGCAAAAAACAAACATATAGTTGCATCAAACTAAAACGAGTTTGATGCAACTGTATTCTTCTGCACAGCAAAGAAAACAATAGAGTGAAGAGACATCCCATAGATTGATATGTATATACATCTGTGTCTATGTGTTTTGGCTTTGGGAAATCAGTAAACCACAGGACTTTGATTTTAATTTATGTACACAGGTAGGTATCTCCCAGGGGCCTCTTAAGAGGTAATAATGCAACGTAATGAAAAAAAAAAAAAGCACCGTGTTAGAGCTGAACTGTACTAGTACCATCACCTATGTACTATCTCCATGTGGGCAAATTACTTAAACTCTCTGTACCTTTGCCTTCCTATCAGTAAAATGGGAACAGTAACATGTATTTTAGCTTCATGGTGAGGATTAAACATAAAGCTCTACCTGACTTGGGCTTCCCATTCATCTCTGAGCTTATAGCCTAAGATACTCCCCCTACAGCACATTTCTTTCCAGCTACCTTAGTTTCTTAGTCATTCCTCAAATTCACTGGGCAAGTGCCTGCCTCAGGGCCTTTGTACCAGCTCTTCCCTTTGCTCAAACATTTTCTTCTCAGATCCCCAAATGGCTCACCACATCAAGTCTTGGCTCTCATGTCCCCTCCTCCATGAGGCTTGTCCTGACTCTTCTGATTAGTTCTGTATCCTCCTCCTGCCACTCTCAAGACCCTTTGCTTTGCTTTCTCTTCTTTCCATAGCAGTTAACATCTCCTTGTAGATGAGACGTTGTATTTATTAATTAGTATCTATCTCCAACTGCTAGAATGTAAGCCATATGAGGGCCAGGGTCTTCGTGTTTTACACTGGTTTATCCCCAGCAACTAGAACACAGCCTGGCACATAGAAGGCACCCCATAAATATTCACTGAATGAATAAACAAATGAATGCATGAATGAAATCACTCAGTACAGTGCCTGGCATATTGTACACATCTAAGGAATGTAGCTATTATTGTTGTTACCTGGATTTCCCCAGGATACTTCATCCTGGAACTGTGAATAATTTTAATGCCCAATTTCACTACTTGCCAAACCTGCACATCTGCAGGTGTCACCCTCCTTTTTGACTACTACCCTGATGTCTCCTCCAGTCATTTATAATTGGGGCCCAGGTGGCCATCTGATTTTGTTCTTTAGCTCTGGACTTGTGGTGGCATCATGTACTTGAAGTCCTATGGGGGTGGCCCCTCTCTGTCCAGCAGCTGCTGCCCTCTGTGGGATGCTGCTTTCCTGCCTCCCTGCTGGGTCCTGCTGCTTCCTCATCACCTTGCCAGACACAGCAGATGCTGCTGCTGCTACTGTTGCTGCTTCCCATCCTTTCTGATTGCTGTCGCTATGTTCTCCCTAGAAACTCAGAAAATGCTCTGCTCCCTCACCTTCCGTCTGGCTGGCTCATCTGGACCCTGAAGTGAAGCAGCGTGTGCTCCAAGCCTTTCAAGGTCACTGGACGAAACAAGTCTTCTTCAGTTTTCACTTAGGACCAGTATCTGACAAAGAGATGCCATCGTGCCCTTAATGTTCTTGTCTCCCTTCTGTTTTTCTTCCTGCTTTACTGAGGTATAATTGATAGAAGGCAATTGTATATATTTAAGGTATACAGAATGACTTTTTAATATTTGTAGACATTGTGAAATAATCAGTCAAATTAATTAACATATCCATCACCTCACATAGTTACCTTTTCTCTTTTTTCTTTGATAGGAACACTTAAGATCTACCCTCATACAAATTTCAAATACACAATACGGTATTGTTAACTGTTGTCACTTATAGTGCATTAAATCTCCAGAATTTATTAATTTTGTATACTGATACTGTACCCTTTGCCCAGATCTCCTCATTTGCCTCTCCTTCCAACCCCTGGTAACCACCACCTACTCTCTGCTTCTGTGAGCTTGACTATTTTAGATTCCATATATAAGACATCACATAGTATTTGCTTTTCTGTGCCTGGCTTATATCACTTAGCCTAATGTCTTCCAGGTTCATCCATGTTGCAAATGGCAGGATTTCCTTTGTTTTTAAGGCTGGATGATATTCCATTTTCATTACCCATTCATCTGTTCATGAACATTATGTTGTTTCTATATATTGGTTATTATGAATAAGGCTGCAGTGAACACGAGAGTGCCAATATCTGTTCAGGATAAAAATTTTATTTCCTGGGCCGAGTGTGGTGACTCACGCCTGTAATCCCAGCACTTTGGGAGGCCAAGGTGGGTGGATCACCTGAGGTCAGGTGTTTGAGACCAGCCTGGGCAACATGGTGAAACCCCGTCTCTACTAAAAATACAAAAAAATTACCCAGGTATGGTGGCGGGCACTTGTAATCCCAGCTACTTGGGAGGCTGAGGCAGGAGAATCGCTTGAACCCAGGAGGTGGACCTTGCAGTGAGCCGAGATCATGCCATTGCATGCCAGCCTGGGTGACAAGAGCGAAACTCCATCTCAAAAAAAAAAAAAAAATTATTTCCTTTGGGTATATACCCAGAAGTGGGGTTGCTGGATAGTAAGGTGGTTTGAGGAGTCTCCATAGTGCTTTCTAGCTTTCTTTGAACTAACCTCCTCCCCTTCTTGCAACCGGAGACACACACAGCCCCCAGGCCTACTAATTCCTGCAAATGCTTGTCTGCCAGCAGGTGGCTACTGGTCCCTCATGTTCAGTTTTTGCTTAGCTTCAGCGAAGACATCCCTCGAGAGCATAAGAAAAAACAGTCATCATTTTTAAAAATACAGAAAAAATCTATTGCTTTATTGCATGTTGGTAGACTGCTGTTCCCTTTGACAGTCCAGTTCTGCATGACAAGTCTACTTGCATGTCCCGACAGATGGCCCATGGTAACGGGGCATTGCTGATCTTGTTACAATGAAATCTATTCAATGAAAAATTCTCCCCAGCAGATGTGTATACCAGCTTCATCCCCATGTGGGTATCAATCTCTTTATGAGACATTGTTTTGGTGGTATTTATAAGCAGACAGTTGTAGGATAAAGAGAGAGAGGTGACTGCTATTAGTATTAATTATGATCTCTTGCATTTAGTGCTTCATGCTTTTTCAAAAATGTTTCCACAGCTGTTCCTTTATTTGATTCTTGCAACATCCCCATGGGGTAGACATCAGAGATGAAGGGAGAAGGCATGCAAAGTACTTTCCTTCCTTCCTTTCAAGATGTTAGAATAAGTTTGCACCATGGTTGTGGCCATCAGGTGGTAGGCTGCACGATGCTGCAGAGAGAACTAGACTGGGAATCCCAGCTCTGCCTTTGAAATAGGAGAGCATCCTTGGAGAACTGGTGAATGTCCCGGTCAGTGAAGTAGTCTTAGCCGGGTTGCTGCAGTGGCCGCCTAACAGGTCTCACTGCTGTCTTTGTCTTGCTTCCATCTGTCCTCAGTGCAGCAGCCAGAGGGGATGTTTTAAGTCATACTTCAGATAATATCGCTGCACTGCTCACAGACCCTCCCAAAGCTCTCCACCCCACTCAGAGCAAGAGCAGAATCCTGGCAATGGCTGACAAGACCCCTGGGTTTTGTCCGACATCTTCTCTGGCCCCTTCTCCCACCTCCGTTTGCTCATGCTCTGGCCACATTGGCCTCCTTGGTGCTCCTTGAACATGGCACAGTTCCATGGGCCTCCACGGCACCTGCTTCCTCTGCTGCCACATTGTTCCCCACCTGTGCTTGGCTCACCCCCTCATGGCCTTCCATCTGCTCGTCTCACCTTCACGTCTCCGTGAAGCCTGTCCCAATGACTGTATGCTTCCCTTGCCTGCCTAACCTCTCCTTCCTAATCCTTCTCACCTGTTCTCTGGATTGCTTTTCACGACAGCACTTACCGTCGCCTAACATTCCGTAAGTGGTCACGTTCCTGGGCTGTCGGAACACCACAAACTGAGGGACATAGATGGAGCTGGAAGCCATTATCCTTAGCAAACTAACACAGGAACAGAAAACCAAACACTGTATGTTCTCACTCATAAGTGGGAGCTGAACAATGAGAACACATGGACACAGGGAGGGAAACCACACACCCCGGGGCCTATGGGGGTAGGAGTGGAGGGAGCAGGGAGGGAGAGCATCAGGATTAATAGCTAATACATGTGGGGCTTAATACCTAGGTGATGGATGGATAGGTGCAGCAAATCACCATGGCACACGTATACCTATGAAACAACCCTGTATGCCCTGCACATGTATCCCAGAACTTAAAATTTAAAAAAACAATTTTTTTTTCAAAAGTCTGATATCAAGGTGCTGGCAGGGTTGGTTCCTTCTGGAGGCTGGGAAGGGGATCTGTGCTATGCTCTCTCCCAGGTTCTTGTGGTTGCTGGCAATCCTTGGTGTTCCTCGGCGGGCGGCACCATCACTCCGGCCTCTGCCTCTGTTTTCACATGGTTGTCTTCTGTCTGTGTCCCAATTTCCCTCTTCTCATAAGGACACCAGTTGTTGGATCAGGGCCCACCTTAATTCAGTATGACTTAGTCTTAACTTGATTAAGTACATCTGCAAAGACCCTGGCTCCAAATAAGGTCACGTTCAGAGGTTCTGGGGGTTAGGACTGCAACATAGCTTTTTGGAGACTCAGTTCAACCCATAACACTCTCATTTATTTATTTATTTTTTTTATGTTTCTTGTTTGTTTACCTCTGCTCAATAAATTCTGCGAAGATTGGGGCCTTTAATATATGAGCTGGTAGGATCCCATGATACTCACAAATGTCAGCTTCCTTCCCTCAAGTTCTTAATCCTTTTAAATATTATTTATATCCCCAAATGAAAGTCTCATAATAGTTAACTCTCAATTATTCACCCATGTTTGGTAACAGGCCAAGAAAACAATTTCACAGTCATTTGTAATGTATTGCCAGAAAAATCCTATTTTGACAAATTAGACATTCTATCAAACTTTCTAGCTTGCATTCACATTCCATTTACCTAGAGGCTGCCACAGTTCTACAAAAGGTTTTACGACTAGAGACAGAGTTCTGAGACACATTGTCTCCACTCAGAACCTCTTTCTGTGGACCTTGTAGTCACCATGTGTACCTCCGGCCACCCCATCCTGCCCTGGGTCTTGTCCTCAGGTTGGCACCTTACCCAGATGTCACAAATGCTTCTCAGAACCTGCCAACCAGACTACAGAATCAGACCCCTACCATGTGAGAGTCAGAAGGGATCCTAAAAATCATTCATTTGTTCACTTTACAATATATTTCTTGAGTCAGAAGGGATCCTAAAAATCATTCATTTGTTCACTTTACAATATATTTCTTGAGCACCTATTATGTGCCAGGCATTGTGAGTTTCCTATTCTATTCCCTTTGAACCTCACAGCACTGTGCAAGATAGATATTATGGTCTCTGCATTCCAGATGAGAGCACAGAGGCCCAGAGCAGTTGGGAGACTTGCTGTGACTACTCAGCTAGCTGGCGGTAGACCCAGATTCAGATCCAGCATTGCCTGGATCTGGAGCCCTTTATATGACCTTGCCTTGAACTACTGGGCCTCTGCTTTTCAATCACTCTCATCCTTGGTGGCACACAAGATAGCCAATAGAAGGCTGGTGACAGGTCATTCTTATTCTCAGGCTTGTAGAAAATTTTGTATACTAGTTGACATTTTCTCTTTTACAGAGAATCTTTACCTTTATAAATCACTTTCATGAAGGCAGAGGAGGTGCTGTGTGATGGTGGCTTCCACCTGGACCCCAGACTCCCTCTCCGCCTTTCTCTGCCTGGGGAGACCCACTGTGTGCATGGCACTCACTGACTCCCATACCTCTGGCTATCAAAGGTTTCTGCCATGGCCACCCTGGAAGGAAACCAGAGGGAGGTAGACAGGGAGATCAGGTCCCTTCTACTCTGGTTCCTGCTCTGTGAAATTGTCTCAGGCTGGCTGTGTCCAGAGGGTCCCTGGTTCTCTCAGGGATGCCAAATCTACAAGAATCTCTCCTCTTCCAGTTCCTATAACCTCTCCTTCCTTTTGTCTCTTTAGACCTTGGAGTAGTAGCAGCCAGGTTCTTTCTATCTCTGGGTTAGTGCATTATCTCTGGTGGCTCCCTTACCCAGGACTTTGGGAATGGTCTTTTTGTAATACATTCTCCTCAAATAATTCAATTTTGAGTGTTCTGTATGTATCCTGCTGGGAGGTTGTTATATACAAATCACTGTGCCCGTTTAGCAGAGAAGGAGACTGAAGCTCAGGGAGGTTAAGTGTCTTTCTCTAGGTCGTATTGTGGAGAAAGTGGCTGACTGGGGACTTGAATGAGGTCCCTAGTTTCATGCTCGGAGGGCAAAGAGGAATGTCCAATTGGCCTGAGATAAGCCTCTGGTAAAATGTACTGTACATAATAGGTAATCAATAAATGTTGGCTGATGACAAACATGTTTTCTTTGTTCATTAGTTATAGTGATTATGTTCTAAATAACTCCAACAAGGAAGTCAGCACATTTGGAATATCATTATCTTTCCATGATAATATCTTTCCATGGAAAGATAATGATATTCCAAACTGGGAGTGTCCCTAGCAGATCTGAGTCTGTGTATTGGCCCTGGGGTGGGCCAGCCCCTTAGACTCTATGGTCTCATTCTCTTTGTTTACAAAATTGAGATAAGGCCTTATTCTCTCCCCACCCCACCCATCCATATTGTTTTGAGAATAAAATGAGAGGATGTGTGTCAAGGGTGTATTTTGGCAATAGTCTCTGAGCCATTTTCTGAGCACCTCCATACTGTTGACACTCAAGTAATATTTCATCAGCATTCCATTCAGGGTCCTCCCTTAATGAGGTGTGCGATGTACAAGAGTCGTGAGGTGGCAAAGGATGGGCTCCTGAGGAAACACTTAGGAAACTGGGCTTTCTGCCATTAAAAGAGACAAACCTTTGTGGTGACCTAATTAAAGTTTTTAAAATTCAATTTGGAAAGTTAGCAAGCTAGGCTCCTTTCCAGGAAAAATAAGGAGTCAGTGCATGACCTAACCGGTCCCGGGCTGCTTGCCATTCCAAACAACTGCAGTAAGTTTATCACCTTCTTTCAGGGACTGAGGTTTCCAGGCACAGACTTGGATAAGAAGGATGTCCTATGGGGTCACATTGATGCTGTGGCCCAAGAGAGGTTGCCATGACTCGAGAAAGGTTATGAAGTATGGTTTTCACTAAAGGAAAACTGATCTCTTTCGATTGTTTCTATGGAAGCTTGTGGATTATAAAACAGTATCCTTTCAAATCCATCCATCCATGTACTAACCCATCTATCCGTCCATCCATTCATCCATCCATCAATGCATGCATGCATCTATCATTCATTCATTCATCCATCCATCTATCCACCTATTCTTCCGGCCATTTATTTATCCATCCAACATATACTGAGTTGCTACTCCCACCAAACACTGGAGATTCTATACTAAATATGACATAACCAATACTTTGAAAGAGCCCAGGCTTCATGTAAAAGCACACAATTGAAACAATGGTTACAAGCACAAGGCGTTAAGTCAAAAGACCTTGGTTTGAGAGTTGACTTTGTAATTTAAGTGGCCCTGTGGTCTTGGGCAAGTGTTTCTCTCTAGGCCACATTTTTCATCCGTAAAATAATGTAGCTGAACTCAAGGAATGCTCTCTAAGATCTCTTCATGGTCAGATATGCTAAGATTCTCTGTCCAGGCAAATTCAGGGCAAGATGAGATCATCATGTGAGTGCAGACAGTGCAATAATCTAGTCAGTGGTCTCCTCTGTCCACCTTGCCCATCCACTCTATCTTCTACAGTGTAGGCAGAGTCATCTTTTCAAAAGAAAATCTATCACAGCTGGGTGTGATGGCTCACGCCTGTAATCCCAGCACTTTGGGAGGCGACAGTGGTGGATCACCTAAGGTCAGGAGTTCAAGACCAGCCTGGCCAACATGGCAAAACCCCATCTCTGCTAAAAATACAAAAATTAGCCGGGTGTGATGGCATGCACCTGTAATCCCAGCTATCAGGGAGGCTGAGGCAGGAGAATCGCTTGAAGCTGGGAGGTGGAGGTGGAGGTTGCAGTGAGCCAGGATCACGCCATTCCACTCCAGCCTGGGTGACAGAGCGACTCTGTCTAAAAAAAAAAAAAAGAAAAAGAAAAAAGAAAAGAAAATCTATCACATCTTTTTTTTCATTCATCCCTGCAGTGGTGGATTCTATTCCTCTTCGGCTAAAGATCAACATTCTTAAGGAAGGTCTTCGCAGCTCTTCCCAGTTCTCCAGCTCATTTTGTATTAAGCCTTGACTTGCTATCTTTGCTCCTTAAACTTGCTATGTTCCCTCTTATTACAAGGCTTCCGTGTGGCCCACTTGTACCTTTCCCCATCTTCTATCCTGGGAGAACTGCTCATCCTTCAGATAGCAGCCTACTCACCATTTCTTCAGGGACACTTTCTCTCACCTCCCAGGTGAGGCCTGGCTTCTATATATACACATAGATCAATGTTTCTTCCTTTTAGAGCACAAACCCCAACCCTGAACCATAGCAGAGGGGATCCTTAGTTTAACATCTGGCTGCCCCACCAGCTTACCACCCTCTTGGGAGAAGGAACTGGGTCTAGTTTGCTCACTACTGCACTCCCTAAAACAGTGCTTGGCACATACAGGGCCCCCAGCAAGCATTCGTCTGAACAAACATGGAGAATATGGTGAGTGCCCTAGGCTGACAAATATAAATTCCTCATACCCGGAGATGAGGACAGGAAATAGCATCCTTATTGGGGTAATTCACTTGAAAAAAAAAATGCCTCAAAAGAAATCCACCCATATGTTGTAAACTCACTGCTCATAAGAGCAAGGTGCTCTCTAAACCCCATCAGGTAGCCCACAGTGTCTCTCAAACCTTAAGGGGGAGGACCCTTTTGAACCAAAATGGATGCAACAATAGCTGTGAAGCCACTGCTGAGCTGCTGACGGAGGGTAGAGGTGACAGGTAGAGATGGAAAAAACAAAAGGCCAGAGAGACAGAATTTGACCAGGGGTCTCTGCCACTGTGCAAGGTAGGGGTAGTTTTTTTCAGTCTAGAATATTGGTTAAGTAGTTGAAAAAGCCCTAGAGGAAAAAGAACAATCCATAATTGTTCCTGAGTGTGGTTAAAAAGCATTTTGAGTAGGAATCTGTGTAGCGCAGTGGTTGAGGGAATGTCAGACAGGTCTGGTTGAAGTCATAGTTCCAGCACCGAGTAGCTGCGCAGTGCTGGGCAAATCACTTTGCTCTGAGCCTCAATTTCCTTATTTATGGGGATAATGGTATGTTTACCATTGGGCTGTTGGAAGAAGAAACGGAGGATGTAAGCTCATGCTTAACACAAGGCCTGGCCTACACTCAGTGCTCTTAAGTGAAAGCTGTTGTCAGTGAGATGAATTACTTTGTCATAATTCTCTGCTCACCTAACTGTCCATCTGGTCTGCATTTGATTCCTGAGTAAAGCCATTTGCCAGAAATGAGCTCTCATGGAAACTGTACATTTCTGTGGCTCTAAACCTTGACTCCTCTCTTTTTCTCCATAGCATACCAAGTCTAGCAGTAATTTGTGTTGGCTCTCCTTTCAAAATGCATGCAGAATCCAGTTGCTTCTCTCTCCTTTTGCTGCCACTGCCCTGGTTCAAGCTATCAGCATCTCTTTCCCAGAGGACTGTAGTGGCCTCCTAATAGGCCTGCCTGCCGGGGCCTTTGCCCCCTATGGTCTTCTCTTGGCTAACAGCCAGAAAAAACCTGCTAAAAGCTAAATCAGATCATACCACTCCCCTGCTTGAAGATGTCTGATGGCCCCATCACACTTAGAAGAAAATCCATATCCAGATCCAGTCCCCCAAAACCTTCAGGATTCCACATTAGCCAACTTTTTTGATCCTATGCACTCTCTCCTAACACATAGGTTCCAGCTACAGTGGTCTTGCCACACACCAGGCACACTCCTGCCTGAGGGCCGGAAACCTCTCTACCTAGAAACTTGCAAGCTGGCCTTTCCATCTCCTTTAGGTCTTTGTTCATATGTCACATTCTAGCTGAGGCCTTCCCTGACTGCCTTATTTAACACTGCAATCCCCACCCCACACTGGACGCCTTTTCCTATAACTCATCCCCTACTTTATTTTACCCACAGCGCTTGTCACTATTTGATCCTTATATATTTTACATATTTGTCTATTATCTGTCTCTCCCACTAAGTTCCATTACAAAAGAGTTTTTGTTCTTTTTTTGTTCCCTGTTGTTCCTCGGTGCCTAGATTCTCATAGAAGCAATGTGCTAGGTGCTTAATAAATATTTATCATGTGAATGAATGGTCAGCCCACTTCTTGGGGTGAAGCCTTATGTGTATGCTCAGAAACTGTCCTGGCTTATAAGGTTAGTGTGGGCCAGGCTCCCCGAGCATTCTTTTTATAGAGATTCTGCTAAAATCAAATTTCTGAATCCTCTGGACTGCAGAGTCAGTCTGGCACCTTAGATGTCCCTGATACCCAGCCTAAGCTTTAGGCACTGTGACACATACTTTTAAAGGTGGAGAATGAGTCAGAATCTGATAAGGTATAAATATTTGGTTACTCACCTCCTGAAGGTGAATTAGCTCTCACAGGTTGCCAGAAATATCTCTCGGTTCCCTGAAGCTGAAACACACTTGCTGATGTGCATTAATAGCCAAAATGGTAGGAAATGGCAGAGTCTGCCATTATTCATCCACTTACCAGGGGAGGAAAGAAGATAAATTTATTGTATATGAATGAATTAACACAGGCATTGTGCCTGTTGAGCAGGTGTGCAGGGAAGGAAAGTGGATGAATATGTGTGTGTGTGTGTGTGTGTGTGTGTGTGTGTTTCTCATGTTCCTATCCTTAATCAAGAAAATGGAATCCCTTCTGGAAGACCTCATGACCACATTTGAAGCTCTACCATTTTTCTGTTTTGGAGAATAGTGGTTTGGGTTTTATAGAAAAACTGGAGGCAGCTCTGAGTAAGAGAAACATGGTGGTGGTGATTTCCCAGAACTCATCGGGCTTCTCCAAGTTGGGACACATGTTGGTCAAAGGATGAGCTGCTGGCAATTCATGATGAAGACACTGGAGTGGATAAGACACTCATGGAGACACTTAAAGCAGGACACCAACCTAGGAAGGATCTGGAAGTAGAAGTGAGTGGAAGATGGCACTAAAAGTGGAAGAAAATCATGAAAGACGTGATCTGTCCTTGCTGCTTCAGTGATTACAAGTGGGCTCCAGCAGTCCTTCCAATCAGATTCTATTATTGAAGACCAGTGTATTATTTAAATGCTTCTCTCAGGAGCTTCGAAAGGAGGCAGAGCGAATAGAGAGGGAAAGAAAAGAGCTCTCATGCCTCCACTGTGGCTTGGCACTGGGTGGGTAGGGCACAGGTGCTGGATGGCAAAGCATTGGCTTGCTGCTCTGATGGCCATGCTGATGGGACACAGGGAAGGAGAGGCACTGAACACTTAGACTTTCACAGAATTTTCAATATCAATATGCAACTTGTGATAGGTTGTAGTTAAATAAATTTGTTGTTGTTTATTAAAACTTTTTGCATCCTCATGTTGAGGAACTCAAAGTAGAAAATAATGTCTGTAGAGAAAGTATACTTTTCCCCAGGTGTGCTGAGTGGCAGCTCTTATCCAGTGACGTATACTATCAAAAATACCAACTTGGACTCTGTGATGGTTAATGTTGAGTGTCAACTTGATTGCATGGAAGGATGCAAAGTATTTTTCCTGGGCATGGCTGTGAGGGTGTTGCCAAAGGAGATTAACATTTGAGCCAGTGGGAGAAGGAGACCCACCCTCAATATGAGTGGGCTCCATCTAATCAGCTGCCAGTGCAGGTAGAATAAAGCAGGCAGAAGAACGTGGAAGGACTAGACTTGCTGAGTCTTCCGATCCTCATCCTTCTCCTGGGCTAGATGCTTCCTGCCCTTGAACGGCAGACTCCAAGTTCTTCAGCTTTTGGACTCTTGGACCTATACCAGTGGTTTGCCAGGGGCCCTTGGGCCTTCAGCCACAGACTGAAAGCTGCACTCTGTCATCTTCCCAACTTCTGAGATTTGGGGACTGGGACTGGCTTCCCTGCTCCTCAGGTTGCAGACGGTCTATTGTGGGACTTCACCTTGTGATTGTGTGAGTCAGTACTCCTTAATAAACTCTCCTTCATATATACACCTATCCTATTAGTTCTGTCCCTTCAGAGAACCCTGACTAATACAGATTCTGAGGGCAGAAACTCATTCATTCATCTATTCATTCATATATCCATCTATTCATTTACTTGCTCATCTAGCAAATATATTTTGAGCACTTACTATGTATCGGGCAGATGTCCTGATACAGAAGTCAACAAGATGAACAAATCCCTCTCTTGAAGCTTGAATTACAGTGGGGAAGACAATAAATAAAAAATAGAAAAGATAACTTCAGAGAGTGAAGAGTACTGTAGAGATAATAAAATCAGTGAGTGATGTAGAGAGCTCTGGGGGCTTAGAGTTCAGGCTACTTCAGATAAGATGATTAGGGAATGCTTCTCTGGGAAGGGATCTTGGTGCTGAGACCTGAACAATGGGAGGACCCAGCCACATGAAGATTTAAAGTGATGACTCACAACCTTTGAAGTGCATTCATATCACCTGGGAGTTTTTAAAAATAGATGGTGGACCCCACCTCCAGAGGTGGAAATTTAATTGACCTCAAGGTAAGGCTTAAAATTATTCTAATGTGCAGCCAGGGTTGCAAAGCAACCTAGACTAGAAGTGGAACTTACTAGACAGAATAGCATATGCAAATGTCCTCAGGTAGGGAATGGCTTGGAGTGTTCCCCAGGCAGAAAGAAGGTAGGTATGACTGAATTAGATGGAGGTAAGAAACAAATTTGGGGAGGGAGTCAGGGATTATATTCGCTTAGGTGAGCTGGTGAGCATGTCACAGATCTAGAGCTGGGCCCCACAGTACACAGAAGTACACAGAAAACAAGAGCTCCTTGCTGCGTGCAGTGGCATTGTCTTGTGAGGAGCCAGGGAGTTGGAATGGGTGGTAGGGAGAAACCCCATACATTTCACTTCTTCAGTGTCATCACACAGCAAACTAATCTGAACTGCAGAATTTCTCTGGTGATCAGCTGCCTGTTTTCCTGGGGTGATCCATCTATGAAAAGTTTCCAAATTGTGTTAAAACTGCCAGTTTCTCGACAAACAGCACGGAGTGTACTTTCCAGGGAGAAAAGTTCAATAATTAAAATGAGTCAGCACTGAAGAACTGGAGGGCGGTTTGATCTAGTTTAGCAGCCGACGTTTTCTTAGCAGAAAAATGCAATATCCATAATACATAATTTTGTGCTGAACAGAAGTCAACTAGAACAGAATTGTCTCAGGAGGGACCAAAGTCAGCTTGCCAGAAAATCTTTTTGAAGGCAGCAGAAAACCTGGTCTTCAAAAGCTGAAGTTGGGGAGTGGCTGAGGGGCCATGTCTCAGGTGCCTACAGGCTGGAGGAGCTCCCTGAGCTGTTTTGACAGGGACTCCCCTCTTGCTCTCTCCAGAGCAATTTTAAAGGGCAGATAAACACAACACCCAGGTTGTCTGAACACCTGGAGTTCAGAAGCCTGACTTCTCACCACCAGCAGAAAGACCTACTTAATATTGGGCAGCTCTTATTCTAGGGACTAAGTTTGCCTTTGCCTGGGGTGTTACCACAGGAGGTGGGAGTTTGGGGGTAATTTTTTGTTTTTCTGAGAAAAGAAGAGTGATTAAAGGAGAAAATCATTTCCTCTGGGTGGTAAGGGTCCCTGCAAAACATCCCCCGACTGAGCTTCCAGGAAGAGTGAAAACTGCCAAACCTGAAAGTGGTTTGGCTTGGAGTCTAAGTCCCCACCAGAGGTTGCAAGTCCTCCCTGTGCCTGCAGCACAGTCTCTTCCTGGGGCTGGCTCCGCGATTTCAAAAACATAGACAAATTGGCTCTCTTCTGGCCTCCTGAAGTTCATGCAATCATGGGACCAACTAAATTTGTGTTAGATTATGCCAAAGACTGAACAACATTTTGCTTTTTTTTTTTTTTTTTTTTTTTGCTTCACTGACAATAGTCCAAGAGAGGAAGCCTTCAATTAGAGTAGCAGAAAATGCTGATTAGAATCAATCAACACCTCTAGAAGTTTAAACACTTAAGTTAATTAAATGGTTCAGTAAACTTGAAGCGAAACTTGCAAACAGAAAACGCGACGTATAAAAGGATGCTTAGATTTTTAAAAAACAGATAATTATCCAACAAGCTCAACATCAACCTCACCAAAGGCTCTGTGAAAATGATTAGGCAGGCAGCGCATTAATTTTCAATGCAACTCACACTTAGGTTCATATCACTACTCAAAAGCAAAAACTCATGACTCCTATCAGCGGGTGTGTTGTTCTGGTTTCGAGATATACTATTAGGAAACTGGCAATGCACCTGTTGTATTTTAGTAGTCCTGAATATTTTAAGAGATCACTGTTTCCTTACCCTCAGTACAAACAAAATCCTGCAAAGACAGATCTTTCCTGCAAAGCAAAATCTTGCTGGTTTTGTTTAATTTTAGGAGAAGGCCCAATCTGAATGAGTGAAAACATGAAACACAGATTTTTTTTCAGACACTAAAAATTTGTAACTCTTCTGCTGCAAAATAAAGTCAAACTAGATGTCTTCTGTTGGGTTCCTTTAGACACAGCCTGCGATGGAGAGTCTAGTTCAAGTGTTTTCCTGAGGATATGGTCCCCAGAAAAGGGGAAGGAGGAAAGCGGGACAGAGCTGAAACAAATATCTAAGCAAAGCTTTTGATTTGCCTGCAGATTGTTTCAGTCTGAGCCCATAGGAGGGCGCTGGAGTATGAATCTCACAACAAAATTAGTTCCACCTGAGACAAGAAGATCAGCCTCTGATGCCCCTTGGCATGTATCTATTAGTCATGGGCCGTGGGCTTCTGCTGGGGGTGAGGTGGGAATGTGGTAGCCTGTTGAGCAGTTAGCAGAGGGCAGTCCCCCAGGAAAAGCGGTGGCTGTGAGGTGTAATCAGACAAAGTCACAGCTGCTGGGGGAGAGGGGCAGCGGCTACCGATGGGATCTGGGCAGGAGGTCTACATGACTGGACCAAGGAACTTCTGCCTCATAGAGATTGTTGAGTGATCTTAGGCAAGACAAAAGTTGTCTTTGATAAACAAGCCTATTCTAAAGTGAGAGCTACCCCAGGCTCCAGACACTATCTTGTTCACCTCTGAACATAATGGGTCATCAACAAATGTGTGTTAAGTGAATAGCAAACAGATCACTTGCAGTGTCCACTGAATATGATGCAGCTTCCATGCCCTTTCTACGCATTTCACAAACACCCACTGAAGATGAAGCAATAACTTGCTACTTGAGGTTCAGTCCCATCAGAAGACATGGGTTGAGCCCTTGTGTAGTTTTTCATTAGTAATGATGCCTTGTACCTCAGTTGTCCAATCTTTAAAATAGGGAAAAATCACAACATGACAGGGCTTTTGTGAGGATTAGGAGAAATAGCACATGAATATACTTAGTAATTTAGCTTTTTCTCATAAAATGTTTTTCTTTGGAAAAATTTCAGAAAAGCTGAAGTGCAGGAATAGAGACATTTAAAGCTAAAGGATTAGAAGCCTCTGATAATAAAAATTTGCTCTGTAAAGATAAAGCAATACTAGAACTGTGCTGTAAAGTCAATAGGCACCGGGGATTGATATTGATCTACAGAATACACTTGTAGGAATGAAGCTACTCCATAAAGCCAGGCACATTGAGAATGAGCATCTCATTGTTTTATCTCCCAATATAGTGTGCAGGTCAGGCTCTGAACTCTTCTTAACTAGAAAGATAGTGAGTTGCAAATAAAACAGGTGTTGGCCATTAATGAGGTCTCTACGCACAACACTTACTATACTACCTCTCAGACTATGTGGAGTGGTTTCTTCTTTTGGGGGTTTGCCAAAAACAAAGTAACATTGCCTACGACCTTCCTTCCATAAAGGCAGGAGGAGGGTGAGTGTCTTTGTCTGCACAGGACACACAGCTGCAAGAACTCTGTGACTTGGTGTTCCCACTGTCTGATTATCTGTTGTGTCCTCCACAGATCCTCTTTTCTTGCCCCTGCTGGGAAGCTATCTCTGGTTCTAGAGCAGAAGGCCATCACAGAAACTCAGCCAAACAGTAAATTGGAGGTGAGGTTTTCACCAGGACCATGAAGACTTCACTTCTTCAATCGGGTAACTTCCCAAAGAAGTATTTTCCTACTTTAGAGATGTGGAAGGATTGGGAGCTGCTACTCAAGATGATCTTACACATGCACTGAATGGTTTGAGCATCATTCTTATCATTGATTAAGGGGCTGGATCAACGGCTGGACTTCAGGCATGGTCAGAAGGAAAAAGGAGCCTATAATTGGCCATTTCTTGGCTGGGTCATGACCACAGCAAGGGCATAGATGTTTAATAGGCAGTGTAAGGTTACAATTCCAAATATGCATTAACTGAACCCATCAATGATATCTAGCGGGGACAACGGGAGGACTTGAGGACAATTGATGATGGTAAGTCATTTGACAAAAATAGGGCCTGAAAAAATACAAATTTTGGTTCTATATCTTTTGAAAAATATCACTCCTTAGTTGTCACTTAAGCCTAGGACCAAAGGCTAGCTAGCTTCCCTAATCACTAGGCTTACTTACTAGAGCAAAGGGTAGAGTGTGGGTACAGGCATCTGTTGTTATCTTGCCCAGCATATATTTATTTATCCCTCTTCCCTTGGTAACAGCACCCTTCCTTTCCTTTGAATAACTGTGCCTACTGCATTTCCATATGGCCCTGGGGGGCACCAATCCTGGTACCCTGTTCCTGGGTAGGTTCATGACCTTACAGGTTGGCCAGACTCAGTCTCCCAGGAATCTGAATTATAGGTGGAGTGAAATATGAATGGAAGGTGAATGAAGACAAGTCAATTTGATGGCAGTTCTCAGAAAGAATGAATCGGAGATCCCTGGTACTGACCTGATGTTCCTGACCTTCTTGTGGTCCTTGATTCTATGAGTTACTTAGTGTTCTCTCAAATAAACTAATCCTTAAATTAACTAGAGTGGCTTTTCCGTTTCTTATAGTCAAAGAACACTGAGTGCTCCCTGCCATGGTGCCCCTAAGGAGAGAAAGGCCAGTCTCTCTTTCTTTTGCTCTGTCTGTATATGTGTGCATTTGTGCTGGTATAAGCACTGACACCAGTTCCTGAGGCCTCCATAAAAGGTACTTCAGGCCCCTTTTCAATTTGAGAGGCAGGGTGTGATATTATTATATGTTACCATCCATCTCTTTCTTAAAGAGGCAAAGTCTCATAGGGGAACAAGCATAGATTTTGCAATCCAGAAAAAATTGAGTTTGACTGAAAAAACTGAGTTCCGTCATTTGCAATTTATGTAATCTTGGGCAAATTCTGTATCCTTTCACCTTTGTCACCTGTAAAATGGGTACAATAATACCTGTCTTCTCACAGGGGTTTGTGAGATTTAAGGCAGTGTATAAAAAGGGCCAAGTATTGTGACTTGCCCTAGAAAAATAATTTCCTTCCTCCCTCTGGAGCTCTTTGGGAGGTGGGCTGGGGTCCTCATCACTATGGTTATTTTACAAGGTTGGACCTTCTCTAGATACCTGATGAGGCCACATTCAGGTGGGTGGGTAGAGACACACTGGTTTCAAACATGGGAGATATGACTGAGAAGGCGATGATTGCTCTTGCTAAGACAATGGACTTCGGTGGTGATGGGAGAAGCTTAGTTTAGATGCAAGCAAGAATGTGCTCAGATGGAGAGAGAAGAAGGAATTACAGACAAAAGAAATCTGCAGAACACCAATTTTTAAATCTACACCTATGAGGGATGATTTCAGTTTGTGGCCTGAGGAGAGAGTGGGCAGGGAGGAATTGGAAATTACGGCTCTTCCTTCACATTCGTGATTCGGCTAAATGGGTGCTCATTATTCAGAGAATGAAAAAAATAGCAGAGCCTGGTAACACAAGAGCCCTTTTCTCAAATTATCAGTACTTTATAAGAATTCTAGCTTTTCAATAATCATAGTTCTTATAGCTTTATGTTCTCACATTCTAAGTTTGTTGTGGTGAAAAGAACAAAATAAGGGAGGATGATGAGTTCATGTCTTTGTAGGGACACGGATGAAACTGGAAACCATCATTCTCAGCAAACTATTGCAAGGACAAAAAACCAAACACCTCATGTTCTCACTCATAGGTGGGAATTGAACAATGAGAACACATGGACACAGGAAGCGGAACATCACACACCAGGGACTGTTGTGGGGTGGGGGGTGGAGGGAGGGATAGCATTAGGAGATATACCTAATGCTAAATGACGAGTTAATGGGTGCAGCACACCAACATGGCACACGTATACATATGTAAGAAACCTGCACATGTACCCTAAAACTTAAAATATAATAATAATAAAATTTAAAAAAAACCAAAAAACATATTTGGGGAGAAGCTTCCAAGTAATTAAAAAAATTTTTCCTTTTTAAAAATTTTTGTGGGTACATAATGCTTGTATATATTTTTGGGCTACATGAGATGTGTTGATACAGGCATGCAATGTGAAATAATCACAAAACAGGGAATGAGGTATCCATCCCCTCAAGTATTTACCCTTTGTGTTACAAACAATCCAATTACACTCTTTCGGTTATTTTAAAATGTACAATTAAGTTATTTTAAAATGTGCAATTTATTATTGACTACAGTCATCCTATTGTGTGATCAGAGAGTAGTCTTGTTCATTCATTCTTTTTTTTTTCAGACGGAGTCTCGCTCTGTTACCCAGGCTGGAGTACACTGGCTCAATCTCAGCTCACTGCAAACTCTGCCTCCTAGGCTCAAGCAATTCTCCTGCCACAGCCTCTGAGTAGCTGGGATTACAGGCATGTGCCACCACGCCTGGCTAACTTTTGTATTTTTAGTAGAGACGGGGTTTCACCATGTTGGCCAGGCTGGTCTCGAACTCCTGACCTCAGGTGATCCGCCCACCTCGGCCTCCCAAAGTATTGGGATTACAGGCATAAGCCACCGTGCCCGGCCCTCATTCTTTCTAATTATTATTTTTTGAACCCATTAACAATTCCCACCTCCCCTCCAGCCCCCTACTACCCTTCCCAGACTCTGGTAATCATCCTCCAGGTAATTTGATTCAGAATTTTGTGTTTGTTTTCCTAAATCAATAACTACTATACAAAACGCTGTGAAAATGGCTACTATTTTCTTTCTTTTGCTCCCCACCTGGGGACGGTCCCCTGGGTCACCTTACTCAGCAGTTCTCCCTCTAGATTTGATCCAGCAAATGAGATCGAGTGATATATTATAGACTCTTTAATCATTTTCAGGGGAATTGGGTTGGGATGGAAGAGCCCTGGGCCTGGACGTGACTAATCTGAGGGAACTGGATCAGTATTTTTGGGAGAAGCACACCTGAGGCAAGAAACTACCCCCAAATAAAAGGATGTCTAAAATGCTCATGGTTCTCTCCCCTTTTTTGGCCTCGAAAAATGATATTTATTCAGAGAAAAAAAGAAGAGAAAAAATGCCAAGAAGTTCACCCATTGGCTAACTTCTCTGTCCCCTCCTGGTTCTTGCCAGCCCCCCAGGGTTGAGCTCTGGTTGGAGTGGGTAGCAGGGCTGCCCCTAAGGTGATGTCAGTGACATGGTTCAAATACTGTCTCACCACTTACCAAGGTATGAACTTGGGGTTCATTAAGCTGCAGTTCCCTCCATAGCATCTTGTAGGGGAATTATTTAAGCATGTGCCGTGTACCCTAGTGAATTACAGGCCTCAATAAATGTTGAATTAGGTATAAAATCCTTTCCTTTATGCACCCTTCAATCTTAAGACCTATTACTGAACAATGATAGGAAATTGGTTTTTCATTCAACAGAAAGCCCAAGGTTGGTCAAGGTCATGGTAGGGCCAGCATTTGTTCATCAAGTTTATAGTCTTCTGAGCTTTGAAAATGTTGGCAGGGAGATCTTAACTGGGATGAGACACAGAGAGATGAATTATAGTGTTACTTGAGTAATCTATGCAATAGGTTGCTGCCATCTTTGGAACCCTCACTTGTGAAATAATAAGAAATATACATATTGTTCTCTGTCCCCAGTCCCTGGCACAGAGCTCCTAAAACCCTTGTAATTTCCTGAGTGATAGGAGTGCTAGGGGAATTTTTTTGTTCTAATGCTTGGCTTCTGCTGAAGTTCCTGAGAGAGAGCTCCGAATACCCCTGTAGACAGAGGTGCTAGAATTTTTTAGCATTTGGTCCTTGACCCCAATTTTCTGACACAGAGCTCCTAAATCCCTTGGAATTTCCTGGGTGATAGGAGCATCTTTTGTTCTAATGAGATGACTCTTGGTGGGCACCTGGCTAGCCCAACATTGGCCTGTTGGCCAGGAAAATGAACCATGTGATTAAAAGTAGTACTACTATTTGATCCAGCAATCCAGAGGAAAAGAAGTCGTTATTCGAAAAAGATACTTGTGCACGCATATTTCTAGCAGCACAGTTCACAATCGCAAAATCGTGGAACCAACCCAAATGCCCGTCAATCAACAAGTGGATAAAGAAACTGGTATATATATATATATATATATATATATATATAATATTACATAAATATATAAAAATATATATTTGTGTATATATATACATGTATACATGTATATATGCACATATATGCATGTATATATACATATATACGTATATATACATGTATATATGTATATATGTATACATATATGCATGTATATATACATATATACGTATATATACATATATACGTATATATACATGTATATATACGTATATATGTATACATATATGCATGTATATATGTATATGTGTATATATATACACGTATATATATGTGTGTGTATATATATATATATATATATATATATATATATATATATACAGGATAGAATACTCACTCAGCCATAAAAAGGAATGAATTAACAGGATTTGCGACTTGGATGAGATTGGAGACTATTATTTTAAGTGAAGTAACTCAGGAATGGAAAATCATTGTATGTTCTCACGGATATGTGGGAGCTAAGCTCTGAAGACGTAAAGGCATAAGAATGATACAATGGACTTTGGGGACTTGGGGGGAAGAGGAGGAGGGGGACGAGGGACAAAAGACATACAAATATGGTGCAGTGTATACTGCTCAGGTGATGGGAGCACCAAAATCTCACAAATCACCACTAAGGAACTTAGTCATGTAACCAAATACCACCTGTACCCCAATAATTTATGAAAAAAAGATTTAAAATGAAAAAAAGATTTAAAATGAAATAAAAGCCAAAGCAGCTTACAGTAAAAATAAATAGATAAATAAATAAAAATAAAGTATTGGAACTTTCAGCTCCACCTCAACCTCCAGGAAGAAGAGAGAGGCCGAAGGTTGAGCTAATCACCAATGACCAATGACTTAATCAATTGTGCCTAGGTAAGGAAGCCTCCAATAAACACTCAAAAGCACTGAGTTCTAGAGGTTCCTGGAAGGCAGTGGGCTTGGAGAGGGCACAGAAGCTCCTCAACCCTTCCCCATACCTTGCCCTATACAGTTATTCCCCCCGGCTCTTCATTTTTATCTTTTGTAATACCCTTTGTAGTAAACTGGTAAATGTTTCTCTGATTTCTGTGAGCTGCTCTAGCAAATTAATTGAACCCAAAAAAGTGGTCATGGGAACATGGGTTACAACCTGTGCTTATTATTTGGCCTCTGAAGTGGGGGGAAAACTAAGCCCTCCATCTGTGGGGTCTGTTGCTATCTCCAAGTAGATAGTGTCAGAATTGAATTGAATAAGAGAATACCCAGCTGGTGTCTGCTGCAGAATTGATTGCTTGGTTGACCGTGGGAAGAAATCCTCACGTGTTTTGGCAACCAGAGGTCACAGAAGTGTTGATTGTTGAATGAGAGGATAGAAAAAAACACTTTGTTTTTTCTTTTCTCCATATCTCATACTACTGCCCTGAGGATGTCTTCTATACCTCTACTTATAGCACAGCATCACACATGGGAAGCATGGCCAGGTCCAAAATTGGTCACACTTTCCTCTGACCTCACTCCAGCTCTTTATTCCCTTCTGAGAGCTCATCTGAGCATACCACACATCAGCATGTGTGCAAAACTACATTACGGAGAAGAGGGATTTGATGAATCATAAAATCTCACACAGTACTGGAAAAAGTCCAGGATAAATGGGCTTTGAATAAAATAAATGCCACCAGAACCCCCACATAAATGATGCATGACATCGCCTGCAAATTGAGGCATGAAGGCATGAAATTTTAAACTCCCAGATGGCTCCTCCTTGTTCTTTTCAACTTGTCCTCACAAAACTTGTGCAATAGCTACACCTCTCACCACTGAACCTAGGTGACACCTGAGGTTCGCTTGTTGCTGAAAAGTAGACTAGAAAGTTGAGTCATTGGGGAATTGAAGGGAAGATCCATGGTGTATTTCCCCCGTAGCCCAGCATCTAATACAAATTTGGGACACAGCAGGTCTCAGAAAATGTTTTTGGCATGTTTACAAATAGGAAGAAGAGCTGCCTCTGTTCAAGAGAAGTTAAGACCCATCAGATATCTTTCATTCATGATATCCCAGTCTTATGTTGGGGTGATTTAAAAGGTTAAGTATTGGCTGGGTGTGGTGGCTTTGCTTGAAATCCCAGCACTTTGAGAGGCTGAGGTGGGAGAATTACTTGAGGCCAGGAGTTTGAGACAATCCTGGGCAGCATAGTGAGATCGTATCTTTACAAAAAGTAAAAAAAAGTTAGCCAGGCATGGTGGCATGAGCCTGTAATCCCAGCTACTCAGGAAGTTGAGGTGGGGGGTGTATCACAAGCCCAGGAGTTCAAGGCTGGAGTGAGCTGTAATCCCACAACTGCAGCCTGGGTGGCAGAGCCAGGGCCTGTCACAAAAAAACAAAACAAAACAAAAAACTTTTGCAGCCTTTTAAGGAGGCAATGAAGTGGGCTTTGATCCAGATAGGCTGGAGTTTGGTGCTCAACTCTAGAACATAATAGGCATAAAATCTCTGAACCCTGGTTTTCCAGCACTGAAAGGATGATAATAATACTAAGAGTAATAATAATTGTGGTATAATAAGAAATATTATTTGGTTTTTGTCTGTGGTTCTTGCCACAGAATTTCTAAAACTCTTGGGATTTCTGGCCTGGAATATGTAGGCAGGAGGAATCTTAAGTAGGATGGGACATCTAGAATGAATTATTCTATTGAGTAATCTATGCAATAGGTTCCTGCCATCTTTGGAAACCTACTGCAGTGAGGAAGTCTTCTGCACTTCCTTTTATAGCACAGTATTATATACTGGAAGCAGTGGACATGCCTGAATAAGAGTATCTTTTGTTATTCATAATGAACACTTTTAATCATATCTGAGTTTATGCTAATGAGGTGACTTAAGGTGGGGACCCTAGATAGCCTCAGGAAGAGGCTGGTCACCAGAACCAACTCAGTAGAGGGTTGAAACTTCAGTCCCATCCACCAGTCTGAAAACTGGAGATATAAGCTCTATAAAAAGTCTTGAACAACAAATGTCCATCAACACATAAAGAAAATATGGTATATATACACAATGGAATACTATACAGCCTTAAAAAGGAAGGAAATTATGTGTTTTGCAACAACATGGATGGAACTGGAGGACATTATGCTAACTGAAATAAGCCAGGCACAGAATGATGAATACCAACTGATCTCACCTATATGTACAATCTAAAAAGTCAGTGTCATAGAAACAGAGTAGAAAGGTAGTTACCAGAGGTTGGTGGAGAGAGGGAAGGAGAAAGGGTAGAAAATTTCAGGTAGACTGAAGGAATAGGTTTTAGTGATCTATTATGCTCTGCTCTATGGTGACCACAGTTAATAATAATGTATGTATACTTTAAAATTGCTAATAGATTGTTAACATTCTCACCATAAAAAAATGATGTGAGGTGATGGATATGTCAATTAGCTTGATTTACTCTTTCTACAATGTATGCCTAGATCAAAACATCACATTGTATCCCACATATATACACAATTATTATTTGTCAGTTAAACATAAACTTTATTAGGCTGGGCGTGGTGGCTCATGCCTGTAATCCCAGCACTTTGGGAGGCTGAGGTGGACGGATCACCTAAGGTCAGGAGTTTGAGACCAGCCTGGCCAACATGGCGAAACCCCGTCTCTACTAAAAATACAAAAAAATTAGCCTGGCATGGTGGCGCGAGCCTGTGATCCCAGCTACTGGGGAGGCTGAGGCTGGAGAATCACTTGAACCTGGGAGGTGGAGGTTGCGGTGAACTGAGATCATGCCATTGCACTGCAGCCTGGGGGCCAGAGTGAGACTTCATCTCAAAAATAAATAAACTTTATTTTATTTATTTTTGAGACAGAATCTCGTTCTGTCACTCAGGCTAGAGTGCAGTGGCTCACTGCAACCTCTACCTCCTAGGTTCAGGTGATTCTCCTGCCTCAACCTTCCAAGTAACTGGGATTACACAGGCGCCTGCCACCACACCTAGCTAATTTTTCTATTTTTAGTAGAGATGGGTTTCACTTGCTGGCCAGGCTATTCTCGAACTCCTGAGCTCAAGTGATCTGCCCACTTTGGCTTCCCAAAGTGTTGGGATTACAAGCGTGAGCCACCGCACCTGGCCAGTTGAAAATAAACTTTAAGATGTATGAATTAAAAAAAAAAATCCTATCCATCTGGTGAGGGGTCATAATTATTTTTAAAAAAAGTCTTCGCGAGATTTGATGAGCTTCCCGATTGGTGAACATATTGAGGTGCTGAGACGGTGGTGCACCCAAAGAAGGCCTAGAAGCTTCATGCATATTCTGCATATTCCTCGCCCCTGCCCTAGTCCTGCTGCAACCTTACACTGTGTACCTGTTCCATGTCGCTGCTCCTGAGTTGTATCCTTTATAATAAACCAGAGTTATTATGTTTCCTTGAGTTCTGTGAGTCATTCTAGCAAATTATCAAACATGAAGAGGGGTTGTAGGATTTATAGTTGCTTAGTCAGTTTGAGGCCTAGACTTATGATTGGCCTCTGAAGTAGGAGGAGTCTGATGTAACTAAACACTTTAACTCTTGCGATCTGATGTTAACTTTAGGTAGATAAATCTTAGAATTGAATTAAATTGTAGAACCGTCAGCTGGTGTTTGGAGAACTGGAGAATTTGCTGGTGTTAAAAAACATATAATAATAATAATAATGAATTATGCTTTTACAGCATGATTTCAGAGACAGCTGAATTGTCTAATGCACCGAGAGTGACTAGAAGGCAATAGCACTGTATGAATGCTTATTCTCCCTCATGCCTCCCCAGCCACTTCAATGATCTGGCCTAATTCCAGTGGCCCACCTCCTTGCTCCAACATTAAGGTCCATTGCAAATTTGTAGGTGTGTGTGACATTTTACCCTTAAGAAGCATCTTTTCAACAGGACTGATATGGGTATCCTGTAATCTGGTTCTATTTCATGTGTTTTCTAAGTTTTCTTTAATTGAAGAAATGAGAAAGAGGGATATATTTTTGCAGTCACAGCTCATGTAAGTAACTCTGCTAAACAGTAGGTTGTGTGATGGCCTCAGGGCCCCCTGTCCCCTTGCTCCTTTACCAAAATTAACAGTGTGCCATGGACTTTCATACAGTTTCTTATTTGACACTCACATTAGCCTTGGGAGGACATTTCAACTAGACATATTATCACTATTTTCCAAATGAGAGAATGGAATCTCAGAAAGACAGACTACAGTAAAAGAATCAAAGCATATTAAACCTGGAGGGCATTTGGGAGATCATGTGGCAAAATCCCTCCATTTTATGAAGGGAAAATGAAGCCTGGATCAGGAAGTGATTTGCCCAAAGCCACATGGTCACTGGTAGAACTGGGTTAAAAACCCATTTGTCTTCTTACTTTGGTACTTTCTCCTTTGGTTATATCATCTAGGCCCCCAGTGCAGATTTTCTTCATAGCAAATCTAGGGTTTACCATCCCCCGTCCCTGCCAATACCACTGTCTGTAAAATATAGACTCCTCCTCAAGTTAGTTTCCCTCCTGTTGAGGCAAAGATTGGAAAAGTGTAATTAGACCAACAACACTCAGCTTTATTAATGAGCCTTTCAAGATGCTGCCTGCTTCCCATGTGTGGGACTGGACCAAATGGGACAGTTGCCCAATAAGAGCCCAAGGAAAGAAGAATGTGAGGGATGAGTCAATCCTGGGCATGTGCTTACTCAACCTAGACTAGCACATGTAGTTGGTGGGAGAACTTGAACTGTGACAGGGAGGATCAAGGTTACAGCTAAAAATTAGCGCTGAATGTCAAGTTCAAAAGGTGAGGCTAGGGATGAAATTGGAGGATGAATCATGAAGTTGAAGCCAAAAGGTTCAAGAAAAGGATGGATTCCGTATGAGAAACGTGGTTCAGAACCTAGGATGTGAACACTTGGTAAGTGCTACTGGTGCCTGGGATTGGTGCCTGGGATGTGGTGATGGGTACCATGCAGGACAAGACGGCATCTACTGAGTGCTCCCGCAGATATCATCTATGGGAAAGACACACACTTTAGGGAAATAACATTGTATAATATCAAGGAATGACATACATATGGTCTCTGGGGAAGCTTTTTGAAACTCAGTTCATCTTTCCTTTGATGGGGAAAAAGCAGAATTAGACTGAAATCTTTTTTAGCCTACTTGTCATTCAGATAGCATGCTTGCTGACCCTTTTATCTTTGCCGAAATCAGAATCCTTCATGTCTGCTGCATGCGCTGTGCAATGCTATCTGGACTTCAGTGTGAAGCTGTTTTTCCCCTCTGCCCTCTTTTCCATCTGTCCTCACATTTCTGAGTACAGATTAAAAGCCTTGCACTCATTAGCTGGGGCACCACTGCAGCCAGCCAGCCCATGTTTACTGGGTGCCCATGGGGTACCTGGCATTGCCCTGGGCACCTGCGAGAGAAGCCAAGGGCTCTGACATCCCTTGCCCTGGGTTCTGGCTCCCAACGGTGCTGCAGGGCAGATGAACAGGCCTGACAAATAGTAATCAGGAGGATGAGGGGGGACTGGAAGTTTGGAATTTTGAGGGGGCTGGAGAGGAATGAGGTTTTGGATAGAATTAGAAAGTGTGAGATTCAGTAAACAGTTATTTTAAATGAAAGAAAGAACTTCCAGCAAGTGCAGTTTCTATTACTGTCCTTGCAGAGTGGCAGACACACCCATTCTCATGAATTCTGTAATGGATGGAATATGAAATATTGCCAAAATAAGTGACATTCCTTGGTTGGGAGATGTATTGAGGCTATTTGGTTCTGCCTGCTTATTTCCTGCTTAAGGAAACTTTTCCATATATGTGCTTAGGAGGGTCTAGTTGGGATATGCACTTTCAAATAACCTGAATGTTCAGAATGGGCTCACTATAAACACCGGCAGTTGCCAACAAAAGTATAAGATGGGCTAGAATTTCCATGCTTTGGATGAGGTAAAAGAGGCCCAACCACTTCTGAATGAAAAGTTATTCCTCACTCTGTCTTTGCTTAATAAAACTGCACTCACTCTGAACTTCAGAAATCAAAAGCAGCTTTGATTTGTTGGGGTGGAAAACGGTGGGTAAATTTTTCCTTTTTTTAAATTTTGTTTTCTCAGAATATCATTATGATATCTGTGCAATGTGGAAAAACAATTATCTGCTCTCTAAAGAGATGAAGGTTTGCAACTGAAAATACAATGTAAAAGAGAGTATTTCTCTTCCTGACTTGAGAATGAAACTAAACCATGCCTATCCCTGAAGACCCAGGGAAAATTCCATTCCTTCCATGCAATTCCCCTCTTAAATATCTTTGTGCTTCCCCAGGGCGCAGCACATTGGTGTGAGTCTACTGGCCGCTCAGTAAATACCTGAAGATAAAGGGCATAGTAATAGCTAATGTAGTCATAACAGTTTTCACTGTTGAGTGCCTACAAGGAGCCAGCTCTGGTAGGAGCAGTTTTATGGTCCTCAACAGTCACCATATGCATTCCTTATAATGAGCCAGCAAAAAAGGAATTATATCCAATTTCACAAATAGTCAGCCTGAGACTCGAAGAGGTGAAGTCTAAGGCCACACAATCAGTAAATGACAGGACTGTAATCTGATTCCAAAGCCCCTGCTCCATGTAGATATCTCAGTGGCTTCTGCACAGGACAGGACACAAGTTGCTGTGACCAGCTGGTGTGCTTCTCTTTATTTGCACCTGGACAGGCCAAGGATTGATGAGTGGGCCGGAGCCCCTTTGAAAATAGCTTTTGAATAACCCATATGAGAAAGGACCAGTAAGTTGGCTTGGTTTCTTGGTTTTCTCATTGCTGTCGGCTTGAACTTTAATAGAATGCACACCTTCCTCTTTTTTAGTTTCACTAAATGTCAAGGTTACATCAGCGTGAGCCACTTACTTTTCAGGGAGGGAAGTGTGTACCACTAGTGGCCCAGCATATCAACAAGGCAAGGAAAGCTTTCCCAGTAACCCTCTCTGTGGCAGGGCCAGCAGTGCAGCCCTCTTGGGTGTCTCCACACATCCCTAGGATGTGGGAGAGGGCAAAGGGAGGTACCCAGTGGCCACTTGCTGGCTGATTGATAAAGAATGATTTTTGGTTTCTCTCTCCTTCTCCAGCATCCTGGGGGGGTGTGTCAGCTCACTGAGAGAGACCCTTTTTCTCTTGAGATTTCTCTGCCCTTTCTCTGCACCCATCCCACATGCTTGTTTCTCAGGCTTGAGTAGAAGGCAGATGTTCACAGTCAGCTGTAATGGGCCCTGGGCTTGCTCTTTATACATATATGTGTGCACTTGTGCATTCATTATTTATTGAGTGCCTACTCTATGCTGGACACTGTGTTCTAAGCGAGACAGGAACCCTGAACTGTCTTGGGGGTGGGAAGACCCTCTAGGTACAAAAAAATGTGAAGTGTAATGAGAACACACTTACACATTCTGCCAGAGCCCCAAAGAGTCATTCACCTGTCGGGGAGTGAAAGTAGTGATGCTGGTGGGGTTGGAGAAGTCTTCATAGCTCAGGTGCACATTTAAACTGAATCTTGAAAGAGAAGTAGGATTTGATAGGCAAACAGGGCAGGAGGATGGAGCGTTCTGGGCAGATGAATGCCTATGCAAAGGCCTGGATAAACGTGGTTTTCAGAGAAGAAACTGGGAAATACTCATTCTCTGTTTATGTAAATGTGATGCCTCCTTTAAGTCCAGCACGAGTCCCACTTTCTCTGAGAGGCTGATCTACACTATTCCAGGTAACCCCTTGCTCTCCTTTTAAAATAATCCTGATGTTGGTCAAAGGATTCAAAATTTCAGTTTAGATAGGAGGAATAAGTTCAAGAGATCTATTGTATAACACAGTGACTGTAGTTAATAACAACATACTGCACTGTATACTTCAAAGTTGCTGAGCGAGTAGATTTTTAAGTATTCTCACCACAAGAAAACGATAAGTGTGCAAGATGATGTACGTGTTAATTAGACTGATTTAACCCATCCACAAAATAAGCATATTTCAAAACATGTTATACACCAAAAATAAATACATTTTAAATTTGCCAGTTGAAAATTTTTAAAATATATATAAAAAAATCTGTAGCATTATCTGTCTATACTTAATCAACTAGGCCTTGTGTTGTTACTTAACTCTCCAATGGATATCTATTTTTTCCCCTTAACTATACTGGTAGCCTTTGGAAAGCACAGAGCATATTCTATATATATTCTGTTCCCCTACTATGACAAGCATAGAACAGAGTACTTAAAAATATTTAACATGTATCTAGAATGAGCCAGAAAAAGACTTTAGAGATTTTTCAGAGAACTGCCCTCATTTGACAAACAAGAGGCTCAGAAAGGGGAAATGAACTTTAATGAAATCATTTGGTGGCACAGGTGGGATCAGAACTCAGGTCTTCTGATTCTCAGTTAGTGGCCTGCTGGTTTCATCAGCTGCTTCCCTGTTTGTTGTAGGCAGCTGGATAGATGGACATCATGGGTGTGTGATGCATGTCAATTGCAGCCTTGTCTCAATGCCACCCACTCTTCAGCTATTTGCTAAACCTCTTCATCTCTCTCCCTGTTGCCTCCACACCATCTTGGGGGAGGCAAGTTTGTATTTTCAAAAGTGGAGACTCCTCAGCAATGGACTATCTCCTACCAGAGCCTTCTGAGGACACCTTTCACAGAGCAGTTGGCATTTGTCGGGGGTGAGGAGGAAGGGAGTGGAGAGGATGTAATCTCCTGCTTTCACTTTTAATTCTTCAGGAGGAAAGGTCTTCCCCCCATCTCTGATGAGTGTTTTCAGAGTAATAATCACCTGTGGAGTAGGAGGGGTATCCCACACATTTTTAATGAACCCAGATTAATGAGATGTCACCAAGACGATTTTTTTTTTTACTTTAAAATGAAGTTTCTTTTGTCTCAGAGCCTTTGATTCAGAAGATCTTTATGAACAGAGATGGCTCCATGTGAGTGATGCCCAGAAATGCCTTGATCACATACAGTGGCTCATGTGGGTCCTGGGCTAAGCTGTCACTTTTTACAGCTATGCCTCAGGAAGTGGGCAGTCCTTCTCCTATTCTAAAAATCAAAATAGGATAATAATGATATTTCCTTACATTTGTAAATAGCAACTTGCAAAGTACTTTGAGTTTGATAAAGCACTTTAAATGCTTCATTAATTTTTTTAAAGATGCTATCACTGATTTTACTTCATGTCCATCCTATTTATTTATCAAATATTTATTGAGTGCCTATTATGATTCTAAACATTAGGAACACAGCAGTGAAAAAAGACAGACGATGCCCCTGTTATTGCAGAACTTTCTTTTTTAAAAATAAAAGACTTTTGCAGAACTTTTTTTTTTTAAAGACTTAAAAAAATTTTTTTAAGGACGGGGTCTCACTGTCACCTATGCTGGAATGCAGTGGCATGATCATAGTTCACTGCAGCCTTGAACACTTGGGCTCAAGCAATCTTCCCACCTCAGTCCCTTGAGTAGCTGAGACTACAGGTGCATGCCACCACACCCAGCTAATTTTTTGTTGTTGTTGTTTGGTAGAGACAAGGTCTTGCTATGTTACCTAGGCTGGTCTTGAACTCCTGGGCTCAAGTGATCCCTGCCTTAGCCTCCAAAATTTCTGGGATTATAGGTGTAAGCCACTGTGCCAGACCTTTAAATACTTTTTATTTTGAAATAATTTTGATCTGTAGAAGAGTTAAGATAGTACAGGAAGTTTGCATATAACTTTCATCCATCTTCCCTTAACTTTTTTTTTTTATTGAAACTAAGAAGTTAACATTGGCACAACACTATGAACTAAATTAGAGACTATGTTCAGTTTCTACTACTTTTTCTACTACTGTCCTTTTTCTGTTGCAGGATATAATCCAGGATCTCACATACAATTAGTTGTCATCTCTATTCAGTCTCCTCCAATCTGTGATAGATCCTCAGTCTTTCCTTGCTTTTCACGATCTTCACACTTTTGACGGGTACTTATCAGATATTTTGTAGAATGTCCCTCAGTTTATGTTTGTCTGATGCTCTCTTACAATTATTCTGGGCTTATGGATTTTTGGATACATATCACAGGGGAAAGTGCCCTTCTCTTCGCATCAGAGGTACCCAATATCCACAAGACGTCCCTGGTGCAGTTAGCTTTGATCACTTGGCCCAGGTGGTGTCTGCCAGGTTCCTTCTCTGTGAAGATATTATTTTCCATTTGCTTTTCTTTGGAAGGAAGTTACTAAGTCCTGCCCACCACACTGAAGAGGAGGGGAATTAGCAGAGCTTGCTTTTAAGTAAAAGGAGATAGAAAATAATGGAGTAAATAAACATGAAAAATTATCAATGAATGATCAGTTTTGAGCAGAGAATCAAAACTAAGTGATGTGATTGTGAGTGACTGGGTGGTTAGGGACAGTTTCAGCTGATATCCAAATAATAAGGAGTTGGCCATGAAAAGACCAGGGGGAGGAGCATGCTAGAGAGAGGGAACAGCTTCCAGTGCAGGAGCAAACTTGGCATGATCAGACCATGCCTCTCCCCTTTTCAAAACCCTCCAGTGACTCCCGTTCCACCAGAGGGAAAGCCACAGTCCCAACACTGGCCCACACAATCTGCACAATCTGTCCCCCATTTGACCTCTAGCCCCACCCTACACCTTGCTATTCCTCAAACACACCAAGCACACTCCACACTTAGGCCTTGGTGCTGGCAGCTCCTTATGGAGAAACTGTTCTCCTTTTTACGCTCATGGTCATCTCCCTCACTTCTCTAAGGTTTTATTCAATGTCATCTTTTCAGATGCTTAAACTTTTTTGTGTGTGTGTGTGTATCACCACACACACATGCACACACACAAACAAACACACAGTGAGTGAGTAGGTGCCCCAGTCCCTAGAAGTATTGGCACGTGGGTTAGAGGGAAGCCCACTGCATATGGACTTTTCATATGGGCTTGGAAACTTTCTTAAGCTAACTGGGCATGCTTGAAAAGCCAATAGGCAACTGTGACTCTTTAGCACCCATCTCCTTAAGGTTGTTTTTTTCTGACAGTTATCACTGCCAAGTTGACAAGCAATCAATTCCTTTGCTCCACGCTTTAGACACTGCCTAAATTTCAGGTATTAGCAAATTCTTCTGCTCCCTCTTCATTTGCTGGTGACTAAAGAGGCATATGCATCATGCCTCCTACCAGCTGGCATGAGTTATATGATATCATATAGTTTCTACTAAACCTCATACATCTCTGCTTTCTCTAATGAGGTGGATGTGGATATTGAGGTTGCATTTCTTTTCAGAGAAAATAAAAGGCAAGTCAATCCATGTGGTCAGATAAAGGGAAATAAGTCTTGAATAGGAATCTCTCCTAAATGGCCAATGAATCAGCATAGAAAATGCATCAGTGAGGCCTAAGTTAGTACCACAATAATTCTCATTTTACAGATGAGTAAACTGAGGCAGGGAGTGGTAAATAACTTTCCTAAGGCTAGTACCAGGAGCAGAGCCAAGAGTCAAGTCTAAGCAATCTGGATGTACCCACAATCCTCTAGCAGTGGCTCCAGTGTGGAGGACTCCTATTGTAGACAGTGCCTTCTCCTAGCACAACATCAGCAAAGAAAGACTGTAAATATCTCCTTACTAGAATGGAAGCTCCCTGAGGGCAAGAATTATGAATTACTCATAATTGAACCTAGAGATTGGCAAAATAATTCACACAGTAGGAACTCAAATAGGTATCTGTGAGGAATTAATATTATTCATTATACAGAGTTTTGGATTATTCATTATTTTGGATTAGTCATTCTTCTGTTTCTTTGATGAGGAAGGCATCAGAGACACTGGTCAGACTGTAATGTAGGAATCTATTTTCCTTAGTTGGATTCCTTTTCTACACTTTTTGGGCATTATTTCCTCATAGAAATGTTTTGTAAATGTGGCCAGAAAATCAACAGGGACTTAAGGGAGGTTAAAGGAATTAACATGTGTTTGCAATAAAGCGAGTCATGCTATAGCTAAGAAAGTAGTGGTTTTGTAAATTAAACCCTGACCCCAGCTCTGAACTCAAGCAAACATTCTTTTTCCTTTAGAAAAGAAATCAAATACATGCCAGTATGAAAAAAATGCATCTTCCATATTAAAGGTCCACTGTAACTAAACTTTTAATTAAAATGAGCACAAAAATTAAATAATATAACCTGCAATGTTGATGAAGCTTAGCCTCTGTGCAAGAAAGCTATGTGTTTCTAACCTGTTGACATTTTTCAAAACATTAATAATGGGAAAACTATCCCAGTGGGGATATCTCAGACTTAAATATTCAAAAGGTTTTTGGAAAGTGTCCTACATCTGGGACTGTTAAAAAGATAAGTCAACACAGGGATAAAAAAAAAAAAAAGTGCTTGGGTTGTTTTAGTACCTTGGAAAGGACCGATACTAAATAGAGTTGTTATAGACCAATCTCCTTTGCCCGGATAAGACGGTCCCTGACTGGGTGTGGATGACAGGGAGCTAGAAAGATTGGCTGAACATGATGGTGCACACCTAACAGGCTCCATATCAAGAAAGGGAAATGGGGCCAGGCACAGTGGCTTATGCCTGTAATCCCAGCACTTTGGGAGGCCAAGGTGGGTAGATCATGAGGTCAAGAGATGGAGACCATCGTGGCCAACATGGTGAAACCCCATCTCTACTAAAAATACAAAAATTAGCTGGGCATGGTGGCATGTGCCTGTAGTTTCAGCTACTCTGGAGGCTGAGGCAGGAGAATCACTTGAACCCGGGAGGTGGAGGTTGCAGTGAGCCGAGATTGTACCACTGCACTCCAGCCTGGCGACAGGACGAGACTCCGTCTCAAGAAAAAAAGAAAGGGAAATGGATTCTGGTCAATGAGTAATCTGGAACAATATAAACAATTCTTTTTGCTCTGAGTTCTAGAAACTGACAGGGAGACAAGAGATGTGGACATATCTGATGGACAATTATGTTAGAAAACTTCCTTTGGTGGTGGGGGGAGTCCTTGTTTTAACTATTCTGTCCCTATGTTAGACCACATACCTAAAGTCCGCATTTTTAAAATCTATGACATCTCATCAGCCTACTACTGGAAAAGACACAGAGGAAAGGGGCTGGTAAAAAAAAAAAAAAAAAAAAGATTTATTTATTTATTTATTTTGAGACAGGGTCTCACTCTGTTGCCGAGGCTGGAGTATGGTGGCAAGATCTTGGCTTGTTACAACCTCCACCTCCTGGATTCAAGCAATTCTTGTGCCTCAGCCTCCCGAGTAGCTGGGATTACAGACACCCACCACCACACCGGGCTAATTGTATTTTTAGTAGAGACAGGGTTTCAACATGTTGGCCAGGCTGGTCTCGAACTCCTGGCCTCAAGTGATTTGCCTGCCTCAGCCTCCCAAAGTGCTAGCACTCTGTG
This sequence comes from Homo sapiens, assembly GCF_000001405.40. Lineage (NCBI taxonomy): Eukaryota > Metazoa > Chordata > Mammalia > Primates > Hominidae > Homo > Homo sapiens. The sequence continues at coordinate 51,731,954 of NC_000017.11, forward strand.
CCAGATCCAGTGCTAAGGTTATCTCATACTAACTCATTTTATCCCAACAACAGCCCTTTGAGGTTGACATCATTATTATTATTATTACCATTCTTCTCACTCAGGAAGAGCCTAGATAACTTATCAGAAGGCACACAGTAGGTGGTAGAGCTGTCATTCAAATGTGCTTGCTTGAAGCTAATGTTAACGCCTGAGCAACTCATCTGAGCCCACCCTGTGATTTTTACATTGACTGGCAGAAACGAAGGAGAGGGAGAACAATGTTAGCAGCCAGGAAGATGAGTCACATGGCTGTGATGTGCCACTGAGTCCCTGTGATGAGGAAGACTGTTGTGACACTCAATTACAAGATGCTAAATTCTTTGAGTGTACATTATGGATTGCTTATAGTTATTCTTTCTATTAATGGGTGACACTCCTGTTTGTCTGGGATGCTTTTATCCTATTTCAGTTATGTTCATGCTTCTCTTTCAAGATCCGGCTTATGTCAGAAAGCCTTCTCCATCCCCCTAATTTGAGTCGGATGTGTCAACAGCACTTGAGCTTGTGAATTTTGTCAGGCTGATCTGAATAGAACTGTCTATCTTCCCACTGTGGCAGACATCTTTTAGGGTGTCTGCATAACCGACAGTGTCTGCCTTCACCAGATAACTGTTCTCCCCACCATACAGGCAGGTAACCAAGACCTATTTATCTACCTCATCCCACATGGATAGCTGATTGGGTCAGAGAGGACATCAGATCCTCTCGGGGAAAACCAAATTTCTTCTTTGGAGAATGTGGAATTGGGATAAAGAGCCAGACAGCTAGTCAGTACAAGAAGGTCTTGCGCCAAAGGAACATAAACTTGGGAGCTGAAGTGGGACCATTTCTGCCCTCTATATACACAGAAAATAAAAAATAAAAAAAAGACAGCTCATGGGGAGAATTGAGAATAAGGCCGTCATGCAGAGATGGGCAATGGAGTAGGAGTGAGTCCCTGGCTTATAACCTTGTTTCAGTTTTGGCTTCCAGTTCCTTCATTTGTCCAGTTACCCTTGAGTTCTATGACATATCCCAAAGGTATTCTAGTAAATCCCCCTTTTAGTTTAACCCCATTTGAGTGCGTTTCTGTTACTTGCCCCCCAAAGCACTTTACCTAAGATGCCGTCAGGAACTAGAGCCCCCAGAGGACAGTGGCAGGATTTGTTCTTGGGTGCAGCCCTAAGGTAGCACAGTTCCTGGCTTAGTTATATGAATTTTTGTTGAATTTTACTAACTTAATATAGCTTTTCTATGAGATAGCAATAACACTACCTGGTCCTCCCCAAATTGCCACACGCTCCAGGGAATTAGATGAATTAAAGCCAAGGGCTGGCTGGCTCCATTGAAAGCCACGCTTCGCCTCACTGTTGTTCCGTCTCGTTTCCAGTTTGAGAAGGCAGGGAGGCTGGGAAGCTGAAAAGCACTCAGAAGACAGGGAACAGCAGGAGAAAGTGACAAGCGAGACAGGATTTGAAAGGGGCTTGTTTTGAGTGCTTTGGAATCAACTTGTTCTTTAATTAAGGGGGAAATATCACCCTCCAGCTAGTAAAGACACCCCTAAGAAAATTAAAATAATGTAAATCAAGCTAAATGAATACTCCAGAAGCGGCACTAGAGCTTTGTAGGATTGAGTGTTTGGATGCCCCTGAGGTTTTAAAAGCAAAGCTTGCAACTGCTTTTTGGAGCAGAAACATTCTCTCTTTTGTTTGATGGCAAAGGAGGCTAAATGCCGACACCAATAGGATTCACGGAGGAGTTGGAGGTGACAGAATCTTCTTACTGTTTCGGCTCTCTAAAGACCAGAATTGAAACAAAACCTAAGTAGATGATGCTGATAAATTCCTGGGGTTGCTTCCTAGGGGTGTTCAATGCAAAGAAATCATTTAACTTGTAATTAATTCTACAAAGCAAAATGGTTCAAGGGGAACCTAGAGTTTCTAGTAAAATACCTTATTAATCACAGGGGCGTTTTACCTGGGAGGTGCAAAATGACTGAGGTGTGATGGGGTTTGTGTGTGTGAAAGCTACTAGTATGGTAGTGGCAGGAGCAGGAGGTTCAATATTGCGACAAGAAAAGGTCGCAGATCCAAGTGAGCAGAACAATCTGAGCTTTACTTTTTCATCAAATGTCTTAATTTCCCAAGATTTTACCTTAAAGGAGGTATGAGGATGGTTACAAAGTGTGTACTCAATCTTTGGTTGGGGGGGGGGGGTTCCAATGTAACACAAATAATTTATTACACATCAATGTTTCTGACTCTCAAGATAGCATCATGACTCCTTAATCAATGGTTTATACGTGATGGCAAACTTGTGCAAGAAGATTTTACTTCCATAGGCCTCTTGGTGCTGGAAGAGCTACTCTAGTCCTTTCATTTCTGGATGAAGGAAAAGAGATCTAGAGAGATTAAGTGGCTTGCCAAAGGTCACCTAGTCGTAGGGTGAGCATATGATTCATTGTGCAAACTGGAGGACTTTTGAAGGTGAAAGGATGTACTATAATATTACAGTTATACCAGGACTTAACTGGTGTCAGACTGGACTGTTCGGGCAAGGCAGGGCAGGTGATCATCCTATTTAGACAGCTCAGGGCTTTGCTTCAAACTCACAAGGAATGAGGAATATTCTATTTGCGGGTCTTCTTTGCAATAATAAACTGCCATCTGGGGGCAGGGAAGGGCACCACCTGGAGGCCAGGAATGGGAGGGCGATTCCTTGCAGGACCTCAGGCTGATGGGTTTTCTCCACAATTAAGTGTGGTTAGTAGGGGCTTGACTGTCTTCTGCAGGCCTGAGTGAATGTCTTAGTCCATTCATCAGAATATCTGAGATGGGGTAATTTATAAAGAGCAGAAATTTATTTTTCACCGTTCTGGAGGATGGGGAGTCCAAGATCAACACACCAGCAGGCTCAGTTCTCTGGTGGAGGCTGCATCCTCTGGAGGGGAGGAATGCTGTGTCATCCCATGGCGGAAGGCAAAAGGGAAAGAAGGAGGAGGCTTTTTCTCCTGGCAGCCTTACAGCAGGATGCCTTGACACTGATAAGAAAACAGCATTAGAAGGGCCCTTAACCCATCTTCTTAGAATAAGGGTTTCAGGAACCAACTCACAACTGCTCATGTAATTTTTAAGAATTTCACCTTCTGCATGGGTGCTACTCTGGATTCTTGTTAGATATGGATGGAGGATAGAAATGCTGACCCTGTATATATGCAATGTGGAATATTACACAGCCATAAAAAAGAACAGAATCATGTCTTTTGCAGTAACATGGATGCAGCTGGAGGCCATTATCCTAAGTGAATTAATGTAGGAACAGAAAATCAAATACTGCCTGTTCTCACTCATAAGTGGGAGCTAAACGTTGGGTACTCAATGGCACCGACAGACACTGAGGACTACTGGAGGGGCAGGGAGAGAGGGAAGCAAGCGTTGAAGAACTGACTGATGGGTACTATGCTCAGTACCTGGGTGATGGGATCATCTGTATCCCAAACCTCAGCATCGCGAGATATACCCAAGCAACAAACACGAACATGTACCCCCCACCCCGAATCTAAAATAAAAGTTGAAATTATTTGGAAAAAAATGTGAACCACAGATGATGCAGCTTGAAGAAGCATGTCATTGCTAATAAAAACAACCATTTTTGAGCACTCATTCTGTGCAAACAACTATTCTGAGCACTTTTTATACATTGATCCCCTTAATCCATAAAACTACTCTGCAAAGTGAAACTGTTCTGTCTCCTGATTGTGCTGATGGTCATCCAAATCTATATACCTGTTAAACTTCAGAGAACTTTATGCCAAAATAAAAAAGTTAATTCTACTGTATAACTTAAAAAACAAAGTAAAAAAAAAAAGACTATATACTGTATAAGTCCACGGATTGAAATCCAGGAAAGGCAAAACTCTAGTGATTGCAAATCAGTGATTGCCGGGGCTAGGGTAGGAGGGAAGGACTACAGAAGAACACAGAAACTTTTTGGGTTGATGGAAGCGTTCTAGACCATTTTGGTCATGGTTACACAACTATGTATTTGTGAAAAAGCATCATATTGTACAGTTTAAATTCTTAAATTTTTTTTGTATGCAAACCATACCTCAACAAAACTGGGGGAAACCACCCTGTAGAATGGACATCACTCATATTTGTCCCATTAATGAGGAAATTGGGGCACAAGGAGGTTGAATAAATTGCCTAGGGTCACAGCTGATAGAGCCAGGATTCAAACACAGGAATGAATAATTCCATCAATTTTCACTTCCACAATTAACAGCTGCTCATGCAAGTAGGTCATGGCCCTTAACCTGGGTCATGGGAACACATTAGCCCTAGAGAGGCAGCTGCAACAGGTAGAAAATGCTTGACCCCCACAGAGGACTTTACAGAAACAGCAGCTGTTCCGGGATGACCATTTGAGTCCACACACAATTAGTCTTTCCCAAAGCAGACACAATTACTTGATTTGAAAAACTGGTGCCAGGATGCTAAGTCCTGATGCAGATATCTGGTGGCCCCTGGGCCTTCCCCTTTTTCCTGGCTGGGAGTGTGATTTAAAACCTCCTGGCTAAGCTCATTTTGCCAAATAGCTCCTGCAGGATTCATTTCCAAGGCTGAGTCCAGAAATTTCTAGCTCAGCAAATAGATCCAAAGCAAGATGACGAATTCACCCAAGCTACCTCTGAGACTAAGGAATATGGTTTCTTGTGCTTTGCAGAGGCAAACAGATGTGTTTATACACAAATTTACACACATAAAATGCCTTGCTTGTTATAAAGAAGAGAGAAAAAATGTAACTGTACATCTGCATGTACAGTAGCTTCCATCTGGGAACTGTAACTTCCCAGTAGCTGTCCATCTGGGAGGAGAAGGTGAATGAAGGAATGAAGGTCCTCCGCAGGAACACAGAATGATGCTGTGTCATATTTCACACCGCTGCTGTACTACTTGGAGAAATAGGCTCCTGTCTCACTTTACAGCTAGAAACAGTGCAGACTGTTCTTAAGGCTGATGCAGAATTGAGAGGAACTGGAAGATCATCTCAGGTAACACAATCAGGCACTTATGATTAGAAGAATGGACTTACCCAGGATCAAGCAGCTACTTAGTGGCAGAGCCAGAGAGGTAAGGTGACTGTCTAAGGTCACTCAGTGCATAGCTGGAGTCAGAGACCTGGGTTCTCTTCCCTGGACCAACCATGCAACTGAAAGCAGGTTCTTTAACCTCTCGAGGTTTCTGTTCCTTGAATATAAAATGGTGCTAATAAGTGCTAGCTCAAAAGCTTATTGTGAGGACTGGGTGTGATAAGGCCCTAAGCACAATGCCTGAGACACAGTACATGCTCAATAAATTACAGCTGATGGTAGAAGTCATTTTAGTTCACCGTGGTTATGCTAATGTATCTTATCTTCAGTTTGGGCTAGATGAGTTCTAAGGTGAACCTTAGAACTTAGTTATTGGCTAGCCAATAACTAACTGACTTGTACAGCACTTTATGGCTTAAAAAGCCCTATCACAGAAGAGTTTTCTTTGCATTGCACAATTACCCTATAATATATATATAGAACCAGCACAATTAGCTCCATCTCCCAGTTTAAGAGACTCAAAAAGCCAAAGCAGTTTACTGAATTCTGCCTTTTCCAAGATCACACAGCCAATAAGTGGCAGAGAGGAGTGCTGAAGTCAGATCTTCTAAGTCAAAATGTTGCCTTCTGTCTGGTGGCCCAAGTGTCCAACTCTTAGGCCATTGTCCTTCCCTTAGTGTGTTTGTCCCTGCTTCCCTACAGCCCCCCTTCCAGGCCAAGCCAACCATTGCTCTTGGAGTGTGCCTCTCACCAGCAGATCCAATGAATAATCATGACAGTAACCCTACTGTTGCCCTTTTACTGCAGAGATGGGGATAGATTTATAGAGGCTGACTGTGGCTGGTATTTGGGAATGGATAATCACCTTCACTTACTATATCCTAGGCTGCTTCGGCTAAATATTTACTGCCCAGAATTCTGCCCTTTCCAACCAATTCTGAATATGAGCATGGCACAGGCAACTAAGTGGCATAATTCATTTGGGGCAACCATAAATCTAAGGCTTCCACCAGAAATGATGCAAAAAATTAATGGAACATGAAATCAAGTAAATGGAATTGAGTACAGTAATTAGTTCATATTTTAATCCTCAGGTCTGTTTATTATCTGTCAACTGGCGAGCAATTAAGTTGGCACCATTGAAATGATTAGCTTTGTTTCAGCAAAAGTTTATCGATATGTCAGTGCAAATGGATCCGGTGGTTTTAAATGGCCTTATTTTGAATTGTAGAGCAGCACATCCATGGAGCAGCTAGACATCGAATGATTTAATTTAGCAATATTATCTGGATTACTTATATTTAATATTACTGAACTGTTCTGGAGGGTTATGGGGGAATGTGGGCGGGGGAGATTTAAACTGCACAAAAGCATTGCTTCTGTTCTTAGGTTCTTAATGCAATAGTATGATTGCCTTTTCATATTGAGACCAAGGAAGAACATTTAAGACACTATATTTTAGTCTTCCAATCTTTAATTCTCACATTTATCTCAATCAGGCACTATTATGGCTCGCTCTCACATTGGTGGTCTTTTCTCAGGGGTGATTTGGTGATTTCTAGATCCACTTCCTTGTGGATGCTCATCATGGCTTATGTTTTGTGAAATAATCTCCCAATGTCTTTGCTGTTTTGAGGCTGACTCTATAGATGCCCTTGCGATGGGGCTGTGCTCACAAATGCAGGAAATGTGATTCTCAGGCTCTATTTGCTCTATGAGGTGACTAAACCAGGTGACCTAAGAAGGTTTTTTGAATCTTGGGATTTGACAGAATTCTAAATTTTATTTAAAAAGTTAAAAATCCCCAATTAAGAGTCAGGAAACTTGGGTTCTGGTCCTAATTCTGCCGCTAAATCTCTGTGACCTTGGGCAGGTCTCTTGCCCTTTCTGGCATTTGATTTTTCCTTTGTACACACAGGGGGTATGCTGGAAGAGATGGCCTCAAAAGTTCCTCCTCTGACACTGTCACTTTAGATGGACACTTGGAGTAGACTTGTCCTTTCCAAGTCCAGGTCTATGTCTGGAAGTGAGAGATGTGACCTTTCGTGGAACCTCTACAAATTTTCATTGGCCACTGATAGTATCAGAGTCCCAACGAATATAGGTCATTCTTATTTAACACCTCTTTTTCAAATTGATTTTATTCCTGCAGCGTTGGAAATGAGTTAAAAAACACAGCTAGTTCACGGAAATGTTGTGAGCGGTACTCATGCCTGTAACTGCAGTGTCACTGGTTACTAAATAAACGAAGGCCTCATTCAACACTTGTAAAATGATAATAGCCATGGTCTCCATGGTGACAGGTCTGAGGCAGAACCCTGATCAAATTCCAGTTAATGCCTGTCTTTAATATTGTCTTTTGTAATGTAACACCTTCCTCCTTTCTTCCGATGAAGCATCAGCAGGGAGATCAGAGTCAAGTGGAGGAGGATGGTGGCTGTCATATGCCATCCTGGGGGTCCAGGCCAGAGTTATGATGCAGATTAGGCTGGAGTCAATGGGATAATGAGTTGACCGCAGGAGGCTGTCTTCTAATGCAATGCCCTCTCTCTTAGGCTGCACTAGTGACTATCCAATACTGGCAATTCAGGAACTGCTGACTTGATTGGGCTGTGCTTTCCCAGAAGTAATTATAAAAATGTCCAGAGGGAGAACTTCCTCTCCTTAGATCAGAGTCATCATATGCTTGCTGGTATTGCTGTAATGTGCCCTACCACCATCTGAGCTTCTGCCTCTGCTTTGCTTCTCGAAGGCCAGTTTGCTCACTCTGGTGGGACTGGCTCTTAGAATCTAGAAATTTGATGTCTAGCATTGGCAAAGCTCCTTAGTCTGATCCTAGGAGTAATTCCAGGGCTGAAATGAGGAATCTAAATGAATTTTTCTGGTACACAGGTTCTCAATTGTTCCATTATTTCTCCCAGGTACTCCGAATTTACTTACCTTGTATTTGTGAATAATTTAACATAAAAAATTCTAGAACCTCTGTTAATATTGACAACTTTATTAGGTTTGCCATTATGACTATACAATTTAATTCATGATCTATTGGGTATAATCTAGGTACTTTGAAAGCTACATTCTTAAATTATCTTCATTTACTCATTTAATCTCTACTCAGCAATACGTACCCTGTGCCCATTATGTGTATGGGGAGATATTTAAAAACTACAACATACTCTGTGACTGTAGGGAGTTAACAGTCTGATTGGAAAGACAGGATCCTCTACTATACTGTAGGCTCCTTACAGGTAGGCACTATGGCCTATCAGTCTTTGAATTTCCCTACCAAGCTAGGGCCCAGAGCAGATGCGTAATCATTCGTATTGGGTTTATGGATAAATTGTGGGCTATATTAGGCAGTGTTATGAATCAGAAGACCCGAACTAAGTCCAATCTTGGTTATTTATTGCCTGGATGGTCTTGGGCCTTTGTTTCCCCAAGAAGGTGGTAACATTGAGAGCAACCGCCTTGAGGTTTATGATCAAATGGGAGAATTTCTGTCTCTGTGCTTTGGAATTTATTCAGAGTAAAAACCAAAGTCCATACAAAGTGCACATAGAGAGGACCCACGTGGTCTGCAGCAGCCTCTGGCCCTGCTCTGACCTCTCCGACCTCCTTCCCCATCACTCACACATGTGCTCATGCTGCTTCCGCTCTTCCTTGCATGCTCACAGCTCCCTCCCACTTCAAAATCATGGTACTGGCGATTGCCTCTGCCTGGAATGTCCTTCCCCAGACATCTCCCTGGCAACCTCACAAATGTCATCTTCTCACTGAGGCCTATACTGGCCACACTATTTAAACTTGTAGCTCACTCCTTCCACTCCTCATTCTCTGATCTCTCTTGTTTTGCTCTAGTTCTCTCTCCATAGCATTTATCATATTCTAAATTTACATGTAAATTTACTCATTTATTATGTTTATTATTTATTATCTGTCTCCCCCCGCTAGACTATAAGCACCTTACAGGTAGACATTTTTATTTGTTTTATTCACTGTAGCACATAATAGACAATCAATATTTGTTAACTGGATGAATGAATGAAGGTAAACCACAAAGCATGTGAACAGTGGCCAAGTGTTGGCAGTGAGATTCTGCAGCCACCTATGGGCATGACTGGGTGAGCTCTAGATTGTGCTGCACAGTAACTAACTCAAGTCTGTGCCTTGTCCTTCCAGTGGCTCTTAAATCCCTCCAGGGTAGCGCTTAATTGTTCAATCCTTTTGTGTCCTTTACCACATTTGGGATAGGGCTAGGTGGGGTGCCTTCTAAATACATTTTGAATTTCTGAAAGCATATTTCTTTCCCAGAGAAATTCCAGAACATGTCTTAGTAGTAACTGCAAACTGAACCACTCTTCCTCTTTTACAGTTTCTAATGGAATTTAATGCTTTGGGTAGCCTTCATATAAACACTCCATCTTCAAGTTAAATGGGGCTGTATATTTCTGTATAGTGAATGGAGGCAACATACTTTAGAATTTCAGGGAAAAAAATGCCTATAAGATTTTTGTTCCTGGGACACAAATGGTTGACTGAGTTGTTGATTCAGTGGTTTAATGACTCATTCCACAAACACCACTTAAGCACTGACTGTATGTCAGGCACTGTGCTAGGTGCATGGCATGCAAAGATGAATAGGTCTTGTCCTTAAGAGGTTTACCAAGGTCATTTATTCCCTCATTCAGTAAATATTTATTGACTATCCTCAAGTCCAGACAATGTATGAGGTGTTGGGAACACAGCAATGATCAATATAAAATTCCCATCAACAAAGGACTATGGTTCCAATAGAAGTGAGATTAAACAGTTACAAAACCCACAGTGATGGGCAACATAATAGATTGGGGTCAGCTAAAAAGGCCAGGTAGTAAATATTTTGGCTTCTGCAAGCTGCATGTGGTCGGTCAGTTTCTCTCTTTTTAATAGCATCCTTTAAAAATGTAAACCATTCTTAGCTCCTAGGCTGGACTTGGTCCACAGGGTATGGTTTGTAAACCCCTGTAATAGATGAATACACAGGATCCTCTGGAAGTCAAAAGGAGGCAGCACCTTCCTGTCTGGGAGGAGAGAAAGGGGCTTGGGAAGCTATGATGGGGAACTGTGGTGGATGGGGGAAGGGAGATGGGGCTGGCATTCAGAGTAGAGGGAGCAGCTTCACCATGGCATATAAGTAGCACTTCCATATGTATTGTCCATGTACCTGTCCTTATACATCCCAATCCTCATTTCCTCTCAATCTCCAATTGTGTCAATGGAGCATCTCTACCAGGAGGTCGTGGCAGAGCAGCAAAGTGCTAATTACATTGCCTGAGCACTCCTCACAAGCCATTCATTGCCTAATGGGGCCCTGGCTCTCAAGGATGTTCTCCTCAGCACTTTTCATACCCTAGCACACTTCAGGACAATTTGATGTTAGTTGCTTATTCCTACAAATTTGTGTTGCTTTAGTGAAACCAGCCTCTCAAGGATGCAAATAATTGATTCCTGGAAGAGGACAAGGCCTGCATTTTCTGTTGTTTTGTTTCAGTTGTTGGTTCTGAGATAATTGTTTTCTCTTTTCTGATTCAGAGCCACTGAGAGAGAGAGAGAAAGCAAGAGAGAAAGCCCCATATTTTACATATGACTTTAATTCTCCCCTTTTAATGAAACACATCCTATCTATATCACCATAGCAACAGCTATGGACTTTTCCCTCTCTCAGATGTGTTTTGAGCAGGATCAGAGATTCCAGAGGCTGAGAGCTAGCAAGGTCAAGGTGTTTCTATCTTGCTGTCAGAGGGAGCAGCAAGTGGGTCAGGTTGCACAGCTGCTCACCCATTCTTTGCTTAATGCTATCTAGTGAGAGCTATTTCATAATCCCCTTCTGGAATAAGCTTCAAATATAATCCACATTATGTGGTATTATCAATATACATCCCTCAATAGACTTTACACATCTGTGGGCAGAAGCTGCACTCTGGCCCATGCCTAGCTCGGAGCCCACCACATGGCAGAAGCACAAGAGCATGTGAAGAGTGGATGAAATTAACAGGAGGAACTGGCTATAGATCTTGCATGAAGTGGCTGGTACAATTCTCCGTGTACCCTTCTGCCCCCTTGAAAAGAAGAACTTAAGGAAGGATTTTTAAATGAACTTGTCTAATGTATCCCAAATCAGGAAGATTCTTCTTGTCCAGCCCCCACTACTGCAATGGAATCTAAGGCATGTTTCTTTTCAAATATTATTTTTTCCCTGGCTAATGTATTTTCTTCTTTTCATAAATATCCTACTTTATACTGGACATTAATCTAACCATTTAGACATGATTAGCAAGCTAAGGGTCTTACTTATTAAAAACAGTTCATTTTTCCTTCTTAAAGAAATGGAGACATTTGAATCCCTGAATGTGCTCATTTATCACCAATCCCCAACAAGGAATCCAGGAGTTCTCTGTGTAGGACATGAGTAATTTTTATAAAAATGCAGTTGCTGACTATGTCATACATCCATGCAGCTTTATAAAACAAAGCAAATGATTACCATCAATTACAATAACCTCACTAGACAAGACTGCAATTAATCTATAGCTCTTCAGATAACGACTGTTGCACTGTGCCAAGGAAAATGCCTGGCATTAATTGACTTATCACGATCAGCAGTGATAGATAGGGCAGATGGCAATGTGATCATTCACTGTCAACAAAATAAACACATGCTTTCTTGCTAGAAGTGTCTACTTGGGTCCTCTCAAAGGATAGCCAAAAATAGAGGCCAAAGGTGGCTTTGAAGGTAGCACAAAATAAAAATTAAGTTAACCAGATTCGCGCAATCTACCCACATAACAAACCTGCATGTGTACACTTTAATCTATAATAAAAGTTGAAATTCATTTTTTAAAAAGTTAACCTTCAGGGTGAGATATGTTGACTTTTACTGAGGCTAATCCTCAGTAGAATACAATTGAAGGAAATTTCTATAAGAAAATCATGGATTGGTGCAGTGGCTCACGCCTGTAATCTCAGCACTTCGGGAGGCCGAGGTGGGCAGATCACTTGAGGTCAGGAATTCAAGACCAGCCTGGCCAACATAGTGAAACCTCACCTGTACTGAAAAAAATTAGCCAGGTGTGGTGGTGCACACCTGTAATCCCAGCTACTAGAGAGGCTGAGGTAGGAGAATCGCTTGAACCCAGGAGGTGGAGGTTGCAGTGAACCGAGATCATGGCACTGCACTTCAGCCTGGGTGACACAGCGAGACTCCATCTCAAAAAAAAAAAAAAAATTATGGATTGTATAGAATTTCAGCATCAGAAGATACATTAAAACTGACAGTTTCCCCTGCTCATTCGAATGTGAGTCACCTTTATGGAGTCACCAAATTCTGTTCAGTGCTTAATAACTCCAGTAATGGGGCTGAGTGCAGTGGATCACACCTATAATCCTAGCACTTTGTGGGGGGGCCAAGACAAAAGAATTGATTGAGCCCAGGAGTTAGAGGTTACAGTGAACTGTGATGGTGCTACCACTGTACTTCAGCCTGGGTAACAGAGTAAGACCCTTTCTCTCTAAATAAATAAATAAATAAATAAAATAATTCCAGTAATATGAAGTCACAATTTTCAGAGGCAAACTCATTTCATCACTGTATCGTTTTCATCGTTAGAACACATATGCAGCTGAATTCCATCTTTTTGTAGCTACCACCCATTGGCCATAGGTGTCTTCCCTTATGCTACACAGAAGATGCCAAACTCTTCTTGCTTGCTGAAATCCGTAAATGGGATCTCAAAAGTCAACTGCTTATCGCACTACTTTGCATATAGCATTGTTTCGGGGACTCTGAAATTCTGGTCTCTTGCACCTAAACCCATACCAGTTCGTCTATAGACCCCTGACATTGAGAGGCTTGGAAAGAAATGTGATACGATGACTGCATCTACCCAGGGCAAGGTAGATTATACCTATGCTGAGGCCAGTGCTCAAGCCTACATTGGAGCAGTGGATGTGTGTGTGTGACCACCCTACTTGGGAAGCTGTTCTCCAAGTCTCATTAGTCTAGATAGCATCCCAGCCTTGCCATTTCCAGGGGACAATTACCAATGTGTGTGCCTTCCCCCCTTTTTAGCAGTGTGATTTTGTTGATTAAGTCCCCTTTGTTTAGAAAACTGGGATAATTCAGGCGGAGTTTCACCTAAAATTGTCACAGTGGTCGCTAACCAAAATCTCTTGGGGAAAGTTTTACAAATGTACAAACCTGGATCCTATATCCTGAGACTGATTCAGTTGGTTTTGGGAAGGACTGAGAGGAAAATATTTTGACAAGGCTTCCCAGTTCATTGTGATTTGCAACCCTGCTTACATGCTTTCTTCACTCATTGCTTTCTTCACTGGGAACACATAATAATGTACCATTGTGGAAGTGCTTCACAAACCTAATCGTCAGACTCTCCTGGGAACTTTTAAAATGCAAATTCTTTGGTGCACCTGATACCTGTGGTCTGGTGTAGGTCTAGGAAAATTCATACACTAAGAGATCAAATTACTATATGTTTCCCTTAAGGATTTTGGAAGCACTCATTTACTCTAAAATTGTGGTTCACGTATAAGTTACAAAGCACCCTTATCATATACTGAAGAAACAAGTGTCACTAAAGAATAATACAATGTAAAGATTTTAGCCTAGTAAACATCTACATTTTATCAATTATTCATTTAACAAATATTTCTACTCTGAAGCAGTGTTGTGATAGGTGCTGGAATATGACAGAATATGGGGGAGAAAAAGAAATAACAGCAAACAAAAAAATGAGCAAGTAAGTCAACAGATAAAATAATTACAAACCTTAAAATAACTTAAGAGGAAGAATTCATCTAATTTTGAATATTCTCTAATTCAGACCGGCAGTACCCAGTTATGCTCAAATTGTGACTTTCTGTCCTGCTTTCATTACATTTCTTGTTGTACTCTAGTTCAGAATCTGCAACTTGGGAGCCTGGCATTACAATGCCTTTGGCAGACATCCCTAATCAATCCTAGTATTTTTTTTCCCTACAGATCCAGGAGGGAGACCCATACTACAGCTCAACCCTATTGTTTATAGAGTCATGATTAACAGATCACAGATAAAATGCTAGATGAAATCATGCAGCTTCTCTAGCACACACTGCCCTGACATGCCTCGGGGCTTTTGCTCGCACTAGCCCTCATTTCCTGCTTTGTCATTGTTGTTTATCAATCATTGAGTACTTTCAGTGTTTTTACATCTGGAATCCCACTTAATTTTTAAAATGGAGGTGTCTAAACTGTGCCTTAGAAGGCTCAAGTAACATCCCAAGATCACACAGTGTGTATCAAAGCAAGACTACAAAACTCAGGTCACTGGACTCCAAAGCTGATGGTCTTAAAATTGTTCATCATTGCCTCTCTTTACAGCCCAGTTCAAGGGGCACCTTCTCTGTGAAGCTTCTCCTGACCCCTTCAAGCAAAATTTACCACTTCTTCCTTTGAGTTTGCCAGGGCCTTTGTACATCCCCATTACAGCATGACATTATACTTTAATGACTTGAATGTAGCACTCTTTGAGCTCCTCTGTGGTAGGAGCCCTTTTTTTAAATCTCTGTATCCCTGGTAACTAGCTGAGTGCCTAGGCAGGCTCTTAGTGACACATTTTGGATGCACATTAAAATCTGGCTGCTGGACTCATTAAGATTGTGGGTCTGTTTCTTAGTGCTTGGCCTTAACACACTAAAAATAAGGCCAGATTTATACATGATCTTTAAAAAAATAAAAACACCACATGCAATACATATTTTTGTAATTTCAAAGCCTTCCTAACATCAGTTATTGAGGACTCTTAAGCAGAAACCTAGTCACAGGGCATTTAGCCTGTAAGGACCCCTGATCTCTAGTTCATAAACACCCTCCAGTATAACGGGGGTAAAACAGATCAAATTACCTACACCCTACTTGTGAAGTGTCACACCACAGATGACAACTGTTTAAACTGTAGCTCTTGTCCTATAAATGAAACTGTGGTTGGGCTCTCTGCTGTGGCCTGAGTTCTGTCTGGGTTGATGGTGGCACACAGTGACGTTTCCATTTTGCAGAAACTCAGGAAAACTATTGAGTTGCCTGACACTTATTTCACAGTATGTTATAGTTTTATGCAAATATGACTCATTATATTCAAAAGAAAAGTTATGGAATCTGTGCTATCATATGTGACACGTGAGAGGCTGATCGCCCAGATAGGTGTAAGTAAAGATGTATTATATATATAAGGTGAGGATTTGGGGTTGAAATAATGCTCTAGAAATATCACTGGACATGAGTCTCAAGAGAGCTGCAACATTGTCTCAGAAGGAAAGAGCTAGTTTCATTGTAGCCTTCCCTGGAAAATACTAGAAGCTTGTTATTGACTTCGATGTCAATTTGCAAAAGACAGATGGAGAAAGAAGGCATGGGCCTTCTCATTTCATAGATTAGAGCGAATCCCTTTGTTATGTTATCCCATCTTGGACACAAACAGGCACCCAATCTTATAAGTTGACATTTAACCTTAGTACTTTGACAGACTAACATACCTCCCCAGAGAAGGCCTGTCCATTGAGGAGGTGCTCCGACCCTTGGCTGTCCTCACTCCCAAAGTGTAGTCGGATCTCCTCCAGCCGGTGGCTGTATGTCATGGGCCCTCCAGATATGTTGACCAAGTGCTCCTTGTCCAGGCGAAGGGATACGTGTCTTCCAGTGTTGTACATGGTCCCACTGACCTGCAAGGCAATTAGCAACAGGTCAAGCAAGGCCCTCCTTCTTCTATGCCTCCCCAAACCCAGCATGGTGCTTGGATCAACACCTTTTGCTTCCTCTTGATGGGAAGATGGGCTAAATCCACATGTGGAGTAGGGCGTGGCAGCTGCCCCAGAGGGTATATGTGGGATCTATGGTAATTTCTGTGAGGCATAAACCACATGATGGCTTAGGAATTTGAGGTAAGAACTTGAAGGAGACTTTTCATCATTTGTGATTAATATTTTGTGCATTGTATTTTATAAAAAATGAATTTGTCCTTCTTACTATAAGGATTTGGAATGGAAAGATACTGCAAGAGTTCTAAATCTCAGCTGTGAGAAATTGGAGAAAGCAGTTAGCAAGGGGTGAGATATTAAGAAGGCCAAATGAGACAGGGAAGAGAAAATGAGTGACTAGAAGCAGACGCTCATGGGAGATGGAAAGCCTAGGTCTGAATTCTCAAGCGTCCTATCTGGTGTGTCCTGCCCTGCAACCAGACATTGCACAGAATCCTCATAGCTTGTGGGCCTCAAGTGGTAAACTAAAGGGATTCACTCAAACTTCCAATTTCATAGATTCCTAGACTTACTCCTTATTCCTGATTCCATCTTGCTCCAGCCCCTTCAAACTGCTAACATGACTGCTTGGCATTCCTTTTCCTTCTTTTCTTGCTGGGACTTGATGTTCAGCTTCATTTTCCTGACTGTGACCTCAACAACAATTGATTCTAGAACACTCATTCCCATCTGAAACTCTACTTTCTTACTCTCTTGGGTTGACTTAGCTCTGGGAGTAGGATCTAGAGCTTAGGGAGACTTTGAATGAGTCTGGAAGGAGTGTTTCTGGGTTACAGGAGGCTGAACTATTTGGATTTTCTTCCTGCTTACTCTGACTTTGGGCCAAGCCTTCAGCCCTAGTGATTCCTGAAGGGCTTCCTGTACCTTCTGACACCTTCATTAGATGTGGTTTTCATATATGTGCTCTATAGCACTATCTTTTACCTGCCTCTTTTCCACCTTTCTGACACTGGTGTTGTGAATGATTAGCTCTTGAGTTGTTCACTGTGGCAGAGACCATAATGCTCACCAAATATTCCAGTGACTCATTTTGTTTCCTGCCACCTTACTGTAGAATGGAGCCCATGTGACTGATAGGGGCCATGGGTTGGGAGGGGTCATGACAAGTGTCACTTCCAGGTTGAAATAGTGGATTCCCCAGACTCACCTTTCCCTGGTACATCGACCAATGGCATTATATGGAAATGGCAATGTGGTGCAGCGACTGCATGGAGCTCATGTCAGCCTAGGCCCCTAGAGATTATGTGCAGTTTACAAAAATGACAGGAATTCTTCCCCTCCCTATAACTACACTCCCAACAATGTAATTTTGTAACTGCTGTCATCTAGATAAGAGGCTATTTCTCTACGTCGAGTCTGGGCTGGCCTTGTCACTTACTTTGGCCAACAGCATGTGCTGCACACAACATGCTAGTCCTGAGAGTAGACCTTGAGGGCATGCGTGTTTTCTTCACTTCTTCGTGGAGCCGTGAAACTACCATGCAAATGAGCCTGGGCTAGCCTGCTGGAGGATGGGGCCACAGTGAGGAGAGCCATCCCAGGAGAGGCCGTCTAGACGGGCTACTCTGTGGCTGATCCACTAGCTGACTGGCCCAGCTGAGATCAGCTTAGCCTGGCCCAGGTCAGAAATGTCCACTGACCCATAGGCTTGGAGCTAAATGATTATTTAAGTCTCTAAATTTTGGGGTGGTTTGTTATGCAGCAAAAGGGAACTGATAGACACTAAGTCAGTCATCTTCTTTCTCCTGTGAAATCTGGAACTATCAACAGAAACTCTCCGTTGAGTTCCTGAACTGCAAGGTCGCCTGAGTGCCAACCATACTGTTAAGCAGAGAAAGTCAGATCAGAGAGAGAGGACTGAGGCAGATGTCCCAACATTGACAGAGGAGACCACACACTGGGGAACGGGGGAGGGAATGGGGAGAATAACTACTTCGCTTCAGATATCTTTGTGTCTCTTCGTTCTAGTTCCTTCAAGAGGCCTGAACTGTACTTTCTAATATTCTACACCTTACCAATACATTTTTAAACCTCAAGTTATCTATTCCTTGCAACCAAATGATCCATGCCAATGACTTCACTCCTGTTCTCCAGCCTCAAATAAATGTATATTTAGTTAGTGTGAGATAATCAGAACTTTTCATTTCCCATAACTTCCTTTTCAGTACAATAGCTCAAGACAGATTTGTGTTAGACGTGACTTCCATCTCTAAATATAACCTATTTTTTCTAATTATTAAGATAATACATAGGCATTATTATATGGTTCGAAAGATATGGGACAGCAAATCGACCACAATTTCACAATTAAACAGGAATCACCACTAATATTTTGGCATATATATAATTTTCACACTCATACTTATAGACCCATAATTTAATGAGATTTTATATATGTGCATTATAAATATATAATATAGACTTTTCACTTGCATATATGTATATTATATATGACTTTTTATGTTATTCTAACATATAGATATTTCCATGTCATTAACTATTCTTTAGCAATATCACTTTGAAATATCTACATCATATTTCCTTGTAAAAATGTTTAGCTGATTGTTGAATCTTTACAGCCCTTTCACTTTTTCATTATTGTAAAAAAAATCTGTAATAAACATCCTCATGGATAAATCTTTTCACGAATCCAGAGATATTTCATTATGCAAATTCCAGGTCAAATAGTGTACACATTATTACAGCATTTACTATGTATTGCTGCATCCATCTGCTATGGGGAGTAGATCCCACAGAGCAGGGCTGGATCTCTGTAATTCCCTTCAAATGACATTAAGCACAGAACCATGGGATTCAATCTAGTGACATTCTGTGGTATAAAAGGCAACAAAAAACATTGCTCCAAGTTCCTATGACATGCATGCTTTGTGCCATTGGGCAAGTATCTTGGGCTTCCTAACACTTCTAGAAATCCTTTCATCTATGTCTGTCTAATGTTCTCAAGAAAATTATTGCCCATTGAATCAAGGCACTGACTACATTTTATGCTTGTGTGAATTTTCCCAGTACTTGGGAAACACACTGGCACAAGTAGGTGGAAAAATCAGGGGCCCTGGAGTCAAAAGATTCTCAGTCTGCCTCTTGCGACCTAGGGTAGTTTACTGAATTTCTTGAAGCTTCAGTTTTCTTAACCATAGAGGTAACAGAATTTCCTCCATGAAAATGGCAGACAAAAAAGCTATAAGGCATATTGAAACAAATAGCAAAATGACAAAGTCCCTTCTTATCAGTAATTACTTTAAATGTAAATGGATTCCACTTGTATGCTATATCTAAAGTAGCCAAAATCATAGAAACAGAAAGTAGAATCGTGATTGCCAGGGACTGAGGGAGGGAGGAAGAGAGAGTTAGTATTTAATGAGTATAAAGTTTCAGTTTTGCAAAATAAAAAGAGTTCTGGAAACAGATGGTGGTGATGGTTGTACAACAATATGAATGTACTTAACACCATTGAATTGTACACTTAAAATGGTTAAGATGGTAAATTGTATGTCATATGTATTTTACAACAATAAAAAGTTGGTAAAAATTGCCCTCACGAGGTTGTGATAATTAACTAATATATGTGATGGTCACACGTGTTCATTCTCTTCCTTCCCTTACTCTTGGCTATTATGGCATGGGTGCCTAGGTGATATTGAAGGATTCTCGTTGATCTTTCTTCCCCATGTCTTCCCCAATTCCCAGAGCCTGGTGGAATATAATGTTGCTTGCTAAATGTCATAATGAAGAACTGGAGCTAACTTCTGCCTTGTGATGATTCACTGGCCTCTCATTTTGGATTTTAAGGTGCTAGACATGAGGAGAATGCAAGATCATATTGAAGGCCATGAAGCAAACCCCAAACCAGAAGCAGGAATACACCAATGTGCCTTCTAGTTCTTCGATCTCACTTCCAGACCCCTTCTGCATACATGGCTCTGTCTTCATTCATTCATTCGCTTGGCCATTTACTCAGAACAAAACATTCAATGCACCTAACAGTGTGCTAGGAGCTGGGGACAGTATGACTTTGAACAAAGCCAGTCCCTCTCCCTGCCATCATGGAGCTCACACTCCATTATGGAGAGACCTGAATGGGGGCACAAAGTTATGGGCAATCCATAACTGCTATCATTTTCCTATGTGTTCTTACAACGAGATGCAACACCCCCTTTTCCCCACTCTTCCCATAGATACCGAAATAACATTAATTTGTATTAATCAAAAAAAGCTGTGTAGCCAGGGCATGGTTTGTTGCACTTTAATTTAAAAATAAAGGCTTGACAACGTTATGTATGATATCTGAGGGTACATCTGCACCGCAGTAATTAACATTGCAGCAGTGCCATTTTATCTCGAATGCTAATTACTGTGTTTTCAATGAACTATTTGGGTGCGCAGCATGTTGGAAAAAGTTATATTATACAGACCAGGAAACAAAACAGAATGGAGAAGTTGAAGCTGCAGGGGATATCCAGGTTGCCTCTGGCTGCCTCACAGTTCTTTTTGTTTTACCTTAATTCACTGCAAAATAAGGTGTGAGATGGGTGTGATGTCCATTTTACCAGCAAAGGAAGTAAGCGGGGGCTGGTGAAGGTTCAGTAACTTATCCAGAATCACACAGTGGCAGGTGGCAAACCCAGGTCTTCTGATTCCAAGACTAATGATCTCGATGTAAGCAAATGCAAGTGTCCTTGCTCATTTCAGATTAAAAAAAAATACTTTGGGGGGCCAGGTACTTTGGCTCATGCCTGTAATCCTAACATTTTGGGAGGTCGAGGCAGGCGGATCACCTGAGGTCAGGGGCTTGAGACCAGCCTGGCCAACATGGCGAAACCCCGTCTCTACTAAAAATACAATTAGCGGGGTGTGGTAGCAGGCACCTGCAGCTACTCGGAAGGCTGAGGCAGGAGAATCACTTGAACCCAGGAGGCAGAGGTTGCAGTGGCTGAGATCGCGCCACTGCACTGCAGCCTGGGTGACAGAGTGAGACTGCATCTCAAAAATAAATAAATAAATAAATAAAATAAAAAACAAGTAAATAAAAAATATGTTGGGGATTTTCATTTCTTCTCCAGTCTCTATTTGCAGATCTTAGGCAGTTCCAGAAAAAGTGGGATCTTTTTCAGGAAAAGAGAGGACTATAATTGGATGCTAGCCTGCTGAAGTTCATCCCAGGAGGAGGCTTCGAGAAACCTGAAGGTCAAGGAAGTCCCTCAATTTCCTCACCTGCGGAATTCATACTGGTTTGAGACTGGTTGGAGCTACGTATATTGAGGGAAGCAGGTAATAGGTGCTCCACAGATGTGCCTGTCCAGGTTGTATGTCAATCAATATTATCTTGATAACTTGAGACCATCTAGAAGCACTATGTTCTTTTGCAAAGCAAAAATTGTATGCCTGGTGTATTTATTTTGCAAAATTAGATGTCTTTGCATAGCAAACACAGTGCTTTGCAGCAGTCAGTGATTTGGGGCCTCTAATAAATGGGGTCATCTTTTTTCATTCTGGTGACACTATCATGTTTAGAGGGAAATAAATTTGGTCAATGCATTTTTAAGGTAGGAAAAATTTTCATTCTTTGAAATTCAGCCACAATCCTGTTCATAAAGATGGCATCTTGGTTAGAACTTTACTGGGTGCCACAGGGGGTGGCGGTAAATTCTGAACCTGAATTTTCTCTGTTAATCATCACAATTTCTCCCTCACCAAACCCAGCACCATTTGCTTATTCTCAGTGGGAAGATATTAGGCTAAACCCATATGTGGAGGGAAGGCCTCCCACAGGGCATACCTGTCTTACCTGGTTTCTATGGCACTTTCCATAGAAGCAAACTGCCATCAGTCGGGGGCCAGAACTTGACCTCAGCTATCTTTGGCTCTAAAGCCTGTGCTTTTAACCACTGGAAATTATTAGGTTGTGCAGTTTTTGTTTCTGTTTTTTGATACGGAGTCTCACTCTGTCGCCCAGGCTGGAGTGCAGTGGCGTGATCTTGGCTCACTGCAACCTCCACCTCCCGGGTTCAAGTGATTCTCCCTCCACAGCCTCCCAAGTAGCTGGGATTACAGGTACCTGCCATCACGCCCAGCTAATTTTTATATTTTTAGTAGAGACGGGGTTTCACCATGTTGGCCAGGCTGGTCTCGAACTCCTGACCTCAGGTGATCCACCTGCCTCGGCCTCCCAAAGTGCTGGGATTACAGGCATGAGTCACCACTCCCAGCCACAGCTGGTTATTTAACAATGTAATATTACAGCATTTTCTTCAAGAGGTGGGTTGAGAGTGTAGGAGCCTCACAGTAGTTTGGAGCTCAGGATGTTTAGGATTACTTACTGTTTACTCAGGGTTCTCTAGAGAAACAGAATAGTGTGTGTGTGTGTGTGTGTGTGTGTGTGTGTGTGTACATATATATGTATAAAGACGGGTAAAATAAAGAGACAACACATGCGCACACACACATACATACTACTGTGTGTGTGTGATATATATATATATATATATATATATATATATATATATATATATATATCACGTAAAATAAAGAGATTTTAAGAAATTGTCTCATCTAATTATGGACATTGGCAAGTCCAAAAGCCTGCAGGCTGGAGGCAAGAGCTGATGCTGTAGTTTACCTCTGAAGGTACCCTGCAGAATTCCTTTTCATTCAGGGAGGTCAGTCTTTTTGATCTCTTGAGGCCTTCCACTGATTGGATGAGGCCCATCAACCTTATGCAGGGCAATCTGCTTTACTCAAATTCCACTGATTTAAATGTTTATCTCATCCATAGACATTCTCACAGAAATATCCCAATTAATGTTTGACCAAATATTTGAGTGCCATGGCCCAGCCAAGTTAACACATCAATTAACCACTACACTTATTTTCAAATTCTATTTGCCTTCTTTATTACATCAGTTCAAATAGCTCTTAACCAAATAGTTGTTCTGATACCACACATAAAGGGTTATATATATAATACAAATATGCGTGTGTGTATATATACATGCATATATTATATAGCTACATTATCTATATCTGTATATATTATATATACACATATGTATATTATATATGATACAAACACATATGCATTTTATCTATATATTTCCTACATCACATAATTTTAAAAGTCAGCTACACAAAGACTGTTTTCCAAATGTCAGTCACATAGAAGGAGAACCAGTTTGAAAAGATGTACATCTGAATGATAGAACAATTATAAAGAAATAATTTAACTTTTCTTGTTAAAGAACAAGGCAGGTTTATCCTTGAGTATAGATGGGACCATGGAGATTATTTTGATGTAAATCCCCTATTGTTTTGGGTCTTAGATGTTGTATAAACTCATATTTTGAGATAACAAAGAGGAAGAGGTATATCTTTTTATAAAGACCAATTCACAAAATACACATGTCAAAGGTCTTTTGGTTTAATGGAGATAGCGCTTGTAGGGTGGATGTTTACTGCAGAAAGCTAAGCTAGAGGAAATCTTACCTTCAGAAATTCCAAAAGATTCAATAAGTAGCTACTTGCTTGATGTGACACAAAGATTATGTGAGGTTTCCGATATGTTCTCTCTCAAGGCAGTCTGACTCAGATCTCCTCTAATATAGTAAAAAATAATTCTCTACAGCTTAAATGGAAATATAACACTAAAAATGGAGTAGCTGAGAGGAAATAGAATTTCAGTCATGCAGAAGGAAGAGATGGCCTATCTGACGTGTACAGGAGCTACTTGCATTCTTAACCCAGTTAGTTAGGAAAGGAAGGGTGGAGGACACCTACTAATTGGAGGATTTACTATGTGTCAGATGTTGTACCACTTTTTAGATTAGAAAACCAGGTACAGGTCGGCTAAGAATTCTACTCAAAGATACAAAAGGAATAAGTGAGGGGACTAGAATTCAAGTCTTCATGACCCAAGCTCATGCTCTTCCCAGGGTCTCAAGGAGTAGCTTCAAAGTCACTGTAGAGAGGGTGCACTCCCATTTCTCAGTGACCATGTACATTTCAGAAATTTCATAATGTCCTTTTTATTTATTTACTATTCTATATGGAATTGGCACCTGGGCCCTGTTCACTGGTAACATAGAAGAGCCGGCATTCTTGCCTTTGAGATTTGGGATACAGTCTTCTTCAGCAGATTTTTTTTTTTTTTAACCAACAAGAATGAGCTTGAATCAACAGATTTTCTTTTACTATAACTATAAAAATACATAACTATAAACACGCTGGGAGCTGATAGACCACAACATCCACAACAGCGGCTTGACTGTGGTGTACTCTGGGCTGTGTACTCAGTCCCTTTCCATCATCATCTCATTTCACCCTTATGCTGCCCAGGTGAGGAAGGCATTATCCATATTCTGCATATGAGGAGACAGAAGCTCAAAGGGGTTAAAGGATTTTTACTTAAAGCACCACAGTTAGAAATTGGCAGTCCCAGAATTCTAGCCCAGGCCTATTTGACTGCACATTCTATAGCTCTTTAAAAGAGAAGAAGTCAGAAGTTGGTAGGAAGAGTGCTGAGTGCTGGGGAAATGAGGTAGTTGTTTTTTTTTTTTTTTTTGAGTCTTTGCTCTGTCGCCCAGGATGGAGTGCAGTGGCGCCATCTCGGCTCACTGCTGCAAGCTCCGCCTCCCGGGTTCACGCCATTCTCCTGCTTCAGCCTCCGGAGTAGCTGGGACTACAGGCGCCCGCCACCATGCCTGGCTAACTTTTTTTTTTTGTATTTTTTAGTAGAGACGGGGTTTCACCGTGTTAGCCAGGATGGTCTTGATTTCCTGACCTCATGATCCGCCCGTCTTGGCCTCCCAAAGTGTTGGGATTACAGGTGTGAGCCACTGTGCCCAGCCATGAGATGAGGTAGTTTTTAA
Source organism: Homo sapiens (assembly GCF_000001405.40). NCBI lineage: Eukaryota > Metazoa > Chordata > Mammalia > Primates > Hominidae > Homo > Homo sapiens. The sequence continues at coordinate 51,756,797 of NC_000017.11, forward strand.
AAAGCTTCTGGGGTTAGGGATCAATTCTTAATTAAAATATGATGTCTGCATGGATATGCCAGGTTGGGTTTAATGTATCCAGACCTGGTCTAGACCCAGGGTGGCAGGGCAGTTCCAGTCCCCGCTTGCTGGGAGTTGAGAGATGGGTCATACCTGCCTCTCCTAGTGTTGGCTGAGCAACTGGGTGGCTGAGCCCAAAATGTTGGGAGGCCACTCAGTGAAGAAGATTCAACGGCCGTGTCATGAATTAGGTGACCTTTCTTTGCAACCGAAGTTTCCTGTTATATGTCTCTGGCCACTCTGCTGAGGTGTGTAATAGGCTTTCTTTGCAATGTAATTAGTGAGTCTGAGATTTAAGAACACCACTTAGTCTAGTTTTCTGCAAAGTAGCTCAAGAGATCAAAGGGCTGATTTGTAAAGAGTGAATACAAAAAGCCAGTGTGCTGCCTGCTCACATGGGCACTCTGGAAGCATCGACGCAAGAAAAAAAAATTAGTACCAAAAACTGGAGTCAAATCATTGGCTTCAGTGCAGCATAGCAGACACACAGATTAGCAAACTTAGGGGCGTATGGATTCTAAAGCTAAAGGACTTCAGAGATCATCAAGCTCTTATTCAATAAACCAGGAAACTGAGACACAGAGTGGTTGAGTGAGTTGTCCAGGATTATGCAAACAAGTAGCAAACCCAAGATTAGAAATCAACCCACTGAGTGTTTCTTGCTTTATGTAGCACTCTTCCCCCTCCTCTTATTCTCTTGCTTTTCCTTTAAATTATCTTATGCTGAGGGTACCTAAGAATACTGACTCAAAGTTAGAAATGCTAGAGTACTATAATAAGTGTGTGTATACACAACTACCATAGCCTATAGAAAAACAGAAACAATTCAAGTTGACATCTGGACCTGCCATTTACATGACATGTATCTAGATACTGGGCTCTTCTCACTGTTTGTCCAGATGTTTTATGCTATGTAGCTTTCATAGTATTGATTAGAAATGGAAAAGATTAGAGGCTAGATAAGAGCATGGTGGCAGAGGGTGTGGAGCTTTAGGAGTAGGCCTTTTTTTTTTCTTTTGCAATGCATCTTTGAAAGAAAGCAGAAGGGAAATATTTGGAGCTCGTAGGCTGGGGCTGTTAGGAAAAGAGTGGCTTAGATGTAGGTAAATAAGAAAATGGAACCAGACTGGAGCGATCTGCTTCGAGTTACCATTGGTGGGATTGGGTAGGAGAGTTGATGTACTTCTGAGATCTCACCCACTACTCTTAACCCTGCAGGGAAAATAGTGGGTTTTTTTCCCTTAGTAATGCTAAGTTTACGCTGATCTTTCTCTTACCTATCCATCTGAGTCAGCCTGTGTTTCCTCTGTAAAAAGGATAGGATTTTGGCATCTACACTGAAAAACTAGATGAAATGATCACATGCACTGCTTATTATATTAAATCATATTATTATTAAAAGCATTGAATCTGTTTTTGATAATATTGACTCTTCAAATAATACATGATTTATTTGCACACTCTGCAGGGATGCTAGGTAGCACCATTGCAGTGAAGCATCTCTTCAACTTGATTGATCTTGGTAATGACAAAAGACACAGAGAACAGGTGTGAAAGATATTGCTTGGTTCACTAAGGCGTGGGCTAAATCAAGAGAATGCTCCCTTTCCTCCATCCAACCCAAGGATACCATGGGCTCATGGCTGGCATTAGGCTGAACATGTTCTTGCCACACGTAGTCATTGGCGCTGAAGCCCTTCACCTATTTCAGGCTGCCCAGCCTCTGACCAGGAAGGCACACTTCAGAGAGTGGTATCTGGAATGAGTTTTTCCCTCACAATCCTGGTATGTAGGTTTCCGGGGGGTGAGTCCCATGTATTTCTTTCCTACTGAACCACCACTGCCAACCAATGGTTTTATTAGTTTAATATTGTTATTTTAATAATTTAGTATTATAAACAAAATTTAAATTTGTTAATTTGTCTTCTGTGTCTGCTTAGCTGCCTTATGAACATTAAAAATCCTGACACAAAACCTTCGAGGTCAGCATGAGCTTCCCATTTTCCAGTAAGAGGGTGGTGCCACATGCTCAGCTCATATGGCCAGTGGGTTCAAGAGCCAGACTGTGAATGCAAGACTGTCCGATTTCAAAGTCAATCTCCTTATGCTTCACTGTGCTTCTCTTAAGTGTCAACAAGCAGGCCTAATCCGTATGACCCCAGTTCAGTGTGGGTTTCTGGTTTAGTTCTCCAATTCCTTTACCTGGGTTAAAATTCGGCTTTAAACCTTAGCCCACTAGCATGTGGAGAGCCTGGAGAGTTCTTGTCAAGCCCCTCATTGTTGGTTGTCTGGATCAATTTTTTTTTCTTACTTCTTAGTGAGTGGCTGGAGTCTTATGCCAACTGGATAAAGTTATTGGAACCAAGATGGTACCAGCTGATTGATTAGCAGTATGCCCCCAATGGAATTGCCTGTGCTGCTGCTCCTTTCATGAGTTGGGGGCTCACCTTGGCTATCTATGCCAGCCGAAATCAAGATTGGGTTGAGTACACTTCTTTGCTCTGTGTGTGTGTGTGTGTGTGTGTGTGTGTGTGCTTAAAATATATTTTAATATATCAAATATATTTAATATATGTAAATATGTAATATATAAAATATTTAATATTTTATTATATATAATAATCTATATTTAATATATTTATTTTTTTTGGTAAGGATAATATAGGCATGATTGGATGTCTATTTACCAGTCTTGATTCCTGCCATATCTCAGCACCTGAACAATGTTTGGTTTCCATTTGTTGGATGAAAATGGATAAGGTTTTGCTTTGAGCATCATCTGGGTACCTGGTCCAAGCTCCACCCCCCATTCTGCCTCAGTAGGTCTGAGGTGGGACTCAGGAATCTGATGTCTTCCTCTCCTGAGCTTCCTTTGATGTTCATTTGAGCTGAGTCTGACAGTTCTTCAGTGCAGTGGGGAAGGGGTACAGTAATATAGAGTGACTTTTTTTTTATCCTTTCTCCATCCTCCCTTCGTGCCTTAAGGAATTGCTTTGATAATTATAAAGATATAGCACTAAAGCTCTTTCTAAATATATGTAGTGGGTTATACATTGATTCATCTTCAGGCCACTGTTTTTCCCTAAACTACGAAAATTCAAGGTTAGGCTGCTTTAATTAACATACTAAAACTTGCCTTAGAAAGCTTATTTCTAGTTTAATGTCATTTAATTCAATCCCTGATTCACAGGGCTTCAGGCAAATAACTCCCGATCTCCAGTTATTTTATCTCCAAAGAGGAAAATGCCTTTTAAGGGGTGCCTGTGGAACACAGTGGCACACAGGACACTGGCAGGGTCCATAGATCCTTCTTAACATTCCCCGTGTGGTCATCACTGGTCAGATGTCAGAATCCTTGATGCCAGTTTTTCAAAGTAGAAATAGCAAATGTTTGGGGGATAATTAGATAGTAAGTCTTTGCTCATTCGTCATTTCATTGTATGCAAGTTAAGTATGTAACATTTATTTCCCATGGTGTCCTTGCCCCTATAGGCTCTCTCTCACTATGACTGCTGTGCTCTAGGACACACTGAAGACAGCCACAGTGGTCAGCAGACAGGGTAAATCAGTGAGACAGGCCAGGTGTGTGACAGCAGGGAGCGGTGGAGATGGTGGCGGTATGGAGGAGCATCATCTCTCATCTCTTGGATGTCTTTGGGGCAGTATTCAGGACACTGGGAGATGGCCTCTGGAGGAGGAACAGAGAGAAATGCAGGAAAAGGAGGGGATGGGATGCGAGACTTACTTTTCATTTTGTGCTCTTTCATATTGTTTGAATTTTAAAAATAAACAGAATCATTTTTAAAATGAAATGAAAGACTCTGTAGACAATCACATCTGATGGTATAACCTGGGATGTGTGCTACAAGAGTCCTGTCCAATACAGCAGCTATCCAAAAGAAACAGAAGGCAAGCTACATCTGTAATTTTTAAATTTTCTAGTAGCCACATTAATGAAACAAAACAGTGAGATTAACATTAGGAGTTTATTTCATGTAACCCAATATATCCAAAATATTATTTCAACATGTAATCGATATAATAATTATGAATGAGGTGTTTTATATTCATTTTTCATAAATCTTGGAAATTTAATATGTATTTTATACTCAAAACACATTACAATTCGAACTCACCACATTTCAATCGCGGCATGTGGCTAGTGGCTGCCATACTGGAAGTGCAGCCTGGTCGGGTCAGTCTTCCTTCCCAAGCTGCCCTCCCTTATGCGAACACAGCTATATTAAGGAGTGGCCGGCTGGGCAGCTGCTGAGGATACCAGGCTCTGAGGAGGCTTAAACACTCCATGAATAAATTAGGCATCTAATGCCAGTAACTTATATTTGTTTCCTACCCCCAAAACAGACAGATAGCCCTCTATCTGTTGAGGTTTTTTTCTTTTTGAGTGTGTGATTCATATTGCAAGTTTTATGGGCCAACCACCCTGGGAGCAGCCAAGTGACAGTTGCCTGGGTTGGCAGTTAGAATCTATTGATGTTGAAACTCAGTAGTGCATAGCTTAGTGCTATTTACTAGGAATACATAATGTGTCCCATTATCTAAATTATAAACCTCTTAATATCTCTCCTAAGAATTTGGTTGAATCTGAAAATCATTTAAAAAAACTGAAAAGATAAATGACATAAAAGTGGGAAACCTTTTGTTCACAGGTATATTTGTTGGGAGATGATGGAAGAATTCCCAGGGGCTTTCATTTCACTGCTTCTTCCTCCTCCCAAGATTACCTAATCCTTGCTCCCATCTTGAAGGTCAATCATTTATTCTATTCATCAAAGCTCCTAGTTTTGTCAGTTAATGACTATGCATTTGGTATTTCACATTGCTGTCCAGTTTTCAAGTATTTGCATTTCTCAGTGGCTCTGCAAGTGTAATGAACATTTGCTGTGCCGTGGAAGCAAGGCGTAGGGTCCTAAACTGATATATAGACATCATCCACAACCAAAATCCAAACAGGTCTCTACCCTTCAGGCACTTATTATTGGATTTACCACTGATGCTATTTACAACTGAAGCCCTTAACAAGTGAGGTGTGACCATAGAAAAAGACACCAGTTTCTAGAAACTGCATGCATCCTTTCTAGAAGCAAGCAACCAAGGAGACTGCATTTTCTAACTAGAGATCATATCTAGATATACTAATAATAATAATCCATCAATATCACTACCATCTACAGAGCTCTATATGGCTGCAACTATGCATGCATTAGCAACTTGATCCTTGCCACTACCTCATGAAGTGGATATTTTTATTATCACCATTTGATGAAGAAACTGAGGCTCAGTGAGGGTAAATAGGCCACAGATCTGTAAGTGTAATAGATAATACATGTGAAAGAGCCCATGCCTGGTGAGCTGCTGTATTGGCTGTAAGGAGGAGAGATGATTTTTGTCCATGGGTACTGGGGCATTTCCTGGAGGAGTAGGCATTTGAAATGGGTGTTGGAGCATGGGTTATTGGCTCTAAGGAGGAGAGATGATTTGTGTCCAGGGGTACAACAGGCATTTCCCAGAGGAGTGGGCATTTGAAATGTGTCTTTGAGCACGGGTAGGATGTAGGCATCTGGAGATGCCTAGAATAGGGAATAAAATCAGTGAAGACTTGGGAATGGGCAAATATAAGGCACACAAAGGGAGTGGCAATTGTCATGAGTCCAGTGTTCCCAGAGTGATTGGAACAGGAGCAGCTGCGGGGAGGGGTTTGCACAGAAGATCGGTGACAGTAGGTGCCAAACACCCACTGTGTGACAGATTCTTTGCTAGGGCTTCACATAGTTCTATTATTTACTTTCCACCAAAATCTGTATGGTAGGAAGTATTACTATCTCTGAGTCACAAATAAGGAACACCAGACTCTGAGGGGTTAAATAACTTGCTCAGGTCATACACTAGCAAGAAAAGGAGGGAGAATTTGAATGCACATCTGTCCAACCCTTTCCACTGCAAAATGAAACAAATCATGTTTTAAAAAGACACTTTTCCGAGGAAATAATGTCCTGCTTTTATGCTCTGCCCTGTGACACCAATTCTCCAGAGTTGCTACATTTCTATATCGAGGCAAGCCCCCACTCTTGGTGCCTCCTCTGTGATGTGCATCCCCACCTCCACTCCCACCGCACCTCTTTCAATGGTCTTCTCCCTCTTGCCTGGTCTTTGCCTAATAGGAATAAAACATAAAAATCAAAACCCAAGAAAAGCCCAATGTCATGATTATCAAGTAGCTCACAGCACCAGCTAGGATTTTACCTTAGGGGTGAGAAGATTTATATTGCAATAATCAATATCTCAGAAATATGTGGCTCACTTTCTGCAACTGACATTCCATTTCATGGCTTCAAAGCAATGGTTACATCAGCCAGTTTGCGTCTTTAATATAGTGAAATGCCTACTGAGGGAAGTCGGTGGAGCATGTGCTGTGGGGGTGGGGAGTCTTTATTGCCATCTAATGACCCTAAAATCAGCTCTCTGGTTATCCAGCACGGGAAAGCAAATGGAACCTTCCATCTCATCCATGACAAAAGTATTGAGTGGTTCTGAAGTTATTTGTACAATTGATCCAGCTAATATCAGGAAAGCATGTTCACCAGATGAATTAGAGACAATTAAATGCAATTCTGTGCTCCTGTTTTCTATACACAGAAGACAATCATAAACCCAGAGGGTCCAAATGAAATCATCTGACCCATTTTAACACCCTTTCCGTCCCACATTCACCATTCTAGTCCACTGAAAAGCCTCTCAGATTTCCACTCGATGAGGTGATTTCATGGTGCATTTCTGCTATGCAATCCCCCTACCTCTTTTACTGTCAATGAACTTAAATGCTCACAGCAAAACTTATTTTCATGAGTTCCTTTCAGTTGCTTATATACACACACACACTTAGCAGAGTAACCTTTCCTTCTTCTCCTTCTTCACCTCTGACATACACTCATTCAACAATTTAAAGAAATTCCACCTCCTAAAAACCCTCTGTAATCTGCCCATTCTCTCTGTCTCTGCTAATGTATCTTATTCTATCCCTCATCTTATTCTGACCCCTCCTCTCTGTCCCCCAGACATGGCCCAACTTAAGCCCTTATTTTACCATATTTCCTGAAATATGCCATAGGTTGTGAAATATATCCTGATTTTATGAACCACCATGAAAGTAAAAAAAAAAAAACTCTACAAATAAAATAAAATAAAATAAAATATGCCATTGTTTGTAGGAGGCCTCCTAAAGAGATGTTGAAACATGAAAAAAATGTGCATCTTAAATGGATGATACACAGTATCTCTATGAAACTCTTATCATTGTCTCCTGACTGCTCATGCCAACAATCTTGTAGTGGCACAACAGGCCCTTCACAATCAGGCTCTGAGCTGCATCTCCTTTTCCTAGGCTTGCAAAGCCCCTTCTCATTTGTCAAGACCACCTCCTCAAAGTCCTTTGAAACCCCACAGGCTTGGTGATGATGCTTCCCTGAGTTCCTATGACTTCCTTAACTTAAGCGTAATAACACATAAACATAGCTTTGTAATTATCTGCCCCCATGTCCCACTATGAGAAATCCTTGGAGAAAAGGCTATGTGTCTCCTTCACCTCCATATCCCCAGTCCCTGACACAGGACAGGGCAGGTCCTCCTTGAATTGCTGAATGCAATGGACTGTGTGATACATGTAGCTTCTGAACCTAGTCACTAGAGGGCAGTGTGGAACCATCCCATTGCCCACAACTGCGGTTCCCCAAGAATCTAGGTTGCAGAGGTTGTAGGAAGCTGGCCTATGGCTGAGAGCCTAGGAGGCTACATGACTCCAAGGGCCCAGTACCATTCTGCAGAATCGACCCTGAGGATGCTCCTAGCATCTCCGTATTTCTTGCCAGCCTGCCCACTAGGTGCTTTCAAGTGGCTGCCTCAGCACATTTCTTGATTAAGAACCAAATGCTCTTCCTAGCTCTCCACCTATAGGGATGGGGGCAGAGGCCACAGAGAGGGAAATAAACGTCTCCTTAACATCCCCATTCTCATTTCTAATAAAGGCAGGCTTACTGTGAAGGGCCTGCAATATAACTGCTCCACTTTGAAGAACAACAGGTAGCAGCATCAATATTTGATTTTTAAAAGGTTGTGTGAACAGTTTTAAATATTAAAGATAAAGGCAAAGACTTAGATCATCTTTTTATCTCAGCAGTTGAAGATTTTAAATGAAAAATGGTGCTAATGAGCAGAATAAGACTGTTCACCCATCAAATGGTATCTGGTTGCAATAAAGCAAAATCATTTTGGGGTTGGGGGGAGAAGGGGTGGGAAGCAATATCTGTACCAGAGAAGTTTTCTGTTCATTATCTCTGTAATGAGAGAAAAATAAAGCCACTCTGCTGGAGTAACTTTCTTCTATCTCATCGTGGGCTGTTTAGCTCCCTCAATGAGTGGTCTGGGACAGGCTCCGAGAAACCTCATAAATTAACTATCCAACTTCCTGGCTAATGAGCCCAATATGTCAATTTCTAGTGATCAAAATGATGCAATTCAATACAGCACAGTTCATTTTGTAAGGAAATATACTCTTAATAGAGAGAACTGCAGGGTCACCGTCTTCCCAAGATAATTATGGGCCAGAGAATTAGAGGCGTGGAGCTGTACTTACTGTCTGGAGATATCCCATGGGGTTTGTGTGGCAGATATTGTCTTTCAGGGACAATAAATTCCTTCATTATATTTCCATTACTGCATTAATGCAGCGATCTCCATTTTAGTTGTAACCAAGAAGGCTGGTTATTCCTGAAACTTGGCATTTAATGCTAATGAGAGCTTGCAAGGCAGGCAGCTCCCTGTGTGTGTGTGTGTGTGTGTGTGTGTGTGTGTATGTGTGTGTGCATGCATGTGTTTAGGGGGGGTTGGGTATAGACAATCCAGCAGAAATGTCAAGAACTAGAAGGTACCAGGGAGAGTCTGGAGGGCTGAGATGGCTCTGACCAGACAGACAGATGGATATCTGGAAGAGTCAGGGGTAAGTAGTCTGAGAGCCAAGAGTAAATTACAGCTGAAGAGAGAAGCTGAGATCACTACGAGGTAAGCAGTGCCAAGTGTGAAATCCAGCCTGAGAAAGCAGGTGGTCCTGAAGGTGAAACAAACAGATGCAATTCAAAAACAGGAATGCCGGGCAGCAAAAGGGTTCAGGAATGCTCGGAAGTAAGCAATGGTGCTGTAAACTCATCCTAATTCAGGGTTGCCTACGAGGTATGAGAAAAAACCAGGCACTTGGTGGTGGAGCCAAAGGCAGCCCTAGCCAATGATATCTCTTTAAAAGGCTCCAGCTCAAGGTAGACCCTCTAAGAGCAAGGACTCCATGTTCAGGCTTGCTGGAATTGCTTGATTCTATAATCTGCACCCCAAAATAAGGTACTTATTTGGTTTTAAAGTTAGAAGTGGATGAAAATGAATTCCACAAGTCTCCATGTGAGAGCTGATGAAGCTCCAGCATGCTATCTAACCATGCTGGAAGGCTCTGATCTGGCAGGGAGAACCAGGTGGGAAATACTGGTTTCACTAGCATTTTTCAACTTGATTCCAGTGGAGTGGACAGGCAACATAGTAGGAGAAAGGACAGCTCCTGGGGTCAGGTTCAAGTTCTGGCTCCTTTGCTCTTAGCTTCATGGTGTTGGGCAGGTTGCTTAACTTCTCTGAGCTGTGGTTTCCTTAGCTGACATTTAATTTGCTGGGCAATCTATCTATTTGCAGGGAAGTGGGGAGATAAATGAATATGTCAGTTTGCTTATTTTTGCTTATTTTTATTTCTCCAACACCAAAGATAAGAAAAAATAAGTTATAAACAGAATCAGGATTCTTTCCCTTGAAGCAATTCTTATCTAAAATGGACTTTAGTCAGGAAAGTAAGGTTGCTGTTAACTCAAGTAACTTGGGAAAATAATTGTGAAAAGAAAAATTTTCCATGAATCAGAGAGCTCAAAATTATAATATGTTAATTAGGAAGTGTTTACTTAAGGTGAGAAGTGGATTGTGCTAAGTTCAACATCCTGCCAGAGGTCCTCGATAGGCAATGACTGGCAATGCCCGTTAGCTTGCTCCATCCTTGCAATAAAACTCATTGTCCAGAAGTCTTGGGAGGTGCCTTGGTAGAGATCAGTTGCTATTTAAAAAATCTCTAACTGTTGACTTTTACCTTGTCTTGGCCATTGACTAAATCCAACTATTGTGCACTGAGTGTTTACTAACTGCAAGTTCATTTTAAATGTTCTCTCATTTGATCTTTATAATAATTGCATGAGGAGGATTTAATTATGCCTGTATTTAGAGATGAGAAAACTGAGGCTCAGGGAGTTTAGCTTAATCACATGGTTAGCTACTAATAGAAGAAGAGGGGAGTTTCACACTCATACTTCATTCATCATTAGGTGGATTTCATATCTCACATTATTTTTAGTACTCATCCTCAGTGACTCTGGCTTTGAGCCTCTTAAATTTGTAAAACAAACTTGATATTTTGGAATAATTTCAGTAGGTCTGCAGAAAAGTTGCAAAGATAGTACACAGATTTCCATATATCCCTCACCCAGCTTCCCCTAATGTTGACATCTTATGTAATCATTGTACATTTGTTACAACTAATAAGGTAATATTGTTTCACCACTATCAACTAAACCAGTGATCCCCCACCTTTTTGGCATCAGGGACTGGTTTTGTGGAAGACTATTTTTCTAGGGATCTAGGGGTGGGGGGACAGCTTTGGGATGATCGAAGCACATTACATTTATTGTGCACTTTATTTCTATTATTATTACATTGTAACATATAATGAAACAATTACACAACTCATCATAATGTAAAAGCAGTGGGAGCCCCGAGCTTTTTTTTTTTGCAACTAGATGGTCCCATCTGGGGGTGATGGGAGACAGTGACAGATCATCAGTCATTAGATTCTCATAAGGTGGACACAACTCAAATCTCTCACATGCTTAGTTAATAATAGGGTTCATGCTCTTAAGAGAATCTAATGCTGCCACTGATCTGACAGGAGGTAGAGCTCAGGCAGTAATGTGAGCATTGGGGAGTGGTCCATGGCCTGGGGGTTGGGGAGCGCTGAACTAAACTACAGACTTTATTTGGATCTTACCAGTTTTTTCACTTATGTCTGGTTTCTATTCCAGAATCCAAGCCGGGATACTACATTGCATTTAGTGACTCTCAGTTTTAACCTGATTATTTGCCACAATTTCCTTCGGGAAAAGTTCGGGGTAGGGATAAAGGCTAACATTTTTTGTAGCCTGGATCCACATAAAGATGTGCTTTTTTTTTTTTTTTCTTGTTTATCTTTTATTTTGCTTCTGGTAGCAGCAGTTCTTAAAACTCATGGCACACGACACTTTCATTTTGGCCTGGGATCTTGGCCTGCTTGTACAATAGCTGCAAAGGTTTGGGATTGAGATTCAGCTTTCAAAAGCGACTCTCCATCACTGTCTTCTTTCAAGGACAGGAAATTTCAAATCAACTTTGGGCTTTACCATTCAGTGTGCCAAACATTCCTGAAGTTTCTACGATTGCCAATAAATAAGACATTCCATCATCTTTAAGACATCAAATCTTCTGATAAATTGAATTTCATAAAATATTGCTCTATTGATCTTAGTGCTCAACTTTCAATAAGGCAAGCCAGCAAGAGTTGCTGGCTGGTACTTTTTCTGCAATGAGGATGTCATCTGCTTACATGGGGAGAGACATTTATGAGGCCAGGGTTCCTGACTTTAAATTTCAGTTCCTGGCACTATATCAAGTCCACAGTGATGACAGTTACCTTCTCTCCATTGCTGCTGCTTTAACTTTATAGAAAACTTTGCTTATGCTTATTAAACAATGTGGCACAAACCCTGTGAGGCTACACTGCAAGTCATGTAAGCTAGTACTTGGCACATAGTGGGTATGTGATCTCTGTTAAAGCTCTCTTTCCAGCTAGGACAAAGGAAAATCAAACTTGTCTCAAAACTCAATTTTGAGAGTTCATCTCGTTTTCAGAAAGGAAAGGGCCAATGATGAAAACTGATGACATGGCAAGACTGAGAAGAAAAAAACACAGTATTTCTTCTCCACACGGTTTTTCCAGGGCTGCTCTTGAAATTGTCTGCAATGATGTGCATGTATTTTTTTTAATTTTAAAAACAAATAACATTTTTATACTTTTATAATGACAACATGTCTTGAATGCCATCTGTTCTTGCCATTTGTTAAGGCAACTCAATGAGAAAACAGCATTCGGATGACTAATATTTAGCCTGCTCATAGTTTTTAAAATGGATGGACAGATTCCCTTGAGATTACACCCCAGGATCCATGGCAAGCTGGTGGGGTGGGAGAGCTGAAGGTGGAGTTTTTGCCACTACTGGGCACACTGGGTCACTCACCCAGCATTTCTTAAGCAATCACAAGGTGCCAGGCAGTGTGCTAGAACTAGAAATATAATACAAAGATAAAAGAGAGACTCATCTCTCTTGTGGGGACTGAGGAGTAAATACACAATTCTGTACAAAATGGTAAGTGCTAAGACAGAGGTTTGCAAAGGGACGTAGTGAAATATGTAGAGGAAGTTAATGACTCACACCGTGTGTGTGTATTTGGGGGTGATGGGGAGTGGGTTAAAGGGTACTCAGAAACATTTCTGGGAAGGAAATAAAACCCTGACATCAGTCTAGCAGAATTGGTAGACATCAGCTATATGTAAAAGGGGGTGGATTCAGGCTCACATAAATCCTATGAGACCAGCACAGTGCATCAAAGATATATTTCCAGTCATCCTTCTGTTTGAACTAGACCAGAGAAAAAGTGTATTCAATATAGCTAGTGAGTTAAACACTACTTCCTGGGCACTCACCAGTGCATCCTAAAACGGTTGATCAACATGAATTGATTGTTCAGCCCCAGACCAGGTAAAGAGGGGATATAAGAGAAGCCAACGTGGTTGATGATGGGAGGGCAGCCGCAATTCAGCCACAGGCAATGATCAAATAGCAATGTGGGGCAGTGTGTAAATATGGGGGTCCATTTATGCTCAAGAAATGGGTGCATCCTCTGTTACTCTGAGGCCATAAAGTTGCTACTCTGAGTCTTTTTTAGGCCAGTTGCTGGAGGATCTGGTGTAGAAAGGCTAGACAGGAAGGAGATCTAGGAGGCTTCCTCCCAAATCTAAGATTCTATATCTCTGTTGCTCTTTTATAGGACTGAGGTTAAACCTTTTAAAAATAGCCTCTGTAGTTTTTTTTTTTTCCCTAGAGCTATTTGGGTGTGCCTGTCTGTTTTTAATTCATAAGAATGCACAGTAGCTGCACATTGTAAAATGCATTCCTGACACCCTCCCCGCCCCGCCCAGAAATAAAAAGCTTTCCAGGCATGACTTCTACGTTATTCTCTAAATCATAGTTATCTGTGGTGACCAGCAAGTTACCAAATATGGCTATAATATCCTATGTTTTCTCCATATGCTATGGAGAAACAAAGAACCCCTAAACAATGAAAACTAAGGAGACACAAACCCTCCCCCGAGACCCTAGGCTTGGAGGGGCACGAAATAATACCACCATTAATACTAATATTTGCTAAACTGTATTGTGCAAATTTGCTCAACTGTTTCCTCTGTTTCCTATGTGCAAGACCCTGTGCTGAGCACAGTATCTCACTGAGTCATCACAGTAATCCTGTGAGCTGGTACTGATTGTATTAGGCTGTTCTTGCATTGCTATACACAAATACCTGAGGCTGGGTAATTTATAAAGAAAAGAGGTTTAGTTGGCTCATGGTTCTGCAGCTTGCAGAGGAAGTGTAGCACTGTCATCAGCTTGGATTCTGGGGAGGCCTCAGGGGGCCTTTATTCATGGTGGAGGGCAAAGAGGGAGCAGGCATCTCACATGGCCAAGTGGGAGCAAGAGAGAGATAGTGGTGGGGGAGGTGCCACACACTTTTACAAAGACCAGATCTCAGCCGGGCGCAGTGGCTCACGCCTGTATTCACAGCACTTTGGGAGGCTGAGGCAGGCAGATCACGAGGTCAAGAGATCGAGACCATCCTGGCCAACATGGTGAAACCCCATCTCTACTAAAAATACAAAAATTAGCCTGGCGTGGTGGTGCATGTCTGTAGTCCCAGCTACTCAGGAGGCTGAGGCAGGAGAATCGCTTGAACCCAGGAAGCGGAGGTTGCAGTGAGCTGAGATCGTACCACTGCTCTCCAGTCTGGCGACAGAGTAAGACTCCGTCTCAAAAAAAAAAAAAAAAAAAAAAAAAAGACCAGATCTCCTGTGAACCCAGAGTGAGAGCTCACTCTTCACCAAGCCATTCATGAGGGATCCACCCCTATGATCCAAACACCTCCCACTAGGCTCCATCTCCAATACTGGAGATTATATTTCAACGTGAGATTTGGACTGGGACAAATATCCAAACTATATCACTAATGTTACACTTGTTTTATAGATGTGAAAAGGTGCTCCTTATAATGGAGGATGATTGACCTGTCCAAAATCACAGAGCAAGATGGTGATAAAATCAGGTCACCAAGCCAGGCTTGCCCAGTGCTAAGACTTCTCCCTATTATATCACCTCCCAGAATTAAGACAATGGAGTTTTCCCATGCCACACCCAGCATTGCCTACTCTCTGTAATGGCTATGTTGGGTCTGGAGACTCCGATTTTCCATGAAACTCAGTAGTCATACACTTGGAAATCTCAAGTTCTGCCTTTCCCCCTTTTGGCATGGGTGGCTGTCCCACTATGTCTCAGCCTTGCCACTTCTTCCTAAATCTGAGAAAGTGAATGTTAGCCAGCCCTGACTCTTTCCTGTTGACTTAGCAAGCACTGATTGAACTTGTACTTGGAACAATGGTTTCCTAGGTTCTGAGTGGCAGAATGGGGCAGGAGGGGAGGAGACCAGTGAGGCGAGGCTTGACCAATACCAAGCTGGCTAACATCAATATGGCTCTTTACCATTTTACAGAGAGTGTTCACACACTCATTCTCCTATGGTTCCCACACAGGAATCTCTGAAGTAGGAGCAGGCATCCCATCTCACAGGTGAGGACAAAGCCTCTCACAGAGTGTATGTGCCTCATCTGTGGCCACGTGCTCTGCAGAATCAGGGTTCAATTACCATCCCTGTGATGCCTCGTGGAGTGCTCTGCATTGCTGCTGGAATCCTATGTCTCCTCCTACTTACTTTCCTCTATTTCATTCTCATACATAGCTGAACCTCTCTGTGCCTCACTTTCCTCATCTGTATATGGGGAGAACAATAGTGGCTACTGTTTTGTTGTGAAGATTAAATAAGGTAATACATGTAAAGATAGTTGAAAGAGTACATAACACATAATAATTACTTAACAAACATTAGGTACTCATAGTTACTATTAACAATTACTAGTATTACCATTACTGCTGATACTATGATGCACACACAAGTAACAATTATAAAGATATATGCAAATAAATGCAAATGAGTATATGCACTTGCTTATTATTTTACAATGAAAGTGCTGAATGATACGAAGCAAAAAAAAGTGATATAAAATAAGATTTCCTAAACTTGGCTGTTTTTGATATATATATATCCCTAACATTTCATGTTTCAGTAATTAAGGCCATGAAGAGAACTAAAATATTGACTAAATCCTGGAGGAATTTCCAAATGGGAATGATGGAAAGACAGACACAGAGACAGGCCAGCCACCACAGCCACCAGGTTAAAATGAGGGAAGGCCTACAATT
Source organism: Homo sapiens (assembly GCF_000001405.40). Taxonomy (NCBI): domain Eukaryota; kingdom Metazoa; phylum Chordata; class Mammalia; order Primates; family Hominidae; genus Homo; species Homo sapiens. The sequence goes on from NC_000017.11 coordinate 51,772,624, forward strand.
GCCATGGGAACAGAGAAGACAAGGAGAGGGAAAAGAGAGAAGCATTTTTTTTTTTTTGAACTAGGCCAGCTAACACAGTTATGTAACTTAATTGTCATAACTGTCATGTGAGATACATGGTATTAGCCTCATTTTACAAATGTGGAAATTGAGACTCAAGTTCAAGTACCTTGTTGAAGTCACAAAATGAAATGGAATTTTAACAGACTTTTACTCTAAAACCCATGCTTTCTCTACCTCTCTACCACCAACAGAAGCTTCTGGGGAGCACCTCGGGAGACAGCCTTTTGATGTCTCCCTTCTCTGGGCTCTTAGAGCACTTAGCATCTCTGTAATTCATGCACACAACACTCACACACAGCATGCATTGCTTTATGTGCACACCAGCAAGTGATCCCTACCACCAGGCCATAAGCTCCTTCAAGACAGAGTCAGCATCTTAGTTGCTTTTCTATTTCCTACCTGACTAACATATTGACTTGTACATGGTAAGTATCTGTTGAGTAACCTAGTAGAGAAGAGAGATTCTATGATATAAAAGACTGAGGAGAATGCAAAAGCTTTCATAATCAAAGGTTGCTCAGTGTGTAGAACATTCTGGAAGCCAGGTTGGAGTGATACATTCCCAACCCTGGTTATAGAGGACTGACTCAAGTATGGATCCTTTACTGCAGCTGAGCTGCTCAGATAATTGTCTTTCTTATTTGGGACTAGGACTAGGGAGATTACATCTGGGGTAGTCTCTTAGAGACAGGGGATGTAAACTGAGGCTTTGTGGGCTAGTCATCTCCTGTCTGAGAAGCAGAGAGAAGGATGAAGTAGACATTCAGTAGGAAGACACCCTCAGAGCCTGGTGGAGAAGTTGCTAGATTTCTGCAGGATTATCATCATGGAAAGGATCTCACTGGGCCTTTGAAGCCAGATTGCTCAGGTCTAAATCTTGGTTCTGCTCCTTATAATCAGTGTGACCACGGGAAAACTGTTTAACCAGCCCATGCCTCAGTTTACCCCTCTGTGAAATAAAGATGAGAATACCTTCCTCAGGGTGCCATGTCATGTGCTTCAGCACAGTGCTGGATGCATAATACAACTTCGATGAACTGTAGCTATCATTTTAATGTTGGGCCTCCATTTGATTCTTTTGTGCTTTCCATCTGAATGTTTCAGGCATCTTGTATACTTTTTCCTTCCTGCTTTCAGAACTCTCAGAAGTCCAATTGCTACTTGCAACACAAAGCAAATCAAGTTGGCTCGGTTGCTGGTAGACAGACCTGTCTCTTCGGTGGTTTCTGCCTGAGCATATTTATCAGCTACTAGCCAGAAACACACACCTGTATTATTATAAGTGGCACCCCAGGTCCCAGCACATTTCAAAGCACAGACTCTTCTCTCCTTCTAAGGAGAAGGGCCTCTGCTTCTTTGTTCTCTTTGATTCTCAGGGCTTCTTATTAATTTGGTATAGGGCTGGGGATATTAATGTCCTCTTGTTGTCAAGAACATTCTCCAAAGTCATGAATAATCACGTTGTCATGCCTGTGTGACTTAAAATACAAAAGGTGCAATTTATGCAAGTTTTAAAGTTACTTTTTCAAAAGAGTTCAACCCATGAAGCTGTCAGGCTGTCAGAATGTAAGCACCAAACTAGAACCTTAGCACTTACTTATGAATTTTCAAAGGACTTTAGCACATTTTTAATTAGCTTCTCCCCCTGCCCGCAAGCCTGCAAAACAATCTGTTTGGCTATTATATTCTGTGAGTGGGGTAGCAATATAATGCTAGATTGGTGGGAGGGGTGAGTGGAAACCTTGCTTCATTTAAGGTCTTTTTTTTTTTTGAGGTGGAGTCTCGCTCTGTTGCCCAAGGTGGAGTGCAGCGGTGCGATCTCAGCTCACTGCAACCTCCACTTCCCAGGTTCAAGCAATTCTCCTGCCTCAGCCTCCCTAGTAGCTGGGACTACAGGCGCACACCACCACATCCGGCTAATTTTTTTTTGTATTTTTAGTAGAGACGGGGTTTCACCGTGTTGCCTAGGCTGGTCTCGAACTCCTGAGATCAGGGAATCCACCTGCCTTGGCCTCCTGAAGTACTGGGATTACAGGCGTGAGCTACTGTGCCCAGCCCACTCAAGGTCATCTTCTAGGCTTCAAGGCCATGGGCCAGAAACCAGTTTTTTCAAGTAATTTTTATTTTTATTAAAAGATAGTTGAGGAAAGAAAGCAGGATGCCAGCCAGCCAGCCAAGATACATGCAGAGGTTTTTAATACATACATCCTATAGTTACGCACCATTTCTCCAAGCACTTATAAGTACCCCAATTCACCTGACCCTCCCAACAGTGCCATTTATTCCCCTCCTCTTACAGATGGGTAAGCAGGTTCCCAGGCCTTGGGAGACCATTGTTCCCCATACCTCCTGACTCATGACAAGGGACTGTTCCCAGAGAAACACTTCTGGACTCTCTGCCCCATTCTCACTCCTCTAAAGGGGGAGGGGCATACTTCTGAGACTGGTGACTTGAGTGAAAGGACTGGGCCTGTGAAGCTCAGTGCCATGCTATCTGCTCTGAAAGGCCTGCTCACAGAGAGGGCACAGTCTGGTTTACTCTCTTGGCTGTGCTGGGACTTCAGTGGTAAAGACCTGTCCTCACTGAGGTCAGCCTGATGGTTTAGGGTAAGTTTAATTTGGGGTGATGGTGTGGACAATGCTCTCAAATTCACTTTGCAGCATATGTTAGCTGGATCCCCTACACAGTTTTCATCATCCATAAAGCTAACGTTTTGGCTTTCACCTGACTCCTGGGTCTTTCTCTTAATTTAAGCCATGCAGGGTACAAGGGGGGTGGGTAGGGAATGTTATTTACTATAGCCATCTCCAACACAAGTAAGAATCTATTGTAAATAGCAAAGCTGTTCTTTTATTTATTCCACACATATTTATTGTGTATCTACTATGTGTCAGGGCCCAGGTTTTAAATAAGAGTCCTCATCAAGTATGTATTTTAGTGGTGGAGAAAGGCATTTAACAATGAAATGCACAATTACATGGCAATAAGGACAAAGCAAAGAAGCGTGGGATGCTGGGAGAATGTCTAACAGGGAGCACGACATAGTCTTGTCTGGAAGTTGAAGGTTGTTTTCTCTGAGCAAGTAATATTTAAACAGGACTCAGGGATTAGCAGGAAGAGGCCAAGCAGAGTATGTATGTGGGGAAGAATGAGGGATGATCTCTTCACGTGGTACTTGGGAACCTGAAGGGAGGCAGGTGTGGCTGAAACAGAGAAACAGAAGGGGAATGGGACATATGGCAAGATGCAGCTGGTAAGGTAGGCCAATTGTGCAGGATCTTGTGGGTCAGATTGAGAATACCCTAGGTGTTTTCTAAGGTCTAGAGAAGATCTTAGAAATGAGAAGCCATTGAAAGCCTTAAAGCAAGAGTGAGATACACTGAGATTTGGCTTTCACAAAGGTCACCCTAGCTGTTGTGTAAAGAATGGATTAGAGCTGAGGCAGGCAGATCACCTGAGGTCAGGAGTTTGATACCAGCCTGACCAACGTGGCAAAAGCCTGTCTCTACTAAAAATACAAAAATTTAGCTGGGCATAGTGGTGCATGAGCCTGACCTGGTGTGAGTAGCCCCAGCTACTCGGGAGGCTGAGGCAGGAGAATCGCTTGAACCTGGGAGATGGAGATTGTAGTGGGTTGAGAATGCGCCACTGCACCCCAGCCTCAGCAACGAGGTGAGACTCTAAGAAAAGATAAATAAATATAAAAAATAAAATTTTATAGTAGCCACATTAACAAAAGAATAAAACAGGTAAAATCAGTTTTAAGAATATAGACCATTTAGCTCAATCTATCCCAAAGATGATCATTTCAACAGGTAGTCAAAATAAAAATTATTAATATTTTACATGCATTTTTAATACAAAGTCTCCAAAATCCAGCACATCTCAACTTGAGTACCAGATTTTCTTATTAGTACTTGATCTGTGTTTAAATTTCATAAAACTTGTAGTTGAAAAAAATATTCATACACTTAGGTCATACTAACAAATTTGAAAGCTTTCCAGTAACTGAACTGAGTATCTGTTTTTCAATTTAAATTAGTCCACATTAAGTAAAGTTAAAATGTCAGTTGTTTGCACTAGCCCCATTTCAAGACCTCAGTAGTCACATGTAGCTAGTACCTACACGTATTGGACAATTCAGTCCTGGAGAATCTCATCTGTGTAGCGGGGCGTGGGAGTCAGGTTTTTCAGACACCAAGGGCCAAGAACCGTTCCTGGCACTCCAGGCCTGCCTGCGATTGGGCAGAGCAGACTCTCACAGCCAGAGGAAGCCAGAGGCAGTTGGTAGTTAGGTAGCCATAGAACCCTGATGAAAATAAAACCCAAAGGGAATAGGGAAGGGATGAATCCACTGCAAGAGAATTCATGTTGGAAACAGTTTATAGACTGAACAAAATGAGAGGAAAAAAGAGAGAGAAATCAAATATGATTTGTAGGTTTCTGGCTTACAATTGTGTGAATAGTAGTAGCATTTACTGCGATAGGAAGGATGGGAGGAGGCCTTGGTTTGGAAATAAGGCCATTGGTTTGATTCTGGACATTTGAGTTTAGAGTTCCTGTGAAAGATCCAAGTGGTGATATTGAGTTGGCTTTGAGATGGGCCAGCTGAGAGATCAAGAAATATTTCAGGACAGTTTAGAGCTTGACTAATAAAAACAACGTATTTCACTTGTACACAGATTTTCTTTAACCAAATGCAGATCAAAAATACAGTATTTGAGGGATATAAAACCCACATATATGGAGGGCCGATTTTTTTGTACAAGAGTTCTGCTGAGCCCACTACAGGACTTGAGTATGAGCAGATTTGGATAGACTTAGAAGTCCTGGAACCAATCCCCTGTGTATACTGAGGGACAACTATAAAGGGAATGATCAGATATGTGTATAGTCATCTTAAATATTATAGCATAGCTCCCAGGCTGGGCACAAGATGAAACAATGGCCAAATTGCAGATATTAATATTTATAGGCCAGGCGCAGGGGTTCACGCCTGTAATCCCAGCACTTCGGGTGGACTGCTTGAGCCTAAGAGCTCAAGACCAGCTTGGGCAACATGGCAAGATCTTGTCTTTACAAAAAGCAAAAATATTTAGCCAGGCGTGGTGGTATGTACCTGTGGTCCCTGCTACTCTGGAGGCTGAGGTGGAAGGATTGCTTGAGCCTGGGAGGTTGAGGCTGTAGTGAGCCATAATTGTGCCACTGCACTCTAGCCTGGGCAACAGAGCAAGACCCTGTCTCTCACTGTCCATAAATATTATATATAGATACAAATAATGTGGTTATTGATGGAGCCTCATCTGTTGTGAGGCAGGATTGGCTCACAGCACTCCCCTCAGTTTAGATAGAAAAGATCCTTCAGGAATGTATGTTCCCCTTTGCTCTCCGAGTCCAAGTACCTTTTGTTGACAAATGATAGTAAAGAGAGCTGTCTTGGGTAAAGGACATAGTCTTCAGAAAGTGCACTCTCATTCTAAATAATAGCAGCCTTCAGATTTATGCTGTCTTCTTCTGGGTGTTTGTTTACCTTGGGTTAGTCTTTTTGGGACCCATCAACTCTGAAGGTCCTGTTTCATGGGACAAAGCCGCTATTGGGCACATGAAAAGCTCTCCCCAGACTCAACTGATGGACTGGAGAAGCACCAGAGGCACAGCTCACAGCCCTTCAGACCCAGCATGCTGTGGAAGTCAAGCTTGGTCAGCTGGCCTTGCCTGTAAGCTTGCTCAGGGGCATAGATCGCTATATGAGTACTCTTCAGATAGCTTTCTAAGGATAAGGCCACCGAATAGGTGATCCAGATGATGAGGTCTTACAGGATTTAACACTTTGCTAGTAGGTTTTGTTCCATTAACTTAGATGGGATTGCAGAAAACACACCTTGACCACATGGTAATAGTCCTGATGGCTGTAAAATCACATCTAACACCTTTACGCAGAGGAAATAATTCAGTGTCAATCATTTGTTCAACTCAAACTGGTAAAGTGCCTACATTTTCCCAGGCCTTGTGCGAGGCATGGGACTCAGAGATGAGCAGGGCACTTTCTGTTTCCGAAACAATCAGAGGAGAGTATGCTAGAAGGTACAACAAATGCAGGGGATCCCAGAAATGGGGCCTCTAGCTCAGGCTGCTCAGGGAGGAGAGGGGTGTTTCCTGGAGAAATAAACTGCTTAGCGGAAACTGCTGAGGAAATAGAAACACTGGAGCCTCGTGTTCTTGGGTCAGAGTTGGACCCAGGAACTCAGGCTTCTACCTCCTGGAAGGTGCTGACCTCCATCAGCCAGCTGAATTAGCACCATTTTATCTACAGCAAGATCAAGAGAGAGTCTGTGGCAGGAAGTACAGAGCCTGGGGACTGCGAAGAAACAGAAAACTATAATAATACTGAAGCCCTCAGAACCAGAGAAGGGGACTTCCAGGGTGCAACAGAACAGGTGTTTGGGAGTTGGCAGGTTATAGGCACTGTTTTCCCTTTCCAAAAATGGGAGAAAGGTAAGTGCCTCGAGAGCCCTGTGGAGGGGCCTGGTGTCTCGGGGCTCCCTGTTTGTTACCCCTGCTCTGCCCTACATCTTCCCAGATGGAATTCTGGCCACAAGTTATCAGGTTGCAGATGAATAGTGAATACTTTTTTTGAATTTCATCATTCTTCCCCCTAGAATGACTCATTACAAATTCTGCGTCCATGTGATGCATTAATATTGATTAAGAAACAGGTGCTCTCAGATTCAATTAGCAAAACTGCAATGATTCACACAGGGTTACGCTGGAAAATTGGGGGAAAATATGCAGGTGTGCAAATGAGCCTAATCTGAAGGTGCTGCAGCAGGTCTTGAAAAATGCATCCCCTCCAGCAAATGCTTTCCTGGAATTACCCTTTGTTTGGGTGACAAATGGACTTGCCATTTCAACCAAACAGTGACCCCAAACCTCTGTGGCTTAGGATCCAGTGGAACTTCACATTTGGAGTCAGACTTCTATGTCGGGATTCCCAAGCTTTCCTGTTGAACCACTGCAGCTGTTTGTGAAACACACAGCTTCCTTGGCCCCAATCTAGGTGATTCAAATTCATGGATTTAGGTGAGGAACCTGAAAATCTGTACCTTGGAAAGTAATTCATGTGCCTCTTGTCATAGACAAGTTAGGGAATGTGCCTCAGGAGAAGGCTGGAAACTTGGGGCTGGGAAGTGCTGCCTGCGGTTGGATGATGGTGGGCACCTCAGCGACATCAGCCACCCCTTTCTGGCTTGGCTTTGCCATATGTAGTATCCAGAGGCTATATCTCTCCCTGTGGATGCTGAGTGAGTAGTGTTCTGATCTAACACACATAAAACAGGAAGGAACATCACGATTTGGCAATTAATACTTTTTAACAGAAAAAAAACTTTAAATAGATTCTAGAGTGTAATCATAGACATTCAACCTGGACTTCTAGAACATTCTTGGGCTTCTTTCTAGCAAAACCTCCTTTGACAACAAAAGAGAGTTTGTGACTTAGATGTCTTCCTGACTGTATTTTAGAGTGCTAAACTTCAGTCATAGACATCAGAGTCTCATAGAATTTTTAGGGCAGGGAGGGACATTTGAGATAATCTAGTTCAATCCTTTCATGGTGCAGAGGAAGGCATGCAGGCTCATCAAGGTGGAGAGACTTGCTCAGTGCTACTTGGGAGGTAAGATGAGAGAACTAAAGATGAGACAGCACATTTTCCGAGTCTTGGCTTCCAGCTCCCAGTGCCTCTTTCTGGCCACCACACTGTTTCTGAGATCCCCTCATTATTTGACCACAGTATGCTAAGAAGCAGGGAAATCAGCAAGGACTTCATTTTCTTTCCATACATATTAAGTGAGAGCCCAATATATTCAAGGAATTGAGTGGCATGATGAGGGGTAAGGATGCAAGGTCACATGGACACCTAAATGAACAACTGCAATAAAATATGACAAATGCAAGAGTAGAAGTACACACGGAGCAGTGGCAACTCAAGAGAGAAAGTGACTAACTCCTCGAAAAATTAGGGACGTCTTCTCAGAGGGTATTGAGTCAAAAGTCAAATCTTATTATGTCCTGGTGAAAGAAATGGCACACCTGGCAGAAAGAACAGTGTGAGCAAGAGCCTGGAGGTTTCGAATTCTAAAGCAAGTGTCAGCAAACATTTTCCGTGAAGAGCAAGGAAGCAAAGATCTTAGGATTTGTGGTCATATGGCTTCAACTCTGTTGTGGTAGCATGACAACATGTAAGTAAATGGGCATGGCAGTGGGCTAATAAAACTATTTACAAAAGGAGGCAGAGAGCCATATTTGGCCAGTGGGCTGCAGTTTGTTGACACTCTCTTCTAAATATGTGTCTATCATAAGTAGTTCAGGATGGTTGGAGCATAGAGCTTGGGGAGGAAGAACTGGGAGGGAAGGCGTGACAAGATGAATCTGATCAGCTTAGTAAGGACGAGATCAAGAAGGGACTCCAATGGTAAAGACATGCTTGGACAAGTCATTTATCATCTCTGAGCCTTACCTTTCTCATCTGTAAAATGGGAATAAAAATAATTCCTGAGAAGGACTGTTGTGGATATTATTATAATATCTGAGATAAATCCAGCACAGTTCTTGACATTTACTGAGTGTTGTAAAATGTTGGCTGCTATTCATGGCACTTTCTCCATAATTGGGATGCATTTGAAGATGGAGATGTGGGATTGTCATGAGTTCGGAAATAGGCTCTAGAAGCAAGGTGTTTTGTTTTTTCCAGCAGGTTAAATAAGGAAAAGAGATGCTATTTGGCCATGAGTCCAGAGGGGAAGTCTTCAATGGAGGCTCTAGATCAAATGGCCTCTTATTATCTGAACTCACTTGCATTAATAATGATGAAAATCTACTTGTTCATTTCCTCCACTGGACTTTGAGTTCCTTGAAAGTGGACCAATTCATTTGTCATCTACAGAACCAGAAACACAATAGGACTCAATGAATGGCTAATAAAGATGTCTTTGTATCTGTTTCTCTGTCTGCATGTGACACCTCCCTTTTCTTTTCCCCTTTAAGTCCCACCTTTATCCCTATGCCATATAGACTTTGCTGTTAGAACAATCATGACATGTAACAGTTTTTGAATTCTTACTATGTGCTAGGCATAATCCTTAACAATATATGTATACCATTTTATGTCTTATATAATGAGGTAGGTATTAGATAACATTGAGATAGGTATTGTTATTATTCCTATTTTGTAGATGAGGAAACAGGGCTCAGAAGATTTGCTCCAAATCTTAACAGCCAGTAAGTGGCAGGACTGGGATTTGACTTATCTGACTCTCAAGCCTGAGTTTGTGCACTGTCTTCCGATGTTCTAATTCATTCCATGTACATTAGTCTCTTTCCCCAATCAGACTGTTTGCTGAATATTTTATTTCTTTCAGTACCCAACCTAATGTGGAAAAGCAGACATTTATTAAATACTCAGAGACTTAATTTGAAAAGACTTTTGCCCCGTGGTCATCTGAATACTCCAAAGAATGTACTACTAACTTGTTCTCACCTTTGGGAATCACCAATCTTTTGTCATATGGGAAAAATGAAAATATTTTTATCTGTTTATATGCTAAGCAGCATTATAACAGCTGCCTGAAAATCTAGGCTTCCCATCCATCACACAAGCACCTGGATGCTGTAATCACAGATGACAAACCAGCTCATCAGTGAGGTCTCTTTGCAGAACAGGTTTGATACTAGGGATCTTCATGGAGAAAACATTTTCTCCATCAAAATGAAATGAAGGCCCACTGGACTAGAATCTTCCTTTTAACAATGGCAGATGGTATCCAGCATTGGTTCATTTCTTTCTGATAAGAAAAGGCCAAGCTTGCTTCTTTCATCTCTTCATTCTCCATGGAGCCAGGAAAACAGAAAGAAAAGTATGATAGATGTGTGTCCATTTTCTGATTGTCCAGCGTCCAACCCCCTTGACCAAGAGGGATGCTGTCTCTCCTCCAGTGTGTATGATCTTGGCAGGAAAGCAATTCTCAATGCCTGTCCTCCACTCTGGAAACTTGGAGCTTAGATCCTTCCAATATTCCTGGTTCAGCAGGGAGGCAGGATGTTGCATCCTGAGTATGTGATAGCAAATGGTGGCTTGGCAGACATCAGCTTGACCCAGCAGTGGTAGAGCAGTGATGGTAGCAGTGACGTATCAGTGTCACTGACAGCCTCCTGACCAGCATGTGGTTGTCTCTGATGCTTGACTTCCCTTGCTCCAAGTCTGCTCTTCTAATTTCCCACCAATCTCCTTCCAGAAAAATCTCCATTTTGCATAAGACAGCCAGAGTTGATTTCTGTTGCTTGCAACCATGAATGCTGAGTGACATAATATGGGAAGTAGACTTTTTATCTACAATCACCCAGCTGACTGTTGTCTAAATAGTCATCTCTTTTCCCTGGAGTTGTTTTACTGGCTGAAGAGAAATGATTTTTTTTTCTTTCCTTCCCATATTTCAGGGACAATGATAAGCAGGGTAATGCCCCCAAAGCAGGAACTACATTGAAAATGAATACTTATTGAATGGCCCATTAGAGAAGTATGAAAGCTCATGTTGCTTTTACTCATTGCTCTATTCTCAAAATGTAGAACAGTGTTTCACACACCCTGGGTACTCTGATTAATGAATTAATTACATGGTACTTATTAATGGCTAAATAAAAACTCAGATTTTCACATTTAGTCTTCACAACAAATATACAAACTAGCAACCACTGTCTACATTATACACATAAAGAAACCAAACCCCAGCAAGGTCAAGTCGCTTTCCCATTATTGCTGATTAATGTTGGAGTTGGAATTCTCAGTAAGGACCACCTAACTCCAATCCAGGCTTTTTCTATTCCCTATACTGAGGCAGGCAAGGAGAATAAGAAAGAAGAAGGAAAAAAAGAACTGAAAAGAAAGAAATAGAGAAAAGAAAAGGAGACAAGAAAAGAAAAGGCAGTGAGGTGAGGTGAAGGTCTGGTTGGTTTAAAGGGGGGTCCTTTTCCTTGGATAAATGAGAATTTCCAGAGTCAGTTCTTTCTCAGATACAAATGGCAGAAGAGGGTGGGCTCTGTTAGGTGCTGAGGTTCTGCAGTGGGACCAGGAGGCTGAGGTTCTGAGGTTCATCCTGGCCCAGAGAGAGCAGGTGTGAGGGGGCCGCTGAGCAGACAGCACAGCAGTTCCCATACACAGCTGTGTAGGAGCAAGGCTGGAGAGCTGGCCTGCTCTCCATCTTTAGAATCTGCCTACTGGGCTCCTTGAAAGAGGAGGGGCCTGCCAGGGAAGTGGAGTGCAGCGGGGATGGTACAGGGAGGGAACTGCTTCACCTAGCAGGCAGCACTGTGTATATGGTACCTGACCCCCCTTCTCTACCTCTCCTTGTCTAGGGGTTAAATATTATTATTCCCATTCTTCAGGCAGGGAAGCAAACCAGACAGCTTCAGTTACCCAAGGCCAAGTGCCCATTGTGAACTCTGGGAGTTCTCAGAGGAGCTGGCTGGACCCCATGGAGCTGGCAAACCCATGTATGTGGAGGTGACATTTATCTTCTCAGCCAGGAAGGAGCACGCCATCCAGCTGCTGCCCAGAGCCCAGGAGAACCCTGCAGCACTGTGATTCTCATTAGCCTCTGAAAGGTGTGAGGGAAACATGGAAGGCAGTTATGCCTGGTTTTGGAAATTAGGGAGGTTTAATTTAAAATATGTCAGTTTAAAACAGCTCTCATCAAAACCTACTATGGAACACTAGGACTTATTCTGTCTGAATGGATTTTTTATCCACTAACCGACCTCTGTTTATCTCTGTCTTCCGCCCCTTCCCAGCCTCTGGTAATTACCATTAGACACTCAACCTCCATGAGAACAACTTTTTCTAGCTCCCACACATTAGTGAGAACATGCCATATTTGTCTTTTAATATAATTTTTTATTTTTAGGTTTTGTGGGTACACAGTAGGTGTATGTATTTATGCAGTACAAGAGATGTTTTGTTACAGGCATGCAATGCATAACAATCACATCATGGAGAACGGAGTATCCATCCCCTCAAGCACTTATCTTTTGTGTTACAAATGATCCAATTATACTCTTTATTTAAAAATGTATACTTCAATTATTATTGACTATGGTCACCCTGTTGTGCTATCAAATACTAGGTCTTATTCTTTCATTCTAGTTTTTTTGTATCCCTTAACCATCTGGACCACCCCGAAGTCCCCCACTATGCTTCCCAGCTTTGGAAAATGATCCTTCTATTCTCTATCTCCATGAATTCAATTGTTTTGATTTTTAGATCCCACAAATAAGTGAGAACATGCAATGTTTGTCTTTCCATGCCTGGCTTATTTCACTTAACATAATGATCTCCAGTTCCACCTGTGTTGTTGCCAGTGACATGATCTCATTCTTTTTTTATGGCTGAATAGCACTCCATTGTGTATATGTACCACATTTTTTATCCATTCATCTGCTGATGGACACTTAGGTTGCTTCCAAATCTTGGCTATTGTGAACAGAGCTGTTACAAACATGAGAGTGTAGATGTCTCTTCGATATACTGATTTCGTGGTTATTAATCCCTTGTCAGAATATATAAAGAGTTCAAATAACTCTATAGGAAAAAATGTAATCCAACTTAAAAATGAGCAAAATATTTGAATAGACATTTCTCAAAAGAAGACATACAAATAGTAAATAGAAATATAAAGAGTTGCTCAACATCACTGATCATCAGAGAAATGCAAATCAAAACTACAGTGAGATATCATCTCACCCCAGTTAAAAATTGCTTATATCCAAAATACAGGCAATAACAAACGCCAGTGAAGATGTAGAGAAAAGGGAACCCTGGTACACTGTTGGGAATGTAAATTAGTACAACTACTATGGAGAACAGTTTGGAGGTTCCTCAATAAAAACCAAAAATAGAGTACCCTTTGTTCTGTTCAACTGGCCTATGTGTCTGTTTTTATGCCAGTACCATGCTGTTTTGGTTACTAGAGCTCAGTAGTATAATTTGATGTTAGGTATTGTGATTCCTCCAGTTTTCTTCTTTTTGCTCAGGAGAGATTTGGCTATTTTGGGTCTTTTATGGTTCCATATAAATTTAAGGATTATTTTTTCTATTTCTGTAAAGAATGCCATTGGTATTTTAATAGGGATCACATTGAATCTGTAGATTGCCTTGGGCAGTATGGACATTGTAACAATATGGAGTCTTCCAATCCATGAACATGGAATATCTTTCCACTTTCCATTTTTTTGGTGTCCTCTTCAGTTTCTTTCATCAGTGTTTTATTGTTTTCGTTATAGAGATCTTTCACTTATTTGGTATTTAAATTCCTAGGTATTTAATTTTATTTGTGGCTATTGTAAATAAGATTACTTTTTTGATTTCTTTTTCAGATTGTTCATTGTTGGCATATAGAAATGCTACTGATTTTTGTATGTTGATTTTGTATCCTTCTACTTTACTGATTTTTTAATGCGTTCTAACATCTTTGTGTGTCTGTGTGTGTGTGTGTGTGTGTGTGTGGTCTTTAGGCTTTTCCAAATATAAGGTCAGGGAGGACGCATTGGCTCGTGGCTGTAATCCCAGCACTTTGGGAGGCTGAGGCAGGCAGATCACTTGAGCTTAGGAGTTCAAGGCCAGCCTAGGCAACACAGTGAAACACTGTCTCTATGAAAAATACAAAAATTAGACAGGCATGGTGATGTTTGACTTTAATCCCAGCTATTTGGGAGGCTGAAGTACAAGAATCACTTGAGTCCGGGAGGCAGAGGTTTTAGTGAGCTGAGATTGTGCCACTGCACTGCAGCCTGCGTGACAGAGTGAGACTCTGTCTCAAAACAACCAACAAACCAAAGATCATATCATCTGCAAACAAGGATAATTTGACTTCTTCCTTTCCAATTTGGATGCCCTTTATATCTTTCTCTTGCCTGATTGCTCTTGCTAGGAATTCCAGTAATATGTTGAGTAAAAACATTGAGTACTAACATATTACTCAACATATTACTGAAAAGTGGGCATTCTTGTTATGTTCCAGTTCTTGGAGGAAGGGCTTTCAGATTTTCCCCATTCAGTATGATACTAGATGTGGGTCTGTCATATATAGCTTTTATTATGGTGAGGTACGTTCTTTCTATACCTAGTTTTTTGAGGATTTTTATCATGAAGGAATGTTGAATTTTATAAAATGTTTTTTCAGCATTTTTGGAAATAATCATATTGTTTTTGTCCTTCATTCTGTTGACATGATGTATTATACTGATTGATTTGGTAGGTTGAACCATCTTTGCATCCCAGGGATAATCTCACTTGGCCATGATGTATGATCTTTCTAATATACTGTTGAATTTGGTTTGCTAATATTTTGTTGAGGATTTTTGCATCAATATTCATTAGGGATATCGGCCTGCAGTTGTCTTTCTTTGATGTGTCTTTGTCTGGTTTTGGTATCAGGGTAATACTGGCCTCATAGAATGAACTTGGAAGTATTCCCTTCTCCATTTTTTGGAATTATTTGAGTAGGATTCAGCAGTGAAGCCAATCAGGTTCCAGGCTTTTACTGGGAGACTTTCAACTATGGCTTTTATCTTATTACTTGTTATTTGTCTTTTCAGCCTTTGAATTTCTTCATGATTCAATGTTGGTAGGTTGTATGTGTTTAGGGATTTTTCCATTTCTCCTAGATTATCCAACTTATTAGCATATAGTTGCTCATAGTAGCTAGTAATAATCCTTTGAATTTCACTGATATCATGGTTTTTTCTATTTTTCTTTTTTTTCCTTTTTTTTTTTGAGACACCCTCCTCTCTGTCACCCAGGCTTGAGTGCAGTGGTACAATCTCAGCTCACTGCAACCTCCACTTCCCAGGCTCAAGTGATTCTCCTGCCTCAGCCTCCCGAGTAGATTGGACTACAGGTGCACACCACCATGCCTGGCTATATTTGTGTGTGTGTATTTTTAGTAGAGATGGGGTTTCACCATGTTGGTCAGGCTGGTCTCGAACTCCTGACCTCAAGTGATCCACCTCTGCCTTCCAAAGTGCTAGGATTACAGGCGTAAGCCACTCCCCCTGGCCTCAGTGGTATCAGTTTTAACGTCTCCTTTTTCATTTCTGATTTTATTCGGATTTTCTTTTTTTCTTAGTCTGCCTAGAAGTTTGTCTATTTTGTTTAACTTTTCAAAAATCCAACTTTTTGTTTCATTGATATTTTGTATTGTTTTCATTTCAATTTCATTTATTTCTGCTCTGTTATTTATTATTTCTTTTCTTCTACTAATTTTAGGGTTGGTTTGCTCTTGCTTTTCTAGTTCTTTAAGATACATGGTTAGGTTGCTTATTTGAAATTTTTCTTCTTTTTTGATGCAGGCACTTGGAGCCATAAACTTCCCTGTTAGTACTCCTTTTGCTGCTTTTGGGTATGTTGTGTTTCCATTATCATTTGCTCCAATATTTTTTTCAATTTCCTTCTGAATTTCTTTATTGATCCTCTGGTCATTCAGAAGCAGATTGTTTAATTTCCATGTATTTGTTTAGTTTCTGAAATTCCTCTTGTTGTTGATTTCTAGTTTTATTCTATTATGACCAGAGAAGATGCTTGATAGTATTTCAAGTTTTTTGAATGTTTTAAGACTTGTTTTGTGTCATAACATATGGTCTACCATTGACAATGGTCCAAGTGCTGAGGAAACAAATGTGTATTCTGCAGCCACTGGGTGAAATGTTCTGTAAATATCTACCATATTTGTCTTTCTGTGCCTAGCTTATTTCATTTAACATGATGACCTCCATCTAAATGTTTGAGGGGGTGGATATCCTAATTACCCTGATTCGATCATTACACATTGGATGCATGTATCAAAATATCACATACACTCCATAAATACGTGCAATTATTATGTATCAGCAAAAATAATCTTTAAAAAACAAACAAACCTACTGTAGAGCATTTCCACAGAGTCCCATATCTCCTCCTTTAGGATGATTTCCCTTGAACACTTCAATGGTTCTTAGAAGGCAAAAGCAGCAGCTTTGGAAGTGAATAGACACAGATTAAAGTCCTGATTCTACACAGAATTATCTGTGATTCTGGGCAAAGTAATTTACTCTTCTGCCTCCCACAAGCCTCAGTTTCCTCCCCTGAAAGATTGGGATAAAAACCTACCTCAATACCTCTAGATAGAATGTACACCTACAGAATAACTAAATAAATCCACTCTTTCTTTCTTCCTTTCCTCTAACATTCAATGGCATGTATAGTGTTTGTCATACAATTTAATTTTCAATTACAGTTTTCTTTCTTTCTTTTTTTGAGATAGAGTCTCTCTCAATCACCCAGGCTGGAGTGCAGTGGCGCGATCTCAGCTTGGATCACTGCAGCCTCTGCCTCCTGGGTTCAAGCAATTCTCCTGCCTCAGCCTCCTGAGTAGCTGGGAACTACAAGCGTGCGCCACCACACCTGGCTAATTTTTGTACTTTTAGTAGAGAGGGGGTTTCACCACGTTGGTCAGGCTGGTCTCGAACTTATGACCTCAGGAGATCCACCCACGCTGGCCTCCCACAGTGCTGGGATTACAGGCGTGAGCCACCGTGCCCGGCCCAATTACAGTTTTCTAATAAGAGACATTTACATCATGGTAATGCTTTGATGCTATATTTATTTGTAATTTATTGTGTACTAACAGATTATAGCTGCAGCTTATAGATGAAAGCTTAGTATTTCATCATGAGTTTCTTCTATGTTCCATCAACAAATCCTGGCAAGTAGCAGCTTCTCCAAGGCCACCTCCTTTGCATGCAACACTCTAGCACATGCTGCATGGTTTACAGCTCCCTGAGCTCACCACCTGCTGCCTCTGAGTGTGTGCTCATGATACTCCCTCAGTTTTGAAGCCTGTTTCTCTGCCCACTCTTGCCTCCACTCCACCTGACTAACATATCCTCCCTTCCTTGGGGAAGCCTTCTCTGACCTCATCCTGTAATGGTTCCCTAAGCCTGTTTCACATGCCAAGTGCTCATACACAGGTGCTCATGACACTCACACTTAGAAACTCATTTTCCATTTTCCATGCATAGGATAGTAGGTCCACCTCACCTTTACCCTTGTAAGGGGCCTGTGAAACCCAGCAAATGACTCTGGTTCTTAGCCTTAGGAGATATTGTGGAGATGGCTCACTAAGGGATGAAGATCGGTGATGTCCCTAGACCTCTTCTCTGTATGAGTCACATTATCTTACATCCCATTACCCTAAGGGCCCTCCCGGGAGTCCACAGGTTGTGCCAGCAGCAGCCAGCTCCAGCCTTGCTCTGCTGGGTGAAGCTGGGTCAGTGTCTAACTTAGTGGCCTCCTTGGTTGCTGGAAATGGGAGGAGCCATCGTGCATCAGATGCTTGGACTAACCAAGTGGGGAGCCAGGACTCACTCTGAGTGGTAGCTTTCTAAATCTGCAAAAACTAGAGTTTCCAGAGCCAGGGACCCTGGTTTAATGTGCTGCTTTGCTGGAGCCCGAGCCTCTGATTTCCCTTGTTCAGCTGGGCCCATGATAACTTGCCTCAATGATGCGAAGAGAAGGGAACTCAGCAGATCTAATGTGCCTGCTGCTGGAACCTGGCTCCTGCGTGAAACAGGATGACATGCCTGTTGTAGCAACTGTCCTCTGAGTTGCAGTTAATAAATCTCTGGCTGAATGGATACGTGGTTGGGATTATACCTCTTGCATTTGGCAAATCCATAATGATTCACCCTCCTGACCTGTCACTTTCCCAGTTCTAGTGAGCATTCTTTTCTCTCTGCTATTTGTCTACCTTGAACACATTTCTTTTCATGAATTCACCAAAAATGAACTGCAATTTATTTGCCTGCAAATGCAAGCAGCTGTGAGTACCTTGAGGGCAGAGATTCCGTCTACTCATCTTTACACTGGGAAAAACAATGGAATAAAAAATATATTGGTGGCCTTAAGTGTGTGTCCAGATAAACTTAGTCTCAAATTCATTCTGTTACCATGACAAGGTAAGATGAGTAGGTGGATCAATTTTAAAGGTTCTACCATCTGTGCATCTCATTCATATTAACATTTGTTAACAATGAACTAAATGCCACTTTAAAGTAATGACCAACATCTGTATAGTGTTTTGCAGTACATCACCACCTTCAATATTATCTCTGTTTTGGGGGCATGGAAACTTATTCAGGAGCCAACTTGCATGGAAGCAGCACAGTATACTGCTTAAGAGGATGCACTTTGAAGTGAGACAGACTGAGGTTTAATTCCAGGCTTCCCCAGCTACATGACATGTGATTTGGGACAAGTTACTTGACTTGATTTAGCCTTAGTTTCTGCATTTGTAAAATGAGAACGAAGATACATACCTCAAAGCACTTTTGGAAAGATAAGTGAGTTTATGTAAGTACCCAGAATATAGTTTGTTCTCTGTGCATGGTAATGGTAATGGTACTCTTGCCACATACCTCCTAGTAAATAGAAGAGCTAGACTAAGGTCTAGGCATTCCAAATTTCATGACTCATCTATTGTACCAGTTTAATATTACCTAATAGAACAGTTCCCCATTTTAAATTTCTATTCAAAACCAATTCATGCAATCAAATGATAATATAACAAGGAATGCTCATATTTCTATCTTCATTTACAAAGTTAAAATTAATATTCCATCTGTATATTCATTTTGATTGGAATGCAGAGTGCCTGGTGCACAGTGGGTGTTCAACTAATGTTTGTTAAATAAAATTCCCTGTGAATTCTCCCCTTGCAAGTGCTAGACTTGGTAACTGATTATAACAGGAGAATATCAACATAATTTTTTTGGATTGCCTGAATCAATTCCATTCTTTCTGGCCCACTTTAGGGAAACTGTCAATGACGAAGACCCTAAGGAAACTCATCTGTGGTCCATAAGGAGATGAATCCCCATGTCTGGGGCATCATGTTCACTGTGGCGCCACCAACTCAGATGACCAGACACAAATGAATTTCTCATGGTACTGTGGTGGAATCAGCTGTTTTGAGTTAACTACCTAAGTGAATGTTCTATTTTTCCCACTTACTATTCATAGAATTCTTTCTTTTAATAGCTTTTGAAGACCCTGTAAATCTTTTCAAATTTTTGGGATTAATCCACTTCCACTGTGTTTCCATGGAACTTTGCTTGAACCTTTATTTTAGAACCTATGTAATTCTGATTTGTATTAAAATTCTTTATGCGTATTTCTGTTCTATTAGATGTTAAGCTCTTGACAATAGACACTTATATAATCTTTGCACAGAGAAACATGCATGATGGGTGGGGCTGGGAAGGAAGGAGACAACAAGTGAGAGAGAAATAAATAAAGAGATGCTATATTGTGTCTACTCCAAGTTCAGGTATTATGCCAGATGCTTTATAGCTATCACAGGTAATTCTCATAGAAGAGAAGGATATTACTTTCTCGGTTTTACCAAAGAGAAAACAGGCATACAGAGGCTAAGCAACTTCCTCCAAGCAATGAAGACAGCAAATGGTGGAGCTAGAAATAGAGACCAATTCTGTTTAGTTTCAAAATCCCTGTTGCTTCTCCATCTCCATCTCAATGTTTTGCACAAGACAGAGGCTCAGTAAGCATTGAAACAAGACCTGATAAACTCACTTGCAAATAGGAGGTATGTGATCATAGCTAAGCATAATCAAATCATTTAACAGCTTCAAAGTACTTGAGCAATAGAAGATTGGTGGCAGCATATGTTTGTCTGAATACCTACATTATGAAAAGGCAATTCAGTTAGATAGAAAGCAAAGACAAAATTAATGAATTAAGCTTCATGTAGAAGCCTAGCCTTAGTTGCTAGATTTGTGCAAAACAATCATCCTAGCATGCTGTTAATTGTTTTAAAAAATAAATGAACCGGTAGCTATTAATTACGCTTTCATACATCTGAAAAAGAAAAGAAAGGAAAATAAGCACCAAGATCAACACAACCAGTAGAGAGGCTGGTCTGCATTATACAGTGAGGAGTCATAAATCATGTGTGAGTAAACTTTAGAGACGATCAATATCTTGTTTAACTCTTATGACAACTATATAGCAATAGAGCAATATTGTTTATACAGCTCTTTGTCATCTTAACATTATCTCAAATTCGCATAAATTTGTATTCTCCAAAAGACTATACGGTATATATTATTGCCTGCATTTCACTGGAGAGGAAGCAGAGGTTCAAGGGTGTAAGCAACTTGCCCAAGGTTGGCCATATTTAATGCAAGAGCAAAGAAGAGAAATGCAGACCGTTAAGGAACTGCTTTTCTTCTAAGAATTTTGATGGTTGTGGTGAGGTCCATGGAGAAAAGTTGATTACTCCAGTCACATTATCCCTGTCTATGCTGTTCCATCTTTCTTCTCTCTCTATGGCCAATGCAGAGGACCCAGGATGCCTCACATGTGAATTCAAGAAATGGAAAATTTCGCTTTATGGTTTAACATAAACTTGGGGTGGAGGGGAATGGGGAGAATGCTGGGCTATGAACTTCTTGCACTGCCTGAATGTCCTGACAACTTCCTTTGTATGAATGGCCATTGGGGGAAAAAATCAAGGAAACAAAAAATAATATGTTATGGAAACCATGTGGTTGCAGTTTCACATGATGGGGGTGGGTTTAGGGTTATTTGCTTGCCCCTATCAGTTAGCCACATGTTGAAAAGGAGGAAGGACCACAGACTGCAACAAACTGAATCAAGACTGGAATGATAATCCCTGACAATCTTTAATTTGCTAAAAACTTATTACATTATCACCCAAGAGGCTGGATACCCCACAGAAACCAGGTTTTGTCCTGTGTTGAAACTGTTGGCTCAGATGGAGGGATAAAACAAAAAGTTTGTTTGGTTAGAGGTTGAGTGCAGAGACATTTGCTGTAGCTTGGTAATAAACTTGTCTCCTGCACAATGGACAGTAGAATCGCTGAACAGCTGTTGATTGGTAAATTAGTATAGAGACCCACATGGTATCTGTAGAGGAGAGACAATTTCTTTTCCCTTGTGTCTTTCAGACAGATGTTTGGTGTTCCTTGTGCTTTCTTTCCTTACCATCTCATTTCTGACCTTTCTTTGTCAACTGTGCATTCAGTGTGGGGTTATCATTTACCTACCTGCTGTGCCTCCATCTGCCTTCCAATGCCTGAGCATGCTCAGATTCTGGACATCCAATGCAGTCTGATGAGGATTTGCTTTTCAGAGTCCTTTTCTCTTTGTACACAACACATCAAATGGCAAATGGTGACTGTGGGACCCACCTCTGCAAAGTCAACAGATGCCAGGTAGGTGTTCGGAAAAAAGCTGAATTGAACTAGGCAGGACAGATATTTGCAAATTAAAACAACTGCTTTCCTGCCAGGGTTTTCGTTGGGTCTCGAAAGGCCCATGGAGAGAAGTTAATTACACCAGTCACCTTGAATTTCTTGAATATCACAAGAGGGAAAGGTGTGTTTTTAGTTGGTTTCTGGTTCCATTGTGAACAACAAAAATGAGCCTGTTAACAGGGCATTATGCTGCCTGCATGCTCCCATGTATAGACAGGGGTGTAAGAACTGGAAAGAAAGCTGCTGGAAGTGCCCCTTCTTCATTCTACCAGTAGAAAACTGAGGTCAGAGAGGCTACATGCTTGGTTGAAGGTCATATAGCTAATTGTGGTTGAGGTGGATGCGGAGACTACGTCATTTTACCCCTGGGTTGGCAGGTGTCACCCCACTATATTGTATTAATTTTAATTTCTCTGTATTGGGCTGTAAGACTCCTCCTCCTAGTCAACTAGGGTTCTATTTTTATTTAAAATTTAATCATATGATATTTACTAAATAACACCAAAGACATAAAACCATATAAGTATCATGTGTTATATATCTATATATACACTACATATAACATTCAACATCATCAATTTCCTTATTCTTTCAACAAATATTTATTTTGGGCCTGTGTGCAAAGCACTGGAATAGAGATTGTCAGAGTTTCAAAGGTAAATATAATAAATCTACAGTGGGGTGAAAAAGTTGAGAAATTAAAAACTAAAGAGTACAACCCAGGAAATGTAGTAATTGCAGTTTAACCAAAGGCATTTCCATGTCTGTAAGGCAAGATACTTGAGGATTTTCAAACATGTGAAATCCTCACTTTAAATAGGGTTTATTGTAAAATCTTAGTTAACTAGAGGGAATTATCTGGGACTCTCAGTTGATCAGAACTGTTTTTGCTAGTTCTGCTTTGGGAGAAAGAGACCACAAAGAATGCAGGATGGCATCAGGAAAGAGGCTGGGTTCACTTCCAGATTTTCCAGAAGTTTTAACTTCTCTATGGCTCAGTTTCATTTACTGAAAAAGGCCAATGTGAAGCTTCATTGTGTGGGTGGGAGGATAAAATGTGTGTAAAGTACCCGGCCCAGAGTCTGACATACAGCCCCTGCTTAGTAAATGCTTATTTTCTTAGATCTCATTTCTAAAAATGCACTTCCTGAGGACCTTCCTGGGCTTGATCCATACTCAAAGCTGTCTCTGGTGCCATCTACACCATAAGATAAAACAGTGAGGACCAACATTCGAAATGATGGCAGCAAGGCCCCAGGAACTGTAGCCATCTAAACACAATTCTGTTCTCACTAATGTGTTCTGATTACCAAAGAGGAGCAATGGAGTTACACATTTTGGAAGAGCTTTTTAGCCAGAGAAAAGGAAACACATTTTTGGAAGGGCTTTTTAGCCAGAGAAAAGGAAACACATTTTTGGAAGGGCTTTTGGCCAGAGAAAAGGAAAAAGTATTTGCCACATAGTCAACCAGAAGATTTAATGACTCAGAATACAGTGGCTACAAGAATTGTGGGTGACTGAGGTTTTGTTTTATATTAACAGAACAAAGGTGCCTTTGGTGCAGGTCTGTGTTTCTTGGCATCACTTCCTCCAGGAGGTAAAGGACCCAAGTGCCTTTACTAAAAATAATTTCTCACAGATCTGTCCAGTGCTGACAGAGCTCAGGGCTGACCCCAGGGAGGCACAAGGTGACCTCTGCATGGCCTTCATCCTCACTCGTGGTGGTCACAGGGCATCAGTGTCCTGGGCAGTTGTAGGAAGGAATAGGTGTGAGTGTCCACATACTAATGCTTCCAAATGTGTCAAATCTCCCTGCTTTCCAAAAATAGATTTTGTGGGTAGATTGAAGTGAGAGAGAATTCAAAGCACAAGAAAATCATGGCATAAAAAAGGCACAGAAAGCAGAGCTATTGATCAGGAGCTTTATTTTATAGAACGGGGCTTGCAGTCTGGAATGAGACAGAGGTTTCTAGTAAATAGCAGCAGTGAGACTGGAACCTGGGGGTGCTGATTTTTCATCCAGTGTTTTTGCTGACATCTCTGTGATGACCTGGTCCTTCACCTTCTTTCCTAACGCCACCCGAGGACCCCTAACATGGAGTTAGATGTTACCGATGGAAAGCATTGTACAGAGTCTGTGTTCCAATCCTGTTCTTTTTTTTTAGAGGCGACCACTGAGGCCCAGAAAAGGGGAAGTGCCTTGTCTGCGATCTCATGGAAGTTAATGAGAAAGCCTGACCTAGATCACCTGCCCTATCATAGACCCAGTGCCATTTCTACTGCAGTGTGCAAAGACTTCAAAGAAGGCCAGTGTGCTCCCCTCACCCCCAGGGATTGCAAGTTCAAGTGTCCTGTCTGCACTGTCCTGAGGCCATTCTAGGCCATTGTGCAGAGAAATCTATATTCTATGGGGTGGGGGAGATAGGGAAGAGATTGAGTCAACAAAACAGATTAGTAGACCTATTACTCCCTAGTCTTAGTACTTTTTTAGGTAATTTGAGTAAAACTCATGAATCCTAGAGCACTTTAACTTTGGGTTAAATGTAAGTCCACAACAATAGTCACAAAATTGTATTGCTCTGGGCTTCTCTACCTATAGTTAGGGTGTCTGGAACTCTTCAAATGAGGGAAGTCATTCTCCTAACTTTAATGTAACATCTGTCATTTCATCCTCTTCCTCTCCAACTCCCTGTAGTCTTGTCCATTGCTAAGCCCGCTTGCATCCATGCAAGGAGCCCTCTACTTTCACACAGACCACCCACAAGGCCTGGAGAGGTCACAGCAAAGCCAGCTCCCACAGCAATTAGAGACATTGGCATTTTCTTCTATAAACTATAGAATAGGTGTCTTTAAAGATGAGGATAATTGTTAGGGTGACCTCCCTAACAATTATTCAGTCATTATTCTCATCTTTAAAGGCCTCCTTTTTACTGCCAGAAGCATCTCATACACACTTAGATTTCTAGCCACAGACCATCTGCCAGCTGTTTCTGCCAGAACAGCTGCCCATCAGAAGGAAGATGGACCAAGAGAGCCTTTGCACAGCTCCAGAGTGCATCTCCAGCATCAGAGAGGCAGGCAGCCTTGTCATGGGTAGCTCCAGCGGTTGGTGGATGACACAGCCAACTTGGACATGAAATAGGCACTGAGGGCATTAAAGCAGCATGAAAAAGGATATCCAGTTGTCCACACAGTACAGTGTGCTGCTGTTTCTGTGGACTTCCCACGGTCAGGCTTCAAACTCTATCTTGTTCTAAATCATAGCACGCAGGCGCATGCGCGCGCACGCACGCGTGCACGCACACACGCACACCCCGCCCTCCACTAACTCATGAGGTGACCTGACCTGAGGATCATTGAATCCAGTCGTTCTTAAACTTGACTATGCCTACTGACCATCTTGGGGGCATTTAGAAATCACAGACTCCCAGGCCCCACCACCCCTGGCATACTGAATCAGAATTATCAAGAGGTAAACCCCTCCACTCCCTTAAAAAGAAAGGAAGAGGCCAGGCGCAGTGGCTCACACCTGTAATCCCAGCACTTTGGGAAGCTGAGGCAGGCGGATCACGAGGTCAGGATTTCGAGACCAGCCTGACCAACATGGTGAAACCCCATCTCTATTAAAAATACAAAAATTAGCCGGGCATGGTGGCATGCGCCTGTAATCCCAGCTACTCAGGCTGAGGCAGGAGAATTACTTGAACCTAGGAGGCAGAGGTTGCAGTGAGCGGAGATTGCGCCACTGCACACCTGCCTGGGTGACAGAGCAAGGCTCCATCTCAAAAAAAAAAAAAAAAAAAAAAAAAGAACGAAATCTATATTTGACAAGAGTAGCTAATCTACCACACATCCACGACTAGCATCTAGGGGCTACTGATCACAGTTCAAATATCCACCCCTCCCTGTAGTTTTTATTGAAGAGGACACAGTGGCTCTGGGAGAGGAAGTGACTTGCCTTAAGCAAAGCCCTGACAGAAATGGGACTACGAGACTAGAAATAAATGCCTTCACCTCTTTTGTTTTGCTCCTTCGCACAATGCACATGCCCTGTCCCTTAATGATGGCCACAGCTTCCTTCCTATTTTTCTATATTCATAATACAACACATGGACATTTGGCTGGGCAAGCACATTTATTGATCAAAAATATGTAATCCTCCTTCCTTATAGAAGCTCAGGTTCCTTCTACGTTATTTAGGTGGGCACCTCAAGGCGCTAGGAAGACCCTAAAGCTTTAGAGATCAGCCTCTGAAAATGTATGAATACTGTTGTGCATGTGCATCTGTGTCTGTTTCAGGCAAGAAATTCTGTAACTTTCATACATGCCCAATGGCATTTATCTACATCCCTAAAATGGCTAAAACTTCTGGTTTACAATATCCCTAATAAGAGGCTACTGGTTTGAAGGAGATGGTTTAGAACACACACAAAAAAAATACAAAAATAATTTTACTTGAGAGATGCAGCTTAAGTTACTCCTTTTTGGCACATCTAACTGTGCCAGGCATAGTGAAAATGATTGATAAAATGTCAAGATAGAAAACACGATCATAAAAGCTAATGCAGCTTGAGAATTTTTTTAAATTGGTTTAAAGTTGCATTGTCACTAGTGGGAAGCACAAGTATGGCCAACCCAAAAGGCCTCAAGGAAAAGGCAAGAGAAGTCAGAGAAGGCTGAAGACGCAGACTTGGAGGGATAATAAAACATTTTATCAGGGCAGGACTTGAGAGGAATATAAAGCAGTAAGTTTTAATTAAAGTTATGCTAGTACACTAATTTGGGCAACCAAGATTCATAATTAAAATTTTATGCCAACTCTGCGCATCACCAAACATTTTTAATGGCTCCAGGAAGAACATGATGTGGGTACAGGATACATTGCAGTGAACATCAAGGGGAGCCAGTCAAATGCACAGGGTGGGGAAACAGTGGGGAGTAGCTAGGAAGTTTTGTCCCACAAACTCTGAAAGCTTTCTTCTGAAAAATGGGCAGTCATAGCTACTTGGTCAAAGGAGTGTCCAAATGTCTTTTGCAACACAGCAAAGTACCACTTGCTGGTACTTTTCTGCTTTCCCCAATTCAATATGGTTCTTGGAAGGCATGAATCACTTCTTTCATCTTTTTATCCTCAGTATTTAAGACACTGTCTTATATCAGTTATTTAGTTCCTTAACAATGCTGCAAAATAAATAACCATAAACCCCCAGTGGCAGATAACAATTTATTTAGTTTATAAGTCTTTGAGGTTCTGGTGATTTTAGCTGGATTTGCTCATGTTTCTGTGGTTATCTGTAAGTCATCTAGGCAGCTCTGCTAAACTCACTTTGTTTGCTCATCTATCTGGGGATTTACTGGCTGTTGGCTGATCTAGCATGGTCTTTGTTGGGATGATGGGGCAACTTGGCTCTCCACCATGAATCTCATCCTCCAACAGACTCCCCTGGGTACAATATCCTAACATTTCCTTGGCCACAGCAAGTCATGTGGCTAAGTTCAGGGTCAAAAGGAGAGAGTGCTACCAAATTATGTGGCAAAGAGTATGAAAATAGAATACAGTAAATAATTAGGGCCTTTGATGAAATAAGTCTCTTACATGACTAGACTAGGGTAAAGGCTCAATAAAAGTTTGTTGCAAAAACTGAGTATATTATCCAAAGAAGATATACAAATGTCTCATAGGCACATAAAAAGAATGGTCACATTAATAATGATCAGGGTAAAGCAAGTTAAACCCACAGTGAGATGCCATTTCATTCCCACTAGGGTGGTTGAAATAAAAAAGTCAGATGATGACAAGTGTTGATGAGGATGCGGAGAAACTGGAAGCCTCATAGACTGCTTGGAGAAATGTATGTTGGTGCAGCCACTTTAGAAAACAGTTTGGAAGTTCCTCAAAAAGTTAAGCATAGAGTTACCTTTTGATACAACACTTCCACTCCTAGGTATATGCCCAAGAGAAATAAAAATGTATGTCCACACAAATGTTCATAACATCATTAGTCATAATAGCCAAAGGGTGAAAACAACCTGGATGTTCATCAACTGATTAGTAGAAAATAAAATGTAGTAGACTCATATAATGAAATATTATTCAGACACAGAAAGGAATGAAGTACCGGTACATGCTACAACATGAATGAACCTTGAAAACATTACGTTAAATGCAGGAAAACAGACACAAACGGCTACGTATGATTCCATTTATGTAAAATGTCTATAATAGGCAATCTATAGAGCTAGAAAGTAGATTAGTGGTTGTCTAAGTCTGGGTGGGTCAGAGGGAAATGGGGGTGACTTCTAATGCATTTCTTAATGGAGTGATTAAAATGTTTGAAAATTGATCATGGTGGTGGTTGCACAACTCTGTGGATGTACAAAAAAAACATTAAATTATACACCTGAAATGGAAGAATTTTATGGTGTCTCAATAAACCTTCTATAAAAAAACAAGAACCAAATGAGATAATTCCTTTAAAGTTACTCAGCACAGTACCTTACAACCTTGGCTAAGTTAACCATACTTCATAAAATCTATGATGCTATAGATTGTAAGAGACACCATTATTTAATATACAACAAGAAAAACATTACCAAGTTAACTATGACAGATCATCAATTATAAGACATATCTTAATTTTGAAGATGTTAAAATATGGAAAATGTATATTAGAATCAATGAATTATGGCATGTGTTGAAGAAATAGCATCTGAAGTTAAATCTATTCAACTGAGTAGATCTTTCTGTCTTCAGATTCCATTTTTAGGCTCAGATATCTTTCCTAGATTAATGGATTTTGGGGGTATCCACCTTTGACTCCCAGCCTTCATCAAATTCGGCAGGTGGGCCCAGAAGAAGTACTTGCCCTCTCTGGTCCTACCTGGTGCTCTGTCATTCCCCTTACAGCTCTATCCTAGGAGTGCCTGGTCTGCCTGAGAATCTCTTGTGTTTTTGTAGGCATGGATCTCTGAGTGTGGAATGGACCTGCCTTTCCCTCAGGGACTGGAGGTCACTTCTGCCTCCCAAACCCTTCAAGCATCTTCTCTCTCTCCTATGATGGGATGTGATGAGGATAAACAAGGAAAGTGCTTTGTCGTGGCAAGAGACATCTGGTCCCCAGTGGCAGCTTCCACAGAGAAGAGAGTGTAAAACCACACACATGTTCACTTTCGTTTGGGTGAGGAGTAGTCAGAGCTGTTGACTAACGGACAATAGGATGCATGAAAGGTCCACCCATCCAACTTGTGGTCGTCAGTAAATCTCCAGTCGCCCTTGGGGACTGGGGAGAATTATTTTCTCCCTCTTGCAATTTACAAGTATCATCTAGGAAAGATAAGACAGTAGCTTCATTGTTGGCAGGCTGTCATGGGCTTTCTTAACAGCGTGAGTGTGCTTTCTAATTTTCACACTAGAGGAAAAAAATTAAAAAAAAACAGGCTCTTCAGTTTTGTCTTCCATATACGTGAATCTTATATGGGCTGTAGAATTGTTCTGTGGGGACAGACAATGAAAAAAAAAAGTGTGATCAGATACCTTCCTCAGAAACGAAATCTAGAAAGAAGAGTAAGCAGTGTGGTAGATGCTGTGTCTACATCACTACAGTTCTCTTCCGCTGGCATTTTGTTCTGGATGATTCCAGGTGTAGAGCAGAACTTCATGAAAATTATAGTGCAGTAAGAAGAAGGCATTCTAGTGCCAGACAACCCATGTTTTATGATAGGGATCTAACCCAGTGACACCAGGAAGTCTTTGATCATGGTGCGTAAGTTGTGTAATTCCCATAGTGGTTCTTGTATTTGACACATGTAAGATTTTCTTTTTGAAGTCTCAATTTCATTACCGAAGACACTGCTCAGAGAACAATTACTGATAGACCCCAACTGAAGAAGCTTCCTGGGAAGGAGGTGCAGGGTGTGGTCTAGATGCCTACAGTTGGGTATCATGACTGAGAGACGGCAAATAGCATTATTCTTCATCTGGGTTCCAAGTGGTGGAAAGTGACTGCTTGGCATACCCTGTGAATGATTCTGAGGCTGCTTTAGAACTTCAGGTGGAAAGCCAACTATTACTGATCATGCCTATCTATGGATTTAGCTAGGGCTTGGGGTAGAGTTGAGTTCTGCCTGTTACACTATGTCTCATTAATTTCCTCTCAGGGAGACAGTATCCTAGCAGGGAATGATTTGGAATCAGGCACACCTGGTTTCCATCCTGGTTCTGTTTTTCATCACATGATAGTGGAGCAATTTATGTAATCTCCCTGAACTTCCATTTTCTCATTTGCCAAGTGGGAAAGAGCTCACTCTGCCATGCACTCTCCAAAAAGGCTTTGTCTAACTCATGTGATCTTCATAAATGCCTGGCAGAGTCAATACCTGGAATCTGTAGAAGAAAGACACTTTTCACATGGGGAAATTCTTTCCCCTCAGGCTAGTGCCTTCAGACCGAGTCTAATGTACTCTGCAGGCTCTGCTTGGATCATTTGTGCCTGATGTCTGAAAAAAAAAAAAAAAAAAAAAAACAACCAGAAGCACTCCCTACATTTGAGAAAAAGGACATCTGGGAATTAATCCTGAAGTTGGGAGGAAGGTTGCTGAGTCTGGATTCAGCCTGAGGGGCAGATGGCTAGGGATGTCCCCAGAGTGTCCCCACCTCCACTTCATGTGCAGATGACACTGACAGCTGTGGTGAGGAAGGGCCTTGCCATGTCCATGCCATACTCATTAAGCCATGATATCTAACAGCCAACAGCTCTGCAACCTGTACCTACTTCCAAGGAGTCAAGCTCTATCTGCTTCCAGGCTCTGCTGAATCTGCCTGTATTTAAGTGCCCCATTTCTTTCCCAGAAGTAATAAAACAGTCATCTCGTTGACATTAAGTGCGGAGTAGCAGACAGCAAGACTCATATTCCAAAATCTCAGGACCCTGCCAGTTATGACAAGACACTCTTCTGGCTACAGAATTAACATGCTACTCCGGGTTTAAATGGGGGGATTAGGCTAACACAGAGCAAACCAGTTTCTTCCTTATTTTCCCTGACATCACTTGAGATCTCCCAGAAAATGGATAGTTTTCAACTCTCTGATTTGTGCGCAACTAGGATCATCTTGCAGGAAGGCTGTTCAAGGAGATGGGTTTGGGGTTTCTGCCTTGAGAAGCTGATAAGGATGGGGTTTTCTGCCTAGCGATTACTGTAGCAGAAGTGGCCCTACCTTCCATCCTCCTGCGATGGGGCCTCCTTTTCCTGAGCCTTTACTGTCCCAAAGTAGCAGCAGGACTGGACAGCTCTGCCCACAGCATCTCCCGCTCCTGCATTCCTACATTCCAGGCCTCAGCTGGAGACTACACTTTCTCCTTACTCCCTCTTCTCTCCAAATCCCGGCTTCTCAGTCTCTCTCCTAGACTTGCAATCTAATATAGCCACCAAAAAAATGTCTGCCTATTTTGAAATCATGGAAAACTGTTGGTTTATTTCTACCTTTTTTGGGTGGTGTGAAGGAATAAGCAAAGAAACACTACATTTTAGGAAAAGGAGAAATGTGTACAATGCTGATTTTTAAGTTCCAGCTTTAGTCAGTTTAGGAGCATAAGGCTATCCTCTACGACTCAGTTTGCTAATTAAGTGGTGATTGGAATATTAAATTTTAAAGTATAATTTAGTCAGACAATAATTACCAGCGAACTAATTAAATTTACTTTTCAATGGTTTTCACTTTCACCGCAGTGAACCTGTAAGTTACTGAGCTGCAAGGAATCGAGCATCTTTCCTTTTGTCAGAGAAGAAAAAGCAGGCAAAGCAATGATAATCAAAGAGTCTTTCTTCTACGTTGTATTTCGTATGAATTGTGTAGTAGTTAAGTGCATAGGCCCAGGAGCTGAGCTATTTGGTTCATGGTATGACTTGGATACTCACTGGCCGTGTGATCTTGACCAAGTTGCTAAACCTCTCTATCCCCCAGTTTCTTCATATTAATTAGTGTCCATCTCATAGAGTCACTGTGCATAATAAATTATTTATTATACAGTTTATAGAATGGTGCCTGGCACATATTTAAATGGTAAATTAGTCCTATCTATGATGATTTTTAACAATCTTTGTGCTTTCTAAACTTATCTCCTTCAATGTCAAGCCTATTAAAAAATACAAATTTCTATAAATTAATCTGGAGGAAAAAAGAGAACAAGAAAAGAAAGTCATTGATAACACCTGCCACACAAAATTAGCCAATCATTCATAAATTTTGACCTATCACTGTCCGCATTTGTTTCCAATGCTTCTCTTTCATCCTCTTCACAGAATGCTGCTCGCTTACTGAGCTCTGAGCAAGTTCCATCCCATCTTGCTTACCTTGCTCTCCCCACAAGATCCTCTCAGACTAGACTCTCCTTTTATTTATTGGGTCTTCTCTTTTGAAACTGCTCCCTGTATCTCATTCATGGTCAACTTTTGACTTCAGGTCAGACATTTTGTTTTCCCCTTATTGAAATAAGTCTCTGTTTCTATTAATATAGACTCCCAGTCTTCACTAAGACTCTGCCTTAGTTTCCATTTTCACTCTTGCAGCTTGAATAGAGCACCAAAGAGAACAAATGAATGTGCTTTTCCAGGAGAAATAAAGTTACACACATCCCACTGAAAATGGAGGAGGGGGCCTGAAAACTTTCTAGCTCATTTTTACTAATTAAATACGTATGTGATGCTATTTATATTTTATTATTTAGTAACTTGTCTTTGTTTTATTACCTTAGAGAATGCAAAATCAACCATAAGGGTTTTAAAGCATAGATTTATAGCACTTTCTTTAACCCTCTTTTTGCCAGAAGGTCTTAAGTTCCTTAATTGCAAATTTTCCCACTTTGAGGGTGGAGAACTAGGGAAGGGAGAGACAGTACTTTTCCTGAACTTTCCATTCCATATTGCTGGGCTCCTCTGTGGGGCACCTGCATTTCCTGAGTCTGAGGTCTTTCCACATTGCCTTGCAGGGTTATGTGACTGTCTTGCTGGGACGCCTGGTCTCAGCGGTCCCTTTCAGCACTGTCTGCATGATTTTCACAGAAACATCTTAGTTCCAGCTACGTTTGCCACTCTGGGCAGTTGTTTGGCAAGCATGCCATGTTAACATGCCATGTTCTTTCATGTTTCTGTGCCTTAGTGAGGGCTTTCCTTCCATCTTCCACTATTCTATTCATTAACTTAATAAACATATTATGCAGCTACTGTGTGCTAGCGATTGGGGATTCAAAGGTGATTGAGTAAAAGTCTCTCCCTTAAGGGAGATTTTATTATAATTCCTGAGAAGGACAAATACTGAGTAAACAATTGAGTAACGAAGACAATTACAGTGCTGTGAAGGCAATAACCAGGGTGACAAGATAAGGCAGTGGTTCTCAGCTGTGGCTATACATCAGAATCCTTTGGAGAACTTCCAAACTTATGGGTGCCTGGGCCCCATTCTCAGATCAATCAAATCAGAATTTCTGGGAATGAGGTCCAAGTTCTAGTATTTTAAAAACTCCCCAAGAACATTTTTAAAAACAGTTTTATTGAAGAATAATTTACATACCATAAAATTCACCCACTGTAAGTGTACAATTCGACAGTTTTTAGTAAATTGCAGAATTGTGCAACCATCTCCATAGTTCAGTTTTAGAACATTTCCATCACCCAAAAAGCTTCCTCCCACCCATTTACAGTAACTCCCCACTCCCACCCCTGGGCAACCACTGATCTTCTTTCTATAGATTTGCCTTTTCTAGACAATTCATTCCCCAGGGAGTTTTTGGTGTAGTCTGGATTGAGGACCTTTATGACTGAGCAAATGAGGAAGACAGTGGTGAAGTTAGATCTGAAGGATGAGAACAAACCAGCTGTGCAAACAGTGTGTAGAAGAGCCCTCTGGCAGAGGGCATAGCAAAGGCTAGGGCTTGGAGGAAGGAAAGAGCTTGGCCCAGGAGCAGAAAGGAGGCCGCTGCACTTAATGAGCAAGGGTGAGAGTAGAGCAAGAGTCAGGGTCCAGAACCTTCAGAGCTTTGTGGTATGGTGAGGAGCTTGAGTTTTCTCCCAGGAGCATTGGGAGATCACTAAGGGGTTTTACATAGCAGTGTGACATACCTCAATCCTCATTTAAAGAATTGAGCAGTTTTGTAGAGACTATATTAGAGGGAGGAGAAAGAGGGAAGCAGGAAGGTCAGTTAGAAGACTAGTTCTATGTGGCTGAATTCAGTTCATTCTTTAAGGCCTGATTAAATGTGACCCATTTTGGGAGGCTTTCTCAGTGTTCCTACTTTTGCTTCCATAGAGCTCAATTTACACTTTCATTAAACCAACAATTATATGCAATCGTTAATAATCTGTTTACATGTCTATCATAGGCTATCAACTCGTTTGGTGGATTGCATGGGGAAAAACATCTCACTGAACAAGTAAATTAATGGGAAATACAATAAACAAATAAAAATGAGAAAGAAAAAAGAATTATATGTTGTTTTTCCTTCTATTTCTAGCACTTGGCACTATGCCTGGTACAGTAACAGGTGTTCAGGAAATAAATGTTTGTTGAATTGAATGATGCATCTCTTCAAGGATCAAGACCATGCTTTATGTTTTGAATCCCCACAACAAGAAGCATAATTTAATGTACAAAATAGGCAATGCATAATTTCATGTTGCATACATGAATCTACCTTGAGACTGAATTCCATCAGCACAAGGAATATAATGTGTGATAATAATGTATAGTATTCAAAGCACTTTCCTTCATTGGGGAAATTGTTGCTGAGCACCTATAAGATAACAGGCATTATGTTATGTGGTGCTGGCTAGTACCTGGTTTAACAAGATAGTAAGAGTTCCCTTGAGAGTGACTGTGGTCTTGTTGAAGGAAGCTAAGGAGCAGGGGATCATGTAACAGGCTTGAAGGGAAGAAAGTCAAATTTCATTATCCCCATTTTACAGATGAGAAAACCAAGGCAGATTAAAGTGCATGTCTAAGGTATTAGTTGAGATGCAAACCTGTGCCTTCTGCTTCCAAGTTCTTTTGTTGGCTAGTGGCTCTTGGAAAGAAATGCCACGTCTGGGACACTTGGGCATTTCCCTGTAGAAAGCAATGGTTGTCTCTAGGAGGCACACCATGGTGAACGCTTCTGAAGCATGGAATTTGCAGCTGGAGGAGACCCTGGAGAGCATTTGCTTTCGCTGCTTTATTTTATAGATAATGAAACTGAGGCCCACAGAAATGAAAGGACTTTCTTTCAGGTTACACAGGTATTTAGTCAGAAGGCCATGCATTCTCAGAGTGAAAAGCCCTTATTCATTTTATTGTTAAGGAAATTTAGAACCAGTGACATGAAATGATTTGTCTAAAATCACACAACTAGGAAATGGCAGAACTCCAACAAGAACTTAGGTCCTCTAGCTCTTAGATCTGTTTTCTCACCACTAATTTGTAGAACACTTAAATGCTTATATCTGTTGTCCACCAAAAGACATAAAAATGTTCATGCCACCTTTTTTAATAATAGCGCAAAATAGAAATAACAAAAACCTTCCTAAGTGGTAGAATGAGTGCTTACATTGCGGTATGGTGACAACATGGAATATTACACAGCAGTGAAAAAGAATGAACTACTGCTTCACAAAACAAACATGGGTAAATCTTAACAGATACAATGATGTGCAAAAGAAGTCAGACAAAAAAAGAGTCCAGACTACATGATTTCACTTATGTGAAATTCAAGAACAGGCAAAATAGTGATTGAGGTCTTAATAGTGCCAGCGGCTATGGCTGATGGGGAACATTAGTGGAACCTTGCAGGGTGCTGGGAATGTTCTGTGTCTGGATCTGGTGGAGGTAACATAGGGGTATCAACATGGATAAAAATCTGCCAATATATCCTCTTAAGATCTGTGTGCATTTCTAAATGCAAGTTATACCTCAATAGATGTAATGAATGAAAAATAAAGTTTCCACTGTCATATCCCATTGTTCTCACTACAGATCTGAGAGGTAAGACCAGGTTTAAGAATATTAGGCTTAGGGAATTTGCTGACCAATCTCACAGCCCAGGGAACATGTCAGCCTAGCCATAAGCTCTGCTTGAAAAAGCTGCTGGTTTTCAGTCAATTGAAGAAAGGTTTTAAAGTTTCTTAGAGAGTTTATAAATGTGTTAATTACAGTCATCAAGATTTTGTATTGCAATAAATGTTTATCTAATGGGTTTAAATTAGGCAATTTACTCAATTTGCTTGTTATTTCCTAATTAACTTCTGAAATCCTCTTTCTCTGACTTTTCAACCTATACCAATAGAGTTTGGATCTAAGAAATTTTATTTTCCTTTTAGCAGTACGTATAGCTTTTTTTCCTTTTTCTTGTTTACCCATCCAAAAGTTCTACAGGCAATTTCAAATGTACATCTGCATCTCTGTTTCTTGAACTTTTGATTTTGTTTTGTTTTAGGGCAAGACTCCTTGTCCCTAGAAAAGCTTACTGCTATTATTTACAATAGAAGCTAATAGAAAGCAAATAAATGACCAATGACAGGAAAGGCTCAAGTGAACTATAATGCATCTGCTAGATGGAATATAATGCAGCCATTAAAATACAACAATAGCTTGGAAAGTGCCTATAATATTGTAAGTGGAAAAAGCGAGCAAAATTGTCCATATAGCATGTCTCAACTAAGCAAAATTACACATGTCTAAAAGTAAAGTATACTAAATGTCAACAATGATTACGTTTAGGTAGGAGAACTAGAGTATATTGTTATTTTCCTACTTTTCTGTATTTCCCAAATTTACTTTAAAGAATATGCACTATATTTATAATTTCAAAAATGACATCTTTGAAGACAAACAAAATTCATTTTCAATATCTTTAAGGCTTCCTTTCTAAATGTATTCTGTTTTTCAAAGCTATTGAGTTTCTCATATTACTAATAACTTTATAGCTTTAAATCAGTAAACTGAAGTTTATTAAGCCCTGACTTGGCATCTAGATCTTCTCATAGCACTATGAGACCTAAATAAAAAAAAAAAATACAATGATGCAAATAAAAGGAACAAAAGTGATAGGGAAAAAATAGAGGCTAATGTAAGAATGAAAACAGTTTATTTTGACCTATTGCTTATTAGACCCTTGAAATCAGTTTTCTCATAAACACTCCCTGATGAAGGTAGATGTGATCATTCCCATTCATTTATTCCACAGACATTTCTAAACACCTATTATGTGTCAGGCACTGTGTTCAATGCTGGGGTTACAAAGATAAGTAACATACCAACATTGTGGCTATATGTCATTTATACCAAAATTATTATACCTAAGAAAAGTATAGCCCTTTATCTCAAGGAAGCTTGCCCACAGAAGAGATGCAAAAAACAGATTCAGAAAGGTTAAATGACTTGTCTCTGTCCCACAGAAGGACAGTGCTAGAGCCAGGATTTAAATTAAGATCTCTTGGGCTTTACTAACATGCTCTTTGTAGCACATCCAGCAGCTTCTCTGCAACATCCTGGTATCGAGGACCATCATATGATACAGACGACGGATGCTGCAGGACTGACAAACTCCTCAGTAGCTGGCAAAGCTTTCCTGAACAATGGAGGACCTCACTGGGCTTTATAGTGGGTAAGATTTAGATATGTGGACATATCGGGGAAGATATTAACAGCAGGCAGGTGAGAATGACCCCATGATCATGGTGCTGGGGTGCAGAAGGGAAGGATGTGCTGGGTTGAGGTTGGGGGTGATTTTCCTTCAGTGAATCACAACTGAGTCCAGTGAATTATGTCAAATATAATGCAGGGGCTGCAATAAGGAATGACAAAGAGCTGGCCTTTGATTCCTCAGATATTCATTAAACATCTATATTTGGTTGGGGGCAAGGAATGAAGTGATACATATAAGCCATCATCCATCTTGGAAGGGAAATGGGTCCATAATCAGATCATGAGGCCAAAACATGGGACAGAATGCTGTCATTTAGCTTTCAGCCTCAAATTGTCACCTCTGCAGAAAGACCCGGTCTGTAGTAGTCATCCAGTCATTTCCCATAGACCCCAATCTTAAATCTATACAGAATATTGATCAACATTGGTTATGTTTCTCAGTTTGTCACTTTTAAACAAAAGTGATTGCTTATCTCTTTTCATTAGAATATAAAATCCAAGAAAGCAGGAACCATGTCTGTCTGATTTCTAGCTGAATTCTTAGATCCTCAAACAAAGCTTGAAAAAGAAAACATTCACTAAATATTTATTGAGTTAATTAAGTGATTTTTTTGGAGCACCAAGAAGGGTTTCTAGCCTGGACAGGAATGGGGCATGGATGTCAGAGAAGGCTTCCTGCAGAAGGTGGCAGTGAGATGGGCCTTAAAGTATGAGCAAGTTCTGTATGGAATCAGGGCAAGAGCGAGAGGGCTGAGGGAAGAGAGGAAGGGCATTCCAAGGCACAGGCAGACAATGGTGGTGAA
This sequence comes from Homo sapiens, assembly GCF_000001405.40. Classification (NCBI taxonomy): domain Eukaryota; kingdom Metazoa; phylum Chordata; class Mammalia; order Primates; family Hominidae; genus Homo; species Homo sapiens. The sequence goes on from NC_000017.11 coordinate 51,810,540, forward strand.
ACGTGCTATGCAGAGGAGCTGGGAAGTGTCAGGCAGGACTTGCCTAAAGATGCAGCTCAAGAAGAAGCCCCGGAAGCTTCCATTTTATTTGAAGGACAAAGGAGATCAATTGGAGAGTTTGTAAGTGGAGATATGACATGATCAAATCAGCATTTAAAAAAATTCAGCAGTATGGAAAGACACATTAGGGTGACACAAGATTGGGGATGAGGTTCCCTGTTGAGAAAAAGTGGCCCCTTACCCTCCAGGAGCTGGGCTGGGACTATCAGCCAGGACTTGATGCTTGCTTGATCAAAATAAATATTTTCTCCAACCACACCAGACAAGGCCACTGCAATTCCAATGGGTCAAGTCAAAAAACAAGATCACCCTATAATAATTTCTGAACACAGGTTGGGCACAGTGGCTTACGCCTGTAATCCCAGCATGGCAGATTACCTGAGGTCAGGAGTTTGAGACCAGCCTGGCCAACATGGCGAAACCACGTCTGTACTGAAAATACAAAAATTAGCCGGGCATGGTGGTGGGTGCCTGTAATCCCAGCTAGTCGGGAGGCTGAGGTCGGAGAATCGCTGGAACCCAGGAGGGAGAGGTTGCAGTGAGCCAAGGTTGTGCCACTGCACTCCAGCCTGGATGACAGACTCCATCTCGAAAAAAAAAAAAAAAAAATTCTGAATGCAAACAAAAAGCATGAACATCATCCACACTATAAAAATGACCAAACAGTCCCCTTTCTTGGCTAATATGAGTGGCTGATTTTTTTATTATACTTTAAGTTCTAGGGTACATGTGCACAACGTGCAGGTTTGATACATAGGTATACATGTGTCATGTTGGTTTGCTGTACCCATCAACTCATCATTTACATTAGGTATTTCTCCTAATGCTATCCCTACTCCAGCCCCCTCCCGACAGGCCCCAGTGTGTGATGTTCCCCACCCTGTGTCCAAGTAATCTCATTGTTCAGTTTCCACCTATGAGTGAGAACATGTGGTGTTTAGTTCTCTGTCCTTGTGATAGCTTGCTGAGAATGATGGTTTCCAGCTTCATTCATGTCCCTGAAAAGGACATGAACTCATCCTTTTGTATGGCTGCATAGTATTCCATGGTGTATATGTGCCACATTTTCTTAATCCAGTCTATCATTGATGGACATTTGGGTTGGTTCCAAGTCTTTGCTATTGTGAATAGTGCCGCAATAAACATATGTGTGCATGTGTCTTTATAGTAGCATGATTTACTATGATTTATTAGTAATGGTTTACTAATTACAGTTTTAACCCTGCTGCATTCTTCCAGCTGTGTAGATAAGATTTACTAGGATATGCAATCTTAGAACTAGCCCCATTTCCTGACAGCACACAGTCCAGAGTGAAGCCCTGCTTCCTTGAACTGTCCTCCAAAGTATCTAAATCTGAATCCTGTAAGTCCCTCCTAGCACCTCTTGCTGATATGCCTCATGATATCTCACACTATGCATTGTCCCTCATAGAAACAGCAATACACTCAACCTGTTCAACAGCAGATGTGTTCCTGCCTTTGTCTGGAAGGCAATGGCACCGCTAAAAGGTTGCTGCAGTCACTAATATGCGGAAGCCCACCTGTACCAGCTCATGCTGATTGCCAAATTTTTAGGAATTTTGCAAGCCAAGTATTAAACCTAGCACTACTACAAATTAAGTTATATAAACTTATAATTGAAGACATTTAAAGATATTAAAAACAACGGTAATACGTTTACTAATTCTTTTCATAATTTTACGTTTTTTTCTGGAGTACATTAGCATTGGTTGCATCTATATGGTAGAGATAGCATAAAATGGTGTCCTACTGTGCATCTGTTTCCAATCCCATGTTTAGTGTCATCATGTTGCTGTGAAATTCACCATAGTGAAAATATTTACACCACTGAAATTGGCAAACACTACAAACCAAGGCTTCTGCTGTGCTTTCTCCAGTTGATTGGTAAACATTTACTAGCACCCCACTGGCTACACTAATCCATGGATGTTGAGGCCTTGAAGAAGATATTGAGAGCAAAGCTGGAGATCTCTGGATGGATTCAAGAAATGTTTAGGTGATAAGGTAATTGATGGAGAAGGAAATTAATTATCTAAACTCTTCTCCTGCCCTCTGGTATAAAAAGTATAAGCATCAGATTTTCTTTGTCTAAGGAGTCCTATCTTTGGGCACTGAGATATCCTTTTGTAATGCTGTCCTGAGTCCCACCTGCTCTCAGGCTGATTGCCTGTCTATGGCTTGAGTACAAGGAAAGGCAAGAAATAGCTCAGGGGAGGATTGCTGACAGCACTCTTGGAGTACTGATGAGAGCCATCAGGATGAGGGGACCTGCTTAACCATCTCCCAAATAGCTCCCCATTTTCAACTAAGAGAACAGTCACAATAGGTGAGCCTTCCTTTTATGTCAGGGTCTGTTTAGAAATACACATGATCAGGTTATTTATTTACTTTAAAAAGTTCAATTGGCATTAAAATTTCACTTGGACTAAATCGGATAATAGAAGAAGCACAGAGTGAACAGAAAAAGCACAAGGTGAATAGAAAAGAGGGTCATAGATAACAGATTAAAAATTATACCACCAGGAGAGGAACAAAAGCACTGTGCTCTGAAGGAAGCAGCTTCCTCTAGTGATGGTATCTGGCACATTAATAGTCCAGGTAATTAATGGTTGTAAAACACTTCAAAAGCATAAAGCACTGCATCAATGCTGAGACATAATTGTGCCATTATATCAGAACGTGGAGCTTCAGTACTGCACACCTACGGTGCAGGTTTTTAAATTGCTGCAGTCTTGGCATAAATCCGTTGGCTTCCATCAGGCGCTGGCCTGCCCCATTCACCCAGGCTGCTGTAAGGGGCCACGCCTGTGCTTACATGTGAAATAAGAAGTGGTCAGCACATGCCCCTCCTCCCCCATGGAGCACTTTCAGATGATCAGGACCTGTTCAGAACTCCAGTAACTCACTCTCAGGTGACCCTAAGGTCAGTGTTATTTTCCATGGTTGTTTGCATGTTTCACCTGAAGGTCTAGGATCATTCCACCTGCTTCTCTTGCCTTCTGTGAAGGGACCTGCCCATGAGAGAGAGCTGGAGCTTTAGTGGATTCTCGATAAAGCTGTGTGCAATTACACAGTGAGGGTGAAAGCTTTCCCCTCCGAATGGCTCCACTCCCACACTAGAATCCTAATGTCCCATAGGATATACCGGCTTTTCCAACCACTCATGGGAAGCAGGTATTATAAAAAAAATTCCTACTTTGTAGATAGGAGAATAAAGGCTCAAAAGGTCAAGTCAAATGCAGAGGGCTCAAGCCTAGCTCTGACCCTAAATCTAGCACTCTTTCTTCAATGTTTCCAAGCTCTCAGGTGGCTTATGCCACTGTTTAATTTTCTACTGCCTTGTTTCCTGCTACAGTCAAAATCATAACCATGCCAAGGACAGAACCCACTGACATTGCAGAGAGTGCTTTTCCAGAGCTCAGAGTGCTTTGGTATTTGTCATTTTAATTAATCTGGTCTGTGACTTCATTTCTAGCTGCATGATCTTCGGCAAGACCTTAACCTCTTGGGGCCTCAGTTACTTCAATTGTCACATTCATTAACTCAACATTGAAGTAAGGTGGGCAAAATTTTATTAGTATTAAATTATTAATAAATATGCATTAATAATGACCTCTTAAACTTTTATAACTCTTCAGAGTTTACAAAGCACTTTCTCAAGTGTCTTCTTAATCTCTTCTTCCAACAGCTCTGGAAGGTCGCTAAGGCAAATGTTACTACTCCAGTGGGAGTGTGAAGAAATTGAGGCCTAGAGGCTCCAGAGGCATTTTATATAAAATGTGTTTTGGGAAAATATTAGTCCCTCAAGATACTCTATGAAGAAATGTACGAGTGGGAAATGCTATGTTGCCTACTTAGAAAAAAGGGCAAGGCAAATTAAAGGCTGTTGTAAGTCCTGCGGTAAGGAAACCTGCTTAATTTTGTTTAAATATGTTTGCTGAAACATATAACCATGAAAGAGAAACTGCTTTCTCTGAACACCTATTAATATTTCATAAAACTAGGTTTTCTGGTGCTCCTGTTCCATGGAACCCTTAGTATAATCAAGACTAAGCAATTTGATCAAGGTCATGTGCCTGGCAAAACCAGTTCTTCTGTTTCTGAGTCAATGTGAAACATTTTACAGCCCTCTGTCCATAACAAATTTAACAACCTTTTTTGTTCAGTTTCCTAGCTGTTTTTGCTCAGTGGAGCTGGGCAACCACTCCAACCCCCATTAAATTCCACTTGTTGCCAATGAAATGCTAAGTTACCTGTACTGAGCAAATTTCACATCACTGTGTAGCTGGCCCAGATTCTCTCTTGTCTCTCTTAAACATCCGGCCAAAGGTACAGGGGTGGGAGTTCAGGGAAAGGTGTAGTGAAATTTCTGGTGTCTTGTTGGCTTTTCTTTCTGAGTTGCGTTGAACATTCCAGAGACAGTACTAAACACCAACAATTAGGTAAAGAGACTAAAACAGCAGTGCTCATCTAGAAGCAGCTCCACCCCCGCCTCCTGCCTGGGGACGTTTGAAAGTATCTGGGGACATTTTTGGCTGTCACCCCAGGTGGGTGCTACTGGCATCTAGTAAGCAGAGGCCAGGGATGATGATGAATGCCCTATGGTACAAGGGAAAGCCTTCTACAACAAAGAATTATCCTGCACAATTATCAAAAGTGCTGATGTGAAGAAACCCTGGACTAAAGGAAGTGAGATGGTTTGGGTTGCGTGTCCAATTATTGAGGCAGCTTGGATTACTGAAGACAGCATTGTTCCGTTGCCTGAGAGTCAGTGTTCAAGCCCTGCTTCACCAGAGTGAGAAAGACTTCTGGGGCTCACTGCCACATAGTTCTCCTCTAATTCCTGGTACAGATAAAATTCATACAGTGAACTCCTCCCTGCCTCTTACCATGGATTGGTAGAGTCCTGTCACTTAGTGCCTGGCAGTGAGCTGCAGGTGAAATGATCAGGCCCCTAAGCCATCCATGAGACCTTCCATCCATGCTCCTTTTTACCATCTGCCGGTAAAATCCAGGGGAGAATTCTGAAATCTGACTGAGATAATGAATCAGGAGTTCTTAAACTTAAGTCCCTAGATCCCCAAGAGGTCAGTGGATACTGGAATTTGAGAGAGAAAAAATGTCCTCTTTAAAAATTTATTTTTAAGTTTTGCAGGTACACAGTGTGTGTGTGTGTGTGTGTATAAAAATATATAAATATAATGGGATACACGAGATGTTTTGATACAGGCTTGCAATGTGAAATAAGCACATCATGGAGAATGGCGTATCCACCTCCTCAAACATTTATCCTTTGTGTTACAAACAACCCAACTACACTCTTGTAGTTATTTTAATGTATACAATTAAATTTTTATTGACCAAAGTTACCCTGTTGTGCTATCAAATAGTAGATCTTGTTCATTCTTTCTAATTTTTTTGTACCCATTAACCATCTCCACCTCCCCCCGGCCCCCTGCTACCCTTTCCAGCTTCTGGTAATCACTCTTTTACTCTCTGAGTTTAATTGTTTTGACTTTTAGATCACACAAATAAGTGAGGACATGCAATGTTTGTCTGTGCCTGACTTATTTCACCTCACATAATGATCTTCCATTCCATCCATGTTGGTGCAATTGACAGGACTGCATTATTTTTCATGGCTGAATAGTACTACACTATGTATGTGTGCCACATTTTCTTTATCCAGTCATCTGCTGATGGACACTTAGGTTGCTCCAAATCTTAGCTATTGTGAACAGTGCTGCAATAGATATGGGAGTCCAGATATTTCTTCAATATACTGACTTCCTTTCTTTTGGGTATATACCCAGCAGTGGGATTGCTGGATCATATGGTAGCTCTGTTTTTAGTTTTTTGGAGGAACCTCCAAACTGCTTTCCATGAAAAATGGCCTCTTTATTGTCACTAACCTCTAATTGAAAGCATTTTTTTCATTATGAATGTAAGCACCAACTATTGTAGTGTTATTGGTATCCACAACTAATTTTCTAATACAAATCAGAAATACTTATTACATCAACTATCTCAAAATATTATTTTTACTCATCACTACTTTGTAATTATAGCAGTTATTGGAGCAGCTGAAAGATCTTGTTTTATAATGCATTGATACAGAAGCACACATATTACCATATTACAAATTTGTTGTATATTTTATTCAATTACAAACATTATTCAGAGAAGGGTCCATAGCCACACCAGACTGTCAAAGAGGACCACGGCACAAAAATATTGAGTTGCTGCTCTTGGTGGAAGGAGCTTGGTTCCTGGATGACTGCATGGAGCAGAGTCCTCCCTTCCACCAAAGTCCTGTCATCCCACATTGGGCTATAGTATAAGCAAGGAATAAGCCTTTCTTGTGTTATCTACTGAGATATTGGAGATGTTTGTTAAAGCCATTAGCCCATCCTGACTGGCTGTAATTAACCTTGCCAAACCCTTTAATTGTTCTGAGCTTTGGCTTCCAAACTTGCTCTTAGAAAGAATCTTATCCACACAGGATGGCTGGGAGGAGTAAATGGGAGAACTGGTATGGAAATGCACAACAGATGAAGGGTTTTTTATGGATCATCAAGTGGGGCTGCTTTTTCCCCAAGCCAGAGGTCAACAAACTACCATCCACATGTTTTTGTAAATAAAGTTTCACTGGAATGCAGCCACACCCATTGGTTTACATATTGTCTGTGCCTGCTTTCATAGCAGAGTTGAGTAGTTGAGACAGAGATCCTATGATCTGCAAGTCTAAAATATTTGTCTCTTTAAGAGAAAGTTTGCCAACCTCTGCCCTAGGCCTTACTTTTCTCCTGTAAGTGATGGTGGGGAGGGATGCATGGCAGACTCTTTATGCAGATAAAAAGCCTGGGAGGATGCTACCCTCCTCAGGCTCAGTGGGATGCCTGAAGCTGGGCACAAGGGAACACACAGCATGCCTGCCACCTACGAACACTGGGCCAACTGAATTTAAAGCCAGAACCTGTAGCCCCTTTGTCACTTGCTTGAACTAGTTAACTGTATCGATGCATACATGGGTTTGTTTCCTTTGATGAGGTAGGCCGACATCCTCAGATCTAGAAGGCATGCATGGGGCAGAAGACCAAAGCTGGTTTGTCCCATATCTTTGCAGTGGTACATCCCTTCATATCGGTAGGTAGCAGTGCAGAAGATATGCTCACGCCCAGTCTACAGATAAGGAAACTGAGTCACAGAGGGGTTAAGGGAATATAGGAAGGAAACTACCATATAAAGACAAGCATAGTCAAAGAATTTGCCCACCGTGGTGTAATTAGTAAGTGGCAGAGCTGGAATTGTAACCTAGCTTGATTCCATGTCCAGCAGTCTATACAACCCAACATTGCTTTCTCCATCATTTTCACTGCTGTTAGTATCATCATCTGACTGCCTTTGTGTAGTGTATGTGTTTGCCAAGTATAGCTGTGACAAGGCTGCTGCCAGAATGGTCTTTCAAGTGATACAAGTCAACCCTTGTTTATCTCTGCTGTTGAATTGCTGTGTGATCCTAAGTAAGTCACTTAACCTCTCTGAGCCTCACTCCATTCAACTGTCACGACAGAATTGTAATCCTTATCTTACCTCACTTTGTAATTGGGAACTCATTTAAATAAGAAAGGAAATAAGTTAGCTGAGTAAATCTTTCTTTTTTAAGTCTGCACTAAAAGAAAGTTATTTTTCTTTGCAATATTCACAAAACTGACAGCTGCCAAAATTAGCATCTGACTCTTTTTATTTAAGTATATCTTATTTGCTTGTATTACCGCAGCACATCGTAGAATGATGTCCTAAATGCCCTTCCAACGCTGGCATTACATCTTTCTAAACCAACCCTTCTTTTAGCTGTTGAAGAAACAAGCATCTAGGGAGGCAAAAGGATTTGCTTTGTGCCTCCTAGGAAGTATGAGCTGAGACTAGAACTCTGATCCTTGGTTCCTAGGGCCCTGTGTTCTCCACACTACTTCACTGACTCCTGAAGGAGGGATCGCTTTCGTGATGATGGTTCTCTGAGTGCAGAAGTCACACCTAATGTGTTCCTTTTCTTTCAGGGTAGATGTGCAACATTAAATTCACCAGCTTTGGCTTCAGAAAGACCTGGGTTTCCATGGTGCCTCTGCCACTGACAAACCATGGGATATTGGGCTCTTTTATTTCCCTCCTGCAGATTCTTAGCTTCTCCATGTGTAAAACAAGAATAATAATAGCCCTTACCTCACGGGTGTCAAGAGGTTAAGTAAGATGATGTGGATAAAGCATGTAATGAAGTCCCTGGCATGTAGTAACACTATAAATGCAGCTGTTATCATAGTTACTGTTTTAGCTGCCCAACATAAGGCTCCCACATCAAAAGCCTCCTTTGTACAATTTACTCATGGGGCAGGAAAGAGGCTGTGATGTATCATCCTGAGGTCCATAAAAAGGATGCTAAAAAAACAAGTCATAAGCAACCATGGCTATCTGCCCAGTTTTATAATTGAGAAAAACAGCATCTTAGAAAATCACTGCTAGTTTAGGTCTCTTGCTTGGAATTACTAAATGTGAATTTAAATATGTATTTATTTTGTGTGCTGGTGTCAGCAAGTGTGGGTACTGAGGAAACCATCCATATACACTTTAAACTTCCTGAGTTAGATCTCTTGTGGATGCCTTCTTTCTGGTCAAGCGTTGGTATTGGCCACTTGATTTAATCTGCACTTGGGGCAGCCTCCTTCCTGGCCACAGAGCTGATCCTCACCTTGGTGGCTCCCGAGATCCATGGCACCACAAACCCTTACTATGAGATGTCTTGAAGCATTAAGCTTTGATGAAATTATGCCCAGGAAACAGGCCTCTTAGCCACTGACAGAGGTCACAGGCTCGCTGGCTTACACAAAACCAAGCTCTTGGCAGAGCCCTGCAGGGATGGGAGCTGTTTGGGGCTAATTAGCCTCATTAAGAAACTGCTGATGAGCTAATGGAACTGAAATGTGGTCACCTTCTGAAGTCACCTAGCAGATTTGCAGCCTAAAAATAAAGTAACTTTCCAGCAGTTTCCCAAGGCCCCAAAGCCTGTGCTCATATTTCTTCTAAGAGGAAGTAGTGCAGGTGGGATTCTCTTTCCAGCTGGGCCAGAGCCTAGAACACGGAGGGGCTTCCAGTCCAGTGAATAACTCTCCCCTCTCTTCCTGTTGCCTCCAGACTCAGCCTCCAGAGCTCTACTCAAATCCTGCTCCCTACTGGGAAATGTATGCTCTCTGTCTCTGTCTTTCTCTCCCTCTGTTTCTCGATTTCTCTGTCTCTGTCTGCCTGTTCCTCTTTGTTTATCCCCCTCTCTGTCTCTCCCTTTGTCTCTGTCTCTGTCTGTCCTTGTTTGAGGGTTTACTCTGTGCTGAGTTCCCATATACATTTTCTCACTTAATCATTATAAGAACCTGATGAGGCTGTTACTGCCATTGTTCCTGTAATGTAGATGAGGCACAGAGAGGTTAAATGACTTGTCCCAAGTTCCACAGCTTGCAAGTTGCCAGAATTTGAACCCAAGAAGTCTGACTCCAGAACATGAACCTGAGCGCCGCCCCCCCCCCCCCAGGTAATACCCCCTTCAACTGTGAGTTCTTAGAATGTTGTTTGCACCTACACAATTTCCCACTCCAATGCGTTCTTTTCTTGTGCATGTACAGTGAACCTCCCCAACTGACACACAGTGGGTATTCAGTCAATGTTTGTCGGATGACTCATGGGGTATAATCTTCTGAAGGCAATGAACTTGTTTTATAAACCTGGGGATTCCCCTACCCCCCCCCCCCCGCCCGCCGATTTTCCTGTACAAAGTTAAGCTCCTAGTTTGAACCTGTTCTCTCTTTCTATCAGATAGTCTTTTTATTGAGAAAGTTCTTTCTCATGTCTAGATGAAATCTCTGACGCACAAACCCATTTCCTGTATTCTGAATCATATTTGAAAATTTCCACTTATACCTGAAGACTACTTAATACCAAGCTACTTTAATAGGGCAGAAAAGCACAGAGCTTAGAGTCAGAAGACCTAAGTTTGACTCCCGATTCTGTTATCTATTGGCTGTGACCTTTGGCAATTGGCTCTAGATTCTTGAGCTTCAATTTTCTCATTTGTAAAATGGGCATACTAGTATCTACTCATTTAGAGCACGTCCCAGAATTAGTGTGAGGGTTATGTTAGATAATACATTGCATCTAACTTGTACATCAGTTATTATTCTTACCACAAACTGGATGCAGAAGTGTTTCTTTTTGGTAGAATAACTGAGCAGTGATTTATTTTGGATAGCAAATCCAGTAGAAATCTTGAGGATTGTTACCCCAGGTGGAACTCCTTAGTAGAAGAGCTGTAGCTGATTAATTTCTTCAAAGATCCATGCTCCCTCCCTCCCTTAATTCCTCCCTCCCTCCCTCCCTCCCTCCCTCCCTCCCTCCCTCTCTCCCTTCCTTCCTCCCTCCCTCCCTCCCTTCCTTCCTTCCTTCCTTTCCTTCCTCCCTTCCCTCCCTCCCTCCCTCCCAATATTTATTGTGCAATGCCAGGTACTAGATGCTAAGTGCTGGATATTCAGGTGCTAGATGCTGGGTAGATGAAACCAAATGAAAAAGCTCCTTCCCTTCATGGGAGCCCACAGTTAAAAAGGAAATAGAGACAGGTGAATCCCTAACCACCTTGAAGTAGGCCAAGTGCCATGGACAGGTGGAAAGAGGGAAAGTCAATATTGAACGACCATCCACTAAACCTTGGAATCATCACTGACTCCTCAGTTTCTCTTATATCTTGCAGTCCATCTATCTGCAAATCATGCCAGCTTTACTCTCAAATACATCATGAATCTGATCATTTGTCGTCTCCCCGCAGCTGCTCCCTTGGTCCAAATGATTACCAGCTCTCCCCAGAACTAATTTGAATAGCCTCCTAATTGGCTTTCCTGCTTTTACATTCACTCCCATCCAGTCTAGTCTACATCCAGGGGTCAGGAAGAACTTGTAAAAACTGAAGTCAGAACATGTCACTCCTCTGCTCAGAGCTCCTCAGTGGCTTCTCATTTCACTCAGTGTAAAATCTGAAGTCCTCACAAGGTTCTGGATAATCTGGTCCTGGATACTCTCTGCTCTCTACCTTCCACTTATACCTGAAGACTACTTAATACCAAGCTACTTTAATAGGGCAGAAAAGCACAGAGCTTAGAGTCAGAAGACCTAAGTTTGACTCCCGATTCTGTTATCTATTGGCTGTGACCTTTGGCAATTGGCTCTAGATTCTTGAGCTTCAATTTTCTCATTTGTAAAATGGGCATACTAGTATGACCTGTGGTCACCCCTTTCCAGCCCAGCCCACACACATCAGCCTCCTTGCTTGGCCCTGATGACTTCCAGCACACACTCACCTGAGAGTTTTTACAGAGACTTTGACACCAATCCTGGCCTAGACTATCCTTTCTACAGATATACACATAGATCATCCCTCACTTTCTTTAGGCCTTTGCTCATATCTCATATTAAAAACCCCATCCTTGGCCAGGTGTGGTGGCTCACACCTGTAATCCAAGCAGTTTGGGAGGCTGAGGCAGGCAGATCACCTGAGGTCACCACAACTAGCCTGGCCAACATTGAAAACTCTGTCTCTACTAATAATACAAAAATTAGCTGGGTGTGGTGGCGTGTGCCTGTAATCCCAGCTACTCAGGAGGCTGAGACACGAGAATAGCTCGAACTGGGAGGGAGAGGTTGCATGAGCCAGGATCCACCACTGCACTCCAGCCTGGGTGACAGAGCAAGACTTTGTCTCAAAAAAACAAAACAAAAACAAAAACAAAAACAAAAAAACAAACAAAAAACAAAAAAACCATCCTTGACCACACTCACTCATTATTACTACCTGCATTCTCCCATTATTACTACTCTCCTGCTTAATTTTTCTGGACATATATAAATTGTTTAGGTGTTTACTGTCCTTCACTCCATTAGAATGGAATCTGGTTTGGTTCAGTATTTCTAGTAACTGTAACAGTGTCTGGCACATAGTAGGTACTCAATAAATGTAAGTAGGAAGAATGTGTAGCATGGTGCACTAGAGACACATAAAAGGGGGCATCTAACTGGACTTGGTCATGGGTCCCTCTTGGAAATCTGCTCTAGGTTTTGAAGAATTGAAAGGTGTTAGGCAGGCAGAAAAGGAGGGAAGAAGGTATTTGATGGGGGGTCCAAATATCATGTGAGAAGACTCAAACGAATGAAAGGTCATGATTCATTTGTGAAATTTTTGGTGCTTCTAGATGGAATGACAGCCAGAATCCTTCTACAATGGCCTAAGGAGGAGACACAGCCTTACTCAACTGCCCTCCCCCACCCACTTTTGCTGCTTAATAATCCACTAGAGGTTTTATCAACAGAGAGATTTTAAACATTTCCCCAAGCCCTGCCTTTTCTAACCTGGGCAGCGCTTTATTTATTTACTTATTTTACTTTTGTTTTCCTTTTTGTGTTTTCTCTGATTTTTAACAGACATCGAAAGTCCAGATGAAGAAGAGGGATCTTTCCTTTCTTTACATGTTGCTGTGCTGAAAGCCAACAGCCAGGAAAGGAGTTAGCGAAATGCCCAGGCGGTCACATCAGAACCTCAGCAAAGGGCCACATGGCTGGGCCAGGACAGATCAGCAGACTCCAGGAAGCCACGGTGGGTGTATGCACTCAAGTCACTGCAGTTCAGAGTAAGGAGCAGCCCTCCAGTTCCAGCCAAGGGCGACGGCTTTGCTGGTGTCCTCTACTCGTGGTTGGACGCTGCTTTGGAAAGGAATCATGTTCACTTTGGATACCAACTGCCAAGGGGCTGCTTTCCAGTTCTGCCCATCATTTTTACTCTCTTCTGCATATCTGGGTTCTCCTCTGTTCTCTCGGGAAGGAACAGGATGAAGCCTAGTTGTGCTCACTGTAGAGGGAGAACAGGGTGGAACTTTTCTGATTACTCCATTTTCCAGGTCTCAGAGCCAGAGACCTTCATGCTCCCACAGCTGAACCAGTGGATGATGACAACTCTTAAGACTTGAACACTGTGTCTGTGCAGTTAGTGCTCTTAGTGGTAGAATTGTTAGAACTGCCCAGAGTTCTGGAGTTTCAGCTTCATAGGTAGCAGCATAGCCATGTCTGTGGGTCCCAACCTGTCATTCCAAACTTTTCTTTTTCTAGCTAGAGCAACATAAATCATTTATTAAGTAATTAGGCTATGTTAGGCATTGTGACACATTAGACATAACTGTCTCACTTATTCCTCTTTATAACCTTTCTCAAAGCTTGTCCTTCTTTCTTACCCCTCTCTGCTGCCATCACTGTCACTCCACCCTGGTTTATTTTTCTTCTAAGCATTTACCATAACTAGGCTACATGATATTTCATATTATTTTTACTGATCATTGCTCTCTCAAACTAAGATGAAAACATCATAACAATAGAGATGTTTTGTTTTGTTAACTTATATTGCCTATGCCTCAATAACATAATAGGTGCTCAATAAATATTTGTTGGTAGATGAATGAACATATGAGTTAGGTTTCATGGCTCTTTTACTGAGAAATAAACCAAACGTTTAAAAAGGAGATAAATTACCCATGGTAACGTATTCAGGATGTGGCTGGGATCAGATCTGAGCCAGGATTTAAGCTTGTGCCAGATGAGTTCAAAGATCTCATTTAATACATCCCTTCAGGTAGTTTACACTCTAGCAGGGCCAGGGATTGGCTGGTGTGGGGAAGAGAGGCACCCATCTCCCTGCACAATTTCAAAAGGCACCAACATTCAATAATCAAAATAAATAACATTGTAATGTACTTAAAATAAATAACTTGCAACGTGCTTAAAATAACTTGTAATGTACTTAAAAATTCAGAAGTTTTAATGCCAAAAACCCTAGGATGAACAAAACTTTAAAACTTTAAATAAAGGCAAGATCAGTCTTATTGATTTTTCCCTTTTGCCTCAGACTTCAATATGGCTCAGACCAGCACTGATCTCATCCTTGTTTAAAACGATAACACCCTGACCCCAGCCCTGCACTCTAATCATAGTTATGCGTTGAATCTTTTATTCTTTGGGCATTTCCTCCCTCCAGGCCTTTGGGCAACTGCTCCTAGACTTTGGGATATCGGCCTCTTGAAATATGTGCACGTTTGTGTGTTTTATCTATATTCTTAAACTATGGTGGACTGATCATATACCACTGTGTGACATCTCTCACTGTTGCTTCATAAATTCTGACTTCCTCACTTTACTAAGCAATGGCCATTTGCAGGCGTGGCCTTGGCAGCGGTGCTGGCTAGCCGCTGGTTCGGTTTGTTAGTACCACTGTCTATACTGCCTGCTGTTTAACTTTCGGATCATTTTGTTGCATTTTCTTTATTATTTAGTGATCATGAGTGGAAAACAAAAATGAAAGAGCTGAATCTAGCAAGAGGAAGCGTAAGTCTGCCAATCTAATCTAATAGGAACAAAAATGGAAATCATTAGCCATGTCAAAACAATGCTTTCTCAGCTCAATCAGAGCCTCGCTGCATTTTCCTGTTGACTGTGTGTCCACATGTGTAAGAAAAGAAGAGGATTAAAGAATGCATAAAACTGCTGAAGGTATATTATCGAAAACTGTGTCAAAAGCTGAAGTTAAATTAGGCTTTGATGCTTTTTTCCTTCTTTTTTTTTTAACTCTGCTGGGACCATCTTTGTAACATTATTAAAATTATTAATGTAGAATATACTCTTTACCAGGCCCTCTTCTCAGCACTGCTCATGAATTAACTTATGTAATCCCATAAGAACCCTATGGGGTGTGAACCTTGTCTGTTTTATATGTGCTGCCTATTATAGATGAAAAAGCAGGCACAGAGAGGTTAAGTAACTTGCCCAAGGTCACACAGCTAGTGAGCATCAGAGCACGGACTTAACCCAGTTAGTCTGACTTCAGAATTCCATCTTTTGAACCAGGAACACCAAACCTGTTACACAACATGTACATCAACTGGACTTCACATATTTCACTTTTGCACGTTTCTGTTTTCAATTGCATACTCATTACATACAAACATAGTGTCTTGCCTATGACTCTCTCCCATTTTTGCTCATCCTAACCTTTGCCTTTTCTAAGGCTCAGATAAAAGCTACCTCTTCCATGATAAAGGAAACACAACAAAATGATTCGAACGTTGCACAACAGGCAGTATAGACGGTGGCTCGGACAGACTGAACCAGTTGCCTTCCCTGATACTCCAAGATAGGACTTCTGTATCAATCTTAGCATGCCCATATGCCCATAGCACTTAATTTCTCAATTTTCTCAGCGTACTTTATTGTTCTTTCACTCTACGCACTTATAATCTGTCTTAATACATTGTGTGTATTTCATCTTTGCATTGTGCAAAATAGCAATGGTAATAACTACTTGCTGAAGTGGGTACAGAGGAATGGGGCCTGCCCAGTAGAATGGCCTTTCAGCTCCTGGGAGGCCTGAGGTTTCTGTGGATTTTCTATGACCTTTTTATACTGCGGATGGAAATTATAAAGTGCTATATACACGTGGAAGAACTGAAGTGTACTATCTACTGGAAAGTGAAGCAGCAAGTGACTAATGACAACGTCCTTTCATGGAGATGACCCTTCTGGGACACCGTCAGCAAAGTTCATCATTGACATGGTGGAAATTGCACCAGGTTGGTTCCGGGAAATTCTGCCTTCAGGTTCCAACGTGACCTTTCCAGCTCCAACGTGAGGAAAGCAGCTTCTTCTTGTGTAAAATATGGATAATTACTCCTGCTCTGTGTACCTCACGGGCTGTTGTGACAGCAAATGAAAGATGATATGAAAGGACTTCATAAGCTATGAAGCAATGAGGCAGTTGGAAGGTGACCAGATTTTCCCTGGGTGGATTTAATCATGCTTAATTCATTTTCCATGCATCCTTCAGAGCCCTGCTTGTGTGGACATTCAGAGTTACCCCTAGCTCCTGCCTCCACTCTTTCCCACCTGTTTCTCCTCTGGGAGGCCGGCCTTTAGGGTCAGCAGTGGCTCCCTTACTCTCAGGCTGCTAGTTGGGTTTGGCCAATGAGGGGCCCTGGCAGGAGACTGGAGTGAGGAAGGAATAAGAAGCCAGGGTATTTATTCTATTGTCCTCTCCCTACTCAGGGTCTCATTGGTCTGGCTATGTCCCTCAACTGAGGTCACTGCTGCCCTCAAGGCAGCCCTCTCTACCTAGCCCTCTCATTCAAATAGCTAAAGGCAGTGACAGCCAGTGCTGGACACTGCATTCTCCCTGTGGTTTCTCTACACCCTGCACACACGTTTGCAAACAGTCCCTCTACCAAACTCGCCTCAAGTTCTCCTAATAAGTGCTATCATTTCCTACTGGGACCCTCATGATTCATCTCCTCAAGGTTTTACTTTCTTTATGAGGCCTTCCTAGCAAACCTGGACCCAGCAGACAGCTACTCCACCTGGCACTGAACTCAAAGCTCTCACCGTTTTTACCAGTTTTGGCAAAGTGAATACCATGGAACATTCAATCTAATGGATAGTAGTGACATAAAAATTATTTTCCAATACCTTTGGGAGACACAAAGTTAAACAGACTATATCACTACCACCCCCTTTTATTTTCAATCTGCAGGACTTCTCAGAGCATTTCATTTGCTTTTGTGCATACTATGCACCACTAGGAGAGAAACACGCACACACACACACACACACACATACACACACACATACACACACACACAATTAAACTGTAAGAAGCCTATTATAAAATGTATCACTAAAGATGTTAAAATGTGAAAAAATGTTGGTCTTAGAATTGATGGAATATGATAACATGTAGACATTACAAGCTTTCTTACTTGAGGAACACTTTTTGGAAAGAAAATCTCACAGAACTAGAGCTTTAGGGACATATTTTGGCAAACTCTTACACCTTTTACTAGCTAACAGCATACACAGTGTCTATATATTTATTTCATGATTGCATTAAAGTAGCTATAGATGATTAATCTCTTGCTGGCAGGTAATCGTTACTAGTCCCATCTTTAGACATAGAGTTAACACATCCTATGGGCTCTGTGAGTACTTGGTGGTTGAGGAGGCTCTGTGGCACAGACTGGCTAGCTCTTTACCAAGCCTGGTTCTGTTTCCTCCTGTACACAAAATGAACTGCATCTCCCAGCTTTCCTTAAACTTAGGTTTGGCCATGGGAGTTCTGGCTAACAGAATGTAGTCAGAAATAATGTGGACCACCTTCAAGCCTGGCCCATAAAACTCTCCCCTTTTTGTTCTCTTCTCTCATATGCTGGCAGGATGTCAACACCCAGGACAAACTTGGAAACCTTGCATTGAAGATGGCAGCCACTTCTTCAGCCTCCATCTCTGAATACATGAACTTCCACTACACCCCTCTTCCCATTGCCACTGTTTGGACTTAGAGTGAGCAAGAAATAAATTTCTACTGTACAAAGTCACTGAGATTGTAGAATTCATCTGTTACTGTGTCTGGTGTTGTACAAACTAACACAGCCTCTTGTGACTAGGGAGTTAGGAGGTCTAAGGGGGTGGCCTATGGCTGGGCACTGCAGACAGTGGTTTTCGTGGAGGTTATATACAGCCTTGGCCTCTTCAAACTCAGAACATCTATCTGCACCCAGTCTTCTCTCTGAAGTCTCCCACATGTCCTAGCTAGTCTGGATATTCTCTTGCCCATTCTTCCTGCTCCTGTGCACATAACTGTATGCAAGCATTTGTTAAATTGCTTTCATTTCTCTGCATACATGTTGATCTTCCTCCTCTGACCATGAGTTTCATGGGGTCAGAGACCTTAATGTATTATTGTCCCTACTCTTAATGTTTTATGTGGGGCTTGGCATTGGGTAGATACTAAAAAAAAAATTTACTGAATGAACGAATTCCTAGGACTTATTATAGCCAAAATAAGGCATCCCAAACTTTTACTTTCCCACATATTTAGACTACCTCCCAGTAAATTCCACCATTGAAACAAATATAAAAACTAACTCAAGACACTCCAAGAGGAATCAAAGCTTCAAGAACAACAAACATGGAAAACAAAACAATTTTTATGCTCAAACTTTCCAGTAGGGTGCTGTCATAGCTAAATGCATTTTGTTCATGGAATAAATCTTTCAAAGATTTACTGGTAAACATTTATGTTGAGTTGCTTCATCTTTTTTGTCTTTTTCTCATTAATAATATGTGAATAATAAAAATACCTCATTGATATGAAGAGTTATGTTAAAATAGTGCATGGCACATAGCCAGGGCTCACTAAATGTTAGCTATTTTCATTACATCACAGGTGAAGAGTTTCATTCCGTGATTTTATTAAGATGTCTGGTTGTTACTTAAGTCAGTAAACCACCCCCCAAGGTCAGTTCCAGCTCATAGCCTGTGTTTGTATGGCCCTGCAAGCTGAGAATGGTTGTCATATTTTTAAGGGATAAAACAAAAAAACAAAGGAGAGCAAAAAAAGAGCATGCCTAAAATATGTACTGTTTGGTTGTTTACAGAAAAACGTTTGCCAATCCTTGCCTAAGGGTAACAGCTCAAAGACTGCCCCCATGGATGTGTCTGGAATCCTCTAAGCAGCCCATTGCAGCTTCCCTGCAGTTTCCTCCTTTAATTTTTAAAATGTTTGAAATCTTTACCAAGTCCGTAGCTTTGGTGGCTGTAAAGATTCATTATACGTATGGATTGTCCAAGCTGTTACAGAAACTGAACAGTGAGGTGCTGAGGCTGTGTTCCATGGGGGTTCAAAAGATTACCCCTGTGACATCTTGCAAAGACAGTGCCATGCAAATGAAGGCAGCCATGAGGAGCTACGTTGAAAAGCTTCATGCTAATACTTAGGAAAAGGAGTCATGAGGGACGTATGCAATTGACAATCAGTACAGCCCTCTAAGCAGAAAGACCACAAAGGGAAAGAGAAGGGAAAGTAGCATTTACTTAGGTACCTAGTATATGCCAGGCATGTGCTAGATGCCTTCTTTAGCATAGCAGCATTTTAATTCTCATACAGTCCAGTGAGGTGCTTATAATTATCACCCCAGTTTTTCAAACAAGGAAACTGGTTTGAGCAAGTTGTTTGCTCAATCAAGGACTCATTCAAACAGGATTGGAGTCCAGGCTAGGCTGATTTATAAGCCCTTGTTCTTTCCTAGAACATAAGGTGTTTCAAACTTTGTTATGAAGTTTAGAAGTAGCCCAACCCACAGAAAGAAAGGGGTCAATATAGACATAAATAGCTCAAAAGGCCGGGCGCGGTGGCTCACGCCTGTAATCCTAGCACTATGGGAGACTGAGGTAGGCAGATCACGAGGTTAAGAGATCGAGACCATTCTGGCCAATATGGTGAAACCCCATCTCTACTAAAAATACAAAAATTAGCCGGGTGTGTTGGCGCATGCCTGTCATCCCAGCTACTTGGGAGGCTGATGCAGGAGAATCGCTTGAACCCGGGAGGCAGAGGTTGCAGTGAGCTGAGATTGCGCCACTGTACTCCAGGCTGGCAACAGAGCAAGACTCCATCTCAAAAAAAAAAAAAAAAAAAAAGAAAAAGAAAAAAAAGAAAAAAGTCAAGAGAGTATTTACACATAGGTGACTGAGCATGAAGAGTGCACTGGGATCCCAGAAAAGTCTCTGAATGTAGGAATGGATAAGATTCCTGCACAGTAGACCAGGGATGCCTTTTTGTTCTCTCTCTCAATCTCTTTTTCTCTCTCTCTCAGATGTACCTGATTTAGAAAAAGTATTGGACTTAAAAAAAAAACAAACAATTTCTGAGATCCATTCCAGCCTTACAATTCTATGCTTCCATGTTTTGTAGTTTCTATTGTTTTTATTCATGAAGAGTTTATGATCAGTTGATGCCAGAAAGTTGCAACTCTTGAATGACTTTAGGAATTCACCTCATTAAATGGCTCTGTCACAACCCTGAGCTTGCAGGGTCAGGGCCCAAGTGTTCCAGGGATAGAAAGCTGGCATTTCTGCTTCAGCAAAGAGGCCAACATGCAGCCTCTCTGCTTACTTAACACCTGACAGAGGGGAGAGAGAGACACGAAACAGAATACTTGACTGACACTGGCTTAAGGAATGATGATGTGTTTGTGTCATCTAGTAGATATTTGCCATTTGTGGCTGCTCCATATCTTCCCCATATTTTAGTTAAATCTCATATTACAAGTCCTCCCTGCTCAAAAACAGGAGACTAGAAAACTGGTATTTTCAGACTCCTTCACAGCTAGACCACAGGCCTGAACTTGGGTTCTATTTTTGCCATTGAAAGTAATGGCAAAAACTGCAGTTACTTTTGCACCAACCTATATCAATCGAATATACCCATGTAAGACTTGGATTCATGAGTGAGCAATGTGAGGGGGTGGCCATGTGTGGGCACTCACTATTCTGAGATTCATCACGGAAGAGGCTGCTACTTCTTCCAAGGAGCCAAGCAGAGCTTCCAGCATTCCAGCACGTGCAGAACTGGAGCTGAGAGCAATAGCTCTGATGGTAATGCTTGCATTGAAACAGTTCCCATGGCATGGTTGGACATTGTTCTTGTCTCTGTAGTTTTAAAGCTTGGCTCTCTCTGGCCCTCATGGAGAGTCTGCAAGTCCCCTAACATCCTTTTAAATTATTGTTTTTTAAAATTTGAACTAGCCACAGTGGAAGCTGTTTGCAGTTCAGATTCCTGACTACAGTGGATGCTGTTGTTTGCAATTCAGATTCTTGTCATGTGACAAGAAGTATGGGGCAGGAATAGGTGATTTCAGGGTTGCTGTGGTGGCTCAAAGTATCAGTAAGGATTCAGCCTCTATCTTCCCATGTTTTGTGAGTTTACTTTTTATCTTAAAGTTGGTTGTCTAAAGGTCACTGTCAATGACCAATAAGACTATCAATGGCTCCAAGTAGCACATCTTTTCAATTTATTTTTCCAAGAAGAAAAGGAAAACAAAAAAGAGGAAGGCATCTTCAAAATGGATTGTTCCAAGGAGAAAAGAAAAAGCAGCAGCAGCAGCAGCAGCAGCAGCAGCAGCAGCAGCAGCAGCAGCAGCAGCAGCAGCAGCAGAAAAAGACCTTCCTTCCACCTTATTTTTCACTGACTGGACAGGGTTATAAGGTCACCGCTAGTTGCAAAAGGATCTGACAAGGAAGAATGTGATAGTCATGGTTAGCTTAGACCAACCATGCTTTATTACAGGGGGCAAAGACATTCAGATTCTACTATTAAGAAAGAAGGGAGGGAAGGGGTTGCTAGATAGGCAACTGATGCCTACCAAAATCCCACTCCAAGCTTGCTCCCTCGTTGACAAGATCTGGCAATGGGACTCCGCTCCTAGAAGAGGGAGATTTCCTAGAAGATTCCCATTCCTGTTTTCCCCAGGCCAACTTCTAGGTGCTTCAGGGCCTTCAGTTGAACCCATTGTCAGAGAGACCTGGGTTTGAATCTGGCTCTTCCACACCCCCAGTGCCACCTGGGCAAGGGTTTCCTCACTTCTCTTTCTTCATCTGTAATGTGGGGATAGCAATAGCCCTGCCTCATGGATTGTTGTGAAGACTGAATGCTATAGTAACACTCAATTCCTGAACATGATAAGCAATAACTATTTTAGAAGGAGGAGGAGGAGGACTAGTGTGGAGTATTCTGATACATAGTCCTTCTAGGGAGGGTGACTGACAACACATGTATATAACCCGGTAATTTTAGAATAGAGGTAGTTGATACCATGTGTAAGGTGAGGGTTTCCTCAGACATGTGCTTACAGGTGTGTTGCAAAACAATGTTATGTGCATCAGCTTATTTAATCTCACATAACACCTTTATACAGGTGATGACTCAAAGGCTTAAAGATGCTCATGATGGATCTGAAGGAAGAATCTGGTAAGTGTTGGGCAGAATCACTCATCCAGTTATACCTGGGCTCTTTGCATTCAACCTCAGTACCTGGAAACTGAACAGGAATGTCAGTAGCAGATTGCCTGATGACCATCGAGGATTTATCTGGAGAAAAACCAGGAGCTTTAAGGTGATTTTCTTTAAGTATCAGCAGCACTGGCTTGTGAAGCAGCAATTTCACATATATGTTTAGTCTCCAGAGATTGAAGATAAGGATCACATTACTGGAGATAAATTTTGAACAACACAAGAAAGGACATGGGGTATAAGCTACGCAACAGTGAAATGAGTGGCCTTGGGGAGAAGTGAGTTTCCTATCACTGGAGGTAATCAAGCAGCACATCACCTATAGAGGTGATCCATGCTTCAAATGGAGGCAGGGAAGTATGGGTGGAGGCTTCTGAGGTTCTTTTCAGTTCTAAGATCCAAAATTCTATGAGAGCTACAGGCAGGTCAGCACCAGCCACACAGGAGTTTCTGGAATGGATGGAGAGGCCCTTCCAGCTGAGAGGGGTGCTGAATTTAAAGAGGCCCTCTGGAACCAAACACAGGTGTAGATTCCTCTGCTCTTCCCTTAGTGCCTCTGCTGGGAGAATGACGATGAAGTCCTCCAGGTATCCAGGCTTCTCCCTTGAGCATTAGTGAGAGTAGCTTGTTCTGAAAGGGGAGCCGGCTGGCCATTCTCACTGATGGATCTCAGGAATGTCACCACCCTGGAGGCCAGGATAAACCAATGCATCCTGTCCTCTTGTCAACATTCTTTCCCTCCAACATGACACAGATTAAGAGCTTATTTTCCAACAGCCTTTGATGCATTTTTAAACATTTACCCTCAGGATTATTCCTCTTGTTCTCCCAACTTCTAGCCAGCTGATTAAAATTCTAGCTCAATTGAAATACTCTTTCAAAGTGGGCCATTCAGAATTAAGCAAAAAGCACTGAACTTACTAGAGGTCTAGCACTTTTGATTAATCTTTAATTAATACTTCACTTTAATTTTCAATGCTACCTTTAAAACACAGAGCTGTGTTCAAACCACAAACTCATTATCTTATCATTTTGAAAGGCAGGACTGTCTGTCAGAGTATAAGAAAAGGGTACTGTGTAGTAGTCTTTTCCTGGAAGTCAGTTTTGTAAAATTTTCATTGATAGACAGTAGTTCTGAAATATGTATATATATATTAGAAAGCAACCATCTTCCAAAAGATCTAAAGAATCAGCTGGGAGAAAATTATGGTAACACAGGGTAAAATAATATTGTGCTGTGTTGACATAAATTCATCTTTGTTATTTATCCTGATGATTTTATCTTTTTATTGGTGTATCACATTGCTGAAAATATGGTTTATAATTTAATTTCCACTGCCAAGTACGGAGAAGCCACTGGAGGCACTGTAATGAGGAAAGAATAGTCATGGTACGACCATGGAAAAGGATGCGAAGATGATTTATGTAACTTTCTTTTCCTATTTACAGTTTATTAAGTCACTGTCTTTTTGCAATGGCCAAGTGAAAATTAAAGCACTTCAGAGAAGAACTTGGGGTTCAGCATCATTAGGGGAAGAGGAATGGATGCCTTGATGAACTTGACTATAGAAATCTATAGAGCACAACTTAATCAGCCTTCAAATTGATCTTGGATGCTCAAAAGCAGGTTTAAGACTGAACAAATCTTTAATGCATATCCTTTCCCTTTGAAAAGCAACATATGATGCATGCATGAGAATGATTTAGAGATTTTTCCCAGACTTCAATTCATAAAGTAACTGCATGTAGCACTTTTTGGGATTTCATGGGAAAACAGGAAAAGAATGGACACTCTTCATGGACCTGCCTCCTTCCTCAGATTCTCTGTTCATGCCCCTGAAAGACATCATCTGTACAATGGCAATTACTTAGAAGAAAGGGAAGTCGCTTGTTGTCCAAATGATCATAATAAAATCGAGCCACTAATGTTCCACTTTCTCTTTAACTGCAGGTTCAGAGATGCCAGCAGACTCCATGCTCCTGGGCTGGCAAGGAGCTGTGAGGATCATGTAGCACATGATCTCCCTTCCCCATGAGGAGCAGAAGCTTCCACATGAGGCAGGTGACAAAGTAATAAGGCTTTAGTGTCACACAAATGTGACTTTGAACCCATACTTCTCCACTTACTGTGAGTCCTTGAGCACGTTGTTGAAATTAGTTGAGCTCCAGATTCCTCAACTGCTAAAAGGTGCCAATTAAACTTACTTTATATGGTTGTCGAGGGAATTAAAGATACTCATTAGTGGGGACTAGAGGTAATGGCAACCATCCTAGTGTCATGCAAAAGCAGACTTTATTGGGCAAATTTATGGGCAGAGGATCAGTATGACAATTCTATTCGGTCCTCTGACAGACAACGGTTCCCAGGAGCTGAGTTGGCCAGATATAGTGTGAGGTTGTGCTCTGGGAATGGGACCAACCCTTCCCTGCTACTCTAGCTGTATATAGGAAGAATATGAGAGAATTCTCAAAAAAGCAGCAAAAGCAATCTGACCTTGTGCCCCGGCTGCTCAATGGTGTTGTAGATAAACATCTTGCAACTGGACATCAGCTTCTCAGGGAGGTATTTATTCCTAGACTGATGTCAGCCCCCATTTGCAGGTAGTCTAAGCCCCTCCCACTGGAAGAGTTAAGAGTTAACCACAGAGAGCGATACATGCTGGGTACACAAGGTGGGGCAGATGCTTTCAGCAGCAGGCAGCAAGGTTGGCATTTTAGTAGAGGCTATGCCTTGGAGTATACGGTTGAGAAGAGAGACCACTTTCCCTTGACCCATATATTTTGTGAGTCAAGATTTACTTTGTGGCACTTCAGCGGTGGAACTGTGGCCTGCTGACAACACAGCTGTACTTCTTAAACATCCCAGCTATCTATGGCTTGCCACTGCCATTCAGCAATCAGGCTTTCCTCCTCTGCTACATGGTGAGTTCAGTATAGGCACTGAAAGCAAACTAGCAGAAGGCAAAATGAAATTAGGTTTCTAAGAAAGGCGTTGTTATCTTTCGATTCAACAAAATAAACATTCACATTGTACCTCCTTGGTGCCAAGAAATGGAGCAATGGGAGGGGGTTTAATACCAGCAACAATAATTCCTAACAGTTATTGAGTTTGTCTGCCTCCAGGCAGTGCTCTAAGTACTTTATGTGTTTTATAAAAAAATAACATATAACACCTGCCTTTGATTTAAGTGGGAAGTCAGCTACTTAACCAACCTAATAGGCAGTGCTAGTGCTCAGTGCCATAAGAGTGTAATAGACAAAATGCTACTGCAGCAGAGAAGGGTTGCAAGGAAGGTCAGAGAAGATGACATTTGAGCTAGAAGGGTAAGAATTAGCCACATAGAAGAGGAATGGAAGGAAGAACATGAATAAAGGCATGAGATGGAATAAAGCCATGATAATGGTGTTGATGATGATGGTGATTAAGACCCAAGGGCAAGGAGAGGAAAGAGAAGGAGGAACAGAAAAAAAAATTAAATAGGATGTAACAGATTTATACTCTCAGCCATCATCAATATACCTGTCAGTGCAGGTTTATGTTTCCATACACACTTTTCATTCATGGACTGGGAAGGGACTGAGAAGCAAACACAAATAGGACTACAACAGTCTTTGTTGACTTGGCCAAAAAGCAAGGCATCCTGTCTATAGGCTAAAGGTTGGTTCTCCATTTCTCACTGCCATTTTAGGTAAACACACTCTTAAGAAAAACTGTCATTACTCCTCTTGTGATCTTTCTTCCAAAGACCCCATGAATCCTTTGTAAATTTGGTGAGGTGCTCTATGTAAAAGCACTTTGAGAAAGGTAGCAGGACCCAACGTGGAGGCAAAGGCAGTCTGGTAAAGAAGTCAGGTTTCTCCTTTGCAGTGAGCTCACAGGATGGAGGCAGCCATGGCCAAGCTGTCTAAGGGCAGAGGTACCACAGCACAGGCACGGGGCACTTGGGTAACCCAGGTCTTTCCCCCACTCGCCTGTGGGGAGCCCCCACCCTTCCCCACCAGGTAGTAAAGGCTCTGAGAGAAGAAAAAGACATGGGTTCATGCATTCGCAAATGCTTAACATTTGTGAAGTGCCGAGGCCAAGTGATTTGGACACCTTTGTTAAGGATCTCTCAGTGTATGAGGAAAAGAGACTTGTAAAAAAATAACCGCATATAACATGTTGAATGTTATAAAACTGTGATGGCACAAAGGAGGGAGGCAATTGATGGGGAGGGGTTTGATAGGGAGGGTGTGGGTACAGTAAATACTCCCCAAAGAGGAATATACTTGAGTATAAGAGAGAGAAAGGAGCTTGTTATGCGTTTTAATTCTTAGTGTATATACTTACCTCTTTCCATTGGAAGGTTTTACTTGGCAGGGCATAAGGAGTAATGAAGGAGGGAAAGGGGGTGTAAGGCTGGGGAGAAAGAAGGATGTGGGAGTGAAATATTGTATGAGCATTTATAATGCCATAAGAAACAATATGTATACATTGATTTGAGTTCAGACAACACACACACACACACACACACACAAACACACATGCACACACATACACACAACTTGGGAAGGTCAGTGAAAAGATTGAGGTTAGTGCTATGTAAGCTCCAAGCCTTCAGGAAGATCCTCCAAGGAAGAGATCCTGAAGGCAAAACTGAGTTAGCGGGCCTTTGCACAGCTTTCCTTTGCAAGTCCGGTGTCCAGAAAATATGAACCTCCTCTTTTAGCATTATCCTGGTACCTGTTATAAAAGTAGGACCTTCTTCTACCAATTACAGTGGGGATGACGTGAGGGCTGACATTTCTGAAGGTCTACCTTTTGGCAAATTAGATGGATGGATTAAGTACATAAAATTTCATGTGATTCTCATGACCACATTACGATATTGGGTATGAAAGGCTAGACCCATTTCACTGATGTCTGGAAATTATGGCTTAGAGTTACGAAATAATTATCTGAAATGACATTGGTGGTACAAGTCAGGATTGGAAACCAGGCCTCCTTTATTCCAAAGCATTTGTCTTTCCCACTATGCAATGTTTCCCTGAAAGCATTAGCTGGAACCACTGCTTCATCAGAGAGTGCCTTTTGTTTGTGCATGATCAAATGTGAAAATGTAAAATATTTTATATATGCCAAGTATACCTATATGAGGGATTATTATAGTTATTTGTCATTATTTCAGTGCTACTGAAAGCTTTCCATTATTTTTAACTTTTAAATTTTATTTTTGAGTCAGGTCCATGGGAGGCTAGATATTTGGAGTTTCAAATCAGTTAATTACCTAATAAAAATGCAATATAACATCTGCTCTTCAAGTTAACATTTCTCCTGGTCAAGGGCAAATTTGGATGATGAAAGCATTTGTACATTCTCAGACTCTGAAATCCTTACAGTGATATTTATCACCACTGATTTAAAAATTGGAGGGCAAGTGTCTTGAAGCCTTTTATCTTTCCAACGTGTAATTAATTACCTTGTTTAAAACTCTTATGAAGTAGGTGGTGCAGGTATTATGATCCTCATCTTACATTCTTCCACTAATTCATTCATTTTACAAATATACATTAACAGATTTAAAAAATCTAAGCCCCAGGGAGATAGCTGATTTACCTCTAAGTCAACAGAAGAAGCAAATGACAGACTGAAATCAAGATTCCTGGCTCTGCGTTCTGAATTTAGGGCATTTCTACTAAACCATCTTGCCTGAGTCTCAGCATTAACCTATGTCTTTTGTATATCTATCCTTGATATCTTAATGTTCTGGCATATTTCATATTTCTATTGTAGAAAAGATCCTGATGGAACCAGTAGCTTCTAAATCAACACACATTTGCCTCCAACCCCCCACCTCCATGAAAATGTGGTTCTTAGGACTGCTGTAGCTTCAGCAATCCTGAGAAATAAATGTATGAAGTGGCTTGTGCACTAACTCAACTACAGGGGATGGGACTGCTTTAATTGCCATGAGGCGCTGAATGCAGTTAACACTCAGAGGAAAAGAGCCTTGTTTCTTGGTTTCTTTGAAGACTGACAATTATTTTATGGAACGACTTCATGCATTATCAAAACTTCCATAGAAATTCAATGAGACACTGCATAGTAAAGCAAGAGCCCTTCCCCTTTACATAGCAAATATCTCTATATACATACCCTGTACTTCTCAAACACAAAGAAGATCGTTGGAAAACACACAGTTATGCTCAAGGGAGCCTGCAGATTAGTTCTCCAGCACCTCCCATGACCCTGCTCCTGCCCTTCTCATCTCCACTTCTCCTATCAAAGATTGAATCACTCCTACTCATCTACCATCATTGTGCCCTTTATAGACTCTATGAATAATAAAGCTATTTTGTTTTCATTTTTTATTTTCTTTCCTACAAAATCGTGTGCTTACCACCAAAGTCAGAGATTGATTTTGTTTTATTTTCATTTGTAGTCTTGATGTCTAACACAGTACCTAGCACAAGGCAGGCACTACACAAAATGTTTGCTGGAAGAGACACAAATGCATAAAATCATGGTTTCCATCCTTAGTCAATTGCATGTTCATTGTTAAGCAAAAGAAGCAACAGGCTTTGAACATATCCAGTGCTTCCCTACCATGTGCAGAATGTTGTGATTAAGAAGGCACTACCTTGGCCGGGCACGGTGGCTCATGCCTGTAATCCCAGCACTTTGGGAGTCCAAGGTGGGCGGATCACGAGGTCAGGAGATCGAGACCTTCCTGGCTAACACGGTGAAACCCCGTCTCTACTTAAAATACAAAAAAATTAGCCGGGCGTGGTGGCATGAGCCTGTAGTCCCAGCTGCTGGGGAGGCTGAGGCAGGAGAATGGCATGAACCTGGGAGGCGGAGCTTGCAGTGAGCCCAGATCGCACCACTGCACTCCAGCCTGGGTGACAGAGCAACAGAGCAAGACTCCTTCTCAAAAAAAAAAAAAAAAAAAAAAAAAAAAAGGAACTACTTTGTAGAAGAGGCAGTTAAAAACAGAAATGAAGTAAAAAATTCATTGATTGATTCCTCAGATATTAGGTAAGTACTCATTCTGCTCCAGGTATGAACTGATAACTAGACATATAAAGTAATGACAGGGGACCCTGGAGGGGCTTATAGCTTGGTAGAGAGATTGGCCTATAATCGACTAACTAAAATAAACCAAAATCCTAAATGGAAAGAAGACTGAAATATAAAATTAGAAAACTTTGGAAGAGATGCAAATATAGCTCTGGCAGAGGAATCCACATGAAAATCAATTCCAGGAATCAGCAACACACTGCTAGTCAATGAGCAATGGGTCTCTAACATTTAGATAAAGTGTTACTCGGTGTCAGACATTGTTGCAAGTTTCTTCCTTCTATTGTATCATTTATTCCTTACACTTACGCTAGAAAGTAAATACTCAACTCCTTTTACAGATAAAAACTCGGGCTCATGTGCATAAAGTAAATAGAGTATAGTGTTTAAGTATACCTGTTTTGGAGTCTAGCATAACTAGATTTGAATATTGGGTCCATAACTTAACTGTGTGACCTTGAACTAATCATGTTACGCCTCAGGATTTTCACCTGGGAAAGTGGATAATGATAGTGCCCACCTCACTGGTGAGGCAGGTGAAGTATTTAATACGGACCCCACTAAGTGCTATTTCTTTAGTTTGAGAGCACACTGCTAGCAAGGATCAAGATAGGGTTTCACACTCAGGCTTTACCACAGAGCTCATGCTGTTTTTACTGAGTTTGTTGCCTTTCTGGGCAAACTGGATAATTGACATGCATTCATTAGATATCTGATGTGGACAAAAAGGCAGAATGCAGTACTTCTGATTGCATTATATTAGGGCATTTCTGTCCCAACAATAGATTTTTGTAATGTACTTGAACTCTGAACTCAATCCCAACCTTTAATACACACACACACACACACACACACACACACACACACACGTACTATAGTTTCTTATATCTATAATAACACAGAGTTGGTAGGTGATAGATAGAGGGAGGGAGAAATTAAGACTCTTTCCTGTGTTTTTGACTCTGGAGAGTAGGTCTTAGCTTGAGGATGGGAAGGATGATGATTTCAGTTTTGAATATATTGAGTCTGAGATTCCCATGGATCATACAAGTACAGAGGAAAGTACAAATGGAGAAGCTATCATCTCTAGGAAACTGACTATGAGCGGAAGGCCAAGAAGTTTTGAGTATGAAAATACGATATCAAAACCACAGTGAAAAAAAGTGTGGCTGTGGCTACAGATATCTTAAACAAAACAGACCAGCATTGAAACCAAAGCAGTAACAGAGGCAGACTTCAGGGAGAACAAACTCACAGTTTATCATTTAAGAAACAGAAAGCAAACCAGAGCTGAGTCCCTTTCATGAGACCCATGTGCTTGCTCAGAAGCAGAGCTGAAGTAATATTCTGGAAGGCTAAGTGATGGGAGTAGGGAGAGATGGTAACGGCCTTCAGTTTTATCAACCAGGTAATCAGGATCCTGCTTTCCTGGAGAGAACCAGTTTCTTATATGCCAAGTCCCTTTTGTTTACCCATAAGAAAGACTAGCTCTTTTGGTTCCTTCCATTCCCTTTCCTACAGCAGTATGTCCAGACCTCACCCTCCCACACCACCCTTAAGCCTTCATTCATAGTTGCCATCTTCAGTCCGCATGTCATTCACAGTTGCCATCTTATGTGACTGTGTGTAGATACATACTGATAGTTAATTTTCATAGTCCCCTTTCCTGGTTTCATGGCCTCCACACACAGCTATGACACTAGTATTGTCTCTAACTCTGGCAGCATCTTCCCCAGTAAACCAGTGTGCAAAAGAGTGCATCTTCTTTGCTAGTGACATTTTACTGACTGGTGCTCATGGCAGTGTTTCTGGTGCACATCTGGCTCCTCCACAGGGGAATTTCCAAGGTAAGTGTGGGAAGACAAACCTGCAAATAAACTCCAATAAATAGGATAAATAGCAGGATGTATGTACAAGGTTTCAAGAGAAATTGGACTAGAGTTCATTTCACTTCAAAGAAACCTTGGTTAGTCTTCAAAATCACCAAGTAAACATGGGCAGAAACTCCCTCCAAGCAAAGCACACAGTATGGGTTGATTTATTATTTTGGCTACTTTTTCAAACCGCTTTGGCAAAAAGAGCAGAAAACCTGGACTTAACCAGCTTAAATTTATGATTTATTGTCTCCCAGAGCAAGGTGTCCACAGGTCAGGAAAGCTCCAGGGAGGGTATATTAGGACCCTGACTCCACTTCACTGTGACCCTGTCTTCCTTTCCAAGTTTTGCTTCATCAGCAGTTCCATGCATCATATCCAGGCATGCCAATGACAAGAGGAAGAGAAGGGGCTGTCTTTTCCTTCTGCCTCTTTTTAAGACCAAGGAACTATTTCCCATAAATGCTCTGACACTTTCTCATTTCACTGGTCTGAACAAGGTCTGTGTGCATAGCTCTAAACCCAGTCACTTATAAGCAGTATGGGATTCCTGTGATAGTCTGAGACTATTTGGAATTTGTCCCCCAAGAGGGATAGGGTCATGTTTTCTGAGAGGGCCTACCTGAACAAAATCAGTACTTCATCAATGAAGAAGAGAAGGTCAGATTTTAAGTATATAGCCAACAGGGTCAGCTACAGTTACTATCTACATATAACACTTATTTTTTTTAAAGAGAAAAAACAAAAACAATCACAAAGGATGCTGTTAGAATAGGATCAGGCTCAAGAAGATACACTGATTCTGGGACAAGGAACTCTGCTTATGGATGGCGTGACACAATTATAGAGAAAATCTGAAGATCTAAAGAACTGGCTGCCTGTGAGCAACAGCTGCAGAAATGTAAAAATATATCCTGTTTATCCATTAAACACTACCGAGATTGAGTTGAGCACTGCACCATGTCAGATAACTCTGTGTTCACTATCAGAATGTGTGCAGTTTTAGAGTGAGCAGTCATTATATGTTACATCATGCGCAGTTTTGAAAAGTCACGGTCACTAGGTTTACTTGTTGGAAACATATCCTTGTAAAAGATAAGGCATCGTTGGCATGAAACTCTCTTTCACATATACACTTACACAGAGAAATATGTATAACTGATCATTTATTTTTCTTTCATATTAAACCTTTTTTTTTTGCTTTTAGTAAGAGTCATATCAATGAAAATGGCAACATTTAGTCTGAGAAAGTTAACAGTATATGGTATGGAACAACACAACCTGACCCCATATCTTCAGCTGGCTTTCAGTTTTCATAAATGAACTTCTGAGAGACAACTAAAAATTCATTTCTGGTGCAGAAAAATGTGCAGAATGGGAACTATGCAGAATGGGTTAATTCCAGAAGTTGAACAAGGGGAATGCACATATGCAGGCTTATTAAGTTATGTGCAAATGATAAGTACAGTGACCATCTCCATTGCTAAAAATTCATTGTGAATGTGTTGAAGTTGGGATTGATGGAGATACTGAAGTGATAGCCAAAATTCACCCAGAAACAAGCTAAAGTGAAGGTTAAAGAAAAACAGCTGCAGAAGAAACAAACTGTGGAGACATCTCCAGCAGTGGAAGCAATCTGTTTTTGAAGACAGCGAGGAACTCCAGGCATCTAGCACATTCTGAATGGGTAAAGTCGGACTGGAGTGGGTTGCTGTGGGAAGGAGCCATTCTCTAAAGAAAGGTAGACAGCTTCTCACGGCTGGGCCTCTAATGTTAGGCTCAGAAAACTTACTAAGTTGACAACTCTCTAATTACACAGCCTTTGAATAAACCGTGACATTTATAAGAAAAGACATCCTGTCATTTATTTTTGTTACACTGGTTTTTGCCTTGCACACTGGTTTAAGACTTCATGGGACTTTTGAAGAACAAATTTTAGACCTCTGCTACAGGGCAGGTTAAAATGGAATCATCCAGTTGCTGGTTGATTTTTTTTCCCCCACGTGAAGTCTCCCTTGGAATCAAGGTACCAGATCTTCTCTTGGTTATCTGAAATGATGTGTGCTCATCTTCAGTGAAGAAGTTCATGACTCAAATAGATCCTAGTAATAGTGTCTAATTATATATGCCAACCTTTCCCTACAGCAATATACTTCCCTTCAAAGTAATTCTAATATTATTACTTTTTTTGGTATTGCATTAAAGAA
This sequence comes from Homo sapiens, assembly GCF_000001405.40. Lineage (NCBI taxonomy): Eukaryota > Metazoa > Chordata > Mammalia > Primates > Hominidae > Homo > Homo sapiens. Next base: position 51,843,729 of record NC_000017.11, read on the forward strand.
GATAGAAAGATTTTAATGCTATCTTTAGGAGGATAGAAGCGTAGCTGTAGAAAGAAGAGAAAAATTCAGGGAGTTCTTATTACCTGGTTTTCATGATTAGAGTCTCCACAGTTGCAAAGTTTTACAGAAAAGTAAATTCACAATAGCATGAAAATAGTCATCACTGAATTGACCCCTTAAAAAATCAGTCCCCATTCAAAATCAGTCTCGACTTACCACTGGAATCTTAGTCAACATCATAACTGATCTCTCACCAATTTTTATAAAATAGTCTTATAAAAATGCTCTGTAAATTGATTATAAGGTAAATTTTTAAATTTCCCCCAGAAATGGGAGATTCATGAAGTTTAAAAAAGTGATGTTGAAGAACTGCTGGAATCACACGCAGAATTATTGATATGATGATGTGACAGAAACATTACTAGATCTTATTTGAAGAAGAGGAAATTTTTAAGGATAATGATAGTTTAGGCTTCCAGAAGAGAATGCCATGAATCCCAATAGAATTAGGGAATATTGATAAAATACTTGAAATTTGTAAAATAACCCTTTTTGTGATGTTGAGAAAGTCAAAATTAAGTAAAGAATATGTTGTGAAATCATGTAATTTTTATTAGAAAAATTGTAACAAAAGTTGAAACATGACAATTTATCCTTCAAGAATTAGTGAATAGTTATATTTATTACCTGAAATATTTTTCAAATTTAAGTAAAATATACTAATTTTTAAATAAATTTTCAATGTAAAATCCAAGTCAAAATATTTTCACTCATCTTTAAATGAATTTTGGTTTTCATTTTAAGATAACTCACTTAAAATAGCGTTTTCTAGGTATCCATTGTCATTAAATAACATGGAATGTCTGTAAATATTCTTATCTCTTTTCACTGAGCCATACAACCTCACATGAGACTAGAAAGTCCCAGCATAACAGGTTTCTGGAATGGAAGTGTAACACTGTGCTTGAGGTAGTTTCAAAATATGTCCACAAAAGAGGCAGAGCCTAATTCCCCTCTTCTTGAGTGTGGCCTGGACTTACGACTTAGTGCTAATTAATAAAACAAAACAGAAATGATGGTGGGTAGAGTGGATTGCATAGAAACACCCACACCCACCGCACAAATTTGATGTCCATCAGAACCTCAGAATGTGACCTTATTAAGAAATAGGGTCTTTGCAGATATAATTAGTTAAGATGAGGTCATTATGGCTGGCCCTAATCCAATGACTGGTGCTCTCAGACAAAGAGATACACCGACAGAAGACAGCCATGTGAAGATGGAGGCAGATATTGGAATGATGCATTTACAAGCCAAGGAATGCCAAGGATTGATGGTGGCCACCAGGAATGAGGAAGATGCAAGGAAGGATTCCTCCCCTAGAACCTTCAGAGGGAGCACAGCTCTGCTGACATCTTGATTTTGAATGTTTCACCTCCAGATGTGACAGGGAATACTTTTTTATTGTTTTAAGCCACCAGTTTGTGTCACTTTGCTATGGCAGCCCTAGAACATCAGCACAGGAGATCACTTCAAAGACTGTGATATAAAGGCACTGCGGCTTTCTCTGTGCTCACTCTCTCTTGGATCTCTCACTCCAGTGGAAGTTGGCTGTCAAGTCGTGAAGATATTCTAGCAGCCTGCAGAGAGGCCCCATGGTGAGGAACTGAGCCTTCTGCCATGGCCATGTGAGTGAGCCATCTTGAAAGTAGACCTTACTTTTGTGGAACCTTGAGCCAGAACCCCAGTGAAGCTGCTTCCAAATTCCTGATCCACAGAAACTGTGTGAAACTAAATATTGTTTTAAACCACTGAGCATTGACGTAATTTTTATGCATCAATAAACAACTAGTACAGTCCCCTTTGTTCCCTCAGATCCAATTTCCCCAACTCAAAAGTATACTCAAAATGCACTCAGCATTGAACAGATCCTTCTTCTCCTAAGGCTCTGATAACTTTTTATAACTTTATTTCCACTCCTTGTCCACCTCTTTTCCTGACAGGATAAAAAGTGGGCTTCTTTCTTGCACAGAACGCTCTGTCATATAGGCCCATCATCTCTGATATGTGAAGATTCTAAATAAAGGGCGACTGGCTTCTGTGAATGAGTTTTATTAGTTTTATTACCTTAGATATTTCAAACGTGATCTGAAGTTTCTCATATTCCCTTGAGAAATGCTCATGGACATGAATGCTAACATTGGCATTCTACCCAGTAAGCTTTAGAGGACATTCAAGGGAATTCACATATCTATGTGAACAGCTGGTCTCTGGTCTCCCTGATCCCTCGAGAGCCCAGTGAGGGCAGCTTGCTGCTTTAACAATTTTTCCAGTGAGGAAGGGAGAGGATACCTCACCATGGAGCAGAGAAAATGGAAGCACTTACAGACATACCACAGGTCTGCAAAGGAGGCATTGGCCTTTTGCCTGATTTTACCCAAACTTATCAAGTGCCTGCCATGCACTGGGCACAATAAGTTAAAGGCCCATCATTATCAATCAGGAACCACCTTCCAGGTGACAACTGCATCCATCCAATGTTGAAGAAGGAAAGGTCAGAGCAGGAGAGGAGAAGCAAATCCATTTATACAGCAGCCTCAGAACTGCAGGATCACACCCCTTGGGTGAATAGACAAGCTCTGATGACTGTCTGAGTGTGGAAACCCTGAGCTGGGGCTGCCTATGGTCAGAAATGCCAGCCAATCTTATGTGCCCCTTGTTGCACAATGATCTAAGTGCTTTACAGGTATTAGCCCTGGAAATCCTCATAACAATCTTAACAGGTAGCAACTGTTATTATCCTCATTTCACAAGTGAAGACACTGAGGCATAGTAAGAGGCAAAGCTGAGTTTAAAGCTGGGCAGTCTGGCTTCAGGCCATGCCCCTCCATATTAATCTCTCCATAGTCTTTTGAATGCCAGCAAAAAGGATGTTTTACTCTTTACTACATCTGATTTGGAATTTTGATAAAAATGACATGAGGCAGAATTTCAAGCCTTTTAAGCAAATCATGCAAGTCTAATGCTGTCGCGCTTGCTCTACCGCTGTGGGCTGATTTGTGTCTGTGCTGGGTAGATATGTTTTAGAAAAGTACATGATGGGAGGCAGGCTCAGCTGTTTTGCGATCATGCCCTAAAATGGTTAGGAAGCCAGTGGCTGACAGGGATCAATGTAGCACTGTGAACAAGTCTAAATAAATGTTAATGTAATATTTTGGGATGAAATTAATTAGGTGTGCTGATAGTTGCCTGATGAGGTAGGCAGATCAGTATGATGTGGAATAATATGGACAGTTTAGTGTTATATAATAAACCCAAAACCATCCTATGACGCCCTGGATGACAGCTAGGGAATCTCTGGAGCTCAACATAGATTTTCTTTAAATAGAGGCTGGTAACTAAAAGAGATTCTGAGTCTCACATCAGCTGCACTGCATCAGCCCTCTTTCCTTAATCTGTGGTTCCAAATAATTTTGTAAGTAGATAAAATTCTGAACCCACCCAATAATAATATAACCAGACAACTAATACTGCAATCTTCCCTCTTGCAGGGAAATCGCTCCAGAAGGCAAATGAAGTAGTCTCCTTTTTAAGCATCCTCTGCTTTTCTGTTAAAGTTTGTCTCATTGCAGGAATCACAGCAGCTTTTGACAGCCTGGGGGTGGTGAATGGACTTCTGGATATTTGGAGAATGCCAAAATCCTGTTATGTCTGTTATTGCAGTGTACCCTTGAGTACAGTCTCCCCAACTTTTTTCAATATCATGGTCACTTGGGATATGATAATAACGCATATCATCTAATTCCAAAATGCACTTCTTTGCATGATAAAATCTCTTAAGTTGGGATATATCTTACAATTGTGAGCACCTTACAATTGCTGTCATCTTGGCAGCAGGAACATGGTACATAAAATCATCCTGCTTCTTATAATGGCAGGAATCAGTGGGATATGGTATTTGTGCAGCATGCTGGGGTAAATGCATTAGGCTTCATCTGGTTGGAGGCAGCCTTCCATGGGTCTCTGTAACCAAAGCTTCTAGACAGCACCCCTTGGGGACTGAGAAGCTCAATCTCTCAGGTGCCTCTGTGATTCATCTGTAACAACTCAGGAGTGTGTCCTGAGACTTGTCTCCTCAAGTCTGAGCCACCCTATCTGTGAAACAGAGATCAGAACAGCACTTTCCAGACGAGACCTTTTGGGGACCTTCTGCAACTTTATGTGCACAAAGTACCTTTCATATAATCTGACATCAAGGAATTTCAGTTACTGCTATTGGCTTTACAGAGCCAGGGCTAGGTTAAGGCAATTGAGGCATTCACCTTGGGCACAAAATTTAAGAGGTGCCAAAATCTCAGTGATTGAGATAAGTAATATTTTCATGCAATATTTTTAAAAGCCAAAATCAATGCAAGAAAGGATGAAAAAATAAAAATTTTAAACAGAGACAGGATCCAGCTCTTCATTTGGTTGATGCATCTCATTGACTTATCCTGGTCTTAGTCCATTCAGATTCTGTCTTGAATACTTCAAATATTGCATTAAAATGCTATTTATCTTGATTACTAAGTTTTTTTGGTGTCCCCTTAAATTTTGCACCTGAGGCTTGTGCCTCACTCCTCTCACACTCATGACTCTGGTGATATTTCTGATGCATCTGATGATTGTTTCTAATTGTGCCTAAATTGGTCTGATATTAACTATCTGTTGACTCATATACTCATTCAGCAAGCCTCCAATCTGTTCCAGGTGCTGTGGCAGGCAATGGAGATACACAGCACTGGCCTGTGGAGAATGCACATAAGCAAACAAACATGTGCCATATATTCTTTAGGGCTGTCGTGAATGCATCTATTCATTGATTCACTCCAAAATGTTCAGCAAGCACCTCCTCTGAGTGTGCCCAATATGAGCCTGGGACAACTGGAGTCACAGGAAGAAAATAGTCACTATGTGAGTCAGTGTTTCCTTACAAAACATTTATAGTGGCCGGAGGCAGTCGTGAGAAATCCTTTTGAAACTAAAAAATTGCTGTGGGCAGGGCATGGTGGCTCATGCCTGCAATCCCAGTACTTTGGGAGGGCAAGGCAGGAGAATCACTTGAGTCCAGGAGTTCTTGACCAGCCAGGGCAAAATCGCGAGACCCTGTTTCTAAAATAATAATACAAATAGCTAGACATGGTGGTGCATGCCTGTGGTCTCAGCTACTCAGGACACTGAAGCAGGGGGACTTCTTGAGCCCAGGAGGCCGAGGATGCAGTGAGCTGTGTTTGTACCACTGCATTCCAGCCTGGGTGACAGAATGAGACTGACTGACTGTCTATCTCTGTCTCTCTTTATATGTATTTATGTATATATGTGTATATTTATGTATATATATGTGTGTGTATATATATAAATATAAAAACTTAGTTTTTTATATATATACATATATGTATATATATATACATATATGTATATATATATATACATATATGTATATATATATATACATATATGTGTGTGTATATATATATATATATATATATATATATATAAAACTAAGTTTTTTGGAGTCCTTTTAAATATATGTAGTTGTAGCTAGCTCACATGCATCACCTACCACAGTGCCTAGCACATAAGATACACTTAATAAAATGTTTGTTGAATGACCATTCAAATAAATGGCTTCCTATAAGTAAGATGGAGATGACAAGGTTACACTATGCCCACCTAGAACCCCTTTGAGTGCCTTGGATGCTGGAGGGCTTGGTGCAACGGAAAGATCTGTGATCAGTAGATCTGAACTTGAAACCTGGCTTCACCATTCATTAGCTGTGACGACCTTGGTCAATGTATTTAATCTTTCTGCAACTATTTCCTTTAATAAGGTCAATACTACCAAATGTGCAGGTCTTTAGTGAGATTATAGATCTGCAAAGTGCTTCATAAAGAGTCTGCCTCATAGAAGAAACTTGGTGGATGTGCATTTCTTTCTTTTCTATTTTGTTTCAGAACTTGATGGAAGGAAGTACAGGTCAGAAAGGCTGAGTTAACCCCAGGCAAAAACCACTCGGGAAATGGGCAATGAGATATCACAGCCGCTGTCATGCCGAGGGCTGTGACCACACCAAGAATGAGACCACTCTCTTTCTTTGCATGAATACCCCATAAGCAAGTTGAATATGGGATGTGAATAATTCAAGTCCATTTCCACAAGACAGTCACAGAAGGATTGGCTTCTTCAGGAAAGATGCCAAACTGGGGTCTTTAGAACTAGCTTCCCGAAGACATGCTTCAAGGACAGGGAAATACACATGCTGTAAGCAGGGAAGTCCTGAATGCTATGGCAGAGATGCAAATTGGGGCTGTGTCATGAAAACAAAAGTTAAACCATAAAATGTCACTTTACATGCAGTTTAAGAGAGATCTATGAGAAATAAACTTTAGCAAACTGCTCACATATATCAGTGTATTACAGGTGCCTGGAAAAGCATTTCTATGAAAATATGCAGCATGGCATATGTATAAATCTGTCCTGAGTTTTATGGTTTCATATACAGAATCATAATGTATATAAAGTAGAGGAACACGGAGATCCAGTTTACTGCTTTAACCCATGCTAGTCAAATGGTCTTGGAATAATCCACCGAACTTACAAAGCAGCAAACAAGTACACTCGCCACCTAGAGGAAAGCCAGCAGCAAAGGCAGGTCTGTCTGCAAGCATTTTGTAGAGTGGCAAGTGGGTGGAGAACAGAATGAGATTTCTTGACCACTTGCAAGGGGTGAGGTCTCTGTAATAGGTGAGGTCTCTGCTAAGCACATTACATTCATTCTCTCACTTCAGCCTCCCCATAACTTTATGAGGCAGGTACTACTGTCTCCATTTCACGGATGGGAGGACCGACAGGCAAGCGTTTGAGTTACATGTGGAAGGGCACATAGGCAGCAGATATTGCACTGAAATAGAAGCCTCATGAAAGCAAGGGCCTTGCACACCACTGTATCCTCAGCTCTTAGAACAGCGCCCAACACTTAGTAAGTTCTTGGTGCATGTGTTGAGCAAGTGAGTGAAGTTGGCAAACCTGGATTCAGCTGACTTTTTGTCTGGTTTCTTCCCATAGAATCTTTGCAGTGATGACAGGAATGAAGCAGCTTATTTGTGCAGAAGAGTGAATTCATGGGAGTGCAGGGACAGCTGCAGCCTCTGAGAGGGCAGGTTATGGAGATCCTTTGGGAATTCACAGTTTAAAGGGCAAGCTGCCCCTTCTTCCCAGTGCCTGCCCTGACCATTTCTGCAGACCGCGCTGCCATACTAAATTATCCCTGTGCTCACATAGTAGCTTCTGAGGAGCAAAGCTGCCTAGCATGGAGTCTAGAAAGACCAAGATGCATGGGGGTGGCAGACCCAGTTCCAAGCCTCAGCACTGTCACTTATTAGCTATGTGACTTTGGAGGTATCACCTAACCCTATGAAATGAGTACATTAATGCCCATCTTAATATCTTCTAGGCTGGACAAGCTTCATAGGCTAGATAGTACTCAACTCCACAGCCTGTAACCTACGATGCAAACGGTGGCCCCTGAAGTTGTTCAACACAGCGGCCCTGCTCCTGGATGAGGACATGGGTACAGAGGAGAAAGAAGGCACAAACAGAGCCAGCCAAACCTGCATTCAAACCTCAGCTCTGCCATTCTCAAGCTGTGCCATCTTGCCTCAGTTTCCTCACCCATAAGTGGGAATAAAAGAAATATGTACCTCACGGGTTGTTTTGAGGATGAAATTAATTAATACATGTAAAGCATTTGGAAGGCATGTAGCAGGTGAATGAGAAATATTTTATTGTTATTTTAAATTTATGATATAATTTTACTATTTTTAAAATTCTGTATTGAAGCAACTTATTTTAGGGTCTTTTCCTGAACAGATTTGAAGCTTCTGGAAGTCAAGGGTTGTATCCACTTATCCACATATCACCCTTTGTCTAGTGATGGGCAAATACATGGTCCTTGATAAATATTTGTTGAACTAATCTGAACCATCTGTTGTCAGATAAAATCCCTAGTCTCTTTGGCCATGTTTCCTCATGAATTACTTTCTCCTGCTTCAAACATTGGGAAATTTGAGCCAAACACTTAACTTGTTTTAGTTAAAAGGTTTAGATTTCACTGAACTTCAGATTTTGCTAAACTTTCCTTCCCCACTTTTAGTTCCATCTTAAATCCTCATATTTTGAAAGAAATTAGGAAAAGCTCTCTATGTGGCTGTTAGCCAGAAGTCCACACATAATAAAGACTTCTAGTTGAAAGGGCTTAAAAAAAATCTGCTGCTCTTCTCCTTTGGGTCATACAATTAAGTAGAAGAAATACAAAGGCAACACCTTCCACCCAGGACCCAGCCAGCATCATGCAGCCTTTAAACCTTCCAGGGCCAGTGTTAGAATCAGGGCAGAAGCACCCGGTTTGTCACTTGCAACATTCATTTGTTTGCAAGACAGTATCAGGGTGGATGGACACTCAGTCATGACCACAGCCCAGTTCCGTTCAAAGAGATTTCAGCTGCACCGAGTCAGAGGCGAGGAGATTGGGCTTGTCTGTGTTCTCCACACTATAATGATAAGTGGAGGTGATCAATTGCCAGAGAAACTGCAGACAAAAAAGCCCCCATTAATTTTCTGAAATATTTAGGAATTTGGGTAATAATTCTTGAGTAGTTAATATGTGTCACATATAGTACTATTATAGTACTACTAGGCACTTGCTTATATGTTAAATTTAGTCATCATGGCAGTTAAGGTAGGCATGATGAACCTTCAGATTACAGACTCAGAGAGGTAAAGTAATTTTCCCAAAGTCACACAGCTGAAATTTAAATCCAGGTCTGAATCTAAATGTCCTATGCTGAGTTAAACACTTGGGCTGTGGAATCAGAAGGATCTAGATGTAAATTCTAGGTCTGCCTCTTAAGAGCTGTATTGTTTGGAGGAACCTATTAAACTTTACCAATATCATTTCTACCACATGGTAAAATGAGAATAAGAACTCCACTCACAGTGTTGTTGTCAAGGTTAAGTAACATTTGGCACCTGAGTCTCTCAGCACAATGTTTGCCACAAAGTAAACAATTAATCATGTTCAGATTACTTATTACTACTTTTTAAATTTACTACTCCTACATCATGCTACTTACATAATTCAGATCTCTCCCATTCTCTTAATTCTTAAGAGAAAAATGGCTTTAGAAATGTTTAATTTAGAAACCCTAATTTGTCTAAGCTGTTTTATTTAAATGAAAATGCATTCTATTTAGAAATAGGGGGGCTTTATCATATGTCCTTGGAAAAACTGAAAGGAGACAAGCGGATAGCTAAATAGAGCTTGAGTCCACTGAGAGACATTAAACTGAATGCTAATATATTATTATATATTTGCTAATAAATTATATTTGTTGTTTAATAAAAGAGAGAATATTTTTAAAGTCCCAATGATGATATTTAACTGCATAATAAACCCCACAGAAACTGCTAATCAGGAGTGGGGTGATTAAATACTGCAGTGATCTAATGCTGAAAGCCTTGGCATTGCCACCCGGTGTCCCTGATCCTCAGGCTGTTCTGCATAAGGCTGGACAAGGGCTGGTCTGTGGGGCATGGCCTGGAGCTTGTCTGCTGTCCCTGTGCTGGTCAGGGGCCTTGCTCCATGTGCAGGGAGTTCTGGGTAATTAGAATGTCTGTCCCAGTGATTCCTTTAAGCAGATATGGCCTGCCCATATTGGGAATGCCCCAAACCCCAACAGAGGCACTTGCCCATGATGTTGGACTTAGCCCAGGTCACCTCTTGGTGCATTTACTCCAATCTGTGCTTCTTTCTGCTCTTGGTTCCTCAGTTCTTCAGACTCGTTAGCTCTTTCTGTCCACTGTAGGATGCCCTGGTGATATGGCTTGGCTCTGTGTCCCCACCCAAATCTCATCTCAAATTGTAATCTCCACGTGTCGCGGGAGGGAGGTGAATGGATCATGGGGGCGGTTTCCCCCATGCTGTTCTTGTAATAGTGAGTTCTCATGAGATCTGATGGTTTTATAAGTGTTTGACTGTTCCTCCTTCACATGCTTGCTCTTCTGCTGCCTTGCGAAGAAGGTGTCTGCTTCCCCTTCTGCCATGATTGTAAGTTTCCTAAGGCCTCCCCAGCCATGTGGAACTGTGAGTCAATTAAACCTCTTTCCTTTATAAATTACCCAGTCTCAGGGAAGTTTTTTATAGCAGTGTGAAAACGAATGAATACATCTGGCCTTGGTGACCTGTTATACAGGCATGCTTTATGACTCAGTCTCTGCACCTGCTCTCAGATACACTTCAGATGTTTACCTTCTGGTCCTACACTTGGCCACGGATGAGAGGCACCTTCATCTCGCCAAGATTCTCAGGGAATGATCAGCCAGTTGGCTTGCTCTACGGTTTTCTTTCTCCACCTTCCTCACGAGATTACTCTGGCCAATGAGTGGTCCCTGGTGAGAAACTGAGGCCAAGTCAATAGGTTCACAGGGCAGGGGTGGCAGCAGCTTCACCCCTGCTGGACATTGTTAATGTTCAGTGAGGTCAGGCAGTCTTTGGTCATACAGGAGACCTAGGATTAGGTCTAGGCATTGGGAAGCAATGGCAGAGTTGTGGCTGGGAAATATTTCTCCAGGGAAGAGTGAAATGCATGTCCATGCAATTTGTAAGTTAACAGCAGGCACTCAATCTCTTGACTCTATTACTAGTGGCATGAGTAGTTTTCAGGGACTAGTTTTGTGGGTAGCTCCCCTTTAGTCTGGGAACTTGGATGAAGAGATGAGATGGCCGAGGAGTCACTTCCTAATGAAAGCAGCATCTGAGGAAGGTGAGTTCTGCACAAGTCATCATGCCAGGACTGTGGAGGGTCCCTGGAAGGCAGAGGCATCAAGTCTTGGTTCCCCTTTCTCTCTCCTAGAAGAGGGTATATGGTACAAGGCACTCTAAAGGCTTCTGGCCACGTGGCTTATGACCTAACAGAAGGAACTGGAGCATATTCAAAGCTTACTGTGGTGTCCACAGGGGATTAAGCAAACCAGGGAATAATGTGATCATTCATCTTTCCTTAGCATTTGGTGTGTGTTGGGTCTGGGTCCCAGTGCTTTATCCAGCTCAGCTCGCTTAAACCTCGCAACTACCTTATGCTCTTTTTACCCCAATTTCACAGAGGAGAAAATGGAGGCACAGGGAGATTGAGTAACTGGCTCCAGGTAACTCCAGAGTCAGTGCTCTGATGCTGCCCCTCTTACCATCCATTTGGTTCTGGGGAAGGTTGAGTGCAAAACCTGATAGGAAGAGAGGTGGAAAGAGCACCAGTTTTGGATTTAAATCACCCCGGGTGTGCCTATGGCTCTGTGTCTTTCTGCTTTGTTACACTGGCAAAATTACTTTACTTTGGTTTTCTTATCTATAAAATGGAGGATAACGCCAGCTTGAAGAGTTATGAGGAAGAGGTAAAATAGTTACTGTCTCCCACCAAGCCCACAGTGCCTGGTCCACAATGAGCATTTGATATATGTTGGTTCTTATTACTATACAGAAAAGCACTTTGTAAAATGTGAACTATAATAGACCTTTAAAACTCACAATAGCAAGATTGTAATATGCACCATCCTTTTAAGAAATAAAGTTGAGAATTAAACTATCACACACCATTGACTATAAGACCCATCTCAACTTCAATGATGCTAAATGCAAAATATAGTATAGTCGACCTAGGTGCAAAAAACTCAAAAAGCATTTGAGATCCCCTTCCACCCTAACTCCAGCAAGAAAGGAAAGAAATGCAAAGAAACAAAGACAGAACCAGTTTCTTGAGGAGCACAGTGCCTGAACCATAAAGAAAATGAAAAGCTACACACAGATGTTCATCCAGGCCAGCTTTCTGCTGGTAGGTAATGCATGAAGGCAATTAGGTGCTGGCTCGTCTCTTCAACATTCATGGAGCTGCAGAGTTTAATAACGTTGAAATCTGGTGCTACCTCAAAGTAAAAAGAGGTAATGATGAAAGTTGCAATTAATTCCTTAAATGAATTCTTAAAATGTCAAAATTTGAACTACACAAGTAATCAGTGTACAGAAAGTGGCCACAAGGTATAGAGGAGGAAAGAGTGGGGGACTTGGAGCCTGAAGACTTTTGTCATGGTCTTTGCTTTCCTCCCTAATTGCCAACAGGATCTGAACTGGCTGATTCACCTTTGGACTCAATTACCTTATCTGTCAATGGGGGGCTGAAGGAGCAAACAGTAAGGCTCTTTCAGCTCTGAGCAGGCATGCACCTGTGCCCCGCGCAAATGTGCAAGCCTTAAGCTGAAGAGGGTATTAGGAAAGTGAACTTTCTAATGTTTCTAGCATTCCCGACCTGTCCCCTGGACAATCCTGTCTCTTTGCTGCCAGTGCTTTCTATTTGCAGAAGGACTGACATGCTTGATTAAAATGTCTCAAGCATATCCAATCCTAATGTATTAGATCTTTCTTTCCTCCCATGCAATAGCAGTGGCAGAAACTCTGCATTGCAAACTCATAGTTTGTTTCCCGATGTTAATTCTGGTTATTTAAGGGGTCATCCACATGAAAACTGGTGAGGGAGACATTTCAGTAAAACAACAACAACAACAACAACAACAACAACAACTCCCCTGGTCTCCAAATGCTTTACATGAGACCACAAGGAGTCTAGAAACAATATAAAAGGACAGATAGTTGTAAAGTAAGTGGCCGCCAAGGAGCATAAAAATAATGACAAGGCACGCAAATCACAGATAAACAAGCAGAAAATACAGAGCAGTGACAGGAGTAGCATAAACACCAAACTTCTGCACAAACCAGCGTTTACTTATTTATTTGGTCCACAACGAGGAGGAATACAGAGCTGAATATGCCACAATTCCCATTTCCAGTTGATTCTCACATTCTCATGGGGCAGAAAGACAGCTTCAAGATCCCTTTACTACAAGCTGCTTGTGCAGAGTCCTAGGATGGAGGTATGATGAAAGGTTATCTGGAGGTCTGAGGAACCCCAAGTTGAATCAGGGGGCTTATGAAAGGCTCCAAAGCGGGGGAGGTCAGATGGGGCTCAACAGGCTGATAAAATGGTTCTACATGTAGAGAAAGAAGGAATTGGTATTCTAAATGACTGACATAACATAAAGTCCATGGTTCAGGATAATAGTCCAGAGTGAACGGTGGCTGAATTATGGATTTTACAGATGTCTGTGTGTACATGTGTTACAGGAGACAAACAGGGAGGTTGATCTTATCTTATATGCAGTGCAGAGCAATTCATTTGTTTTGAGGAGGAAAGTGATACCACAATTACATAAATCAAGGATTTAAAACATTATCATCATCCAAACAAATGGAAACCATTGTTTTTTATTTACCAAAGCATATATTCCATGATAATATTTAGTGCCATTTACAAAGTATCTAACATCTCCAGGCATTTTACAATTGTGATGTCCTTGCCAAAACCCTCCTAAATATGTATTATTATCCCGTTTTACAGATGAGGACACTGAGGTTCTGAGAAGTGACATAATCTGCATATCATGGCAGAGCGAAGACTAGAGAAAAGGCTATCCGATTCAAAAGGCTGCTTTACTCCCACCTGCAGTATACGCCTACCACCACATGCTACTGATTTTGGCAGCCAAGAGCATGACTCTGTATTTTAACAGGAAAAGCCAGAGATGAAAAGTACTGTCATTAGCATAGCTCCTCAAGGTTACTCTTAGGAATCCTAAGCACCATACCATGCAGCACTATACAAAAATCTGGTTCAGATAATGATGCTGGCCCAATTTATCTGTCATGATACGGCTGAGACACACACGGCTTCATGCATCAACTTACTATCGCAACAAACTATTAGCAAAAAACTATTATTGGGTTTGGGGAAAGAGCAGCAGTCCTAATGTTCTATTCCCACAGCCATTCTCATAGGAAAGGGTTGGAAATAGAACAGAGTCTATCTTTACGATCTGAATGACATAAGAGACAGTGGATGACACAAGCACAATATTCTGCTTTCATAATTTTATGATTTCCTGTCTAGTCTGCAGGAACAAGTAAAACAACAACCTCTCTGGTTCTGTGATAGCATCTGTCCTTAGAAAACACTCATTTTTAGCACAGTCAGGGTTGAAATTGGATGAGAAATTCAGGGGTTTCTCCTTAGCCTCAGTTGTTCAATCTTCAGAGGCCCACTGTCTGAAATTCAGGGGAAAAGGGGCTCAGTCAACTTCATATTAACTTTTTCTTAATATTTATAACTGTGACATGCAACTATAACTATATTATTATGTAAATTGAGAAACGGAAAGGAGAGAAATGACTCATTATATATCTCTCTGGGAACTTCCATCAAAAATGTAAATCATGTAAGTTTCAGAATTCTAGGTGGGCACCTGGAATCTTCCACTTGTAGTTTTCTTTGGAGAAGATTAAAAATAAAGAAAACCATATGTTCCACTTTAGTGAGCAAGAGTGAAGGGACATCGGTATTAAAAGCAGAAGCAAAATAGGCAGATGAGAGCTTCATTTTATACTGAGAAGGCATGGGTGCAATTTACCTGCAGGCCATTTTCACTGGGACAACGAGGAAAATGTGCCCGTGCAGAGACAAGGAGTCCCCACAGTCTACCCCTTCCACCAATTTTCAGTGTTTTCCTGAACAGATTTCAAGCAACAAAACAGTCAGCTGCTGGGTAATAGCTCCGGTTACAGCTGAAAATGTTAGTCATTTCATTATACACACTCCAAAAGGGGTATATAAAAGTTGTTTACAAGGGCAAAGCCGTAGTTCTGAAAGCTGGCTTTAAGAGCTCCTTCTACCTTGCCATATTTTAATTCTTTGAACGTGCACCAACAATTACATTTTTATAACTGCTAGCACAGGAAGTTATTAAAACACTTGGCTCCTATGTGTCTTGGTCCTTGCCTCTGCTGGAACATTGTAAATTGTTATGGCTAGCACATTTGTGCAAACCTACTGAGAGAAACATCATATGGAAATAATTTCAGTGGCTAGTGAAGGGTAGTTAAGGACAACCTTAACATCTAGGCCATATGATGCAGTGATTAAGAGGAAAGGTGCTAGAGTCAGAGGGACTAAGCTTGAATCCTAGATCTGCCTATTAATCCCTATGGGAGCAGGTCACTTAGCCTATCAAAGTCTCGGTGTTCCCATTTGCAAAATGGGAACAATAAGGGTACCTCCCTATATAGGATGTGGTGGGAATTAAATGAGATATACAAAGCATCTAGTAAGTGCCCAATGTTAGTTAATTATTAATTAATTGTTAGTTAATAATTAACATAAGCTAGTTAATTATAATTAGTTAATAATTAACATTAAATGTTAGTTAATTGTTGGGGTGATATCTTTTTCTCTTCTACATCAGGGCAGAGTTCTTCAATCTGTGGCAGAATGAAATTTCATGACCAAATCCATACAAGAAAGTGTTGTAATCACTTTCTTAAGAGTACTGAAAGTGAACAATGACAAAACTCTACCTTGTGCCTCCTTCAACAAGGGGTTTCAGCCCACAGCAAGATTGACACTGCTGCCTGGCCATGTCTGTAAGTGAGTGACAGCAGGTAAACAATTGTCAGCATCCCAAACTAGTATGTTAATGTCTCCCCAGTGGCCACGTTTGTTATCCTGTTCCCTCATATTGGAATTACTTGGCTCAGGAGATCTGCCAATAATATACTTTTGGCTGGGTTTTGAAATCACCTTGGGATACCCAGTCACACAGTGAGGCTTTGTGGTACATGGTTCTCTGTGCCACGTTTCACACAGGCCACTGAAGGGCTGTCAATATTGGCATCAGGAGAGCTGAGTTCAAGTCCTGGATCTACCTCCTATTGATGATGTGATTTTGGGCACATTATATGAACTCTGAGCCTCTGTTTCCTCATATAAAAAATGAAGAATGGGGATAATATTATTTATTTCACAGGGTTTTTGTGAAGACTAAAAGACGTGATGCAAAAGGGCATTGTAAAGTATAAAGAGCCACATAGATGTTATTATAACTTTTGGTAAACAGGATCATCATTGTTGGATCAGTTGCTTATATTAAGAATTCTGAGGGTTTCTGTGGCTGAAGATTGCCATGATACACATAAGAATAAATGTTATATTTCTTATTTAAAGGTCAGAGTGGTGAGATTGGATAAGGATAAGGTACAATGGTGAGAGGTGAGTGGCTGTTTGTACAGGGCTGTGCCAGGCTACAGGGATGCAGAAAAAGAAGTGTGCAAAGACAGAGCAAGATTTACTTATTCCTGATTTATTAGAACTGAATTTCTTTACATTTTTCTTCCTTCCTTACAGGCATATCCCATTTCATCCTTATGTTCTTTCCAAATCTCATTCCTGGAAACCCTTTCTCCCCTAGTCTCTTGAGACACTTTGGACTTAGCACTCATGAAGCATTAATTTTTAAATGGCATATGCTTTTACAGGATCCAGTGCTGACCCCATGAAATTAGCCCTCCCTATTTAGAACCACCCAATTATGTAGAGACTCAAGCACAATGAGATCTGCAATTCTCTTTGCCTCATAAGTCTTAAGGCTTTATTTTCAGCATTGTCTTGTTTTCTTTCTCCAAAACATCCAGGAAACTGAATGGCTGGAAGTCTGACTGCAAAACAATGGTTAGGATAGTGGCCAAATATGTGATGTTTCTGAATATGGAGGAGGTGGGCCTGACATTCCATGCTGCAGATATGCAAGAATAACTGGAGGAAAGAACCAACTGGTGGGGCATAGTTGGCCCCTGTCCACATTCACTTTTCCTAGACAGTCTTGGAGGATGGATGCTTTTTCCTTAAGTTAGGTTTTCTCCTCCCCTTAGGCTTTTACCTATATAACAGAAACAGACTTCTAATGATATATTTATATATGCCAGTAACATATAATATATAGAGATGATATAGCTGTGTATTAATAGTTGCTCTGCTATGTGTCTATAATAAACACTACATAGCAGTTATTGATTTATCTCTCCCACTAAAATACCTTTAGGGGTATTCAGAATAGACGCCCCTCCAGCAGCCATCTTGATACACTAAGATTTGGGGAAGCAAACAAAAATAGACTGAGAATGGGACAAAGATATTACACTAAGTATTTGACTTAATCCTACTCCCCACAACCTGTGGGCTGTATTGCGCTGACCTCCTATGAAGCCAAGGACAGAAACTGTACTCTCTGAAATCTTAACATAAAATACCTTCCATGCCATTTATGAAGCCACTGTCCCTCAGCTTCAAATCTAACTTTCTGTACTTTGCTTTGAGGTGCTGGGACTAAGGACTAGCAACCTGCGTTTCTGCTTTGCCAGCTGATCCTTGTTAGGTTCTGCCAGTAGGGGGTGCTAAAGGAGACTGCGAGGCCAGAGGACACGGGAGAGATCTGATACTCCTAGTAGTGTCAGCTTAGTGTTTGCTTCAAGCAAAGTGTTGCTGGCCTCGCTTTTTCATTCTGGCAGCAGCAGTTCCTCCCTCTAACAGAAATCTAATTCAGTTTGCAGTTTCTCCAACGTTGCAGAACCAGCCTCATTGTGGAGATTTTCTAAATGCATGAGTTAAAATGGCAAAAGTGGAAAAATAAGGATGAGAGAGAGAGAGAAAAAAGATGTACATACAGCAAGTATAGGATTAGAAAGGCATTAGGAAAAGCTTTACCTGTGAAAAACCCCTTTCCCCCTATTATATTTTAAACCTGCTGAGTTTGATAAAATGAGAACTAGGTCACTATTGCAGATGTGTGTTTTTTTTTTTTTTAATGAGATGATTTGGGTCAACTTTCTATATACCAACTTTATATATAGTTGTTTCAAAGGAGACTCAGCATAGCAAAGAGAGAGCATAGTAAAAAATTCATGGGAAAAAAGCTGCAATCAATGTAGAATGAGTCTTTGAAAATTAGCCAATTAATCTGGCTTTGCTTTGTTTCCCTCATGTCTAGGGACTTGATTTACATAAAATAAATCCAGTGTGAACAATGAATACATACACAGAAAATAAGAGTTGAATAAAAGATTACTTATGTATATGACTAGACACTTCAAAGGCTTATAGTGAAAGATGAATCACCAAAGGCTATATCTGAAAAGAACTCCAGACCCATGATTTTCTTAAAATGAACTATAATGGATTCTGTAAGGCTAGAAAGGGTTCAAGACAGAACTGTAAGACTTCTCATATGGTCCACTATATACAACAGCCACCTGCTTGCTATTGCCATTAATTTCTGCCTTAATTCTCTTACAGATAGAACCAGATACAACAGCCACCCTCTTGCTAATGCCATTAATGTTTGCCTTAATTTTCTCACAGATAAAGTCAAGACCAATTAGTGGAAAACACACAGTGGTAAATTTCAACTCCTTGAAGAAAGTTTCTAATGATCTCATCTGTATGATGAAGGATCAGCTACCTAGGAAGGTAGTTAATTTGCTCCAACTAGTATTAGTGAAGCTTAAGTTGGAGGACTGCTTGAATCTAGAATCAGACGGGAGAGTCCCTTTTGCACTGAGATTCTCAGGATTCTTTAGCAGCCAGTAACAAGAATATGTTACAACAGAAATTAACAGCTCTATTCATTTAGATAAGAGAGGATTTGAGACAGAACCAGCCTTTAACTGGAGTCTTTTTTTTTTTTGGCTTCAACCTTAGCACCTTCTCCCACCTCAAGGTGTGCATTATACTCTAGAGGAGACAGGATGCCTTACAGTAATCATATTTTTCAGAGGCTAAGTTGCTCTTCCCAAAGGAAATACAGTGCCATAATCATGTATAAGAGTTCTGGGTTCAGAAACTATCTTTGCTTGGATCGCCATAACAAAATACCATAGACTGAGTGGTTTAAACAACAGAAATTTATTTCTGTACAGTTATGGAGTCTGGAACTCCAAGATTATAGGGTGCCATTGTGGTTGAGTTCTGGTGAGGGTGCTTTTCCTCTGTTCACATGGCCTTTTTTTTTCTCTGTGTGTTTGTGTGTATGTGTATGGGGCGGGGACGGGGGAAGTTGGGGAGAGAAGAGAACAAACTATCTGATGTCTCTTCTTAAAAGGGCACTAATCCCATCATGAGAGTCCTATCCTCACAACCTCATCTAACCCTAATTATCTACCAAAAGCCCCATATCCAAATATCAATACTCTAGACATTAAGGCTTCAATACATGAATGTGGAGGGGAGGCACAAATATTCACTCTATAACATAAACCAAAGTGTGAAGCAAAGGTGTGGCAACTTACTAGTTGGATGGCTTTGGGTAAATTGTATACACCCTCTAAATCTCATTTACTTCACTGGAAAATATGAACCACAATAACTTCTCGATGAGGTTTTGGGGTACTGCATAAGTCAACAAACAGTAAGCATGTTTCACATAAAAAATAGTCCAAGTAAATGTAGCCACTACTACTGTTGTTGTTATCATCATCGATTCCGATAGGACAAGGATGAATCTGGAAGTTATTCCATACGCTGCTCTTTCTGTCTCCATTACCTAGCCCCTGCCTTGCTTTGCTAATTAGTAGTTATGCTTAAATCCAGCTCAAGTTTTACTTTGTCTAGAAGGCCACCTTTGATTATCCCCATGAGTTAGATGGCACGGACCTTGCTCTTTCATGACATACTAGGATGCATTTGCATGCAAATAGCCTTACCATTGCTGGGTGAATGTGATTTTCTTTCTTTGATTTTGCTAGCTAGACTCTGAGATACTTGAAGAACCACCTGGAGTTAGTCCCAGCTTCACAGTTAAGGGCATAGTTTTCCACAAACTCCTCTCACTTAAGATGCCAGTCACAAGTTTGGAGGTCTCTTGGGCCACTGTCACTTTTGATGAGCTGGATACAAATTCACTGGTCCCCACGGACACCCTCAGGTTTGGTAATTCAATAGAACTCCTCCCAGAACTCAGGATCATGCTATACTTGTGATTAGAATACAAACAGGGACCAACCAAAGTAAGAGATGCATAGAAAGAAGTCTGGGAGGATTCTAAATGTGAAACTCCCACCATCCTCAAGGATATCTTACCCTCTTAGCACATCAATATATGACAATACTTATAGGACTGCCAACCGGGAAAGCTCACCTGAGCTTTGGTGTCCAGAGTTTTTATTGAGGCTTAATTGTGTCCACTGATTGACTGAATCATTGGCCATGATTCACTGGCCATCAATAACCAGTCCCTTTCCTTTCCCCATGGGTTAATATTAGGCAGCTCAAAGCCCCAGCCTTCTAATCACACAGTTGGTCTTTCTAATGCAGCCAGCTCCCATCTTGACTCACCTTATTAGCATAATCTATCTGGGAGCCCACCATGAGTCACCTCATTAGCAAAAACTATCAGGTGTATGTTCCAAGGGGTCCACCATGGAAAACAGAGACATTCCTATCACTTGGGAAATTACAAAAGTTTAGTGGTTACCTCCCAGGAACCGGGGAAAAAGGAAAGCCAATTTTTTTTTATGACATAGGGATAATGATTATGCACCCTAAGTTGCTTAGTAGATCACCCAAAACATGGTAAGTGGTCCATAAATATTTGCTAAATGAATAACAGAGTGAATAATAAAAGTCAAGACAAGGCCATTGTTTTAACCTTATGAAAGGAGAGTTGGCCAATTATCTTTATTTTTCTGGATAGATTTACTTCTGGCATTTGAAGCCCTCACATCTCTTGTTCTATTTCCTTCTCTACTTTCTCCTATTTTCATTGAGTTCATCCCACTATCACCATTTCTTACTACTGTGAAACAGACTTTGAATTTCTACTTAAAACCCTGCTTTTGCCTTTCACACCTTTTCAATGGGATTTTACAGTTCTGAGAGCTGAGGAAGTGAAACAGAAAACACTGTGTAAGAAAATCAAATTCTTCTCTCAGTAACAAAGGTGCCTTGATGCAGGACAGCATTTCAATTATGGTGTTCATTTCCTTCCACATTAATGTCATTTGAGTTGCCACTCCATTACTTATTATTAGTCAAATCAATAAACAACATGCAGGCTCACAACTCACTGCATGTCAAACTGAGGCGTGCAGGTGGAGCTGTTAATGCAAACTGATATTTCAGGTGTCAAAGGGCACATTGGCTCCTGAGCAAGGTTTGAGGAGTGCAGTTTGGTTCAACAAACAATTATTGAGTGCCTTGTATGTGTCAGATGTTGTGCTGGGTGCCAAGAATACCAGTACTAAGAAGGGGCAGCATCTTCCTGAGGAACCTAGTGTCTTAGGGAGAGTGGGGATGGGGACAGGCAGAATGGACTTTCCCTCTGAGGTCCTTTAATTCAAAAAAATTCTTCAGGGTCTCTTCATCACCTTCTGAAGTATGACTGGTATACATCAAATTGCATTTATTCTACTGCACCCTGACACTCCTCATCTCACTTTCCTGCTTTATTTTTCTCCATGGTACTCACCAACCTCTGACACACTATGTAATTTGCCTATTGGTTTATTTGCTTGTCTCTCCCCCAGCTAGAATGTAAGCTCCATGAAGGCAAGTGTTTTTGTCTAGTCATTCATAGCTGCATGTCTAGTTTTAAAATCTGGGTCTGGAACATGGTAGGTGTTCAATAAAAATGTGCTGAATTAATGAACGAATCTACTAAACAGGGGGTTCCTCCTGCTGCCCAAATGTCTAAGACTCCTCTTGGGTAGTGAAAAAGTTGAAAAGACATTTATAGTGCAATGATCCTCCAGAGTGGGCTGGACATGTTCCTTAAGCTGCCAGGCCGCAGGGCAGTGTCCATGGCCTCAGGGAGCCGGTGGGGGGGAACCAATATGCAGTCAAAACCAGACAATATAATGTGTGTTGTCTCATTCAACCCTTGATGTATCCCTGTGAGATAGAAGTTATTCTTCCAATTTCAGAAATGAGAAGATGGGTGGTGAAATAGCTTGCCTACAGCCCCACAGCTCATCAGTGCTAGAGCTAAGCTTTAAATCCATGCCTGAGAGATGCCATGGTTCATGCTTTCCTCATCTATGATGTTAGGCTGCCTCTATATCATATCTTAGTGAATGTGAAAAGTAAGCAAGATGCATTTGCTCCACTAGAAGCACCCACAGCCTAAGCTAGACAAATATTCACAGAGGAAACCACGTTGATTCTGTAAGATGGGACCATGCACCCCTTTGCACCATTCAAAGAAGGCTGAACAGGGCAGATATAAAAATGATGCAGTGAATGAGCTGTTGGCTTCCCTCATCTCCCTATTAACTGTGCCCTGGTGACTTACTCTTAAGAGACATCAAATGAGGAAATAAATGGCTATTGCCAAATAAACAAAGGCAATGTTTTAAAAGTCTCTGTCATGTCCTGATAGTTCCTGACGATGCCACTAAGCCCATTTCAACTGTCATTAATCCTAGTCTGACTCATTCTGGTTAAGGACTACTGCTCCCATGTCTGAGCCAACAATGCCCCAGGAAGGTACTAGGTTAGGAAATATTCCATCCCTTGAGCAGGAAGAAGACTCTGAAAATAGTATATTGTCTCCATGCCTTGCTTAAAGGTGGACTGGAGTTCACATAACAGCTTCTTTAAGTAACCATGCCCTCTGCACTCCCCCTAAACCTCCTTGCCACTTTGTGGCTATTTTTCTTGGCAGCTAGTTTTTACTCCTTTCTTTCCTGTGCTCTTCTCATCTCACTTTTATCAGTGTTTCCCCAAAAGCAGACCATGCTTCCAGTGACTCCTCAGCCATGACAGTAGATTTCTCTGTATCTACAGCTTAAGCAACTAGCTGATGCTAAGACCTCTGCCTCTTAATTGCCCTTGCTCCTTCTGCACCCTGGACATCATTGCTGACCTTCATTGAACTAACACTCAAGATACCCGCTCGACTTTATAATTCCTGGCTTCTCCTTTGGAGGTGACAGGGCTTCCTTACCCTTCATTATACCACTTTTAGGGTGGTTGGCTAGTCAACCACTGAATCAATCCAGATGTCTTCTAACATAGTCACATGGTTTATGATGTTTTATTTTGTAAAGCTTAGCAGAAATGTAGCTCCATATAGTGGTTTTCAAACCCTATAAAATAATACTGAATATTTTAATGCAAGTTAGATAATTATCAATATAAAAATTAAAGGGAAATTTCAAAATAATGGTAAGAACAGTTTCTCAGAAATAGTCTCCTTAATTCAGAAGTTAAAACTCAGAAGTACCTGGATCACACTGAGCTTATGGATCCCCGGTATGAGGAATGAACACAATGGTTTATTTCTGTTTGATTGGCAATGAGATTGACATATTTCTTTGGCTCCCCTGTGCTATTAAAAAAAAAAGAGCCTCTAAATTGAGACTACTGCCCATTTCAGTAAGAAATGAGGCCACATGTCAATAGAATATAGGTAACTACACATTTATAACACTGGGCAGTGATGCAGAATTGATTAGCAAGTGTAATTGCAGTAAGTAAGATGCTTTCTGCTCCTGGTACTGATGACTCGTGGCATATTGAAAGGAAAAAGCATGATTTTCAAGGAAATGAGATTCTCAATATTAAGATGGGGTCTAAAAGTGCCTAAATAGAATTGGAAATAACCTAAGTATTGAATGAGACTGTAGAGTGTAATGGTTAAGAGCATGGGCTTTAGGGGAAGACAGATCTGAATGCAAATATCTGTTTTAACATGTATTAGCTTTGAAGTGCAGCAAGTTCTTTAAATTCTTTAAGTCTCAGTCTCCTCTATAATGAGACGAGATGCTCACAGTGTTTATTCTCTAGGTGGTTGTGAGAATTAAAGCGATGTTGCAGGTAAAGCACAGACTGCACTTGTCACACAGCCAGTGCTAAAACAGACAAACCAACCAACCCCAAGCAAAAAACTATCTATATTGTTTTCATAGTTCACCAGCAATTCCAGTTCCTGGAAGGCAACCAGTCAGTGATCTACTGAAGCTAAGTCAGTCTACGGATGAGGTGCATGTCTGTAATTGATCAGATTCAGACCTAGAGGGAATTGGTAATCTGGTCCCCTCAGGACAGAATGTGGAGTTCTGCCTCATGAACTCAATCTGTAAGTATCAGGAAAAATCTTCCCAGAATGGGAAATGTAAAAAGAAAGTTCCAAACATGCCTAATTATTTCTAACAGATTCTAAAAACCTCTCAAAATGAATTCTGCATAAAATGTAAATCTAAACAGTTTGATGATGATCCACTGTTTCTACATTATTCAGTCTTTAAACATAAATAAGCCTAGGTTTTCTTTAAACAATTCTATCACAGAGTTCAAATAAAGCAGGTGTAACACACACACACACACACACACACACACACACACACACAAAGATATTCTACTTTAGCTCTCTCGTATCTGGAAATCATTCATCTTATCTGCTGCTCGCTCTCCCTCTTTCTTTTTAAGTAAACATTAATCCCCACAGATGGTGAACCACGGTAATCTCTGCTACCAGCTGCAGAGAAGAATTTTTAATGAAATGGGAATTTAAAGGGTTTTACACAAAGCACCAGAATCTATTCCGCTCCTTCTCATAATGCTCAAATTATTTTTACTGCCATGGGTTATAAATGCATGTTTGTATTACTGCTTCTGAGAGAAACTGACCTATTGCTTAGAAGGTGCTTACTGCTTTAAGCGTGCCGTCTCCTGCCTCACCCAGTATAAGGGTGTCAAGTCCCCAGTAAAAGGCACTCAGTGGTTAAGATTACAAGATTTATCCCAGAACTGACCTTATTTTACACTACCAACCCTGCCCAATCTCCACCTGACTTTTGTTGATATGTCTCCTGATCTTCTGGCCTCCCTTTTAATAAACTCCACAGAGTTGTGGCTTTGATTTAGCTACATCTCTAACTGAAAGATTTGATTCCTGTTTTTTTCTCTCCCTAGTCCAGCACTGCTCAGACTAACCACCTGGTATTCTGACATCTCCTGCTTGGCCTTATGACCTTCCTTTACAAATAACACTTATGAGCAGCTCTGTTGGACACCACTCAGTGTTTATAGTCACCAGCTCTCCTCGATTCTTGCCCAAGAGTGTTGATATAGAACACTCATGATCATTCTCAAATCTTTTAAGAAAGAAATTCAAGTTAGCTATGAAGCCAAAAGTTTTTTTGTTTTTTTTTTTTTACAAAAGATGTTATAAAAGGTGACATGCACACACAAGTATAAAAAATGGAAAATCAAGATAATGTCTAATTTAAGTTAAGCTAATTACTTTTGATGAAAACGTATTACTTTAAAAAAGATTTATACACCTCTAAAGCCGTTCAAAATATATCAGCATAGAAAGATTTTGATGCTCATAATAATTTTTATATATAAATTATCAGGGGGGAAAAGTCAAACTCCAATAGAAAAAGGAC
Source organism: Homo sapiens (assembly GCF_000001405.40). Classification (NCBI taxonomy): domain Eukaryota; kingdom Metazoa; phylum Chordata; class Mammalia; order Primates; family Hominidae; genus Homo; species Homo sapiens. Next base: position 51,869,141 of record NC_000017.11, read on the forward strand.
TATTTTCACAAATTAAGGGTACACATACAAGAAGAAAATATTAATAAGATTAAGAAGTTCATCTCTATTGATGTTATGAAAATTTCAGCCTTGAACACTAACTTATGGCCACAAATCCAATCATAAACCATTTCAAATGGACCAGGAAAAGACCCCAATGTCATGGAAAGAGTAGCTGCTTGAAGGTCAGAAAGCCTAAGAGCTGGTCTTCCTGGTCCTGCCATCAACTCACTTTGTGCTGGGGGCTGAGTTGCTAGGCCTCTTCTAGACTCAGTTTCCTGACGTGAAAGTTTACTCCTGAGGCCTCCCAGGTCTGTTTAATATGGGATCACCAGGAAACAACATAAAACACAGCAGTAAACTTAACAGGAGTCTCCCTGTCAGATCCTTGAACTGATTTCACATGAAGAACATTTAGAAGGCAGGTTTCAGAACCCTGGACAGAGCCATTTTGACTCAGAATGAGGCACGGAGTGAAAGCCATTTAGGCTGGGTATAGTGGCTCATGCTTGTGATCCCAGAACTTTGGGAGGCTGAGGGGAGAGGATCACTTGAGGTCAAGAGCTTGAGACTAGCCTGGGCAATAGAGCAAACCCCCTGTCTCTACAAAAAATAGTAATATAAAAAAGCAGTTTGTCTGCCAGAGTAGGAAAAAAATCAAAGGACAAGAAAATGTCTGAATGTCAATTTTTAGGAAGACTGTCCTCAACTACCCAAAGTGGTGTTTCTTACTACATTATTTGTGCTCCTAAAGCACTGTATAAAGATGTCTATTAGAACCCATGTTAACATCCCTGGCAATATCATGAACTTCTTAAAGCAGGGCTTCTCAAGTTTTAGTGCTTGTCCGAGTCATCACAGCCAATCCTCAGACCTTCCTGCCCAAACCACTCTTTAATTAGTATTTACTAAGGCCAATCTATTGCTGCATGAACTTTTAGGATTCAAGAATCTGACATACAGTTATGATACTCTGTCTTAGCCTCTCCTTATAAGGATGTTGACAGCCAGAAGAATCACATTGAATCAAAGCCAGTGATAGAATTCTGTCAATGACTGATTATACTTATACAGTTAGCAGCCCCTCCTAGGAGATTGCCCTGTTGATCCAAGAATCACCAAGAGCTTTTCCTGAGCCATAGCTTTATAGGGCATGCTATGCTATTTTGCCCATCATGAAAGAGCTGGCAGTCCACAAATAACCTGAGGGCAGGATCACACTCTAAAGTGACTTGAGCAAATGATTTGTGTAAGCTAATGTGAACCTCCTATGGCTGTGCTGTCATCAAAACACTGGGTCAAATCAAATAAGTCCATCAAGGTGCTATAAAATATGCATGCAAAGAGAATGGATGTGATGTTGTTGAGAATAATAAAACAGTCCATAAAAGCTATGAAATAAATCAACTGTTCTTTCAGGCATGGAATACAAAACACCACATACATCCATATATATTATATATGCTGTAAGCACACATTTATTATATATGAGCACTTATTGACATGCTAGAGAAAACAAAGTGATTAAGGTGTTTGCTTCGTGGAAGCAATCGCCATCAAGGAAGCATTGGCACAGGGACTGAAACAATCCTTTGCCCTCTGATCAATGGCTTTGCCAAGGATAATCTCACTGGTGAACACTTCTTGTGGGGAACATGTGTATCCCTAGAAAGGATGAATTACAAATAAGAAATACAGGGGGTGGTGGGATTATTCTTATGCCATGACTCAGGCAGCTAGCTCTAAGATGTTCTAAAGAGATTCTTCGCTTTCCTCTAAAAACATGTTTTTAATATCAGATCATGGGGTGAAAATGTACCCTCACCCTTCAGACAAAACATTGAATGGTAGAGATTTCTTCTCTTTTTCCACCCCTCCCTCCTTCCTTCTTTACTTTCTTCCCACTTTACTTTTTTTTTTTTTTTTTTTTTTTTTTGAGACAGAGTCTTGCTCTGTCACTCAGGGTGGAGTGGAGTGGCATGATCTTGGCTCACTGCAACCTCTGCTTCCTGGGTTCAAGCAATTCTCCTGTCTCAGCCTCCTGAGTAGCTGGGACTACAGGTGTGCCCAACCATGCCTGGCTTGCTTATTTATTTATTTATTTATTTAAGATGGAGTTTCGCTCTTGTTGCCCAGGCTGGAGTGCAATGGCATGATCTCAGCTCACTGCAACCTTCGCCTCCCAGGTTCAAGCGATTCTCCTGCCTCAGCCTCCCGAATAGCTGGGATTACAGGTGCCCACCACCAGGCCTAATTTTTTTTTTTTTTTTTTTTTTTTTAGTAGAGACGGGGCTTCACCATGTTGGCCAGGCTGGTCACGAACTCCTGACCTCAGGTGATCCACCTGCCTTGGCCTCCCAAAGTGTTGGGATTACAGATGTGAGCCATCGCGCCCAGCCACACCTGGGTAATTTTTGTATTTTTAGTTGAGATGGGGTTACGCCATGTTGGTCAGCCTGGTCTTGAACTCCTGACCTCAGGTGATCCACCTGCCTCAGCCTCCCAAAGTGCTGGGATTACAGGTGTGAGCCACCATGCCAGCCCTTCCTTCTTCTTTAAACTTTTTTTTTTTGAGTGTACTTTAATACCAGTTGCTTCTCTACTTGCTATATAAGCAATGTCAGCATTACTTACTGAGCATGTGTATGCGACAGCCCTTTTCTATGTACCAGAGGGTCAGAACCACAGACACAAATGAACTACCACCACTACCCTGAGAGAGTTCATCATGTACCTTCAAAGACTCATGTGTAGGCAACTAATGCAAATGCCAAGAAGAATGAAACATGTACCTTAAAAGATAATATAACCAAAGGAAGAATTACTAATCCCAACTGCAGAGATTTTGGGAAAGGGTCCCAGTGTCCTGTACAAGATGGCATTTGAATTTTGACTGAGGAATAGGATTTTTTTTATTGGTAAAGAAATGGGAAAAGCATACCCAGGTAAGAAACAGCACGTTAAAGACAGAGAGCAGAAAGGCAGTGGCTACACTTGGTCTTTTCTATGGAGAATTTCTGCAGTGCCTGTGCTCCCATAAGTCTCTGGCTAGAATGGAAATACATTTCCTTCCTTTTGATAGCACAAAGAATAGGGTTTATTCCACAGAGTGACTTGGAACCTTAGTCATAGTGTTTTTTCAGCTTTATTACTCACCTACCTGTGATAAGGGCCTCTCCCAGCAAAGTGTCTTGAATCACTAAAAGTTTGTCTCTCCTTCGTAGGGCTCATAGTTGACACAGGGGCCAGAGACCAAGCAAGTTCAAGAGTAGCACCCCAAACCATTGTTTCTTCAGAAATTATCAGCCCCATCCCACCAGATTTATGACAAACCTACGGTGTTCTTCCCCCTTCAGAGACCTCTTTGTATCTCTCTGCTATCTGCCTTCTGTCAAGAGATTTCCAGTGTTTAGACATCTCAATACATGTCAGAACTCCAAATGTAGAAAGGATTCAAGTCTCCTTGTAAGGGTATACTAGGTCCTGAACAAATAGAGACCATTTACAGAGCTGTCTGGAGCTGGCTCATACTAGCTTGCAAGAGCCAATTGTTAAATTTTCAGGAATTTTGCAAACTGGTTAATACCATATTGGTAGCTTGAAATTGGCCATGGTTGGAGAATTTATATCACAGAGACTGGTAAAGGCTACAAATTAGGACTCTTATTTCCAGGGAGCTTATTGTTAGGTTCTTGCCAGTACTGCACCAAGTATGTAACTCTAAATAGCCCTCAAACCTTCCACACCAGTTAGCCAAAAGCACCTAAGTGGCTTTCAGAGGATTACCATCTTACTCCATATGCATGGAATGTTGGTGTCTCAGGGAGTGTTGAGAGATATATATCAACAATGGTGCTGATCAAACACCCACTGTCAAGAGTTCAATGTGCTGTAGGAGAAGAAGAGAAGTGCTGGAGTTTAGTTTCTAAGCATGCTGGCTCTAATCTTTACTAACTGTGGGATTTGAGGGAAGTTATTTAAGTCTCTGCATTGTTTTTTTTCCCTCACCTGCAAAGTGGGGACCATAATACTTATGTAACAGCGTTAAAGATTAAATAAAATAATATTTGAAGGTACTTAGAACAAGGTACAGAACAGAGTAAGTACCCAATAAATGATGACAATGAGGATAGACAACTAGGTTCAAATGCTGGCACTGCTACTTTTCAGTTTGTACCATCTTGTTAAACTTATTTCACTTCTCTGAGCCTCGGTATTTTTCCTATAAAGAATTGGAAAAACATAAACTCCTTCACAGAGTGCAGTGCATTAGGTAGTTGGCACTCAGCAATCGTTCTATCATCCTGATCTCAGTATTACAGGACCTGGGAGGCAAAAAACTACATCTCCCACACTCCCTTGGAGCTAGCATTCATAAGCAAATTAGGTTCCACCAATACAACGTACTTGTTTGAAATGTAGATGCAAGAGAGAGGCCAATTTTTTGCTTTTTGGCTTTCTTTATTGGCAAGCATGGCTGTGGAGATGTTGGGCTTCACTGCAGCACAATTCTAGTGTCCATGACTGGCCATGGGTGTGCTGAGAGGCAATTGTGCTGGCTGGGGTGGGCCTTTGGTTCTGCTCCTTTTGACTGTGGCAGTAGAAGCAGCTCTCCTGGTTTCCACAGTGTTGTTCTGGGAGTCACTCTGAGTGTCCAGCCTAGTGTTTTTCTTCAGCCCACCCAATGATGTAAATACACATTTCACTGCCTAAAATGACCAAAAACGTGTTTGTGTTCTGCAACTAGACCCTGATTGATAAGCAGTGTTTGGGAGGATTACACAAGCACATAGGATAGTGCACCAGACCTGCAACACTTACTATTGTGCCTGGCTTCTATTGTGTGTTCTTAATAAATCTGAGTTCCTTTTCTTCCCAGACTTGTCAACCCTCCTTTGTCAATGGAAGAAAAAGACCCAGTTAACTATGGCTTTTAATCAGCATGACTTGTTTTATGAACTTCCTGTGTAGAGTGTAGGGGAAATGTATATATTTGCTTCCTGAAGAATCCAGACCAATGCTCTAAGTCCATTTTTGTACATATAAATACTTGAAGGATACCAAACAATATTACAAGACTGTGGCTTTCATGGCCAGGACTATGTGGTATATTTTCCTTGAGAGTTAAGAATCAGGTTTGGGTTCATTTATGCCCATTCTTAGTGGAGGTTTTGTCCAACCCCTAATATCATCTTATTAATTCCATTAAAAATTTCTCATCTGAGCATCTACTCTTGGAGTAATTATTAAAAAAAAAAAAAAAAAACAAAAACTGAAAACTCAGCTCTCCTTTATCTGCTCTTTTATTCAAGTCATTTTCAAATTTGTTTCCCAGGCAATAGTAATTGTTTCAGTAATTAAAATGTCAGGAGGCGGGCAGAGTTGATTAGAATAGCCTCTGACCACATGCACCAGGAAAGGCATATGAGAGAGCACCAGGTGACCTCATTATTAACGTGGTCTATTATATTAACCTTGTTACACATGTAAAATGTACTGAAAACATTGATACTCAGCTCTTCCTTGTTTTGTTTCTGATACCTCAAGCAATAGCCCACTATTAGAATTAACCACTGCAAGATTATTACAAAATGAAGGACAGAAAAATGAAATGTAGATATGAGTTGAAATAACTCTAACACCAAATTCAGCATCTATTTCTATTACTCATATAGAGTGTCTGTTTTACCCAAGGCTATTGCAACTTAAACTGGGTCTTTCCTCCTGTTGACATGTCTCCACGCTTACCCTTGGGCATCCTGTATAGGGTAGGGTGAGGGGTAGTGAGTAAGGAAGATGTTTTTCTTCTGTTTTTTTTTCTTTTTTTTCTTTTCTTTTCTTTTCTTTTCTTTTCTTTTCTTAGGGTCTTTCTTTGTTGCCCAGGCTGGAGTGGTTTGATCATGGTTCACTGCAGGCTTGACCTCCTGGGCTCAAGCCATCCTCCCACCTCAACCTCCCAAGTAGCTGGGACTACAGGTGTAAGACACCACCCCCAGCTAATTTCTAAATGTTTTTTAGAGATAGGGTCTCCCTATATTTCCCAGGAACCAGGAGAGCTGCTTATACTCTTATACTGCCCAAGTTAGTCTTGAACTCCTGGGTTCAAGCAATCCTCCCATACTGGCCTTCCAAAGTGCTGGGATTATGGGTATGAGGCACTGTGCCCAGCCTAGAAAGGCAGTTTTGACCTGGATCTAGATCTGTGTTCCTAGACTGATGGAGAACCATGGTATTATTAGAAGGTTACCAAGTCACCGTGATACACTTAACACTTTCAAGAGTCAACACAATGGAACGACAAATACTTTTGAACTTAAAAGTCATTTAAGCTCTGTTTACAGCTCACAGTCCTTCTTCATGTGGAGGCAGCTTTATGCAATGGGGAAGAAGGCTGTTTCTGCAGTCATTCTAATCTGGGTTCTATTCTTTATACTGCACCCCAATCTCTGGGACAGAGACAAGTCTCTCAGCCCTGTTCTTTTGTGTTTTTACTTATTTTTAATTTTTTCAACTTAAAAAGTTATTTATATTACTAAAGTTTATTTTTTGGGGGGGGTATATAGTTAAATGAGTTTTAGTACATGTGGATTATTGTAGCCACTGCCAAAATCAGGATACAGAACAATTCCAACACCCCCAACATTTCCCTCAAGCAGTTTCTTTTAACTTAACTCCCCTTCACCACCCTCTGACACTTCTTACTCCTGGAGACCGCTGATTGTTATCTATTCCTATTTCTTTTTTCCAGAATGTTCTATAAATGGAATAATATAAAACTTTTTGGAGTCAGTTTCCTTGACTTAGCACAATGCCTTTGAGATTCATATATGCTATTGCATTTATCAATAGTTCATTTCTTTTTATTGCTGAGTAGTATCCCATTGCATGGGGACCATGGTTTATCTGTTTAACTATGGAAAGACATGAGAGTTGTCTCCAGTTGTCAGTGATATAGATAATGCAGCTATAAACATTCATGTGTAGGTTTTATGTGAAGATAAAATTTTATTTCTTCTCTCGTTTTTTTTTTTTTTTTTTTTTTTTTGAACAAGGTCTCACCCTGTCACCCAGGCTGGAGTACAGTGGCATGATCTCAGCTCACTGCAGCCTGGACCTCTCAGGCTCAAGCAATCCTCCCACCTCGGCCTCTTGAGTAGCTGGGACTACAGGTGCATGCCACCACACCCAGCTACTTTTTTTTCATCTTTTTTTTTTTTTTTTTGGTAGAGATGAGGTCTCTCTATGTTGCCCAGGCTGGTCTCAAACTCCTGAGCTCAAGTGATCCTCCTGCCTTGGCCTCTCAGAGTGCTGGGATTACAGCATGAGTCAGTGCACCTGGCAGTTTTTATTTCTTTAGTGCAAAATGTCTCCACCTTGAATTTAAAGTGGAATAACCCTTTGTTGTGGGGAATGTCCTGTGCATTGCAGGATGTTTGGCAGCATCCTTGGATCTATCCATTAGGTACCCGTAACAGCCTCTGAACCAGTTGTGAAAACCAAAATGTCTCCTCACATTACCAAATGTTGGGGGGCAAAATTGACTTCAGTGAAGACTTCAGTGAAGAATTCAGTGACTTACTGAAGACTTCAGTAAAAACTCATAAGCAAGATCCTGGTCCATATGGTAGTATATGTTTCACTTTAAATGAAGCTGCCAAGCTATTTTTCAGGGCATCTGTACCATTTTGCATTCCCCCAGCTATGCCTGAGAGCTCCAATTGTTCTGTATCTTTGTGAGTACTTGATATTAGCAGGTTTCTTAAATTTTTTGCCATTCTGTAATTAGGGAGTCCCTTGATTTTAAAATCAGGAACGACACCGTGGCAAATATTAGTGCATGCAGCTCACTAATATTTCTAGTTCTGAAATTCTCCTCACTTGAGAAAGTTTCATTTCCTGCTCCTTTTAGGTTGCATGTGACTATATGAATTGGCTTGGCTAGAGTGAAAGTGGGGTGGGTCACTTCATGGTGGACATGTGTAGGAGCTGTTGCACACTGCTCCATCTTCCCTCCCCCAAGCTTTAGCAACCACCTACAGTCCAGATGGTGGAGATGTCATCAGCCAATGTTGCTGAGTAGAAATGACATGGAAGAGAGTACCCTGCCAAACCTCAAATGGACATGAGGTATGTGTGAGAAATAAAACTTTGTTTAAATCCACTGGTATTTTGAGATTGTTTGCTAGCTTATTTTGACTAAATCAAATTACTATGTGATAGACTCATTGTGAGCATTTATGTGACAAATGTGGGTAATGCATTTAACACAATTCTTGGCTCAAAAGGAGTTCAGAGTGAATGATTGCTACTATTATAACTATTTACTCTTCCCTGACCATCCCGCATCATGATGATTCTCTCTTTGATAAACTCACAGCTTTTACTCTCTGTAATGCATTAGCAGAACTACTTTAGCTTCTTCAATGCACCTTGGCAATAAATCAAATTCAAAGATATGAAGTTAAGTACCCATTTCATTGACCACCTGATCATCAGGTGTGCTGGTACACCATCTAAGGTTCAAGGGGGTAGCATCACTGTATTGGTGCAAACATCTCTAAATGACAATTAGTATTACTAAGTCATTTTAAAACCTGTCTTCTATAGGTCAGTGTATAGAAGGTCTTTCATTAACCAGCAACTTTTTCACATTTTTTGTCTATTTGTCCATTTCCTAAGAATATAAAGAGAGGTAAAGAGGTATAAAAACACAGTGATTCTCGGCTGGGTGTGGTGACTCACACCTGTAATCCCAGCACTTTGGGAGGCCGAGGCAGACGGATCACAAGGTCAGGAGATTGAGACCATCCTGGCTAACATGGTGAAACCCCAACTCTACTAAAAATACAAAAAATTAGCCAGGCATGGTGGCACACGTATGTAGTCCCAGCTACTCGGGAGGCTGAGGCAGGAGAATTGCTTGAACCCAGAAGGCGGAGGTTACAGTGAGCCAAGATCGCACCACTGCACTCCAGCCTGGGTGACAGAGCATGACTCCGTCTCAAAAAAAAAAAAAAAAAAAAAAAAGAAAAAGGAAAAAAGAAAAAAACACAATGATTCACAAAGCTGATAGTGCATCAGAATTACCTCCAGAAAGTTGGGAATTCTGGTTCTAAGATTTAACCACACTGAGGCCTAAGACTTAACATATTTTTTAAAGTTCTCCATATAATTCTGATAAGTAGACAAGTTCAGAAGCCCCTGCATTAGTTGTAGAAATGTAGGAAGTATGACCCTAAGAAACTTGGCAAGACGCAGAAAAACTCCTGCAATTACCCCAGCTATTTAGAGATGTGAAGAGTTTCTATTACCTACCTGGCAGAATCACAATCTGTCATAGGATATTTTTCACATTATTGTTCAAGATTGAAATGTATCCCTGGCTCTGATCTAACTGGCAGACAGACCTGAGGAAGAGAACTCAACTCTGTAGGCACCAGGGTTCATATCTGCAAATTGTGTGAGTTGGGCTTCCACCTATAAAAATCTTTGATCCATTATCTTCTGTGATCCAGGTATTCATTTTAATTACTCAATCAGATTATTGCATGTATTGAGGAATCTTCTACATTTTCCAGGATTTTAATACATAATATGAGCCAAAGAAATGTTTTTCAAGCTTATAACTATTCATTCACTGACAAACAGGGTGCTCTTCCAAGGAACTCTTTTTCAATTTTTTCATGTTCATATATATATATATATATATATATATATATATATATATATATATATATATATATATATATATGGGTGTGTGTGTGTGTGTGTGTATGTGTGTATGTGTGTTTGTGTATATATATATATAATGAACAAATATAACAATAAAATTCTATAATTCCCAAATCTCAAAATAACCACTTTTGGCATTTTAGATTATTGTTTTCATTTTTAAATAAAAACATATACTATATAACTTTGTGACTTTCCTTTTTATTTTCCATTATAACATGAGAATTTCCCCATGATTCAATTTATTCAAAATGGAACTTAAACAACTGAATAGTTTCTTATCAGTTGGTTATCACACTTGTGTAGCCATTTATCTACTGTCAGATATTTCAGGTGGTTTCTAATTATTGTCCACTGAACATGGTGTTACAGTGAATTTTTTCATGTGTAGCTCTATTTCTTTAGGATAAACTACCAGAATTGGAATTACTGGGGAGACAAATACTACAAATAGCTGCATAAGCCTTTAAAATGTCCTATTTTAATTATTTTCTTCTTCTACTCATCTTTCTTACTGCTCCCAAGATTATCTATCTAACCCAGAGATTCTACTCTCTATTCTACTTCATTAAATCTACTATGGGATCCCCATTCAAGACAGTGGAGCTGAGCACACTTATTTGATAACTCCAGACTTCTCAATATTATTAAGATGAACAAAAAGGTCTAAAATAAAGACCTACATCAACGAAAACTCTAGAAAACAGGAGTAGATAGAAACGTTGAGAAACTTCTGAATGATAAAGAGCAAGTAAGATAGGCTTGGCTGAAGTGAGGACCAGAGAACAGAGTGTCCCAAAGCTGACCAATGAAAAGCTCACTGCAGAGAGGTCATTGCTCCCAACAGAATCCTGGAGAAACTGTGAGCATGAGGAGCAGAAATGAAATGCAAAAAGTCCCCTATTAAATTCTTCTTATCCACATTAGGGAGGAGAATTCTTCTAAAAAGAAAAGGAAGTGACATGTGTCCGTGAGTGAACTTCACTGACCAATGGCACTCCTTGAGTGAAGGTGTATTAATCATGTCTTCTATTTTCTGTATGCTTTGATATCTGGGGCCTAGGTGACTCAGGAGGAAGTGCCCCTCCAAGGGTTAGCCAATTCCTAGACATAATGAACAATTTGCCTCTAAGCATGCCTTTCATATGCAAACTGGCCAATCCAGAATCCACACCTCAACTATCTTCTTTATAGGGCTCTCATACTCCAGGCCACTAACCACCTGCTCTAATCACCCCAGAGCCTGCTGAAACTAATAAGCCAGTCCTAACCCTGCTTTCCTTGCCTTACCTCTTCCAGCAGAAACCGTAATAAGGCTCTTCCCCATAGTTCCCTCCTCCCTTTATTCCTCCTGACCAACCCTGGTATGTCCCCGTGTGGTACTGAGTAGATTGGCATGCCCCTTCCTCTTGGGAACTGTCAGCAAAAAAATATTTTTTTTTCTTTTTTTTTGAGGCAGGGTCTTGCTCTGTCACCCAGGCTGGAGTGCAGTGGCATGATCTTGCCTCACTGCAACCCCATTTCCAGGGCTCAAGTGATCCTTCCTCCTCAGCCTAACAAGTAGATGGGACGGCATGTGCCAATGCACCCAGCTAATTTTTGTATCTTTTGTAGAGATGGTGTCTTGCCATGTTGCCCAGGCTTGTCTTGAACTCCTGGGCTCAAGCGATCCTCCTGCCTCAGCCTTTCAAAGTGCTGGGAGTATAGGTGTGAGACATTGTGCCCTGCCACAAAATGTCTTTTCCGTGGCAATTATTTTCTAATCTGTTGGGCTCACTGCACCTCACATTTTTAATACCTTCCCAACTTAACTGTTGACTCCCTGCCAATCTCCTATAGGAAATCTTATTTATTGGCATATCTGGTAAGTTTCAGTAATAAAAAAAAATAAGTAATGAAAGACTTACGTGGAAGCATGAAAAAAACCAATGTTCATAGTGCATTGATAGATGAAGAAAGAAACTAAAAGAGGGAGCACAGAACTTATTTCTACAAATATATGTAGAAATGTAGTTGTATTTCAAATTAGTGGTGATTAGACAATTTATTTAATATATTGAGTAATTAGAAAAAAGTTTTATCGGCCGGGCGCGGGTGGCTCACGCCTGTAATCCCAGCACTTTGGGAGGCCGAGACAGGCGGATCATGAGGTCAGGAGATCGAGACCATCCTGGCTAATACGGTGAAACCCTGTCTCTACTAAAAATTAAAAAAAAAATTAGCCAGGCATGGTGGCTGGCGCCTGTAGTCCCAGCTACTCGGGAGGCTGAGGCAGAAGAATGGCGTGAACCTGGGAGGCGGAGCTTGAAATGAGCCGAGATCACGCCACTGCACTCCAGCCTGGGCGACAGAGCGAGACTCCGTCTCAAGAAAAAAAAAAAAAAAAAAAGTTTTATCCTTTTATCATACAATGAACTCAAAATAATTTTGAGATAGATTACGGATATAAAAAACCATAATGATTAAATTAATAGCATAATGTTTTTATAATCTTATGCTAAAGAAGGATTTATCAATAAAGGACGAAACCCAGGATTCACAAAGATTCATGTATTTTGTATTTTAAAAATGGAAGCTTTGGTACACCAGCAAAAGTCACTATAAACACATTCAAAAGACAAATGATAAAAAAGAAAAAATTTGCAACACCTAAAACATAAGAATGGTTAATATTCATAAAGTATAAAAACATAAAAATCAATATAAAAAAGACAGCCTATCTGATAGAAAAAAAGAACGGGGATATGTATAGGCAATTTACAAACAAATACAAAAGGCAAACATATGAAAAGGTGATGAACCTCACTAACAAGGAGACACAAATTCAGTCAATAATGAGAGGGCATTTTTCCCATATTAAGTTGTCAAAAATTATAAAGACTGGTAATATCCAGGTTTGGCAAAGCTGTGTGGGAGGTGGGTAGGAACGGAACATCTTTCACTGTTAATGACAGGAGAACAGCTTTGGAGAAGACAAATAGGCAGAACCCATCTAAACTACAAGTTAGTGAGTTTTTGGTTTGGCAATTTCACTTCTAGGCACATATCCTATTGGAATGCTTGCTCACATGCATAAAGACACATGCGCAAAATGTTAGAAGCTATATGATTTGTAATAGTAAAAAAGTGGAGGAATGCTAATGGTTCATCAATAGCCCACAGTTGAATATTGTGGAAAACTTCGCAGTGGCAACAAAAAAAAAAAAAAAGAAAAGAAAAGAATAGAGTTACACGGCCTGACTTTAAAATAGATGCGTATGTTATGCTGTTGGCTAAAAAGAAAGAAAAGTTGCAAAATGATATAACATGTACAGTATTCGCTATGTATATATGTGTTTATAAAAATATTTTATAAAAGATAGCTATTTATATATACAAAATATAAGTAATTGATGAAAAACTGTTTCATAAAATTATCGTGTTATATTATCATATCCTTTTTCATTTTTCCCAGTTAATCATTTGAATTCCCATAAGCCTTAGTACAAGAAAATCCAGGATCTCCCACTTGAGATTGCCTATCCCCAGAATTGTCCCAAAACCTCAGCACCTCATTAATGCCAATTGTAAATTGTGTGTGTGTATGGGTGTTGGGGGAGGATGGCAATCCATCTTCCAGATTCAAAAGATGGAACTAAATGGGGCTGGCTTTCTCCAGGTATCACCTGACTACATCGACCTGGCATAGTCAAGTCTATGATGGTAACACTTGACTGTGATAATGCCGCCTGATTTAGGATGTCAAGTACTTGGTACTCATAGGGTGATGCTCCCTATGGCTTTTGGGCTGAGTTCAGCTGTGAGTGTGGCTCTCTGTGCTCAGCTCTCTTGTTCCTACACAAACAACTTCACGGGTCTCTGCCAGCCAGAGCACCGAGTCAAGACTGGAATTTGTCAGCTTACAGACCTAACCTTGCCATCCTCCTTCCCTCTCTAGGGAGCCTACAAAGAGGTCCAGGAAGGTTTTCTTTTTAAAATGTCAGAAGTTGCTATTTGTTCTCCTTTCTCAGAATAGAGTAATAGTTTGGCACTTCTCTCTTGAAAAAAGTTGTGCTCCCAACAGATATAATCCTGGCTGGGTACATCTTGGGTAAGGTACTGGTGGAAAATTTTGTTTGTATGATAGATTTTATGTGTACAGTGCAGGTCTAGAAGAATTCACACTAAACTATTAGTGGTGGGTCATCTCCTTTTGGGAAGGCAGGAAGTAATGGGAGTGAAACTAAGTAACTACTGTCAGTCACATTTACTCCTTAGCACTTTGGAGTAAACTGTGGTTTGATTTTATTTTGACAGGGTTAACAAACTTGGACATACACACACATACATAAACACTCATGCAAATCAACTTAAAAATAATACAATAAATTTTCTTTCTCTCTTCTAATTTTTCGTTTTCTGTTGGATCATTCTTCTCTGTGTATACTCAATGTTCTGTTATTCTTCCCAACTTAAAAAAAATCCCCTCCTGATCACTCTTCCCACTTGTGCTTTTATTACTCCATTTCTTTGAGCTTTTTACATTAAAAGTCCTCAAGAGTTATCCATATTCATTTGTAAATCCTTTCCTCCCATTTTCTCATGAATATATGCTAATGATCCCCCATCCCACTCACTTCTACTGCTCTTGTTAAGGCCACTAATGAATGGCCTCCAAGTTGTTGACTCCGTGGTCATTTTCAGTCTTTACCATACTTGACCCATGAACAGCTCCTTCTGCCTGAGAACCCTTTCTTCTTTCATCTTCCAGGATACCACACTCTTCCAGTTTCCCAGCTCCCTCCCTGGCAGCTCCATCTTAAGTTCCCTTCCTGATTCCACCTCAGCTCCTCCCCATCTTAATGTTAGGTGCTCCAGGGCTCAGTCCTTAAGCCTTTTGTCTAACATGATTTCATTAGCCATGGCTTTAAATATCATCTATGTTAAATACACCTCAAAATTTTTCTTTTAGCTTAACCCTGTCCAGGATTCTAGGTTTATACACTCTACCTCCTATTTGGGGTCTCCACTTGGATGTTTGACAAATATGTCAAACTTGGCATACTCAAAACTGGCTCATCTCATGGTATTCTCTCCCAAATCTGCTTTTCTTATATTTTTCTGCAAAATGATAAAGGATAACTTCAATCCCTTCATGCTCAAGAGAAACCCTTGTAGTCATCCTTGACCCTTCTTTTTTCTTTGCATTCCATATTTAACCTATCAGCAAAATTTGTTGACTCTACCTTCAAATTATATCCAGATTCTGAATACTTCTCACTAGCTCTTCTGTTGCCTCCTTGGGTCAAGACACAGCCACCCTTTCCCTGGATTGTTGTAATGGCCTTTTCACTGGACACCTGGACTCAGTCTTTGAGAACCTTCAGTAATTTTCAACACAGAGTGATGCTGTAAAACTCTAAAACAGATGGCCACTTTGCTCGCAGCCCTACATAAGTTCCTCATTGTACTCAAATTGAAAGCAAAATCCTTGCAATCCCTCTCACCTCATTGCCCTCTACTCCTCCACTCTCCCTCTCCAGCCTCCAAGCTTTCTCTAGAACGGGTTGTCTTGAGATCTTTGCATCTGCTCTTCTCCCTGCTTGGGCTATTCTCCCCTGCAAACACCCAATGGCTTGCAAATTTAACTCATCCAGGTCTTTGACTTTATGTTCTATTCTCATTGAGGCTTTCCATGACTATGGTATTTAAAATAGCACACAGCTTCTCCTACCCTCTCTGTATTTCCGAACCTTTTCAGCATTTTCTTCTTCATAGCACTTAGTACAAAATGATTAGTGTCCTAGTGCTGTGTTACAAATTAGCACAAACTGGGAGGCTTAGCGCAAACTGGGAGGCTTAGCACGACAGAAAAGTATTGCCCCATGAACTGTGAAATCAAGGTGCTGGCATGGTTGGTTCTTTCTGGAGGTTCTGAGGGAGAATCTGTGCTGTGCCTCTGTCCTAGCTTATGGTAGTCACCAGCAATCCTAGGAGTTCCTTTGTTTGTAGACACATCATTCCAATCCCTTTCCTCCATCATCACCTGGCTTTCTTCCTTATTTGTCTGTATTCTTGTATCTTCACATGCCCTTTCTCTATGAGGATATCAGTCATTGAAATTAGTGCCCACCCTAATCCAGTATGACCTCATCTTAGTTCGACTGTATCTGCAGACTATTTCCAAATGAAATCACATTCACAAGTATCAGGGATTAGGGGTTCAACATATATTATTGGGAGAGACAATTCAACCCCTAGCACCATATGACATACAACATATTTTTACTTCATTTTTTGTCTTTCTCTTTATACAAGAATGCAAGCTCTAAGAAAGCCCAGAGTTTTGTCTGATTTTTTTTTCACTGCTATACCTGGGTGGGATGCAACCCATAAAGACTTGTTGAATGACTAAATCCCTCTGCTAGCTCCTCATGACCAAGAGGACGAAGGTCCAAACAATGGATACAGCATTCATGCTGTTAGACAAACTGGGCCTCACTGAAGTTTTCACCCTTAGCTTTCATCACTTCCCTCAGTATCTCCTGTTTCTACTAAGGTGAACTCCTGGATCTTACTCAAACACGTTCACAACTCTCCTTATTTGCTCTTTCTCTCCCCTTCACCCCCATCTACTCCTCTTTTCCTCTACAACACATATTTCTCTGTTAAAATCTTACACATTCTCCTAAGACCAGCTCAGTTCTCACTCTGAAACCTTCCATATGAACAGTTAACAACCTCTTTTTCTGGGTCCCTTTCAGTTAGTTATTATTTTTCTCACTAGAAATTTTATCATCTTAGCACATGAGTGCATTGGTGTAGAATCATGACAACACAAATCTTCTCCATTCAACTGGGAGATCTTTCAGACAGGGGCCAATGCCTTCCTTATCTCTTCATTTTTCCTTCAGTCCAACCCCCAGCATCTATCCAGTGCTTGGACTGTAACAGCTGCATGCTAAACACCTGTTGACCAAATGAAAGAAGTAGGGTAGATTTGCCTTCTTAAGCTTTGAAGTAACAGCAAATATAATTTTGGCCACTGGGCCCCAGGATATATGTACTACATAGTTAGCCAATAAGTAGGTGGGAAAGATGAGGTTTCTAACTAAGGCATTTTGGAAGTTACAATAAACAAAAGCCTTCGAGAAAAGGCCTTAGTCATGGTCAGAGAGTGCAGAGAGATTAGCAAAGGAGAACACAAAATAGACTACTCAGGAGGACAAAAAACTGGACTTAAGCTGTCTAATAGCTAATGCCCATCCAGTAAGTGAAGGGCAGAATCCTCCCACAGCCACCTGCATTATTTTCTAAAGACCATCCCTTAGAGCTGTTTTTAGAGGTATTTTGAGCATTGTGGGTGAATGTGGCAGTGTAGTCTTAGATATAGATGAGAAGGAGTGGCTATAAAAACTGCACCTTCCAACTATAAAAACTTCCTGGAGTAACAATTCCCTCCCACAATGTAATTGAAAAGTGCAATTGATCTTATCTTTAAAGAGTGTTCTACAAAATCTTAGAGTCATTCTGTTAGAATAACTTGAATGCTTTTAAAAAACCTAATTCCTGGGTCTCATCTAAGATGCCCTGGAATCAGATCTTTGCAGTAGTGTACTAGAATTTGCACTGGCAATAAGCTCCCAGGAAAATATGAGAATACTAATATTTAAGGATTCCTACATTAAGGAAATCCATCCCTAAATCCATGTATATGATTTATCATGGTCAGCCATTGTGTTGGTTAATTTTATGTGTCAACATGACTGCACTAACGGATGCCCAGATAACAGGTAAAACATTATTTTTGGGTGTCTGTGTAGGTGTTTCTGGAAGAGATTAGCATTTGAATCAGTAGAACTAGTAAAGAATATTGTCCTCACAGAATGGGCCAGAATTATCCAATCTGTTGAAAGCTCAAATAGAACAAAAAGGCAAAGGAAGAGTGAATTTGTTCTCTGTTTGAGCTTGGATATCCATCTTCTCTCACCCTGGGATTTTGGTACTTCTTGTTCTTGGGCCTTCAAACTAGAACCTGGACTTATGCCATTAGCTCCCCGTGTGCACCCTGCTCCATTCTCACGCCTTACTTATGCCATCAGCTCCCCCTGTGCACCCTGCTCTATTCTCATGCCTTTGGACTTGGGACTGAATCACACCACTGTCTTTCCAGGTTCTCCAGCTTGCATATAGCAGATAATGAAAATTCTTGGCATCCCTAATAATGTAAACCAATTCCTATAATAAACCTCCTCATATATATATCCTATAAGTCTGTTTCAGTAGAGAACTTCGGCTAATACAATCTTATTCTTGAAAATCTGGAAAGGAAAAAAATGAAAAAAAAAAACCCA
Source organism: Homo sapiens (assembly GCF_000001405.40). Lineage (NCBI taxonomy): Eukaryota > Metazoa > Chordata > Mammalia > Primates > Hominidae > Homo > Homo sapiens. The sequence goes on from NC_000017.11 coordinate 51,887,206, forward strand.
CAAGTCTTTGTATAGATTTGTCTTCAAGTTAGGGTCTTCTTAAATACCCCCTCCAATAGAACTGCTCTTAAAGAATAGACACGCAGAAAGAAGCCTCTAGGCTGAGGCAAGCAGGCCCACAAGGCTGAAACACAGAATGGAGGAGAGCAGCAGTTCTTGAGAGCTTGTTAGCAATCAAACCTGAAGGCAGGCGGGGACTCTGAGATGAGTAGAAACTCTGGGCAGCCATTCAGTATACTTTTCAGCAACCCAGAACTAAATGTAGGCTTCAGATACAGAGTTATATTATGGGAACAGCAAAGTCTTTGGACTAACAAATAACATGGTTGGGATCCTTGCTCTGCCAATTACTTTTGGTTCAGCGAATCTGGGTAAGTTATTTACCTCAGCCTCAGTTTCCACATCTGCACAATGCGAACAACATCACCACTTGGCTGGCTTATTGTGAAGATAAAATAAAATAAAAGTGTGTGTTGGCTGGGCGCAGTGGCTCACACTTGTAACCCCAGCACTTTGGGAGGCTAGCTTGTAATCCCAGCACTTTGGGAGGCCAAGGCAGGTGGATCATGAGGTCAGCAGTTCAAGACCAGCCTGGCCAAGATGGTGAAACCCCTAAACCCCTTCTCTACTAAAAATACAAAAAAAAAAAGAAAAAAAAAAAAGAAAAAAAATTAGTCGGGTGTGGTGGCAGGTGCCTGTAATCCCAGCTACTCAGTAGGCTGAGGCAAAGAATTGCTTGAACCCAGGAGGCAGAGGTTGCAGTAAGCCGAGATTGCGCCACTGCACTCCAGTCTGGGAGACAGAATGAGACTCCATCTCAAGAAAACAAAAACAAAAACAAAACAAAACAAAAAAAACTGTGTGTGATCACTTCACATGATAGTTGAAACTTGGTAAGTCCCTGAAATATGACATCTTCTAGATTTCTTTTCCTTGTCTCCAGTAAGAGATAATCAGAAGGTGGTATTGATTTTTAAAAAAAAGGAGAAGAAAGGAAAGAAGGAAGGGAGAGAGGAAGTAACAAAAGGAGGAAGGAAAAAGAAATAGAAAAAAAGAAAAGATACACAAATAGAAGAAAATTAGCTTGGTTCAGAGTTTTCCAGACAAAATAAGCTACTTTCAAATATCATCTTTTACTGAACATTTACATTAAAATCTTTAAGCGGTACACCATGCCATTGTAGATTTCTCCAAACTAAATAAAAATGGTAACTAAATAGTAGAATAAGGATTACTTTCTATAGCTGAGAATGAAATAATTTGAAGGTAAACATTGGAAAGCTCTTAAAGCATCCTAAATTGTCTTTTCTTCCTTCAAATGTCAAAATACCTATCTCAATAGATATTTTTAAATTGCATTCCTCTTTCAAGATCCTTCTATCCCTTGTGTCTCTTGCTTAGGAATGAAATAAATAACTTAGTTGGAAATGACATAATCTCTGGTAGGATGGGAGAGGAGTTTAAATAAATTCCAATTTGACCGTCTTCTAGATCTTGGTAGATACTGATAATGCTTTGCCACTGAGATTTGTGGAAACTGGAGAGAAAAATAATCTTTGTAGTGTGTTCTGCTGTTCCCATTACCTATTGCTACATAATAAATCATCTTCAAAATTCAGTGGCTTAAAATAGTTATTTATTATTATAACTCATGGTTCCATGGATTGACTGGGATCAGCTGGGTGACTCTCACTTGGGGATCTTTAATATGGTTGTCGTCTGGAGATACATTATGTGAAGGTTCTCTGGGATGGCTGTCTAAGATGGCTCACTTTCAAGGCTGACAGTTGCTCTTAGAAGTTGGCCGGGAGCTCAGCTGGTGCTGCCAATCAGAATAACAACACATGGCCTCTCTAGGCTTTGTCTTCTTGGGCATGGTGGCTGAATTCTGTGAGGGAGAGTCCCACAAGTGGGCATTTCAAGAGACCCAGGTGGAGATTGCAAGGCTTCTTATGACCTAGATGTGGAAGTCATGCAGTGTCACCTCTACCACATTCTGTTACTTATACAGGGCTAGTCAAGAATCAAGCAGGTGGGCAGGTATGGTGGCTCATGCATGTCATCCTAACACTTTGGGAGGCTGGAGAAGGCAGATTGCTTGAGCCCAGGAGCTCAACACTAGCCTGGGCAATGTGGTGAAATCCTGTCTCTACGAAAAATACAAAAAAATTAGCTAGGTGTTGGGGTGAACACCCATAGTCCCAGCTAACCAGGAGGCTGAGGTGGGAGGATCACCCAAACCTGGGAGGTCGAGGCTGCAGTGAACCATGATTGCGCCACTGTGCTCCAGCCTAGATGACAGTGAGGCCCTGTCTCAAAAATAAAATAAAACCAAACCAAACCAAACCAAACAAAACAAAATAAAATAAAAAAGAATCAAGTGCACAAGTACTTGAGTACACAAGGACATCACTACTGGGAAGCATGGTTCATTGGGGGCCACCTTTGGAGACTAGCTGCTAGGCTTGCCTACATTATAATTAAACTTTCCTACCCATAGGAGCATTTCTATCTTTGTCAGATCAATAGTAGCATCACTTACCATTTAACTACAAATTTCTAATGGAAGTTTCACCTGCATGTATGAAAACAAGGTTTCCATCAAAGGTAACAAAACAAATGACCAAAAGTGTTTTTGCTAAAGAATTTGTGAAAGCTTTTTCATTAGCTGAACACCCACTGGAGACATCATGCTTTGAGACTTTCTGACCTCAATCCCTAGACAGAAAAAGAGTTGGTGTCTCCCAGTTTGCAAGCAGTCCTGGGGAAGTAGGTTGGCACCGATGAACCCTTTACATTGATTATCTTAGGCAGCTCAATTCACTTAGTTTTCTTCAGTTGAAGAAAAGGGGGTAGCAACACCGGATAAATTTTAGGGGCACTTCTCTCCTGACATTCCATTAATGTGCCAATGGCTTAGTGTTTTGCAAGGAACTTCACAGAATAGAACAGTTCGGTTAACTTCTGGTTGTTGTAACGCATTTTTACTTAATAATCTCTCTTGTCTGTGTTTCAGGTCATTCATGGGGATAGAGTAGGCAGGGTGTGTAGAATCTTCTTCCATCACAGCATGAAACTGAGTGAAGACTTCAGACCATGACATCTGCAGATGTTGGGCTTCAGTTGTGGGTTCGTAAATTCTCGAGTTTAAGACTTGTTGCCATTTGCTCAATATTTTTGATCCTTGGCTTCCTCATTTGTAAAAAATACCAAACCCATAATTTTGTTGGAAGGAACAAAGGAGCTGAACTTTAAGACCCTACCCTAGGTCTCCCTACTACTGGGCTATTTTGTTGTTTGTTTGTTTTTTTTGCCTTTTAAACCTCGCTTGAATGATTTAATAGTTATGGTGTACCTGTAGCTTTTAGTTACCACACATCTCTTTGAGAAGTAGTCAGGGTATGAATAATACACATAAATAAAAAATGAGTGAACAGTATATTAAAGCAAAGTAAGCCTGTTTGAAAATTTGGACTCAAACCATAGTTTCAAACCCGTAAAAAATATTTATTGGGTCACTAGTATATATAGTGCACTGTGCTAGGCTCTGTAGAGGACTGAATTCATAAAAGCAAAAGCTGCCTTTATTCTACTTATCCAGAGGTTACTGAATTTGGAGCTAGTTGACAGTTATGCCAGGAGAACACACCAGTCTGCCTGCCTGTCAAGGAGAGAATTAAAAACTTGTTTCTGCTCAGTGCACAGCAGACAGCCCGGAAAGAGTCTTATGAACCAAGCACTGCAAACAAGGCCATATCTCCTCCTTTCCAGATTTTTATAAGTAGGTCAACAATAGTTCAGGAAAGATGGAATTCCAGATCTAAGAAAATAATTTTGATTGAAAAAGATGCAAAAGGCAGTAGAGACAAATAAGAGATTCCAATGATTATCAGTGGTATTTAAAACAAAACGAAATAGCCCAAAACAATCACATCTACTACTACGCATTCATTACCACGGAGACACTAAGGATCCACCGGGCCAAGGTGCCATGTGGGGACTGAGGTGGTGTGTGTGATTGGGAGGGGTTGTTGGTAGTGAATAATAGGGCTTTTAGTAATGCACAAAGGGAGAGATGAGACAGATACCCAAATAACTGTAATTCAAGAGAGAAAGTGCTAAGTATTAAAGAAGACTGAAGTTCTAAGGAACGAGAAATAGCACCACTCAGGCAACATGAGGAAAACCTGTTGAATGGGGAAGTCAGACTTCAGCCTGGCCTTGAAACAGAGGTGGTAATAGTTAGCGATTTGGTTTGGATGAATAATAGAGTTTGTGAATGGAAGAAGTGGAAGAAAAGTCTGGAAAGAAGGTTGAGACCAGACTCTAGAGCATCTTCAAGATTGATGTACAGGGTTTACGTTTTACTTGGAAAGTGTTATCACGTAAGAATGCAGCCAGCTGCAATTGATGGAAAAATAGACAGTGGTTTACATGAGAAAGCAGTTGGTTTACTCTATGGAAGAAGAAGTCAGGAGGCAGGCAGGTGAGGGTTGGTATGGTGGCTCAGGAGGCCATGGAAGACTTAGGCTCTTTCCTTTTGCCCCGCCCTGTCATTCTGCACAGGTAGCTTTCACTCTCACGATGGGAATATGACTGCTCCTCTTCCAGCCCCATGTCTGCACTATAAGCAGGAAGAAGGTTTAAGGGTAAAGGGAGGGCCAATCCCCTCCCAAGACTGTCACCTACATCTCACCGGTGAGGAATGTATCATGCCATCCCTACCTACATGGGGGGCTGAGAAATTGAGTATTTTCTATTTTCTGAGTCTTTGGCAAAGAAAGCCCAGGGAAAAGGTAACTATGAGTCCCTTTTGAGTAGCTAGTTCATGGCATTCGCCAGAGAACTATTATGGTTTTTGAGCAGGGGAATAAAACACTGCTTGATGATTAATTTGGCTGTAATGCATGGCTGGACTTGGAGAGAATAGTTACAAAGAGAAAGATGAGAACTCAAGGTGCAGAGACATGAAGTGCCGGATTCATGGTCCTGTATGAGTAAGTGGTGGAACTGGGATTTGAATCCAGGCTAGTTGTTCCCAGCCTTTTTCCACCTATCTCTCAAAGCTACTCAGTAAGGACTTTAACAGAACTATCTCTTATATAGAGCCATCTGCATAAACAACAATGCTAGGAAGCCATTAATTCATTTATTCCTTCAATTCTGCTTTAATTATGTATACTGTTGTTTTATAAACAATCCTGGGAGATAGTATAATAAAAGGAAATAATGAGAATTCAGAGAAAGGTAGAGATAAGTTCAAGTCCAGCCATTTCTCTTGCCAATGGTGTGATTTTGCATGAGTCACATAAATTCTCTGGCTTTCAATATCCTTAGAGGAATAACAATGGCAGAAATGTATAAAATGAGATAATCTTGTTATGGCAAACATATGGCCAATATGGGTTAGTTGGCCCAGCCTCCGTTCCAAATTTATTCTCCCTAGCCAATTCCGGCTAAGGCAGTTGGTGTGTTACTATTCTGGCCAATCAGACATAGGTGGGATCAGCTATAGTCTCAATGATATTTTTACTTTTCTGATTCAGGTTCCTCCATTTTATACTCCTTTCTTCCTGCTGGTGGGCATGATGGCTGGAGTTGATGCAGTCATTTTAGCACAATGGGGAAAAGACCACGTGAGTACTAGAGGCTTCATTATGAATAACATTGAACAACTGGAACAACGCTAGCAGCTGCAAATCCTCAAACTTCTCATTATGTGTCAAAAATAAACTACTTGTATTAGACACTATGGCTTTATTTTTCATTACTTCCAGTTAAAAACACTTAAAATTGATAGTTTATAAAAGCACTTGGTACCTACTTTATGCTTAATAAGTGATGTTTATTATTATTCTTGTCATCATCAGTATTATTGTTATTGTTTTTATAAGTTGCATAATATCAAGTTACAGGCTAACAGATAAAAAGACTATAATCAAAATACATAAACAAATATGTGATATCCTAACGAAAAAATAAAAATAAAGCCACCATGAAGGATTGAGAGTAACATGAAACCACACTGGTTCTGCGTGGGTGGAAATTGTCTGTACGGATGTTGGAAAAATCCACGCTCTAAGTCCGAAGCCAGGGTTATAGTAAAGGGCAATCTTTCCAGATGCAGAAACATAGCAACCATGGCAGGGGATACGGGAAGGGAAGCATTTCTACTGGGGTATTTTGAGTGATGACTGTAAAATTAGTGCTTGGACTATACAAGAGGGATTTTGTCTCTTTGACTTAAATACAGTGTTCAGTGTTTATGGGGATAAAAAGTAGTCAAACTACCAAAGAGAGTCTGGTTTCTGGTAAAGAATTTAGAAATAGGAAAAGCTAAGGTCCATGGAAATGAATTCTCTGACCTTCAGACTTCTCTAGCCAACTACTGAGTGAGATAAACTGATAATCTATAATGTATGCTAAATTTTCAGAATGAAACTAAAGTGCAAAATTGAATTGTACGAACAATAGACACCATGAAGAATTAAAAGGCTTATTTTTTAAAAGTAACTCCAGTGAATAACATAGCCCAGGCATAGATATGCTTGCCAAACAAGCAATTGACCCAGTAAACAACATGGTTATTCAGACAAAATCAGAGATCCTGTATTTGTGAGGTCAATAGATCAAAATTTTTATCAACTTATCTATTGTCTCTATATATTCACGTATACATTTTTGAAAAATATTTGTTACAATTTACAAAAACACATATATGGCAATAGAATAAACAATAAAAAATTTAGAATTCAAGATAGTTGACTATGCATGTCTCCAACCTCATATCCCATTAAATGACATAAGATATTCACAAAGAGGACAAAATTATAACACCACTAGAAAAGTATAGGGAGCTTGTGTTTGGCAGATCTGAATACTGAGGAATTTCTGAAAGCTGTAAGGCAGATAGCAACACATTGACTGAGAATATCAAAAAGCTAAACAATTCATAACACAAAATGGAAGAAAGAAGAGGCTTTCTCAGCAAAATTCTGGGGGACTCCAAGATCAGGGGGCAGAGAAAGGTGAGGGATGACTGAATAAAGAGACCTGAAAGAGCTGTCCCGTTCAAAAGGCTGACCCCACGTTTGTCCCCCAAGCAAAGCTGAAAGAATAGCTTCCTGAATAAACTGGTGAATCATCTGTGAGAGGTTTCCAGAGTGGGCACTAGCATTAAAAAAATTGCAGCACTGAACTCCCAAGTAACTTTGATTACCATAATGGGCTACTAAAGGATAAAGTGTCATACCTCCTAAAGAAAAGACTTCCCAGTGCCCCAATCCCTGAAAGGAGCCAGGGCTTCTGTCTTAAGAATTTATACCCATTGTTGGAGATACAATTTTTTTCATGTAAGGAGAATTACATTTCAGGAACCAATTCTATTTTCTTAGATCCTGATTTATAAATGTAAATAAGTAATTTTATTCCTCCAAAGGAATGCCACCCTGTTGACATCTTGATTTTAGCCCTATGAAATCCATTTCAGATTCTGACCTCTAAAAAATTAAAATAATGAATTTGTGTTGTTTGTAGTCACTAAGTTTGTGGTACTTTGTTACAGCAGCAATAGGAAACTAATACACATGGAGAACAGACTCAATAGACCCAATAACTCTGTAGTGAGAAATCACAAGGAAAGAAAGAGATACAGATGGAGGGTATGATGTAATCAAATAAATAATAGAAAGACTGACTTGAAGCTGGAAAGGGACTTGAGTTTTCAGAGAAGAAAAGGCCAACTGAGTCCCTTATGGCAAAATTGTAAAAAAATTGGAATCCCTAAGGATAAAGAAAAATCTTACAAGCTCCCATTAAAAAATACATTTTTTGGTATAAATGAATTATTATTCTCATCACTGAGCCCATTATTTATTTGAGCTAAGTATTTTACTTTAATCTTCACCACACCAGGACCCTATACCACACTCTTATCTACTTGCATGCGGATATGGAAAAAGAGGATCCCTGAGGTTATGCAGTTCTACAGTTAGTAAGTGGTAGAAATGGAATTAAAAGTCAAGTTCAGAAACATGGGATTCTGAAGACAATTACATTATTTGCTAGCATCAAACTTCTCATTTACAATACAGAAAACAGGAAAACAACAGACCAATGCCTGTAAAAAGTTAAAGAAGTACGTTTTCAAGCTCAAGTCCTATCATTAAAGTATGGGGCAGAGGGGAATGACATTTTTAGACATACAAGAACATAGAAGGCTTACCACCCACATAACCTTTTCTGAAAACAAAGCAACAACAAAATCTTCAGGTTGTACTTCAGCAAGATAAAGTTGAAAAACAGAAATACATAACATACCAATAAAATGAGCAATGATATCAGTAAAACTTATAGTTAATACTAAGTAATGGTTGAAAATATGGCAGTGAAATTTAATGGAATTGTTAAGTAGGTAGTCATAAAACAGAAGAGGCACAAAGTAAAAAATTAACAATCTGGAACCAAAATTCAAGATAATTTTTAACAATATGAAAGAGGTAGTAAGGAAGAAACAAAGGGAAGTTATAAAATACCAATGATACAACCTGTATTTTGTTTAAGCGAGATTGTTGTAGACACTGCTTTATTTTTATTTGGACAGGAAAACAATTTCTGATTTCGGCAAGTTTAAGGATGTTCACTAGCAGAACAAAAATGTAAGGTGAAAATTTCAAACTACTATGAGGTAAACTGTAAATAAAAAATAAGAAATTAAAGAATAAAAACATAAAATAAGAATATATGAGACAATATAATGAATATCAGTTGAATTTTTCTAAACTATTCTAGAAATAGGCAATGTTCCATGTTATTTTTTTAAAAAAATCAACTTCATCAAGGTATTATTTGCATACAATAAAATGCACAGATTTTTATTTATTTATTCTAAGCTTTTATATTGGGTTCAGGGGTACATGTGCAGGTTTGGTATATAGGTAAATTGCATGTCATGGGAGTTTGGTGTACAAATTATTTAATCAGCCAGGTAATAAGCATAGTACCCGGCAGGTAGTTTTCCAGTCCTCATCTTCCTGTCCCCCTCTACCCTCAAGGAGGCCCCAGTGTCTGTTGTTCCCTTCTTTGTGTCCACATATGCTCAATGTTTAGCTGTCACTCATCAGTGAAAACATGTGGTATTTCGTTTTCTATGCCTGAATTAGTTTACTGAGGATAATGAGTTCAGCTCTATCCATGTTACTGCAAAGGACATGATCTCATTCCTTTTATGGCTGTGAACCAAGGTGTATAAGTACCACATTTTCTTTCTCCAGTCTAATGTTGATGGACATTTAGGTTGATTCCATGTCTTTGCTATTGTGAACAGTGCTGTGATGAAGATACGCATGCAAGTGTCTTTATGGCAGCACAATTTATATATCTTTGGTTATATACCCAACAATGGGATTGCTGGGTCAAATGGTAGTTCTGTTTTAAGTTCTCTGAGAAACTGTCAAACTGTTTCCACAGTGGCTGAACTAATTTACACTCCCACCAGCAGTGTATAAGCATTCCCTTTTCTCTGTAACCTCCCCAGCATCTGTTACTTTTTGACTTTTTAATAATAGCCATTCTGACTGATATGAGGTGGTATCTCATTGTGGTTTTGATTTGCATTTCTCTAATGATTAGTGATGTTGAGCATTTTTTCACATGCTTGTTGGCCATGTGTATGTCTTCTTTTGAAAAGTGTCTGTCCATGTCCTTTGCCCACTTTTAAATTTTTTTTTTAATTTGTTTAAGTTGCTTGTAGATGCTGGGAATTAGACCTTTGTCAGATGCATAGTTTGCAAATATTTTCTCCTATTCTGTAGGTTCTCTGTTTACTCTGTTGATAGTTTCTTTTGCTGTTTAGAAGCCCTTTAGTTTAATTATATCTGACTTGTCAATTTTGTTGCTGTTGCAATTACTTTTAGTGTTTTCATCATGAAATTTTTGCCAGAGCCTATGTCCAGAATGGTATTTTGTAGGTTATCTTCTAGGGTTTTTGTGGTTTTAGGTTTTACATTTAAGTCTTTAATCCACCTTGAATTGATTTGATTTTTGTATATAAGTGAGGGGCCCAGTTTCAATCTTCTGCATATGGCTAGCCAGTTATCCCAACACCATTTATTGAATAGAGAGTCCTTTCTCCATTGTTTTTCTCAACTTTGTAGGAGATCAGATGGTTGTAGGTGTGAAGCTTTATTTTGATCTGTCTATTCTGTTCCATTGTTCTGTGTGCCTGTTTTTGTACTTGCACCATGCTGTTTTGGTTACTGTAGCCTTGTAGTATAATTTGAAGTCAGGTAATGTAATGCCTGCAGCTTTGTTCTTTTTGGTTGTGATTGCTTTGCATATTCAGGCTCTTTATTGGTTACATATTAATTTTAAAATGGTTTTTTCTAATTCTGGGAAGAATGTCATTGGTAATTTGACAGGAGTAGCATTGAATCTATAAATTGCTCTGGGCATTATGGCCATTTTAACAAGATGGATTCATCTATACATGAGCATATAATGTGTTCCCATTTGTTTTTGTCATCTCTGATTTCCTTGAGAAGTGTTTTGTAATTCTCATTGTAGAGATCTTTTACCTCCCTGGTTAGCTGTATTCCTAGGTATTTTATTCTTTTTTGTGGCTGTTGTGAATAAGATCATGTTCTAGATTTGACTGTCAGCTTGGATGTTATTGATGTATAGAAATGCTATTGATTTTTGTACATTGATTTTGTATCATGAAACTCTGCTGAAGTTGTTTATCAGATCTAGGAGCTTTTGGGCAAAGTCTATGGGGTTTTCTAGGTATAGAATCATATTGTCTGCAAACAGAGATAGTTGGACTTATGCTCTTCCTATTTGGGTGTCTTTTCTTTCTTTCTCATTCCTGATTGCTCTAGCTGGGACTTCCAGTACTATGTTGAATAGAAGTGGTGAGGCTGGACATCCTTGTCTTGTTCTGCTTCTCAAGGGGAATTCTTCCAGCTTTTGCATTTTCAGTACGATGTTGGCTGTGGGTTTGTCATAAGTGGCTCTTATTATTTTAAAATATGTTTTCACAGTGTCTGGTTTGTTGTTTTTTTAAAATGTTGAATTTTATTGAAAGCCTTTTCTGAATCTATTGAGATGATCATGTAGTTTTTTAGTTCTGCTTATGTGATAAATAACATTTATTGATTTGCCTATGTTGAACCAAACTTGCATCCCAGGGGTAAAACCTACTTTATCATGATGAATTAGTTTTTTGATGTGCTGCTGGGTTTGGTTTGCCAGTATTTTGTTGACGATTTTTGCATCTATTTTCTTCAAGGAGAGTGGCCTGAGGTTTTCCTTTTTTGTTGTGCCTCTTCCTGTTTGTTTGGTCAGAATGATGCTTGCCTCGCAGAATGAGTTAGAGACAAGTCCCTTCTCCTCAGCTTTTAGGAAAAGTTTCAGTAGGAATGGTGCCAGCTCTTTAACACATCTGGTAGAATTTGGCTGTGAATTCATCTGGTCCTGGGCTTTGTCTGGTTGATAGGCTTTTTATTATTGATTCAATTTCAGAACTCATTCTTGGTCTGTTCAGGTATTCAGTTTCTTTCTGGTTCATTCTTAGGAGATTGTACATTTCCAGAAATGTATCCATTTCTTCTAGGTTTTATAGTATGTGTGCATAGAGGTATTCATAGTAGTCTCTGAGGTTTTTTTTAATATTTCTGTGGGGTCAGTGGTAACGTCCCCTTTGCCATTTCTGGTTGTGTTTATTTAGATCTTCTTTTTTTTCTTTATTAGTCTAGCTAGCAGTCTGTCAATCTTATTTGTTCTTTCAAAAAAACCTCCTGGATTTATCTTTTGTATGGTTTTCCCATCTTAATTTCATTTAGTTTAGCTCTGATTTTGTTTTTTTCTTGTCTTCTGCTAGCTTTGGGGTTGGCTGGCTCTTGTTTTTCTTGTTCCTCTAGTTGAGATGTTAGGTTGTTAATTTGAGACCTTTCTAAAGTTTTGATGTGGGCATTTAGCACTATGAATATTTTTCTTAAGTTGGAACTGCTTTAGCTGTATTCCAGAGATTCTGGTATGGTATATCTTTGTTCTCGTTAGTTCAAAGAAAATTTTCAAAGAATTTTTTACCTTGATTTTGTTGTTTAACAAAAGTCATTCATTCAGGAGCAGGTTGTTTAACTTCCATGTAATTGTATGGTTTTATGTAATCTTCTTAGTATTGATTCTTATTTGATTGCACTGGGGTATGAGAGTGTGGTTGGTAACATATATTTTTTTGAATTTGATGATGATATTTTAATGTCAATTTTGTGGTTGATTTTAGAGTGCCATGTGTAGATGAGAAAAATGTATATACTGTTGTTTTTGGGTGGAGTGTTCTGTAGGTCTCTATTATGCCCATTTGGTCAAGTGTCTAGCTCAGGTCCCAAACATATTTGTTAGTTTTCTGCCTCAACGATCTGTCTAATACTGTCAGTGGCATGTTGAAGTCTCCTACTATTGTTGTATGGTAATCTAAGTCTCTTTTAGGTCTCTAAGAACTTGTTTTATGAATCTGGGTGCTTCTATGTTGGGTGCATATATATTCAGGTTAGGTCTTCTTGTTGAATTCAACCCTTAGCCATTATATAATGCCCTTCTTTGTATTTTTTGATTGTTGTTGGTTTAAAGTCTACTTTGTCTGAAATTAATATCAACTCCTGATTTGTTTTCCATTTGCTTGGTAGATTTTTCTACATCCCTTTACTTTGAGACTATGGGTGTCACTGCATGTGAGATGGGTCTCTTGAAGATAGCATATAGTTGGGTTTTACTTCTTTATCCAACTTGCCGCTCTGTGCCTTTTAATTGGAACATTTAGCCTGTTTACATTCAATTTTGATATGTGTAGATTTAATCCTGGCTTTGTGTCACTAGCTAGTTGTTATGCAGACTTGATTGTATAGTGGCTTTATAGTGTCAATATTCTACACATTTGTGTGTTCCTGTGGTGGCCCATAATGGTCTTTCCTTTCCATATTTAGCATTCCCTTAAGGACCTCTTATAAGGCAGGTCTGGAAGTAACAAATTCCCTTAGCATTTACTTGTCTAAAAAGATTCTTATGTTTCCTTTGCTTATGAAGCTTAGTTTGGCAGGATATCAAATTCTTGGTTAGAATTTCCTGTCTTTAAGAATGCTGAATATAGGCCCCCAATCTCTTCTGGGCTAGGGTTCTTGCTGACAGAGCCACTGTTAGCCTGATGGGGTTCTCTTTGTAGGTGACCTGCCCCTTCTCTCTAGCTTACTTTAACATTTGTTTCTTTCATTTCAACCTTGGAGAATCAGATGACTATTTGTCTTGGGGATGGTCATCTTGTATAGTATCTCACAGAGGTTCTCTGTATTTCTCAAATTTGAATGTTGGCCTAACAAGGTTGGAGAAATTTTCATGAACCATATCTTCAAGTATATTTTCCAAGTTCCTTGCCTTCTCGCTCTCTCTTTCAGGGATGCCAGTAAGTAGCAGATTTTATTTCTTTACGTAATTCTATATCCCTTGGTGGTTTTGTTCATTTTTTTCTTTATTTTTGTCTAAGTTATTTTGGAAAAGCAGTGTTCGAGCTCTGCAATTCTTTCCTCAGCTTGGTCAATTCTGCTGTTAATACTTGCAATTGTATTATAAAATTCTCGAAGTCATTTTTCAGCTCTATCAGATCAATTTGATTATTTCTTAAAATATTCATTTTGTCTTTCAGCTCCTGAATCATTTTGTTATATTCCTTAGATTCCTTGGATTGGGTCTCAACTTTCTCCTGTATCTCAATGATCTTTATTCTTATCCATATTCTGAATTTAATGTCTGTCATTTCGGCCATTTCAGCCTGGTTAAAAACCACTGCTGGAGAACCAGTGCAGTTGTTTGGAGCTAAGAAGACATCTTGGCTTTTTGATTTGCCAGAGTTCTTATCCTGGTTCTTTCTTATCTGTATGGGCTGATGTTCCTTTTTATATTTGATGTTACTGTCCTTTGGATGGATTTCATTGCTTTTTTTTCCCTTTGATGCCTGTGGGTGTTTGATTGCGGTATAAAGTGGGTTCAGTCAACTGGCTTCATTTCTGGAATATTTTAGGGGGCAAAGGCTCAGCTTAGTATTTCTGGGCTGTATGCTCTAACTCTGGGGGCCTGGTACCCAGCCCCCAGCTTTGTTCTCTGGTCCCTTGAGGTTAGAAAGCTGCTGTACAAGAGGGGCTGAGGTATTCCCTAGCCACAATACTCCAATAGGGGGTGCCAGCCAAAGTGTTTTGTTGGGGCAGTGGCCATGGGATCTGTGCTCACTCACACATGCCAGCAACTGCAGCAGCATCATGGGGTACACGTGTTGGCTAAAGAAAGGTACCAGTGGGAGTAGGGTGTCAGTGTTCCTGCATGTACTTGCACTGGCAGTGGTGGTGGTGTGGCAGGGATGGGGTACTAGTCTGAATTTTTTAATTTAAAGGACTCTCAGTCTGGAGCTGAGATTGCGCCACTGCACTCTAGTCTGGGTGACAGAGTGAGACTCCATCTCAAAAGAAAACATTAGGTACACCATGGTAATTTTAATAATGATGACAATGTTGTTGTTGATGATAGCAGCAGCTAACATTTATTGATTCCTCATTAGAAATCATTAGGAACAGATTCACCCTCTCATTTTGTCCTCACAACAATCTTACAAAGCTAAGTTATAAAGTTAGTATAAGATAATGTTACCAAGAGTTTAAAATAAAGTGGAGAAATGGAAAAAGCAAGACAGAAAATTTTATCTTTTATAAGGGAAAACAACTTACTGAAAAACCTGGAAAGAAATACAGTATAGTACTAATAGCTGCTGGTTCTCAAAGGTAAAACTATGTGTAGTTTTTCCTTTCATCTTTTCTGTCTTATTTTTCTCTTATAAGCCCTTGTTACAAGGGGAAAATACAAGAAAATGTATTTAAAATAAACAGACGATGTGCAATTTCATTTCTGGAGATGACTAGGCAATGTTTTTTCTCAAAGGATCTTTTGGGGCCTCGAGAAAACCTAGGTTAGATTTTGCTATTCATCAGGTAAAAATGTATTTCCTACCATTCTCTGTTGGAGGCACCATAGCAGAATTCAGCAAAAGAGAAACATGGTTATAGATTGCTCAGAGATAGAAAGATGTCTCTGATGAGTGATAATGTAAAGAAATAAGTCACCTCAGGTGTCATGATGATTTATGCTTTTCTCAGTAAATTTAATTTTATCTTTTTTTCCCCATTTGTGCCTTACAAGAGCCCTGAGAGACTAGGACACCAGGCATTATCAATGCCCATGTTACAGAAAATGAGGGGCAGTGAGCATAGTTACCTGCCAAGGCCACACAATGAGCTAGTAAAAACCTGAACACAGAACACAATCTTAACTCTTAACTCAGTGCTTTCTTCCATGACAACAGCTTATCTGGGAGCCCTGATTCCTCTTGGCAGGAAAGACAAGCCTATCAATATATCAGCTATCTAAGATATTTATGGATGAAGATTCTGTGTAATGTCTGCTGTAAATTCAGTTTACTACAACTCTCAGCAAAATCAAAGGAATACCAGTTGTATCCCACCTTTTACTCTGCCATTCATGCAACACTCATTGATTGCATGCAGAGAACTATGAAAGTGTTAGGCATTCAGTGATGCTTGTCTTCGGGTAGCTTATAGTGGGGAAGCAGTTAATCAAATCTAGAAGTATAACACAATGGAATCAGTAACGTGAAGGAGACATAATGAAGTGTCGTGGCTCTCAGAAGAGGGACACGCTGCTCATCATTCATTGACTCATTCATTCAACAAATAAAAACTGCCTTCTTGTTGCCATGCTTTGTGTTGAATTCCGGGGATGCACAGTTAATACAGACACATGATATTTATCCTCAAGGATTATCATCTAGTGGGAAACTTAAGATTGACCAAATGATTATACAGACGTACATTAAATCAGAAGTGATAAATATGGCAAAGGATAGTTAGTGGTGTAAGAAGCATGTGATCTAGGGTGAGTTTCTTCTGATTCAAGGGTGAGTTTCTTTACAGCCCTCTACTAGAACATGAGAAATTTTGTATTTCCTCCAAGGCTTGGCTATTCAAAGGAGAGTTTGCAGGTGCTGATTGGAAGTGGCTTACTTAATATTGCTTATATCCTTTATTGTAATAATCTGATAGGCTATTTCTTACCACACTGCCGCTTCCTTTTCCTCCTTCACAGCCCTGCATATAGTAGATGGTAATCTTCCTGTTCTCAGTTTATATATGGAGTGTAATGTTGGACTGTTCCTCTTTGCCCAATGAGCCAGGCAAACACTAATGGAGAGAAAACTGCAATCATATCCACAGTGTTCATAGTAAAACATTAGATCCCAACCTGAAGCATCCTCTGCTGAGGGTAGCAGATGGCATCAGGGTGCCTATGTTAGAAGTAATGCAAACCTGATTATACTCTTTCTAATTTTTTCCCCTCCTACATGAAGCATGCTGTAGCCACCTCACAGAATATGGTGATGTGTCAAAACTTAATTAGCCAACACTTGTACCCCATCTACATTATGTCAAAAACTACACTTTCAAGAACAAGAGAAGAGAGCTCCAAAATATTCTGGCAGGCAGAGAATTCTTAGAACACAAAGAAAGAGAATAAGGTAGTAAGCTATTTTCTATTATCAAGGCCTTAATTCTTTCTTGGATAATCAGAAATGGGAGAAAATTTTCTGGGTTCCCTGGATGTACCAGGGTTGCCATATCTTCTATACAAAAATGGAAAAATCTATGACCTGACATGTATGTGGGAAACGTATGGTCTGGTGTGCATGTATGTGGGACTAGAAGCAGGCATGTTTGAAGTAAATACAGTTTCTGTTTATCTGGTATGCATCACAGGGTGACCAACCCACCCTGTTTGCTCAGGATGGAGGGGCTTTCTAGGATGCAAGAATTTCAGTGTTAAAACTGAGAAAGCCCCAGGCAATCTGAGATAACCCTTGATGTATGTAATGTATGGCTCTTAAAAAAAAAAAACTCTTATTATATTCTTAGAAGGTCATGTTGACCAGTACAGTGCTGTCGCCTTTGTTCTCTCCTTTGACCAATGTGGAGGAATGAGGCTGCCTGCTTACAGGAATATCAGAGATCTTTCTAATTCCTAAACTGGCTCATCTATCCAAACCCCTCACCCCTCTCCCACCATTTTTCTTTTCCTCAGGCCCAGCTCCTTGCCTCTTAATGGTCATGCTCACAGCTTTGGGGCTGAATACTCAATTAGCCACTGCAGCGCAAGAAGAGTCCCCCAGCTTCATCCATCCTTTATCCATGAAGAAGGCCCAGAGCTCCTTTTATATTTGCTAGGGATTTTTCACCAGAGTATAGAAAAAAAGTCACGTGATACACTTTTAAGTCATAAAAAGGACAAAAAACTCACAATAAAAATATGCATTTGGAAATCTTATATGCATAAGGAGCAAGTTCTAGCTCAGTTTGTTTATATATTAAGTTCATGCCCAAGAGGGTCAATGCCTTCTCTAATCTATCCCTAAGCCCCTTTACCTCTATTATTTGCAGGCTTGGTGAGGGAGCCTCTATCCTACGCTGCTTCTGCTTCTCATGCCTATCGGAGGCAATGCATGTAATACAAACCCTATGGAATTGGGACCTCTCCAGCTTGTTCAGAGCTGGTTGAAGCTCCTTGCTCTGCCACTTTTTAGTTCAGTATACTTAGATGAATTATTTAATCCTCTAAATCTCAGTTCACTTGTTACATTTTCACAGAGACCTAGAAACATTAAAAAATACTATTTACATGTTCCCAACCTCCTAAGGTGGCTGCTTCGTTTGCTCTCACATTCAGCACGATAGATAAT
The DNA here is from genome assembly GCF_000001405.40 of Homo sapiens. Classification (NCBI taxonomy): domain Eukaryota; kingdom Metazoa; phylum Chordata; class Mammalia; order Primates; family Hominidae; genus Homo; species Homo sapiens. The sequence continues at coordinate 51,905,051 of NC_000017.11, forward strand.
TGTAAGGCATACAAGAATTTCAACCATCAAAGGTGTAAGTAAATTCTCTATATTCTCTTCATGATGACAAAATAAGCAGTTGAATATTTGCCCTAAGATTGGAAATCAAAAAGTTTATCCATCAGTGCTCCATAAATTGCAGTTGACGCTTCCCTGTGGCACTAAGACAGCTGTCAAGGTGGAAAATGGGGCTTAGGCTTGGAGATAGGAGTCTTTGCGCAAAAGGTTTGCACTGCCTCAGGTGGAGTTAATTCTCCCTGACCTCATAGGCCCATTGTAAAGATTAATTGAGAAGTGATCTAAAAGTGTATGACACACAGAGTAAGCTCTTGACTGTTGGTTAAGTTGGGCACACTTCTTTTCTCCTGTTGGCACAAGGCATAGAAGTGCCACATGCTAGTAAGTGGAATTTCTATCATTTTCTGGCTCTCCTCCTTACCTGCTTAGAGTTTATGGCCCATCATCCCTATCAGTCCTTTTTTTTTTTTTTTTTTTTTTTTTACAACTCTACCCTTTGCTGCTGTCTTTCATCAAACAAACTCACCTGTCATTCCTTATAGCTGGTTGGACCTAGCTCTCTGCCTTCTCTGTTCTTATCCCCAGGCTATTTAATGAATCTGGATAAAGATATACAGTTATCATTTCATCTGTAACCATAAATCTCAAGTGTGTTTCACCATTCTCCCACATTACTCTAGTCAACTCACGCTCCCACATTCAGGGCTAGCTATTTTATTATCTGCCTTCCCCATCACCCAAATTTCCAATTCCCGCTCCTCACTCTCAGTTGATGACCTTGATTCTCATTTGAGAATATAAAGCAGGGCTACTTTATCCTCCCACAACCAAACCTACTTCCCCAGCTGTACCCACACAGAAACCCTCCTCTGTCCCTCCAGTTATGGGGGTAAGCTGTCCCTTCACCTGCTGGTGGCCAGCACCTCCTTTCTTGGATAGGATCCTACATTATCTTGCGTGGAGGAGGACTTGACACCTACAGAGACTCTGTCTTTCCTTAGCATCACCAGTGAATTGGATTATTCCCATCAGTACAAGTATATCCTAATATGTCCTGGATTAAAATATATCCTTATTTTGATCCCTATTTCTCTCTAGCTAGCCTACCCCCATTTTGTGCTCCCTTTTATGTCAAAAAATTTTTAAATAGTTTTTTATACTGTCTTCGCTATCTCATTCTATATTCATTTATCAACCTTCCAAGCAGGTTTTTCCCCCCGGTATTCCACTGAAACTGCTCCCATCAATGATTTCTGTCTTGCTAAATCAAATGATCAGCTAATTGCTCTCTCCAGGAAAAAACTTTGTTCTTCTTTTGGCTTTTATGGCACCACACTTTCTGGATGTCCCTCCTTTCTCACCGGATGTGCCATCTCGGTCTCCATTGCTGGTGCCTTCCCTGCCTGCCAATCTCTAAACGTCAGGATACCATAGCACTCAATTCTTAGCCCTCTTTTCTAACTACATTCACTCCCTGGATAGTCTAATGTATGCCCATGGCTTTAAATATTTGTTATATGCCATGGACCAACAAATTTATATCTTCAGCCCCACTTTCTTAGTTTCCAGACATGTATTTTGCCTATTTGACATTTCTATTTGCATGTTTAAAAGGCACCTCAAACTCAGTAACTCCAGATTAGAATTCCTGATCTCCCATCCCTGCCAAAGTCCACTCCTTCCTCAGTCTTCTCTATCTCAATATATCAAAGGGCCATTCACTCAATGACTACTCTCCTTCTCTCACAACCAATGTCCAATCCATCTGCATGTCCTGCTTGCCCTACGTTTGAAACAGATATTGCACTACATCACTTATCTGCACCTTGCATCAACCATGTCTTATGTCTCTTCCAGATGACACAGTGGTTTCCTAGTGTTTTGTTTCCATCCTTACCTTGTACAGTCAGCTTCACACAGCACACAGCAGTTGGAGTGATCTTTCAATAACCTGTACCAAGTCTTTCCAATATCTATTGAAAGCTTTCTAGTGGTTCCCTGTAACATCAGCATTAAAACCAAACTCCTTTCCATAGCCTATGTGGCTCTTGACAATCAGACTTTTGACCATTTTTCTGTAACCTGAATTCGCCCTCTGCTCACTGTCCTCTGTTCATAGTGACCTTCTTCCTGTTTATGGAATGTGCCAAGTCTGTACCACCTGATGGTCTTTGAGCAGCTGTTCTCTTTGGCTCAATAATCAACTTCCTGCTGTTCACTTGCTTACTCCACTTAGGTTGGCTCAAATGTTGGCCATTTGAGGAAGAGGAAGGAAGAGGTTGGCTCCTCTTCCTTCAGTGGGGCCTTCCCGGCTGCCCCATCTAAAATAGCAACCCTGGCCTTTTTTCATTCTGTTTTATTTATTAACTTACCACATTAAAAATATTTTACATATATATGTATATATGTGTGTATATATATCTACGTACTTTATTGGTTTAATATCTGTTCCTGACCAGATCCCTCTTCGAGGCTGAAGGACTTATTCCCCCAACTGCTGGGAGTTCTCAGTGGCCATCTCTTTCCCAGGATTGTCTTTAGCTGATAAGAGCCCCTGTGCAAGATCGCACCTCATTCCCAGTGAGCCCACAGTCAATGACTGACCTATACACCTGTCTAAAGATGAGGGTTCCCTCGCCACAATGGGGGACCATTTTGAAGGGTCATCCCAGTTTCAGAGCTTTCCACGAGGTCAGCTTCAGCCTTTGTTGAGCCTGCTTCACGGTCCATTCCTTCTTTCTTCCTTTTCCCCGCAGGACTTAAGCCCAAGAGCCCTTTCCAATGAACTTCCTGTGCACAATGTCCATGTCAGAGGATGTTTCCTGGGGAACCTGATCTGTAAAACCTTCATGAAAACATAAGGTTCACCAGTGCTTAGACCTCATCTGTCTAATTTTCAGTTATCTTCCCAGAGCCTAAAACAGTGCCTGGCACATAGCAGGTGTTCAATAAATAGTGAGTAAATGAATGAATAAAGTAGAAGGGCTGGGATCAGACCCAGTCCTGTGTGATCTCAAAGGCACTGTGTTCTCTGACCCACAAACACTACCATCCAGGCAATTCCAACTTACAATTAGAAATTCAGTTCCATTTGAAATTCTGCCCTTGCTTCTGCATGCACCTGGTACCAGATGAAACTTGCAGTTAGTTAAGGCACACAGATTAATTGAAAGAACTCATTCCCACAAATGGTGACCCTGGGAGAGCTCATGCATGGCAGTGTAATTACTTTGGTCATATTGACACATCAGGAGAGCCCAGAGTCAGGCTCAGCCTGAGGTTTCCATCTGAACTTTGCATTTCCGTAGGCCTCTCTCCCTTGAAGTCAAATGACATAATTTTAACAAATTTTGAGTGTGTGAATAATTTCTTCTTTTCTTCTGCCCTGGTATGTATACTGATATTAAAGACTAGAATATTTATCATGTTGGCAGTTCCTGCCTGCTAGATTTGATTTTGTTAAGAAGCCGAGTTTTCCTCTGACAGCATTCAACTCCACATCTTCTTATTCTTGACTTCCACTTTAGACACTTTGGTATTAGCTAGCTCTACACCAAAATAAAATGGGAGGGAGCCAATAGGAATAGCTAAGTATACTGACCACATTCATTCCTGACTACTGGGGAAACACAAATCCAGTTACTAAATAAAAAGCCAGTTCAGATAAGGAATGATGCTATATCTTCCAAATGACTCCTGTCGCATTCACTGGATTAAAACCCAGAGCGTCACCACTTATATTCCAGTGATGTATTTAGTACCCTACTTTACCAAATCACTAGGAAAGCCATGGACTGTAACATCTGTCCAAATGCAGAGAGAATCAAACTCTGATTATGCTAATCTGATATCGACACAAAGACATTAGTAAAATAGGCCACTCTCACTGAATAAAATGTCCTTGGCTTTCATAACTGATTTTTTGACGTCATCTGGTTTTCTGCAAAAGCCAGAGATAGAGCTGCTTACATTTCAGGGAAGACTGTACCTCCAGTGAAAACATGCTCCAGCGCACATGATATTTCAAAGCAGCCGTGCTATCTTTCCATAGCCACTATAAATGTGCAGGCACTTCCTCGTCACAGGTGAGATAGAAGGTGAAAGGTGTACTGAGATATCTCTTTCCTAGCCTCTGTTAAAGACAAAAAAACTCATTTTTTCCAGCTAAAGCAATACCAAAGATGACTGGATGTCATCCCTGGTTCTGTAGAATTACACTGAAGGGGGAGCTCAGAGTTCTTTGGAACTGGAGGTCAGGCTTGCAGAATTAGTCACTATTTATCTGAAGACCGAGAATCCAGCTTGTTACCATGATTTCAAGGAACTGAAAGCCACACAAGTCAGGTGAAATTCAGAGGTAAATGCTACAAATTTGAAAAGGGGAAGCTCAGTGTCCTCTGCTCTTTTTTCGAGCTATTTTGAGACATGGGAAGACACTAAAGAAACATGGCAAGTATTAGAAATAAAAAGCAATCCTTTATAAGAACAAAATTACAGTGTTGAGATGAAACGGAACCTGTCAATTTCCAATCATCTATTCAGAGGACAAAGACCCCATTTCAGGGAATCTTCTACAGATGTTCTTTTGATAGCTTTTTATTTAATAGTCAACTGGAGGCTCAGCTTTTTATAATTTAGTTTCCCAGAAAAAGCATCCTATTCTCTTAGATCATTTAGTACCTCTGAGATTTGCAGTATTCACTCTTCCGCAATATTTGCATCTCATCGATGTTAACTGCAGAAAGTAACAAGAATGTCGAGAAAGACTCCTTTCTTCAACAGCCTGCCTGCCATCCCATAACCACCTTCTCTATTTTCACTGCACTGGCTCTTTTAAACTACTGCAAGTTCTTCCACTCTGTAATTGGAAAAATTTTTCGCTTCAATTTTAAAAATTATAGACATGTAATAAAATGTTGCCCTGCACTGCTTGCTTAATCTATCTGCTCCTCCTCTTATCGTCATCGTTTCTTTTCACATCCTGGTGACTGAAGCTGTTTAAACCAGATGCACCATGAGAAGCAGGGTAATAGGAATGAATAACAGAAGGGGAGGCTCATGTCCTTTTGTGGGTTCATCCTGGAAGGTGGGGGGAGGAGAGGCTTAGAGAGGGGCATGGTGAGAGGGCAGCATTAGAGACAATGTACTCAATCCCCCTTGATCCTGCCCTTAAGCTCTTTCAGAAAACTTAATCTCCAAAGATTTAGTTTAATTTTGATTATAAACAAAATATCCTTCTACCAATGGTAACTGATAACAACGAAAGAGCAGGGAAACACACCAGCTGATGTCCCTCTTCTGAATCAGCTGTTCCTGATGGTGCACAGCTTCACTTAATTGTTTTGTTCTTCCTTCTACCCTGCCTCATTCCACAAGAGTTGTTATGGCTTACAGGATAAGAAAAACATATTGTATCTAACATTACGTTTAACAACAAAAACAACAACAAAAATCGAAGCAGATTAAAGACAAATTCAGATAGAATGGCAGGATCTAGAGTAATTCACCAGTTTATAAAGTTCCTCTAACTTTATTACAAGTGAAAATTTGGTTCTGAAGGCCTTGACACTCAAAGGGAAATGGACAACGTAGTTACGCCGTTCTTGCAGAGAGGAAAAATAAAACACATCGATTGTTCAAAGGAAGCAAGGTTTTTCCTAGCAATTAGGGTTAAAGAAATTTCTCATCTGGGGCTTCCTTCAGGAAGACCCAATGACACAATGTCCTTTACAAAATGCCAACAGCAATTCCCCCAAACTGCTCATAAAATTAAGTTTTGCAAAGCAAAATGAATCTTAAATGTGTTTGTCATTGCAGGGAGGGGACACATTTGGTCTGTAAGTTATCGCCTTTCAATTTATCACTTTTGTCAAGTCTGAACTGTTCTATGTTAAATTTTCAAGTAAAAGCCAGTCTCTGCAGTGAAAAGAATGTGGGTGGAAGACATAGGTGATAATGCACCTTGGCTAGTGGAAGAAAAGTGGAGACGGCTGTGGGCCGATTTTGAACCTAAAGCATTATGTGACATTACGTGGTTCCACTTGCCCCTCCAGGCGCTTTTAATCTCAGTCAAGAGGCCATGCTCTAGGTAGCTGCTGCCTCTTCACCCTGGGCCATAGAATACATCTGACCTTGACTTGAAGCTTGAATCAGACCTCCCCCAGCAGACCTGAAGACTCATGAGCAAGAAATACACGCTGATGTTTTATACCACTGAGATTTTTGTGGTGGATAGATAGCGTTATTGCGGCAATAACTTACTAACACCCTGCCTTGACGACTTCATGAAGTTGTGCAGACTAAGTGAGAGAATGCTCTTGGATATTATTCGCATATCCAAATTGAATGAGCAAATGAAGAGTTAGAGAAAATGATTCATTCTGCATAGCATTACCAGATCCATTAGTTGACATGTTATATGGATGCTTCTGTATTGCAATAGGCCCTGGTTGTATTTGGTCTGCCAAGCAGGAATGAAACACTGAGTTGAGACTGCTGGTTGGAATGATACAAAAAGGACAATCGAGAAGTGCAAAAGAATGAGACAGAATAGTAATGAGCTACAGAAGGAGTCTGAAAACCAAAATGGAAGTCTAGTTGGTCTATAATTAGGCACTAATCATCTGATATGATGGAGATACCTCTGCAGAATCTGTAGAATTTTGAATTATCTACTTGTCATTTTCTGGGGAACATCATAGAAGTGATAATGAAATCACTCAAATTTCTGGATATTCTTCAACCTAGCTTGGCCATCCTAGTCCAAAAAAATATAATAAGCATTTATCAAGCACCGACAAACAATTTCAGTGCATATTAATTGGGCACCTACTATGTGCCAAATAATTTGCAGCCTCAGAGATAAGCAAACAGACCATTAGACATGGTTAAATGTATGACAAATTATAATTACATGAGCAATTACTTTAGTAATTCATGTAAATTACTACACTTCATGAAGACTAACAAGTACAGATATCACATTCTATAAAGCCCACAAATCTAGCACCTATTTCACCATGTTATATGTAGCACCGTTACCTCTTTTGTGGACTAAGTAGTATAGCAAACTTGATGGAATAAATAACACCGACTTCAAATCACAAGGGTATTACATGAGTAGCCTCTACTGACATAATTTCAAGGGTCAGCTATTTCTCTGTAAAATTAAAATTAAATTCTGAAAACACTATGTGCTAGGCACAGTAATGGGAGCATTCCAATAAGCTGTAATCCTTACCACCATTTTAAAATATTAGCTCCAGTCTACAAGTCAGGAAGGAGGCTCAAGGAGGTAAAGTAACTTGCTTAGGGACCCCTGGAGTCCAAGTGCATTCCTTGTTTTCATGCATCCTGCCAACTTCATAGTTTATTTACTGTGCTCCATATGGTGCAGTCACTACCAAGCAAATGGCAATGAAAAAGAAAAAAAGAAAAAAACTTGCCTGCCATTTCTCTTCTTCATAGCTAGTGAAAGAGTTTACTAACATCAGTGTCAATGATCATAAAGCTAAAACGTCCTAAGCCTTAAATTTGCTTTTCAAATACCAGTATTTCAGAGGCAGATTACCTGACTCCAATAATATGCCTCAAACCTTGCACTGTGTGTGCAATGAAAGGGAATATTTTCATCCATTATAAGAGGCTGTCAGAGGAAAACATTTTCCTGATATCATACCCAAGAGAACAGCATGTGAAGCAACACTATCATATTCTACCGAACTTTCATATACTCCATGCAGTACAATGTATATTTTATCTTTTGAAAAGCCTTGGTAACAAAAGGATAAAATATCCATCTAAAACTCAAAGTACATTCTAATAATGCTGCATTCACATTAATAGCATTCAAAGAATCTCATAGCCTTCTGCAGGCAGTTCACTTGTCTGTGCTAAGAATCTATCCTTCAGTTACAGGAGGAAAAGCTCAACCCAGTGGCTTTGCCCACTCTTTATAGCTGGGGAAGAGGCAGAAGCTAAGGGGCAGTGTGGAAGGCATCCATTAACTAAGTCTTCCTCCTGAATGGCAGGCTAGTGGGAGGAATTTCTTTCCCGTGCACAGGGAGTTAAGTCGGAGCTGAATTTGCATATCTCTTTAGAATCACAAGGGTATTGATTCTAGCCTCTAAGACATTTACATAAAGGTTTCAGGACACTCTCAGGAAATAGCAAAGGAAACTTTGGAACTGAGAGTGAGAATCCCCAGAAAAGCAGGGGGGAGGAAATGCACCAATTTTTGGCAGTTGAAGAACTGAAGGCAGGGTGAGTCTAAAGACATATATGCCTAGGAGAGACATCTTTGTGTTGGTGACTCAGTCTCTGAGTCTCACCTGGTGCAGTTCACTCAAATGGTATCCTAGCAAGTCTTCAGGGATCCTGTTTTAAATTGTTTGTCTGAGATTTTTGTGAAATTTGGGAAAGCCATGCCATCTTCTGGGAAACTCGAAAGAAGACTAAAGTCCCTTCAAGGTCAGACCTTTCAGGCTTGGGAACAATTTATTTGCTTTGGAGAAATACCACTGTCATGATGGGAGTAGCTGTGTCATGTTTCAGCAGTGCTTGCAAGAGTGGAGTGTTAGAGAAGTCCGAATGACCGCACCTCCCCAAGCACCAGCCTCCAAGGAAACATATGTCTCCCAGGACTGTGCAGAAGGGATGACCCTGGGAGGCTGGGGTAAGCTGGCAGCAACAGTGTTTGGTGGGGATGCTGAGCCAAATACCATTGCAATCAAAGCCTTTGATCATCCTCTTGTTGGTGTGACTTGGGAACTGAGGGTCACCCTTGAATTCCTTTCAGTCTTAACACTGAACTAGGAGAAGCACAAATCTTAAATTTCCATCTATTACCATTATTATTATCCACAGAGAACTGAGGGCAGCCTGAGAAATGAATGGCAGAGATGTGTCAGCTTTGCCCCTGTTAAATTATGCACATCATATGAAATGACTTAAAGGATGACTGCCTAGGAGAAACAGAGACAGGCCATTTACACTGGCCAGTCCTTTGAGGCTCATGACTTTAAAAGTTATTCCTGATCCACTCTGAGCCCTGAGGAACTTGGAAATGTGCCTATTACGGTTTCCAAAGTGCAATCATGCTTTTGGGGTGAACACCCCAGCTGCAAAAACAGTAAGGTCTGTCCTCATTTCACAGTAAGAGACAGAGCCAGGAAGAGAGGCTGCAGAGGAGACAGAGAGAGCACCATTGCCATTTTTTACAGAGAAAAAGCATACATATCGTGACCTAGAAATTAAAACTATGTGTTTTCCCCTGACTCTATGGCTGCCAGAACTGCTTCAGTGATGACAACTATCTTGGGCATTTTATGTGCCATTTTTTTGATGGAACGTGTAAAAAAATTAACTACCCATTCAGAAATGAAATTCACTATGTGATTTGCCACCTTGCCAGGGAAGAGAGCAATGGTCAGATAACAAAACAGACATGTAACACCACTCCTAAGGATAAAATACGTATAGTGCTAGAGCCAAAACAAACAGGCTGCAGAGATGCAATTAATAGGCTGAAATATGGTGGTATCAGAGCACCCACCATCCCTCATGCTCTCAAAACATGGCAAAGAGAAGGAAATTGGCTGAAGGTCAGGGCTCTTCTGACCCATGCTGCCTTCTTCCTAAGCCCTTGATATAGATGGAATGTATTTCTCCCCTGTCTTCAGTTTCAGTGCAATGTTCTGTAAAGGAAACCAGTTTTGGAGTCAGACAACCTAAGATTGAAACTCAGCTCTGTTTCTTGTCATCTCTGTAACTCTGGGTAAATTATTTAACAACTGCACATTTCAGTTTCCTGGTTTGTAAAACTGGCCATCTGAGGTCATTTGGGGAACTAAATGAGATAAAATATGTATGTATAAATGGCAGTAGTAAGTACTCAATATATTTAGTTCCTTTCCCTTTTTTCATCTATATGTAATTCCAGGATCTGGGGTATTTTAGAATTCATCTATTTATTATTTCATTCAATAAACATTTATTGACTGCTTTCTGTATATTACATACTTTGCTGCTAACCAGATGCTGACACAGCCATAAAAATTAGTGGGCCAAAAGGAACCCAGACTGTAGATTGAAAGGGGTCATCTTTATGCACATCTTATGCCTCATATCTGTTGATGTCTCAAGCATCCTACAGGGATGTTACACCATCCACGTAGGAAATACCAGATCTCACGGTAATCGGCAAGGACAATTTGTTCGTCAAAACAGATTTTGTTGCTCCCACTTGAATGCCTCCTTTAGAAGTCTCTGTTATTAATTCACCTCTGAAAGGTGATCAACAAACTCTTACATTCTTCCCTTTGGTTAATAGATTGATTCCGATCTATTAAAAGTCAAATTAAAGTTCTCACCAAGTGTGTAATCCTGGGAGTTTGTGTAACATTCAGCTTTCCCATGTCTTCACAATTCTTTTAATTTTATATTTCTAATCACAGAGGCCAACAACACAGAACAGTTTGACTATATTAATAAAATTACTTATTTATATATTATCTGTGACCACTTCCTTTCCCCCATTACATTCCTCCAAGTGGATAACTTACAGTTATTAACTTTCAGGAGGCCCCTATATATCATAGCATCATACCATTAAGCCTTTTGGAAATTCATCACAAATCAGTATACAGATGACATTGATGTCTTATTGCTATTCATTCCTCCCGGGCCGTTTTTAGCAGTTCATTTTTTATATCCCTGCAGTGCAGAAATATGGCTCACTCCAGTATCTGTCCTTTTTGTAATCGCAAAAGGAAAGCTTGGCAGTTGTCATATATTACACTCTTGAGGAAAATGCTAGTAATACGTCGAATTGATTGAACAGCATGGACCCAAACTGCTTGGCATAGGGCTATTTCCTCACTGCTATTAAGATTTTGGTTAAAAAAAAAAAAACCTTACCTTTTAGATTCAGAAACTGTGAATCATTAAAAGGCAATTTGTAGAATAAAGATCACATACTTGAAGAAGCCTAAAAGCTCCCCTCTATTTCCTCTCTTTAGATTTTGAACGTATTTCCAGCATGCATTCACATTGTTGCATGCTACGCTGCTGGAAACAGTGTCATTGGCCAGAAGCTGGTTGCCACCTGGGTTGTGAAATAGCCCAGGACTTCCCAGGCTCTGGAGGGGTAGAAGCTTAAACTGGTAAAGAAGTTGAGAACATTGTGACTGCAAAGGCATTAGGCAAAAGCCATACCTATATGCCATCCTTATCATTGCAAAGGTGCCACTAGAAGGACTATGGTCTTGGAGGAGGCAAGCAAAGAAAGAAGATTGATATGGTTTGGCTTTGTCCCCACCCAAATCTCACCTGGAATTGTAGCTCCCACAATTCCCATGTGTCATGAGACGGATCTGGTGGGAGGTAATTGAATCACGGGAATGGGTCTTTCCCATGGTATTCTTGTGAGAGTAAGTTTCATGAGATCTGATGGTTTTATAAAAGGGAGTTTCCCTGCACAAATTCTCTTGTCTGCTGCCGTGTGAGACATGCCTTTGACCTTCCACCATGATTGTGAGGCCTCCCCAGCCATGTGGAACTGTAGGTCCATTGAACCTCTTTTCCCTTATAAATTACCCAGCCTTGGGTATATCTTTATCAGCAGTATGAAAGCAGACTAATACAAAGTTGTATTAAAAGAGGAATTAAGATGAAAGTAAGAAAAGTCATAGCTCCATATAATCAAGCCTATGCTCTCCCCTGCCCCTCATCTTTGGAATGAGGTAGTGCCAACTGGGCCTGGGGGACCTGAAATACAGGGCACAGGCAGTTCCGTTGGAATCATTCTTCAGGAGGCCAAACCATGGCCACCGGAGTCCTTTCCGATATGAATATTTGTAACTAATCTGAGGCTTTCTTTCCAACACCAGCTACAATAGTTGGTGATCCACCTGGGTTTACTTTTTAAGGCCACTAGACATGTCCCCCAGTTTCTATTAATTTTGACTGCAATCAACTCACCTTTCTTCTGGGAATTGCCCTTGACCTCTAAGAACAGTGGTGTGCTGTGTGCTGATAAATCTCTATCATCCAGCTCTCCAGATAAAAAAGGGGGCTTATATGTAGCATTTGCAGATTTCTGTGGTGTTAACACCCCTACCATGGTGGATTTCAAGTCACCACCTTGATGGCACCCAATGTGGAGGTGGGAATAGATACACATGATGGGCTCTGAAAGGCAGGATAAGCCAGCTCCTTAAGGATACCACTGTACAGGAGACACCTTGCCTGGGAATACCAGGGAAGAGATGTGCCTTTCAGAAGGTACTGAAGGCTGCCTCCCTAGACCCTAGGAGTGCATGGCAGGATGAGAGCACTTTGGTGTTATTCACGCTTAGGAGGTCCCTGTGTATGTTAAGCTGTTCTTGCATTGTTATACAGAAATAGCCAAGGCTGGGTAATTTATAACGAAAAGAGGTTTAAGTGGCTTACAGTTCTGTAGGCTATATAAGCATGGCACTGGCATCTGCTTAGCTTCTGGGGAAGCCTCGGGGAGTTTTTACTCATGGCAGAAAAAGTGTCAGCAGACAAGTCACATGGCAAAAGCAGGAACAAGAGCCAGTAAGGAAGAAGATGCCACACATTTTTAAACAACTGGACCTAGTGAGAACTCACTCACGAGTACAGCACCAAGAGGATGGCACTCAACCATTCATGGGAAATCCACCCCCATGGTCCAATTACCTCCTGCCAGGCCCTACCTTCAATATTGGGGATTATAATTCAACATGAGATTTGGAGGGCACAATATCCCAACTATATTACTGTGGGATCAGGCTATGGTTGGACTCCAGTTAAACTATCATCTTTGCTGAACTTCTCCCCAGGCCTACTTCCCCCATTCCCTGGCAGCTTTCACGTGAGAAACTTCTTCAGAAAATTATTTGCATAAGAATTCTCATCTCAAGCTCTAAACCTATGCTTAGACAGCATCAGACTCTGGAAGGGTGACACAACACTTATTTTGAACAGATAATTTTGTGAAACTCTTATTCTATTTGAATTTGACAAGCTCAGAATAAATGACGTGAGAGTCAACAAACACTGAATTGATTTCTGTATTCAAACCTACCTAGCAACGATGCATTAAATAGCAACATACTAAGTATAATGTGTATTCATTTTCTCCATCATAGTGCAAGTAATGCATTTTGCTTATACTGAGAATAGTGAAAATAGCTACTTGGCTTAAAAGGAAGCAAGAGTGGCTTTTCCTTAACTTAAAAAAAATAGTTTCTGAATATTTCAGAGGAAAATGCAAATTGAGAAAAATCTCTGCTCCTTAGATGAGATGTGAAAAATATTCTTGATAGGAAGGTGGCAGAAAATATTTTTAGGCAGATGAGATGCTGCTAGTTTGATAGGTTTCTATTAGATATAACGTACCAAACTGTGTGCGTGTATACATTTTCACCCACTGGTAAAAATGAAATCATGTACCTTCATCTTATGATATTGTATGTAAATGTTTCATGTGGGTTAGAGCATGCATGTTTCAGAGCTAAGGGCCAGAATGGACTAACATCCTATCAAGTGTTACATCTGATGAAGATCTGAGTAAAAACACAACACTAATCTGTTCAGAACATCAGGTGGGCAAAGATAACATTAACAAAATAAAACTCTCGCCTTACTGAATAGACACTGGGTTTGCTCTATGAGAAAAACAGATATTAGGCTGAATGGCTTATTTTCACATTATTTGCAGTTTGGATTTTGGCCCTAGCATACTACAGAGCAAGGAACTAAAACATCTAACTTTTTAAAACGTTAAGAATATGAGATACTGGAAAGAGATGGATTATTTTAGTTATTCTTAATCTTTCGTGCAACATTAATAAAGTTGTATCTATATGACATTAAATCTTCATCAGAAAAATTAAGTCTGGGAGCTGCTCAGATGTTCAACTGCCTACGCTGCATAGACTCCTCAAATTGCATTATTTATTCCAGTTTTTCAGTTTTAATTTGGTTCTTTTGTTTCAGAAACCAAGCTTAGAAGAAAATGAGCATTTTCTTAAGTCCTTCAAAAAGAATCTACTATATTTCTTTTCTTTTCTGAGGTAGTAGATATATTATTATTTATTTTTATTTTAATTTTCCAACCAAAGATACCTGGTTTATAGGCAATAATATCCCTTTAATAGGATTCAAAGTGTCTGAGGTTTACATAGAACAACTTTGTGGGTTTATTCAAATGGTCAGGCTTACAAGGAGTAGATCGACCAATTTCAGAGCCTTCTTGGAGAGAATGTACAACTGATACCAGCTTTTTAAGATCAGCATCAAAAGCTTATCTTGGGTGTGTGTGACTGTTTCTGCCGCTGTCCAGGAGATCTACCAGTCTTACCTTTTTAACTAATGTAAAACCATTTGTCTCAGGCTGCTTGACAGGTGGAGCTAGTCTGTAAAACTTAGCTCATGTTTTTTTCTTTTCTCTCCCATGTTTAGATGGATGGTAAGAGAGCTGAGCTGCAAGCAGTATTATGTGAATAACACATTTTGTTGCCTATGTTTAAGAGGCTGGTTGTTTTGTAAAATGCCTGTTAGTTGTTCTCTTTGTTTGATTGTTCGTTTGTTTTTGAGATGGAGTCTCACTTTGTCGCCCAGGTTGGAGTGCAGTGGCACGATCTCTGCTCACTGCAACCTCCACCTCCCTGGTTCAAGCAATTCTCCTGCCTCAGCCTCCCGAGTAGCTGGGACTACAGGTGCGCACCACCACACCTGGCTAATTTTTGTAATTTTTTAGTAGAGACGGGGTTTCACCATATTGGCCAGGCTGGTCTTGAACTCCTGACCCCATGATCTGCCTGCCTTGGCCTGCTAAAGTGCTGGGATTACAGGCGTGAGCCACTGCTCCTGGCCAAATGCCTGTTAGTTTTATCTGTGGGATTATGTAACCAGAAAACTAAAGTGGTATGATGTGATGGCTACTGAACTCATGAGATTCCTGGAAAACATTCTCTCTTGTAGGAATTCATCTGCCTATAAATTAATTAAACATCTCAAGCTAGTCCTTCTATAATTTTTAATAAAAATTATACTCAGTTCTGGGATAACTTGAATTTTCTCTCATTTAAGTACCGTCACTAAAATTGTACAACTGTCAATCTTTCTGTGTTTAGTTAAAATGTTCCATGAAAGTGGAGAACCAATTTCACTCATACAGAAAAGAGAAGGCACATGTTCCTTGGTCATATGTATACAGAACCAGGAGAAAAGAGGAAGTGAAAGGACAGGGAAAGAAGGACAGGGAAAGAGACACAGGGAAATGATGAAAGGGAGGGAGGAGGTTGGAGATAAAGACTGGAGAGAAAAGAAAAGGCTAAGAGAGTAAAAGAGATGAAAAAATGAGAAAAAATGAGAAGAAGTATAGA
This sequence comes from Homo sapiens, assembly GCF_000001405.40. Classification (NCBI taxonomy): domain Eukaryota; kingdom Metazoa; phylum Chordata; class Mammalia; order Primates; family Hominidae; genus Homo; species Homo sapiens. Next base: position 51,920,464 of record NC_000017.11, read on the forward strand.
GAAATAAAGGAACATGATGCAGGAAAGAAGAGTAAAGTCCTTTCTAATACCCACAGGAGGAGTAAAGAATGAGAGAGAATTAGAGACACTTATGAAATACTAAAGCCAACAACCAGGTGTTTCCTTGGGAGATTTGCCTAATGACTCTGCATTGATTTTCTGGATGATGTCAAGAGGTAAACATTACAAAGAACTGCCAAGACAGTGAGCGGCAATCCTCAGCCAAGATCTAAACTCAGCAATGGTGCATGAGAACCTGATACCCACAACAGAATGCTTCTGCACTGAATCCATTTCCCAACTTAAAATACAGCATCTTAGACTTTCACATTTTGCTTATCTTTCATCACTTTTCACTGCTATGCACTGAAATCTTCCGCTCCCTGCAAAAAGCTCTGCTCTGAGTATAAACACAACTACCTTGATCTCATTTTAAAATCTGTAATCAAAATCCTCTTTTATAACATTCATTTTGCTCTGAATCCTTCATTCCAGCTACTCAGAGTACAATATACCAAAGGAGAGAGCCTGTATCCAAAACTTTGAGGAATAATTTTGATAGTGGTTAATAAGAGGACAATGCAAGTTTCTTCCAATGTTAGTGCTTTAAAGGGTGTTTTCCTTTAGGAGGATTTACATCCTAGTTAAATCTTCATTCCAGGATGGCTGCAAGCAAATATATTCCACACGTCCCATCTAACCACTGCTCATACAGAATCAAAGTACATCAAGGTTGGAAGGGGATTCACAGGTCAAGTCAAAGCTCTCATCTGATGCCTCATTGTGTTCTACAATTTCAAGTACCCCTCAGTGCCCATCAGAACTCTTTCTGTGCCACGGGTCTCCATGAAACAGAAGGTCATTCAATTTTCACATAGCTTGAATTCTTATTTTGAATTGAAGTCTGGCCAAAGTTACTTTCAAACAGCAGAGCTAGTTCTCCCCTATGTCTGAGCCTGCACAGAAAAGGTACATTTAAAATCAGCTGTAATGACTTCTTAAAATATTTTCCTTTCCAATAGATGCATAGACAGAGAAAACTGAATATAAAACATTTTGATTTTTCATTACTTTCTTCCTCTTCTTCTGTACTTTACTGTGTCAATGTGTTTTCTATTAGTTAACCTTACTGTCAGCACTAGGGGAACTGATGCTAACATTCCAGATACTGTCTTCTCAGTGAAGGGTATTGCATGACAATGGCCTCACTTGTCATGGATGTAGAACCTCAGGTACTGTGTAATTAGACTGAATTCATCTCTTGGCATTTCCCCTGTGCTATTTACTCAACTGAGCATATTATTCATTAACTTCCTGTACTTTTTCACATGTAGTGTTCTTACAGAATATGTTGCTCGGCCTGAATCTGTGACATTTTATGTAAATATAGTTTGAGAGGAAAGTTTTATCTTTATGCCTTTTGGGTTTGGGGTACTAGCGAGGTGGCTCTGAATTCTTCTTCTGTCTTCCATAGAGTTGAAATCACTTCACCTCTCTCTACATATGCTATGAATTCTAATGCAAACATTAGTTTCTCTGACAAAGAAATTCAACTGGGAGTTATGTTTTCTTGCTGAAAACAAAAACACCTGTGATGGTAGCTAACAGCATGTTCTTCTCTGCCAGTCATTGGCTTGATAACTTGCATTATTACCTGCCTACTAAGTGCATTTTTTCATATAATTCTCTCCACCACCACCCTGCAAGGAAGGTAGAATGATGATGCTCCTTTTACAAATGAGGAAACTGAAGCTTAGAGAAGTTAAGCCAAATAAACCCTTTGTTTAGTAATCAAAGATAATCTTGGTTCATTTTGAATCAACCAGCACCTTCTCACATTTATCTACGATAGTGCTGGCTAGACAGTAGCAATCTAAAATTCAAACTCAGTTCTCACATCTGGTCATCCATGGCCATGTATTCTCTCCCAAATGGAGGTATACATTGTCTTGCTTATCCTGCTTTCCTCTAACCACAACTTTTTAAAGTGCTCCTCATTTTCTGGAAACTTCAACTTGTCCTGGGCTTGATTCTCTGTGAAACCATTGACAAATGATTTCTCCTCTGGTCCTCCTTGGCTCTAAGCCCTTTCTCCTGCATCTCTACATGCCATTTAACAATATTATTTCTCATAAAATTCCCCGTGCTGCCACTTCGATATCTTTAGCTCCTGCCAGTTCCTTTTTCGGTACTATCGTTTGTGATTCTATCACCATAATCTTATTTTTAAGAGCTTCCCAATCCACTAGAGCCATCTTCCATGAAGCAATGAGATCACATCAATTTTAATCATGATATTTTAAAAATCTGCCTTTTGAAGTTTTCATATCCATGTCTGACAATGCCTAGCTTTTTTTCTTTTTTTAACCTTGCTACCATTATTTCTAAGATAACACACCTACTTTTTCCTAGAGTTACTGTCCACTCCACATCACTAAGCCTTTCCTTGTTGGTTAGAATTAAATAACCAGACCCCTATCACTTTCTCCTGGAAAGGATATAATTGATATGTCAATAAAGGAATTTGTCTAACCACAAAATACAGATGAGTAAGAATTGCATCCACTTCTTCAGCAGCTCTTAAAGATCTGCTGTATCCCACAAACATACATAAAATTATACATACCATTTTCATATCAGAGTTTCAGTGTAAAAAGACCTTTGGTGCTTAAAGACAGCTATTGAGTTTTAAATGGGTAAGGATACTTATCCAGGAAAATTTAACATCAGTTATCCAATAAAAACCAGCACCACGGCAACACATTTAGATGACAAAATTGATCGACCTTTTTGTTTTCTTTCCACCTTCTGCATATAGAGTAAGATCATCTGACATTTAAGATCCTCCTGCAAGTTACATTTCTTTCTATCTCCCTTTTCATGCTAGCTCATATCCTACCTCTTCCATAAAGTCTTGTTTGACAAACCCAACTTCTCACTCTATTAAAACATTAATGCCAAGATGATTGATTTGCTAATTAATCATTTCTTAATATCTATACCGCTATTATCTCAAATAGTTATTTAAATCAGTTACTGCCATTTAGCTTCTGTGTGTCTATATTTTCTCCCCAAATATATCGTAAATTTTTTGAAGGAACATAAAAGCCTCAAACATAAGAGGTTTCAGAACATAGCAATGTGGACATGCCGTGAATGGCAATGATTAAATTTTGCAATCAGGTTCAGAGGAAAATTTTAAAATAGAGAAGTGATAAGATTTTAAATACCAAACCAATTCACATTTCTTATTTTTTCAACTTATTTTAATAGTCATAAAAAACATAACTGAAAATTAGTTTTAGTAACAGATTCTGTGGATAGCAAAGTTCTTTTCCCCATGGGCCTTCTCACATTCCCCCCACCTTGGATCGTAGCAACTTTTGGTGAATTCCACCTAAACGCATTTCTTGGTAAGCAAGGGTACTCTTGGTTCCATTCAAATCAGTCAGCGCTGTCATGGATAACCCCAAGGATATAAAATGAAAATATGAAAGCATGTTTATCATAAGGAGCTCTTAATCTAAGGGCTAATATCTATAGTATATTTGTCTTACTATTCCTTACAAGGAAAGCGATATTAATATTACAGGCCAAGGTTCAGATCCTAAAATAAATATAAGTAAGGTGCTTAAGAAGCCAAATAAAGAGAGATTTCACAGTTAGCTAAAGAGATCAAGAGGAATTTAAGAGATAGTATTGGAGCCACAGAGGTTAAAAGCAGGGGTTCGGACTCCTTAGGCAAGTGGGGTGAAGGGTATATTGTGGCCAAAGCACAGATCCCAGGAAAAGGAGAGATGCATTCACTTTGTTTGTTTTGTTTGTTTGTTTTTTAAAGTTTACACTCTCACTGGGAACAAAAGGTATGTACGAAGTATAATGCAAATGTCTGTGGAAAGGAGATTTGGTGCTGTATTACAAGGGCTGTGAATGCCAGGCTGAAGCATTTATACCTGATTTATAAGCAATTAAGAGTTTTATTAGCTCGTATTTATTTCATGGGAAATGTGGAAACTTCCATGTAGATACACCTATAGCTTTGTGTTGGATGTCTTCCGATCGTCCATTTGGATCCATCTTTACCTTGCTTAGGGGCTTGGAGGCTGGCTTGCATGGACTGATTCAACAAGCTCCTTTGGCTTCTGCCTTCTTTCCATAAGAGGGGAGGAAAGGAGTGCAGTCAGAGCCTTGTTCCCCAGCTCCACCCTTAGGGGTTGCCCTGAGCTGGTTGCTTCCCTCACTGAAGGTCAGGTGTTCCTCTCCATGGTTGGTTCATTTGGTCTCCAGGTTCTGGTCCTCACTCCCTCTCCTCACCCCTTCCAGACCTGGGGTGGTTATAAACGGTCCCTCTATGAGGGATCCTCATGACTCAACATGTTCCATGTCTCTTGCTGAGACTCTCCCTGATATAATCCCCAGGTATCCAGAAATCAAAAGGAAATTGGCGACAACAGTAGTTTTAGCCTTTGCTGGGCAAAATTTCAAACAAAAAACCTGAAGATATGGGGAAAAATCAGCTTCTTTGAGATAACCAATGTAGGTCTTCAGTCTGCTGATGGCCAGCTTCTTCTCTTTTTTGCTTCTCTCTCTTTCTCTGTCTCTCTTTTTAAAGATGGGGTCTTATTATGTTGCTCAGGCTGGTCTTGAACTCCTGGCTTCAAGTGATCCTCTTGCTTTAAGCCTTCTGGGGAGCTGGGATTGCAGGTGCAAGCCACTGCACCCTGCTTCTTTTTACTTCTTATATTCCTGACTGTGCCATTAGGCTAAGGTCAATTATTTCTACAACCTATCTCCTTCTCAGAGGTTTCAAGATCTTCTACCCTCTGTATCAGGAACAGGTTGTATTCCAAAAACTTGTACTGGATGTCTGTGAAAGTCTGCCAATTCATTAGGGAAATGTAAATCAAAATCACAGTGAGAGATCACTTCACAACCATTAGGATGGCTATTTCAAAATAAATAACAAAAAAAAAAAAACAACAAGTTTCTGTGAGGATATGGAAAGATTGGAATCCTTGTGTGTTGCTGATGAGAATGTAAAATAGTATAGCCACTGTGTAAAAAAGTGTGACAAACCTCAAAAAGTTAAACATAGATATGCCCCAGTAATTCCACTCCTTGCCATACACCCAGAAAAACTGGAAGCAGGGACTCAAACAGTTCATTGTATACCAATTTTCATTGCAGCCTTATTCACAATAATCAAAAGCTGGATGCAACCCAAATGTCTATCGACAGAAGAACAGACAAACAAAATGTGGTATATACATACAATGGAGTATTATTCAGCCTTAAAAATGAATTAAATTTTGATACATGCTCCAACATGGATGGACCTTGAAAACATTATGCTCAGTGAAATAAGCCAGACATAAAAAAGATAAATATTATGTAATTCTACTTATATGAGGTACCTAGAGCAGGCAAATTCATAGAAACAGAACGTAGGACAGAGGTTACCAGGGGCTGAGGGGGATGGAAAATGGGGAGTTCTTGTTTACTGGGTACAGAGTTTCAAGTTGGGATGATAAAAAAGTTACAAAAATGCATAGTTGTGATGACTGCACAATAGCCTGAATGTACTCAATGTCACTGAACCATCCACTTTAAAATGGTTAAAGAAAAAATGGCTGTCAAATATTCTGCAGCAGAGACCAAACACAGGACCCATATGAAGAACTATCGGTAGTTAAGAACTCCTAGAAATGACAAGATGATACTGAGAGTGGAGAGGAACTTAGACCCCACAGCATTGGACTGGAAGTGTCAGGAGCTGGCTTCCAAAGGTGCTCTCACAAATCTAAGCTGCTATGAATCTGTGATTAGATTCATTTTTATTGTTTCCCTGTTGTACAGGAAAAAGGCTGTTTCTGACTATAATTTTACAAAAATGCCAAAAAGTTTTAAAAATAATTTGTTGATTTGTGGTTAGTAAACCAGTATAATCTTTATGTTCACATCTATTATTTTAGATTCCTTTTGGCACTGCAACAAATTACCCCATAATTAGTGGCTCAAGTGAACTCAAATTTATTATCTTATATTTGGGGAGTTAGAAATCTGAAATCAGTTTTGCTGGGCTAAAATTAAAGTGTCAGTAGGGCTGTATTCCTTCTGGAAGCTCCAAGGAAGAATCTGTTTCTTTGCGCTTTGCAGCTTCCAGAGGCCTCCTTGGCTCATGGCCCTGTGTCACTCCGACCTCTGCTTCCATCCTCACGTCTCTGTTCTGATTCGGACTCTCCTGCTTCTGTCTTTTCCTTTTAAGGACTCTATGGTTACAAGGGGTTTGCCTGGATAGTCCAGGGTAACCTTCCAGTTTTAAAATCCTATATTTAATCATATCTTCAAGATACCTTCTGCTATGTAAAGTGACACATTTAGAAGTCCTGTGGATTAAGATGTGGACATTTTTGGAAGGGGACATTATTCTGTCTACCACATTTATCAACTCCAAATATATTTTCAAATGAAATGGAAAGAGAGGTTAGAACATACGTATTTTTCAGATTACCAAATTAATGCAAGTCTGTTTTAGCAAATCTAGAAACTTTAGAAAAGAAAAAATAAAACAGTATTATCCTTCATCCCAGTCTCTTTTTTAGATCCTACCTTCTATACTTAACATATGATAAGGATTTGTCGTGTCATCAACTACCTTTTATACTTAGATCCTACTTCTTATACTTAACATATGATCCTACCTTTTATACTTAATATATGATAATTATGTTTAGATCCTACCTTTTATACCTAACATATGACAGATCCTACTTTTTATACTTAACATATGATAAGCAATTGTCATGTCCTTAACTACTGAGGTGTCTATTTTATTAAATGAGTTAAAAGATGAGAAAAGATGACGGAACTGAGTTTTGGTTAAAATGATAGAATCGGCAAGTGGGTTTTAGTCTCAGTTTTAATATGTTTTTTCTCCTTTTAGATATTTTAGATCAGCAGATAGGTTTCTATGTGCCATATTTCCTTCCTGAAAGCTAAACTCACGACCTTTCAATACCCACCTATATCAAATCCTCAAAGCAAATATCTATATTCCAAAATAATTGATTGAAGTTATCCATATTTTACTCTGCGGTAACCTTCTCATCCTGTATTTCATTTTCAAATTACCAAGAATCTCACTTATGTGACTATACACTAAAATTAAAACACAAACACACTGCGTACACTCACTTTGGTCTGAGCAAAAAGACATGAAAGGTGAACATTTTTGTGAAATTTTACAAGTTCAATGGCTAACAAGGGTCTCAATCTTTAAAACAGTCAGTGAGGCTTAACTCAGTGTAAAACATCATTTATATCATAATCAAACTTCTTCATATATGGAAACTTTAAGCAACCTGAAACCACAAAGAATTATCTCCCCAACCTCCTCTTTTTGATTAAGTTAATTTAGTAGCTTTAACTAGAATGGATTAATTAGCTCCAAACAATGTAGCAATTGGATGTTAAATTTAACAGGGTCAAAGGGTGGAGATTGGTTCCAAGGTAGGAGTCTTATATCTACATACAACCCAGCCTTAAGGGCGTGCCATTTGTAAAAATACAATTACAGATTTAATATTCATTATGCAAAATGTTTGGGATCATAAGTGCTTCAAATTTTACTAATTTTGGATACTTGCATATATCTAATGAGATTTATTGGGGATGGGATCCAAGTCGAAACAAAAAATTCATGTATGTTTCATATACATTATGTCTTATGTAGATAGCCTGAAGGTAATTATATACAATATTTTAAATAACTTTTTGCATGAAACACAGTTTGAACTGCATTTTGACTGCAACCTGTCACATGAGGCTAAAAGGTGAAATAAATCTCATTTTTAAATAAAAATGAATATTTTCTATTACACTCAAGGCACAGTGCATAGGATGAGAAGGAATAACTATTATTCCTTGCTATTCTTGTACTGAGGTTGAATTTTAGCCTTAAACTATGGTAAGGAAAGCCCTTGTTCCTTCATTTGAGCCCAATGTCAGGTCAAATATGTTAAAATAAACATAGTAACGCAAGTCAGGGGCTTCCAGAGAGCTGCATCACAGTTTTGTGCATAAGATACACTTGAACACCAGAAAGAATAATGCTTGTGGATAAAAATGCGACACAAAACATGTAGTTACTAGGCTGCATTTCACGTACTGACACCCAGCTTGGCTCAGACTTCAAAATGTGACATCTTGCCCAAATTCAACAAAACTTCCCAGTCTTACAGGGTGATTTTCAAATCGATTAAGTTGGGTATTTCTTTAAGGGAAAACAAAAATCAGAGCAGTGATTTGAATTCTCACTTTCAAAACAAGTTTCCAACTCATTAAACATCACCTTCAAAATGTGATACAAACATGATTTACCTATTGCCTAGCAAATTAAGGCATTTCATTACCAATTAGTTTATCACGACCAACTATATTTTATTTTCTACCTTTCACAAATGCAAAAGGAACCATCAGACAGTTCTCAGCTCTTCAAACCACTGACAACAAAAATTGTGCCAGATATAAATATTTACATCATGAAAAGTAAATGTTGCCAAGATTCCAAACTCCAATGCATTTGAAAATTGGTTTGGATCAGGTATACTTTCCTGAATTGGAAAGATACAAAATCATCTGTTCAAAAAATATCTCTAAAACAAAAAAAAACCCAAGTCATAACATGTGAGTGATTTTTAACACTAGACTATCTCCCAATCTCTTCTTTCCCAATAAATTTTAGGGAGAAGCTGTGTTGACATTTTTTTCTTTCACATCAACATTTTTCCTTTAAGACATTCTGATGGAAAGTAAAAATTATATATCCATTGTTTGTGTTAGTTTGACACATTTTCCATCTCAATCCCAATCTGTACTTTATCTAAAACCCCTTCAAATGCTTGCCATAACTCGTAGGCGAAGGATTCAGCTCCCGAACACTGCCTCAGGACCTGCCCTCTGCTGTCCTCTCTAGCCTACCATCTTGCAAGCCTCTCTTCGCTCCCTGTGTTCAGCCTTGCTGGCTACCTTTCAGCTGCATTCTGGAACTCAGGCACCAAACCCCATTCTGTATCTTGGGCTTTTCCACCCCCTGCTTTTCCTTTTGCCTAGAATGCAATTATCCCCTACATCACCCTCTCCAAGAAAGAAAGAATGACTGAATATTTAATCATAACTACAACTTTTCCTTCTTAAATACTGACCAGCGAACTCACACGTGTTCACGACTTTAAATAAATAATTCACCTTTTTAAAGAGAAATGTACTTAGAAGCCATGACAAGCTCCTTGCAGAATTTATAAAAATAAAACTATAAATGGAACAATAATTAGGATAGCATCGTTTTATATGGAATCAGAGCAATAAACTAAATGACCTATATATGACCTTTCCACAAAAATGCTTCTCAAGTCATATTTAAAACAGTACACAAATACTGCATAACTAAATGGTGTCGACCACATGCAATGTCTTTTAAAACCTGCTTTGTGACCTGAGTCAAAGTCACTTACAGCTTTTTGATGAGTCATTAGGGGTGTGTGTATCTGTGACAGTTACATGGTACAAGAAAATATATTTCAATACATCAGAAGGGGAAAAAGTTAACTTACAAACTTCATGGTATTTATGGTGAACAGACTGCACAAAGGAAGAGAGAACAGAGCCCAATGACCCAAACCCTGAAGAATCAGCCGCTGGTATTATCAAAAGTTGTCAATAATTTTAACCTCAATTTTTTGCACACAAATTATTTTCCATTTCTCTTAACAATAGCTAAATTACCTTTGAACACAATTTTCTGCATGTGCATTTTTTTTTTACCTTTAACAACCTACTCAACAGTAAAAGATAGCCAAGTAGACATGAACCAGCAAGAGAAGTGCTAAGATTCCAGTGATGAGAAGACCCAATGGGCACTTGTGCCCTTCCACAAATTAAAGAGGAGCTCGTTATGGGGGGAGGAGAGTGAAGGAGGGATTTAGGTGTGAGAATCACAAAGCCCAGCTCAGCATTTCTGTGCAGGAGCTAGGATTCTTAGCAAGCAAGATGCCCCTAGGAAGATTAATTATTGATTTTCTTATAAATCATCTAAGGTGATTTTTGTCTGTTTTTTTCCTCCCAAGATGATGAACGTCTGATTTTATTTTTGTTAATTGGTTTTCTCACTTCACTGAGGTTAAAAGAAGGCCTAGTAAAGCAGTTTCTTAGAGGAAAGATTTTCCCAGCATGATAGGCAGGGGTGGCCACTATGCTTTCTGTCCTTTATGGGGGTACCAAGGTTGTCTGATAAGACTTCAGGCAACCTCCAGGAGGTACAGAGTAATCAGAAGCACAAAAGTTTGACTAGTTAGGGAGAAAAAGCACAATTTAGACATATTTCTATCTAATGGCGGCAGGTCTGAAGTCTGTGGTATTCCTAGGTGGGAGGACAAACTCATCACAGAGACTGAAGCCTTGAGGATTAGCTTTCAGAATCAAGATGGCCCCATCTTCAACTTTACCATGGAAGCAATATGGTGGCTTACCTTCCTGCCCCCCGTGTTGATGCGAAGAGGTGTCAGAAAGGGGTCGAAGATCATGTGACTGGTCTCTATGTTGACTGGCGACTGCCGTTTCCCCACAGAGCAAAGATTCCAAGCTGAGTTCACCAATCCCCAGAAAGAAGGAACTAGAAACAAAAAGAAATTATAGAATTAGGCTGAGTAGCAGGTTGGGGAAACAACATAAATAAACAGAGCTATGTACAAACGTGGTAAAATGGAAGAGAACCACCAAATGTTCCCACCCATGGAGATCCTTGGGGGTTGCTATGGTATTTTCCTGGTCTGAATCTTGGTCCACTTCTCTAAGTCTTACCTGCATGGTCTCTTGTCATCAGATTTTCTTGTTTGAGGCCCACTCATCCTGCAGTTTCTTTGTTGACTGCAGTCATCATTAACACTTTAATGCTAACATCATTGTTCAGGTCTCATCATCTTTGCAATATGCCTGGGGTAGCACAAATATTTAGCAATTCCCTGGAGTTGATGCTGTGCTTTTCCTATCTGGCAAGAACGATGTGAAAATCAACCTTATCCTATTTGGAAGTTTTTCAAGGAAAGTGTCATTCAGTGTACACAAAGTTTTTCTTTGGGTTGTCAAGACTAAACTGAGGGAGTGACTTATTTTATGAGCCCCCTAATCAATGCCAGACAAGAGCTTAGCAACTTGACTTCATCTTTGTTTAGTTCAACACTGTGTCATTAACCTAATGTACTTGTAGATAAAGAATTGGTGTTCATTTGATAGGCAGAAAAATGACATTAAGAGCTGAGCACAAATACCCAAAGGAAACCGTCCACTCATTTTCAGTGTCACATGAAAACTTCTATTAGAATGTATTTCTGTGGCAATTTCCAGTTCGATTTCTCTCTATTTAAGAAAGTTTTCAGGGCAAGGGTGGGGAGCCAACCTACTAATTTTATATCAGTGAAGATCAAAACTATACTTTCAGCCTTTCCCTGCCCCTTTCAGTACTTCCATCGAGTCTCTGGATCCATGTGTCCTTCAGATTCCCCTGAGATTATATGGCCATTCATTCATCCACCCATAGTACATGCAGTGAACTCCTATTTGGCATCACGCACTGGGTTAGGCTGAATCTCGAGGAAGGCAGGTAAGCACAAGAACAACTAACACACTGGGGAGGCTCACTAGTGTGAGGTCGAGTATGTTATGAGACTCCGGATGAGGGGAAGCCAATCCTGCCATGGTAGAGGGGAGGCAGGGAGTGACTCCTGGAGAAGATGAGCCTAACAATCACATTAGCCTTCTTAAATGGACCTGTCCTCTCAGAAACTCAAGTTTAATTAAACTTAAATTGAATAAAGGCTTTAACTTACAGTAGCCATCATTCTTGCCTATAGCATAGATGGAGAAAACTAAGGCAAAAGAGGAGTTTGGAGACACTTGCCAAAGATACTCAAATTCTTTGACTCTCTTATTTGTTATAGGCAACTGTAACAGACATGGGAGGAGAACTAAAAATAAGTTCCTTGGCCTAGACAAACACTTCAACATCAAAATAAGATGGGTCTCATTTTAAAATATGACAAATATCTAATTTGGTTTCATCCATGCCAATAAGCCTCTGGTAGACCATTTCCTTTAGTTTAAGGAGTTTGAATTGGCTTTTTAGTCATTAATGACTTTCAAAATGGTAGCAATGGCCTGAGTTACAGAGGGAGAAAGAGGAGGAGGAGGAAGAGGAGAAACATTGACACATGTGCATGGGCTTCCTCGGCCCTCTCATTTCTTATCATTTCTTAAAATATGTTATCACTACAAGTTACTCCACCTTTAGAAGGTACCACGTCCTAGCAAGACTACAATATTTAAGAAAGTTCTTGCATTATGAATGCACTTATATTATAAATATAAACTTGTCTTTTCTAAACTACTTTTTTTTAAAAAAAACACTGACTTGATCTTATATTTATTTATCCCTCAATCATCTCAAATTATGAAAATAAAGCCTTCATTAGGGCATCCTCCTAGCAGTCTTTGTCCGTAACGCACACACAAGTGGCAAATGTGAGCATGCCAGGGATATAGTCATGGCACCTCCACAAGTGAACTGAGTGGCCCTTGGTAAGTCATGTGTCCCTTGGACCTTCTTCATGGTTCCTGTGGTAGGCCGAATGGCTCTCCACCAATGATGTTTACTATCCTAATCCTCAGAACATGTGAATATGCTATCTTAGATGGTAAAGGGTATTTTGCAGATGTAATTAAGTTAATCGTTTTGGGATGGAGAGATTATCTAGGATTATCTGGGTGGGCCCAATGTAATCACAGAAGTCTTTATAAGAGAAATGTAGGAGGGTCAGAGATATAAAGATATACAGATGGAAACAGAGGTCAGCCAGGAGAGAAGATAATACTCTGCTGGCTTTGAAGATGGAGGAAGGGGACATGAACCAAGGAATGCAGGTGGCCTCTAGAAGCTGGAAGAGGCAAGACAATGGATTCTCCACCTAGAGCTTCCTGCTGTAAGGAATATAGGCCTGCTGATACCATGATGTTTAACCCCTTGAGAATATATTTGACCTCCAGAAACGTAGGATAATAAATTTCTGCTGTTTTAAGCCATGCAGTTGTGATCATTTGTTATGGCAGTAACGGAAAAGTAATACAGCACCCCTTTACCTTTAAAACTCTGTGAGACAATAACCTCTTTGACAATGAAGACATCTATGATGCTTGCAGGGCTCTCCCTAGAAGGCAGCTGCATGATTAAAGTAGTTACAGCTGGTGCACATTGCATTTCATCTACTCCCATGAAAAGCATTAACAAAAATAATTCCAAGCCCATAAATGGATTATAAGACTGCTATTATGTGGCAACATGGGTGGGCAGCTGCTGCTGTACTTCACTAATAAACGTCATGCCCAAAAAGTACCCCCGCAAAAACACAAACAGGAAAAACTTTATGCGAACATCTGCCTTCTCTTTTATTGGGCATGGAATTCTTTATGACGAACAGTTTCGGGGTTTTATATCCCCACTTCACGATCAAAGCCTGCGTCTCTGATGCTAATCACCTGCTCAGCCAATCGAGGAAGAAGTGAGAAACCTCTCTCCTGCTCAGCTGTGTCCCTCATTGGCTCCAGCCCTGAACTGCTATCTAAGTTTATTTACCCCTGGATGGCTGATTTTAAATCAGCTATGAATTAATAGCTTTTCAGAAATAGAAGCCACCTTAGAGATCGTCTGACTTAAATTCATTACATGGATTTAAGGCCATAGAGGCAGGGAGTAAAGTCCTCCACTCTAGGTCACACAGCCAGGTAGAGGCGAGGAAGGACAGAGTAAAGAACATTACTCAAGATTTCCAGTGCTACTGAGCCTCTGCTGCTCTAAACCCCTTCCTCTCCAGCAGGCTCTATACATGAGCAGATCATTTTAGGAAATTTCAGTTAATTGCTGCCAAGACCCCTGTAAGACTTTTGCTATCATTTCTCTTTTGGTAAATCAAGAATAACATTAGTGCCAATTTTCCAGTTAAAATAAATTTCAAGTGCAAAGGTTTGAATCAAACTGCTTTGAAAGTCAACTATTCTAAATAAACTTAGGATTTTAAAGGAGCCATACAACCATGGAGTAACATACATAGAAGGGCCTGGGTGTGAAAAGACTTCAGTTCAGGCGATGTGTTTGGGTCCCATCTGCAGGCCTCTGAGGAGACCTGATGGGGATGATTGCACACAAAGAGCTGCTCCAGGGATAGTTCCTGGGGTCAGCTGCACCGGGCAAGGTTTTAGTGCAGATAAAAATGAGAAGTCAGTGCTGTTAGGAGCGGTGTTAAGTGTTGGGACAATAATTAAGATATTGAAGCTAGTCTAGGGAACTCAAGTGCCGAATGGACCAGACTAGGTCTGCAAATGTGGTGTAATCTAGATTCTAGGGAAATGGTTTAGGACGAAGGCTGTGAAAACAGGCGTCCATGAAGTGCCTGTGCCTACTGGGGCATGGGAGTCAGATGGCCCACTTTACATGCAGAGCAAGGATGGGCGTATGAATGAAAGCTTCAAGATTTAGAGTGAGAAACTTGCCCTGTGGGTTTGTGCAGAACTGTCAGTTATATCCAAGGTTCTGATACTTAACTACCCTTCATCTACCCTTCATAGTGTTATCTTTCAGGTTTATAGACACCCGTGTCACCTTTTGGAGCAAAAGTGGGTTATATAATGCTGTGGCAGGCACTGCCTCTATTTCCAAGGTAAGAGAAATATTGTTGAATTTTTTTCTCTTAGTTTCCATGGCTATCCTCCAAAATCAGATGTTTAAACTTTTATTTTTAAAGCATCCATTATTATGGCTTATTAGCTAATGCTGTGTCTTTACTTGATCAATACAACTTACTGTTGAGAGAAAATGTAAATAAAGCAAAATAGAGTAAGAATCACTCTAATTAATGGACAACCAGTCTGACGATGTTTGAATTCCATCATCCTTGGCATCCTTTTTGTACAATCTTCTAATTTACATATAAACTAGAACACAAAACAGACCCAAATATTTTTGCAAATTAATTTTCACACAGCCTAAACCATGGAACTTAACTGCTGCATCACAGCGATGTGTTATCTTGCCAAAGTATTTCCCAATGGCACTACTGCCATTCTTACCATAAATTACAAATCCCAAACGTTCTCTTGGCTCTGGGTCCAGTGAGTTTTGAAAGATGCTCAGTGACTCTGTGATTTCAACTGCTTAAATCATGAGCCTTGGCAAACCCAAAGCAAAACTTATCAGCTGCTTGTTCAGACCCATGAAATAAAAAAGCTCCAGCTGTTTAATAACACACCTTGGCAACGTCTGGACAAAAACAACAAAGTTTTCACCAAAAACAAATAGGTCAGAAGAGCAAGGAACCAGAGGAATCAAGTCCGATAAGGAGAGTTAAAACTGGCCTTGACTTCTTTGTCCTAGAGAAGGTGTTCCGAAGTTAGATTGTGCTTTTAGGCATCTTCC